>NC_000021.9:29265032-29894954 GCF_000001405.40 Homo sapiens | reverse complement strand
ATGGCTACTTATAGATATTATGACAGATGTTGGGAATAGAAAGCCAGATGACTGCCTTCAAGGAATTTACCATCTGTCAGGAGAAGGGGAAATAGCCAAGTTAAACAGGTGAATATGTTGCAGTATCCATATACTCAAACAGAAGTGGATCCAGGGGGCACTCATCAATTTTTGGCAAAGAGAACCTAATCAGGCCATCCCGCCGATTAAAATCTTTTAATTGCATCTCATTGCTTTCAGGCTAAAGTGCACATAGTTGAGCAGTGTGTTTATAAGGCCTGTGATGGTTGATACTGAATGTCAACTTCATTGGATTGAAGGACGCAAAGTATTGTTTCTGGGCATGTCTGTGTGGGTGTCGCCAAAGGAGATTAACATTTGAGTCAGCGAACTAGGAAAGGCAGACCTATCCTCGGTCTGGGTGGGCACCATCTAATCAGCTGCCAGTGCAGCTAGAATAAAGCAGGCAGGAGAAGACAGAAGAACAGACTTGCTGAGTCTTCTGGCCTTCATCCTTCTCCCATGCTGGATGCTTCCTGCCCTTGAACATCAGACTCCAATTTCTTCAGCTTTTGGACTCTTGGACTGATACCAGTGGTTTTCCAGGGGCTCTTGGGCCTTTGACTACAGATTGAAGGCTGTACTGTTGGCTTCCCTACTTTTGAGGTTTTGGGACTTGGGCTGATCCACCACTGGCTTCCTCGTTCCTCAACTTGCAGATGGTCTCTCGTGGGACTTTACCTTATGATCATGAGAGTCAATTCTCCTTAATAAACTCCATCTCATATATACATATATCCAATTAGTTCTGTCCCTCTAGAGAACCCTGACTAATACAAGGCCCTTCTTCATCAATCCACTTTGTGACTACCCAGCCCTACCTCTCACTATTCCTCATGTGCAACCTACAACCAGCGGTACAAAACAACCACCGACTGTTGGATTTTCTCTAACCTAGCACCTGCCCTCTGTTTTGCTGATTTATTCTCTGTTCTGCAGGCTCCCAACACACACGCACTAATGCTTCACCTCCCTGAAGGGTTTGCTGACCACTCCTGCCACCTCTCAAGTGACTCTCCAATGACTCTCCTGTAATGACTGGATCCTGATTCACTCAGGCCTCTTTGAGCTCTAGGAGAGATGGGGCAACCTCCATGCTAGTACTTATCACACTGAATTGTAGTTGTTACTTTCCTTACATCATCTGCCTAGACTCTGAATTCTTGAGGGAAGGAGCTGTGTCTTTCTCTCTGTATATTCTACATCAATTCAGTGCCCAACACGCAAGCGGTACTAACCAAAAGCAATGAGAGTAATGACAATAACAGCCCTACATATAGTGAGCATTTATCCAGGCTGTTTGCTGAAGGTTAAGTCTGGTAAAACATACAAATATATTTTCTCATTTAAATGCTATATAAATATAGATTATACATACCCCACATTACAAAAGAAGGAACTGAGGCACAGAGGGATTAGGCAGCTTTTCCAAGTTTTCATTGCTTGTGAGTAGTAGAGTTGGGTATTAAACCCAAGCAGTCTGGCTCCAGATTGTACACCATTAGCTACCACACTATAGTGATTTGAAAAAGAATGTTTTATTCATAGTATAATAACTATTGCACCATACTTATCTCTATTTTGTAGATGAAGAAACCGAGAAAATCAAATGCCTTTTCTAAGGTTACCCAGATAATAAATAAAAAACCAGGATTCAAACCTAAGATGAATCTGACTCCAGAGCTTGTGCTAAAAGAATGAATGAATGTGTGAATGAAATCACTTCATCTCTTAAAGTCTCAATTTCCTAGTTTGAAAAGTAAAACAGTTAGACAAGATAATCTTTAAATTTCCATCCAATTTCAACAACTGTATTATTTTATATTATAATAAAAGTAGGAACTATAGGCGTGTGTCACCATGCCCAGCTAATTGTATCTTCAGTTGAGGTGGGGTTTCTCCATGTTAGCTCATGCTGGTCTCGAACTCCTGACCTCGGGTGATCCACCCGCCTAAGCCTCCCAAAGTGCTGGGATTACAGGCATAAGCCACTGTGTCCGGCCAAATTTAAATTCCCTCAGAATGTTTTGGAGGTGCTTCAATAACAAAACAAAACAAAAAATACTTTGCTGGAGTTCACATACAAATATGATACACTAAATAGCACAAAAAAGATTACATTTCAAGCAAAAAGAAAAAGGAAGAGCTTCTGTCATCACGTAACTCATCCTGATTTCTCTAAGGGCATAGAGACCTAAGGGCTTAAGGGAGCCTGGAGACCATTGCTCCAGCTTGTGGATCCTGTCCCAATAGCGTTTCTTCATCTTGGGTCGGTCCACTGACATCAGCAACTGATATGGGGTGGGTACGGCTGTGCCAGCCTTCCAGGCAGCCAGCTGCCCTGGCCTGCCAATCCATTCTTCACCCAGCAGCAGCACTCATCACTGCTGTTGTTTTAGTCACATCAATCACTTTCCCAATTCAGCTTTGTATCAAATCCAAGCTCCCAATTATAGGTTTCAAATTCCTCTCCCAATTATTCTTCCCTCCGCGTAAATAGAAACATCTCCTCACTGCCTGCTTTTGACACTGCTCTAGTGAACATGCTTGTTCCAAGGATTCACATGCCACCTCCTTCCTTTACCTCCTAGCTTCTCAAAGGTGTTGCTTTCTGCTTACAAAACTACTCAAAGTCACTTCCTCTGGCTAGCTTTTCCAAACCAACAACTCCAGACTTTGGTATTTCTAGTCTCTTTAGTATCTACTGAGAGGTTACTAATACAGGACACACATCTTACACCAGGTTACTCTCATTGCCTAATGGAAAGCCTGTGACTGAGGCAGAAGGAATCACTCTGAGTTGCAGCTCTGCAAATTATTCCAGCATCACCTTTATTCATCTATAAAGATGGAAATATTATTAATGCAAAGTCCTTTCATTATGAGAATCAAATACACTTTAATTCATTCATTTACTAATTAATGCTCAGATTGAGTACCTACGATATGTAGACACTGCTGTATAACAAGATATGTGTTCAGTAGATGAAATTAACAATCTCTTTGTGTGTGGACAATCAAAACTGTATTTGTACATTTTCCTCATTTAACTTTAGATGTTTCAATATTAATCATAGTTTTTAATACTTAGTATATAAATTTTTTTAACAGTAGAGAATAATCATCAACTGAAAAAATTTTTATATTTTCCATTTCAAAAGAAATAATAAAACCCTTTTTTCCCTATACCTAACCTCCCATTTACACTCAACCATCTGAAGGATCTGATATGGTAAAGATCAAACAGGTGTTCTAACGTTCCGACAAGCTCAATGCTTGCAAATTCTGCCAAAATCTACTGTTTTATAGTAAGAACAGATGGTCACAGATGAGCATTGCTTCAGCTATTGATGATGTTGAAGACAAATCTTTATCACAGAAAGGGAAGGAATGGAATTTTTAGACATAACCATTTTCTAGATGTAGAATGCATTATGCACGCCACACAGGCTATCATTGTGATTATAATGGAATGAAATCCAAATGTAAAAGCATGTTGATAAAGTACTTGGCTGCCTTCCTACACAGGGTATAGACTCATTCCCTTCTCCACGTTTGAATCATAACATAAAAATATTTTATGTATGATATTTGCGTGAGATTCTCGATGATACTGAATGATCGGATTCCTGCTAGAGATATTTCACTTTTTATGACAGATAAGTGTTTGGCATTTTCTTTGGCTTTTCCACACAAGGGATGATCAAACAGAATGAAAGAAGAATGAGTCTTATCAAATATCAAAATGATCTAAAAATGACTAGTTTCATTCTGACAGAACTTGTATCTTAATGTACCAAATAGTCCACTGAGGCATGAACATTCAATTAAGTTTTGAATTAAATATCAAAAAAAGATGTTATATCAGAGATTTTGTGTGGCTCAGTTTAAGATATTCTAGTCTCCTCAGTATTAGCTAATAGCTTCTTGATACAGATAATTTATAGGTGATGGTGATCTATGACACATACAAAAAACAGACCAACTGGTTTCTTTGATTTTCTTTTTCTGGCACTTCATTATATAAATGGGCTCTGTTTATCTCCAACTTTTCCATGCCACTTTGTGTAACAAGGGCATCTTTTTACAGTCTTATGTGTTTATGAGTGTGCGTGTCTATGTATGTGTGTTTCTCTGTATGTGTCACTTATATTGGGTTCCTGCCAAGTAGTCTTTGCTATAAATTTCTGGAGAACCTGATGACTTTGACCAGATTGGCACTTCCTGTTAAAATACTGAAGTCTTAATTCTGAAGCATTTCAGAAACATTTCATTGTGTTCTTTAATTATACTAGTATTATACAACATGTGTTATTATATCTTCAGAATGGAAGACAGATCTACAACTGTACTTACAATTACACAGACTTCAAAAATGTGGGCCTGATTTCTGCTGGTTGAGGGAGTCATTATTGGATGATTTCTTGATTCCTTGAGTATTGATGAAGAGACTGCACAATGAGCTTTAGGCAGAAAATTCAAAAACTTAAAGTCCCAGCAGAAAGCAAAACTAAAGCACTTGAAAAGAAGTTTCTGCCAAAAATCCTTTAAGAAAATTCAAAGTAAGTGAAAAATTGATTTATTTTACATATTGATTTTCTGTATTAGGTAGTTTCTATATGCACTTAAACTGGATTGTGATTTGTAAAAAGAAGTTTATCAGTTAAGCTTGAGAAACATAGTTTGTAATTAATCTAGAGCCTATGGTGTGTAGGACACTGAGGAAAATCAGAATATTTTGTGAATTTTGAAGTCTAATTGGGGAGGTAAATAATGCATAAAAATATTTATGATTAAACATTAAAGTATAATTCAGACAAACAGTATCACATGACTTATTGTCAAATGACAGATAAATCTTGAATTTAGGGTAGATACAATTACTCTGTCCCAGGAGATCTAGACATTTTCACAGATAAGGGTTGCATCGGTGTTTCAGAACAACTCTACAAAGGACACAGTTATTCAAAATAAATATTATTAATTTTTATAATTAAAACTTAGATGTATAAGAAACTTATACTTAGCTTTATCTTCCTTCTTTATGGATAATTCTATTTAATACATTTAAAAGTTACTTAAAATACAGGATGCCAAAATATAAAGTAAATTAGTCTTTAACTCACTTATTTGCTCTTTGCTGAAACACACTATTTTAAACTGAAGAAGAGGAGATAGCACAAGCCACAGAAAATTAGAGATGGTTTCTAAAATATGAGATGATTTTCCTTACTGGGCAGTAATTTAGATCCTGTAATGTATGTTACAAAGATTTTGTAGGATGAATAAAAGATTTATAGGGTGCAATGTCATTTAATATCATACTGTCAAATGCCTATAGTGTAGCAGGATATTTACTGGAATAGAAGAACAAGAGGTGGAGGAGAAAAAAAAAAGAAGGAGAAGGAAAAAATTGAAACGCAAAATGTTCAGGGATCAGTACAATTATAGATTTTCCTTGTGATTCTGGATTTATCCTGGATGGAGTGAACCACAGTAGGAGTATTTACTCTTGACTTATAATTAAAGGTTTCCCATATCTTTTAAAAGAACTCGGAGAATGGAAAGAAGGACAAATATGTTCTCCACCTTTTTTATGTTAAAAATGTGTATAAATATAACCTTTAAGAAAAAATACTTAACATATATTACTCTCATTGTATTCTAACTTTCCCATTTTTATTACCTTGTCCATGCATTTTATTCAGTTCAGTCATTATCTAAAATTTATTTGGTATTCTGTTGTCAAAAATGTCTGGTATACTTTTTAAAGAGTTGACCTACTTTGTTTCAAGTAAGAAGATTTTAGAAGTCCAATTTCCATATTCTAAGAGGTCCCTGCAAAGGTTTTTGCCCTTGAGAAGTCAACTTCCTCATAGCTATTTTGAGAAGAAGAAACTTTAACAGATTTGGTGCAGAAGATTTCAGGAGAAAGTTACAAAAAAACAGGATGGAATATTTTGTGTTGCCATTTATAAAAAGGGAAACCTTTCCATGATGGAAGGCCAGGACAACCACCTGTTCTTCAAAAGATAGTGGGGAGGGGGAAAAAAAAACTCCTCTAATCTAAAACGCCATCATAGTGGAGACCAGATGGTGGATTTCTTTGGTGAGTACAGCTATCTGGCCTTTAAAACCTGCTTCATTGTTGTTACAAGTGTGTATAAAAAGGCTTCAGGCTGTTGCAATGCTGCACATCAGTTGTCAATTATTGCATAGTTGACTGTTATTGGATTTAGAAATATTTGTGGCATTTGTTAGCTGTTGAGTCACAGCTTTCAGAAATAGACTAGTCTGTAATAAAACCTTAAGAAGGGAGGGGCTAGGCCGGGTGAATGGCTCACACCTGTAAGTGGTTCCCAACAGTTTGGGAGGCTGAGATGGGTGGATTTCTTGAGCCTAGGAGTTTGAGAACAGCCTGGTCAATATGGCAAAACACCATCTGTACAAAAAAGTACAAAAATTAGCTGGGCATGGTGGCATACATCTGTAGTCCCAGCTACTGAGGAGGCCTAGGGGTGAGGATCTCTTGAACCCAGGAGGTCAAGGCTGCAGTGAGCTGTGATCATGCCACTGCACTCCAGCCTTAGTGACAGAGGAGAAACTCTGTCTCAAAAATAGGAAGGAAGGAAGGAAGGAAAGAAAGAAGGAAGGAAGGAAGGAGAGAGAGAGAGAGAGAGAGAGAGAGAGAGAGAGAGAAAGAAAGAAAGGAAGAAAGAAAGAAAGAAAGAAAAAAGAAAGGAGGGAGGGAGGGAGGGAGGGGCTATAAAATGGAGACAAGGAGGCAAGGAGTGCAGGCTTCTCCCTCATTGATGTTCTTCCTAGTCCTTTGAGGTTGTTGGGGGAAGCAGGCCCCTCATTTCTAGCTTTTGGGGAGTTGGTTTTTACCATAGTTCACCTGATACTTCTAGTTGCCAATCTAGTATTTATTCTACCCTTTTTCCTGCAGACAGAAAGACAGAACCCTGATTTTGTTTGGGAAAGCATTATCCCTAGCTCTGGAGGGATACTCATTTTCCCAGTCTCCCTTGGATTGGCCATAGTGTACAGCTCTGGGCAATGAGATATAAGCATACTGGAAATTTCTTCCACATTCCCCTTCTCCTGCTGTGAACATAGATATGATTTCTGGAACAGCTGCATGAGATAACAAGCCTAAGGAAAAAAAATGCCAACACACTGAGGAAGGAAGAGGGAAAAGATTATAGTAACTTAGGTCCAGGCTGGCATTACTGAACAGCTGGACCCAAGCAAGCAACCCCTTACCTCTGACTTTCTTATTATATGAGAAAAAATTGCCTGAAATGTGTACAAGACACCTGGTGGTTATGTATGTTGTTATCAGTAGTCTAGCACAGTTCTGATACCCTTGCAATGGTAGATAGAGGTGTGCTAACATGATTGCTCAATATCTTGATCTACCCATGTCTGACATCACCAGGTGACTACTTAATGGAAGCAAAGGCTGTGATGAGTCCCTCAGAAGAGCTCAATGTTTCCTCTAAATAACTCAGATTGAAGTGGAATATGGGAGTCAGATTTATTGACTTGACCTGGATTGTTAGGTTAGAACTTCTGTACCCCCATATTCTTCCAAAGAAGTAAGTGACACTTATTTCATGTGAATTAAATTTTAAAATGCCTAAAATTTTTGGGATGCAACAAAAATGTGCAGTGTAGGCAATGACTTTGTAGTCTGAAAACTCATAACACTCTAGCTCATTCAGTGTCATGAAAGAGTTAATGTAACCTTCAAAGTTGTCTGATTTAGAATGAAAGTAGTTTCAGCTAGTCAGATAATCTTCCTCGATACTTATAAAACCACCATACAATTAGTATAAGTTGACATGCCTATGGTGAATAAAGTAAATGAGAAGAAAGACTAAAGGAATTTTAATGAGCTATGCCTTAATCATCCCCCCAAATAAATCTAATAAGGTGTCTCTCTTTAACTTTCACTGATGTTTTTTCTTCCCCTAATTGTTCCAGCTACCTATGTGTGGATATGTACATTTCTCTTTGAAAAAGGCTTAGTTGCCATTTCTCTCATAACTCACAGTTCTTCTCCTTTGTTTCTGAGTCTATGAGCACCTACCAGGATTTATGTTTACGGATGCACTCCGATATTTGGCTGTCAAATTTGCCTAGAGTTCTATTAACCTGGTGATAAGAAAGGATATAATAAGCCAGGCAACAGAGTTGAAAGGATCCATTGTAAGTAGGAAAAGAAAAGCCAAAAAAGCAAGTGTTTGGGGTCTTTTGAACTTACCCTTAAAGTTATTGTACACACAACAAGATACTTTTTTTTTAAGTACGAAGTTGTAATTCCCTACAGTGTCTTGTACATAGAATAGAAGTCATTCAATAGAAAACAAGTGAATGCCCTTCTCCTCCATCTTTATAATAAGTGTGTTGGAATGCTTTTCTTCCTGACAGAAGTGTGCTGGTGGGCCTTCCAGTGGTAGCCAACACAATGAACACACTGCAGTGTCAGCCCAGTTCTATATCTTCAAAACTGTTCCAATATTGGTATTCCTGGAAAATATGTGCAAAGAACAGAACAAAGTCAGCCTGAAAAAGAGGTGAAAGGAGTGAGGCAAAAGAGAGCATAGACTTTATATTTTTTTCTCTGGATGAAAGCAAAATGCATTAATATTAGTTATGATCCCTTGGAACTCACAGGCATTTTCTGTTTCAACTCAAGTTCTGTTCAGCTAATCTCATGTTATAAGTAAAGATTTGTTTCTTTTAAGTATCCAGCATCCATTTGACTCTTGTGTCATTTGGGAGGAAAGTGCCTTGTTTATTGAGCATTTTGCTGGTCAGCCTGAAACATTGGCAATAACACATTCTAAATCTATAGGAAGAGTGTTTCATAAAAAGGACTAGATTGACATCAAATAGGCCATGAGGGATTCATACATTGATCTTCCCCTGATGTTTCCTCTGAATTAGCTAAGACAGCTAGACTAACAATGGTTCTAATGGGAAAGATAAAGAAGACCAAATGGTGGAGAAGCAGCAATTTAAACGTTTAATTCTGATTTTCCTGTTTATATCAGTTATAAATTTAGATAATTGGAGGTATTCAAAGGAGAACAGCTCTGAATGCTTTTGATGGTTTATGGAAGGTCATTCACCTCCTAAGTTTTATTGCTTAACATGAGATGGCACAGCAGTCCTCCTTGTTAGAAAAATGTTGCTGACAGTGATGGGCATTTACAGCAGGCAGTCATCAGTACATTAACTCATGTAATCATTGATGCTATGATAGAAATTTTGGCAGTATTTGTCACTCATTCTACCTTTTCATTAATGTTTCCTTTGAAGCAAGTTTTCTAAGACAATATCTTTCACTAAAATTCTAAATGGCAAATAGGTGCTGTATTTAATCAAGGGCTAAATTCTATTCCTTCACTCCCACCAATTCTATATCACAAGATTTTTTTGCAGATCTCTAGGAAGGAATTTATTTTTCTTACGTTAAGAAAAAATAATTCCATCCATCTGAGTCCCACTGTAAACCAACTACAGCTAGGTCAGGGTTGTGGTATGAGAAGAGAACTTTTAATATGCCTATATTTAGTTAAAAACCATCTAGCAAAGGCTTAGAAGAAGAAGTTGAAGACTATTTAACCATACAACGTCCATTGCCCTGACATGAAACTCTGACATACATATGAACATTCATGAAAGCAAATCCACGGTCAACACAATAAATACCCTGATTTGATCATTATACAATATATGTATGTATTGAAACATCACATTATCACATTTTTGCTCAATAAATATGCATAATTACAATGTGTCCATTAAAAAGTAGTTTTTAAAATGCAGCTCATTCTCATTTACTCAAGGAGACCTAAAATATGGAGATTTTTCCAATAATGAAAATAATATTGAAATGTTTCATTTGGGATTAGAATCTTTTATGGAACAGTTTTGAGCAACATCGTCACCAAGTGAACCAGTATCTGTGTGATTTGGGAACTTTTTCTGGATAGCTCTGTGGGTGAACACTGGATGTCTGTTGAAGATTCCCTTCCAGCAATTAAGTAATCATAACTTTATGCATGTAGCTATAGTGAGAGATTAAAATTAAGAGGTTTAGTGTCAGTTTTAACTAGTCAAGTTACTTAATTTCTAAATCTCCGTTGTCTCGTCTTGAAGGTGGAGATAATAACTACTTTAAGTAAAGCATGTAGCACAATAGCTGATAATCTATGTTTTCAGTTATTACTAGTAATGCAATGTAGCTCAGAAATCCACAAACTTTATCTGTTAGGTTAGAAACATTGGCACCCACTTTCATGTTTTCTTATGTTTTACGTCATCAAATGGCAAACTGAGAGATGAACATGGCCATCAAGTAACTCTCTCCCTGACTTAGTAATTTCCTTTCTGTTTCCCTGTCCATAATACAAAGAGTCGGGGGTGGGAGTAGAGGGACGAAAGTCCTCATATGGAAAAAAATACAACCAACCTGTTCTTCCTCTTGACCATACTTAGAGAAATGGTAAGTAGACTCTGGTTAATTCAAAAACATTTTACGATAGGATAGTAAAATGAGATTTGTTTTAAAAATTACTCTGGAAAAAGGATTTATAATGGACAAATGTATATATTTAGAAGATTAGACCATATCTTGGCATCTGGCTTTGTGAACCATACATGTTGGAAAACTTAACCCTCTGCCTGTTCTTTCAACTTCCATTAAATATAATATGTTTGCTCATAGCAGCTTATCGAACAGTGATATGGGCAGGTAACAGAACCATACTACAAAGAAAAATTATTTAACAGTAGACAATGTGTTTCCCTGTATAAAATGGAGCAGCACATGGGAGTCAAGATTTCTGTCTACCTCCTTTCTTATCAATAGATTACATAAAGCATCCCCCCCTTCTTTTTAGGAAGAGTCAGAGTGGAAAAGGACTTCAATATCTCAGGCCTGAAGGAAACCTGTTGAAGCCTGTCGGGTTTTCTTTGATTGGTTTTCTCTTAGGTATTTTCTTTCTAATTATTCTGTGGTTTCACTGGTATTCACTGCAGAATATAGCTATTCTGTGCTGGGAGATTTTGAAATGTGTCTGTTCTAATTTTCTTGCAATGAGAAAAAAAAGAAAGTGGACTTTGAGAAAAAACACATAAATATTTTTAAATTTTAAACTATCATTGTAAACCAGTCTTTCCATTCCCATTCAGAATGTCACAGGATTATAGTCTGATTTCTTTATAACCTGATACCTGATAACACTGATGCCTTCCTGGGTGTCTTGAGTGTGTCTACAGAAGATCCTGATTTGGAAGGTCTAATAAGCTTTTATATTTCATTTTTATTTTTTCTATTTGGAAGGAAAATGTGCACCACTTGCTTTGTGGCAAACAGGGGACCTCAGAGGCTGATATTAAGAACTCTCTGCTTGTTAGTTATGACTTTCTTTCCTGAAACAACCAATAGTCAGTCTCGCTGAGTGACTTAATGAAGTAAAACCATTGCAAATCTATATACTTGAGAATTCTTTACTTGCTAAAGGTCAAATGTGAAGCCATTATTTTTATTTGACTCACCAGCCTCTATTGCACTTATTATCAGTTCTAATACTGTTTCATAGAACCACAAGAGTTTATAAAGTAAATTTAAATGGTTGCTGAAAGTTAGATAACTAGAAATATTTTGTAGAATATACAAATACATTTTCCTACTTCCCGATATCTGAAAACCACTAAATGGGTTAAGTTACCTTCCAAATATATTAAATACTGCTTCCAGATGAGCATGACATTGTTGAATTAGTATTGGATTGAGTCCCTCAGGTATTAGCAACAGACAAGCCACGATTCCATGAACACAGAACTATGTTAAAGCCTGAAGGAGGTAATGACTAAGGTTAAAGCTGGACTTCTGGTTTCAAGGACCTTGGGGGCTGGTTGGAAAGAAAAAGTAATTAGACATCAAGAAAGTAAAGCAAGTTGCAGCCCCTGGTTATTAGTATAAAAATAAATAAGGAAAAGAGAGCTCTGTATAGATCGTGGTAGATAGAGAATGCTTCATGGAGGAGGCCAATGTTCAGTTAAGACTTAAAGGATAAACAAGAATTTCATGTGTGGAGAAATAGAAACAAACTTTCCAGGCTCATTCAATTACTCATGCACTTTTGCCTAGCACTTATTTACCTAGGCCAGGGAATATGCATGTGAGATAATTCTCTGTTCCCAAGGACCCTCATTTCGGTTCTGTGAATTTGATAAGCTTTTTCCCTTTGTAAGTTCTTTGCGCATGATATTCCAACTACATTGCTTTGGATTCTTCCCCATCATGAGCTGCTTCTTCCAGGCGTCAAACCACACATTGGAGTGTCATTGTGAGAGCACAGAATTCAGAGGGAGACATCATGAGCAATTCTTACCCACCAGCCCTCCTTTCTTCCCACATTCTTCTCAATCGTGGAGTATTTCTACCACTAGAACCATTTCTTCAATGACAGAAGGAAAGGGAATAAACCAGAAGGAAATAGGCAATAGAAGGTTCTATATTAGTAAATGTTAAAACGTTTAAAAATACATTAAGTATGGGCCAAACTCTTTTAAAAGTCAAAAAAGGGGTACCTAGGAATAATATGGTAGTCATCAGGGAACCATGGAATTAATGGAATGTGGAGGATAGAAATGAAACCACAAAACTCATTTTCCAAACAGTAAAACCACCCAAAAGTCCCATCTCTTCCTAAACGGACAACAAATGCCTGTTATGGCCTTTTTTTGATGTCATTATTTATTGTTACTGTTGTTTGTTTGTTTGTTTAATTTGTCTCTGTTCTGATCTGTGAAGGCTTTGCCTCAGATACCTTTACCCCAACCATCTGTTCTCCTTTCTGTTCTACGAATCCCATGATGCCAAGGAGTATGTTTTATTAATTTTTGAATTCCTGCCTCCGAGCATAGTGAATAGAAAAAGCAAACAAATGGATGGTTGTTGGGAGAAAATGGAAATGTGTCAATTGTAAAAGATTGTCTTTTATTTTTTACAAATTAAATATTACATAGTATTTTGAATACCATTGTGGAGCACACTTTACTGCCAAAGATAGTAAATATAAAAAGTCTTTTATATCAAGGGATGATTCCAACACATGTAAGAGTACTGAGTTCCCACTCTAGCCAAAGGAGTCATGGTGCAGTAGAAGAAGAAAGGGACAGGGAATTGAAGAATCTTGTTCATATGCCAATTTCACCTCTATTAACCAGTCAACCTTCTACTCATGCCTTAACCACTTTAGACATTGGTTTCCTGATCTATAAAATGAGGGACCCAGTAAGGGATAAGCCATATTTTTATATGTAAACATTTCCAATAGAGTTCCAGATACATGTGTTAGATGAATCTGACCCTTGCATGGAATAAGACACTTATCTGCTGTGTGGTCTGGAGCAAGCGACTCAGCCTCTCTGATTCTTAATTCTTTAAAAACTGAGTATCTCCAAACTCTGGAGCCCATTTTATTTTGTTTTATTTTATTGAAATTTTATGAAAATAAAATACCATTTTTAATCCAGTTAAGTTAATCTTCAATAAGCATGATTACATATATACCCAACTGCATTTTAGAACCAATAGGAAGCTATCTAGCACTCAGATTAGGCAAATAAATTGGACATAAATTACAGGAGAAATAAGGCAAAGCTATACTAAGAGGGAAAGTGCTAGCAAAACTTACAAGTGGTTCAGAGTACTTTAAATCATTTTAATTAATTTTCATTCTACAAACATGTATTGATTATTTACAGTGTGCCAGGATCTATTCTGGGTTGTAATAACAAATCAGGATTAGGCTTTTCCACAGAAATTTAGTCTTGAGATTGTTGTGCTCCTGGGTGCTTCTCAAAACAAATTACATTGGTGTTGTTCAGTGGCACCCAACCTGGGGCACTACTAACCTCAGAGATCTTCACCTTATCACCTAGCCTTCCTGGACTTCCACCTATGCACTTATCAGATGATGGTCCCTTCCAGCTTAAGTGTTTTAAGAGGGACAGTGGGCAACACTGCTGTAGTCATAAACCCATGGTTGGGCCTGAGCTCATGCCCTGCTCCTGGGTCTACTATCAAGACATCCCTGAGCAGAAAGAGCCTGCAGCATTGTCCTGATTGCCACAAATCAGCATTAAATTAGGCATTTATCATATGTGAAAAGACACTCCATCTGCAGATCTCCACCATTGTGTAAAGTTGTCACAGACAATATGCTACTTGGCAATCTGCACATTTAACAACAAATGGGAAAGTTCAATAGCAACCAGAAATAAACTTGGGCTTTAGAATTTCATTTCTTAGATGTAGTTAGTGTTTGGCCAGTTCCCAGAACATTACCTTCCATTTATGAGAATGTAGAGCTAAGCAAATTCAAACCTAAAAACATCTTTTAACTTCCTATGTGAACAGGAAGGAAGAGAGAGGATGAATGTAATAAGATTCTCTGATCATAGGAAATTGGAATTTGCTATCTTGCCAGACCATTTTTCTTAATGCACATCTGAAGTTGGCAACATTTCCTTGGCAGAAAAATGAAATCATTCTGATTCAAAGAAACATGAAATGAGTTGGTAAAGATTTTTCTAATGACAGTGTAGGAAGTTTTATGCTGACAAATAAAAGGTAAATATACCTTTCCTGTCAATACTTAAGGGATATAAATGGTACACTGAATAATATAGACTTGAGGTTTTTTTGTGTTTAGCACCTCAATATTTGATTACATCAGAGGTGAATTAGTGCTATGTTTGAAATACAGTGAAGCGTGAGTAATTTATTTTTCTGATTAGGGTTATTATACAAATCGTATTCTGAAACTCTGTAGTCCCACCATAATATGAAGGCCCCCAGGGGCTTCAGGGAACTATTACTGTAACAATTGCATATGTAAACTCTTTTCACCACAAAATATTAAGAGGTTAAATGCTAATAGGCCTTTAAGATGGTTGGCTTGAGGTTTTCTTCATCTCCTGTTTGATGTTAAGCATTTGTTAAAAAAAAAATCAAAGAACTGGGGCTGTGTGAAGAGGTTGTTATTATCTTTCATCTCAGGGAAATAAGCAGAAGACAGTTGCAAAATTGCTTGGCCTTATTATCCTCTTTCTTTTTAATAAACTAGCTCCTTAAAGAGCTACCGTTTTTCCTAAAATGTCTTTAGATGGAAGATCGGGACTGCTAATTGTTCTACTAGTTTTAACTATAGGGGAAAAAAACAGCAATAACAAAGAAATCATGAATCAACGTTACAATTACCAGGTTTTAAGAGGATAAGTAAAACCCTGGAGCCAACTCTAAATACAACTAATTAAAACAAAAATAGGAAAGAAAATACTTTCTCTTAAAGTGGTCAGATATACTTAGGTACATTTAAATGCATACCTAGCTATCTAGTAGTTTCTTCCATGTATCTCGTGAACCTGAACAATTTGGTAGCCAGTGTAATACAAGTCCCTTCTGGATGCCTTTCACTAACTCTTCCCCTTTGACAGCTCCCTCTTTACTCTTTTGCTTCTCCTGGGTACCACAGTTGGCAGCTCTTTCTCTCTGTTGATCACTCTAACATAGATACCTCTATACCTGACTTCCCTAAGAACTCCAGACCACCAATTCCAACAGCATTTTTAGAAATTTCTAATAGCTTCCCCGCTATTGTTTCAAACCCATGTGCAGAGCTGAGCCCTCTGTCTTCTACTGAAAGTTGTTCCTTCTTCTATGCTGCCTAATTCCATTAACAGGATTGACAAGCTTAGACCCTCCTGCTCAGACCAGGATGTTTAGACTCATCTTTAACTCCTCTCTGTCCTGCTCCTCTTTCAACCATTGAGTGGCTGTCTTAGTTAATCGAGCTGCTATGACAAAGGACCATAAAACGAGTGACGTACAAACAATAGAAATGTATTTCTCATAGATTCAGAGGCTGGGAAGTCCAAGATCAAGGCGCTGGCAAATTTGGTGACTGGTGAGGGCCCATGACAAAGGACCATAAAAATCGGTGACTTATAAACAATAGAAATGTATTTCTCATAGATTCGGAGGCTGGGAAGTCCAAGATCAAGGTGCTGGCAGATTTGGTGACTGGTGAGGGTCCACTTCGTGCTTTGTAGGTGGCCTTCTTAGTCTTGATGTGTCTTCATGTGATGGAAGGATTGAGGGAGCTCTCTAGGGTCTTTTTTACAAAGACACTAATCTTATTCATAAGGCCTTCACCTTCATGACCTCATTACTTCCCAGAGACCCCACCTCCTAATAATATTACATTAGTGATTAAGATTTCAACGTATGAAACACAACCATTCAGTCTATAGCAGTGGCTAAATCCTGTTGCTTCCCCTTTGAAGTCTCTTCATTCCATCTTCTCCTTTGATTTCTTCCATTTTACTTTGACTGCTCCTTTCATCCCCATTCCAGATGAGGTGCTCCACCTGAAGGTTTCTTTGGTACCCTAGGCTTACTTCCATCATAGCACCATTCACATTGCACTCTAACCTCCTTTACATTCTTGTCTCCATCTCCTAGCAAAAGCATACAATAGGTGCTCAATAAATGCTTTTTGCGTTGACCTTCTGAGTCACCTCAACCTCACTTCCTTATTAACCCTTGCTGAGGCTATAGGTGACCTCTTTTGCCTGCTGTCTTCTACCTACAAACCAAGCAAATGCAGTCATTTAATCACTAGTCAGACCACTTTCCTCTTTTCCTACCAATTCCATTCTCTAAATTGTACTTTCTAATCTCTCCGCTCTCATTCATTTCAAGGAGAAATACCCTTACTTCAGCCTGTCTCTACAGAACTGCTATCTATTCCTAAGGACCTTTTTCAAATATTTTCTCCAAAAACTCTTCCCATAGTGCCTCCTAGGCATAATTAATCTCCCCACATTCCACCTATATTCAAAAGTGTTCTTTCCTACTTCTTTTATCGTGTTTTTTCATTGGTCTTGTATTCAAGCTATTTTGCCAGGACTGATTTTCTTACTCGATTGGGGAGCATGGAGAAGGTGACTTTCTCATCTCTCTGTCTCCCACATACACAAAAGGTACAAAGTGCTATGTGTTCAGTTACACTACTTTTACACTTGATTTCATGATTCTCAACTAACTGAGACACCGCCACAAAATAAAAAGCTTTAAGTTAGATTGAATACTATTTACTCCAATAATCATGTTAAGAATAAACTCTTGACATTTTAAACAATACTGACAACATAAAAGAATAATAGGGGTTATATCTGCTACCAAGTGTTTCCAGTATGATTCATTGCAAAGTTGTGAAAAGAATCTAACTCATGGTCTGTAATACAGCATGAGATACTTTGTGATCTGGGTAGCACTTAGTCTTAATAATTAAATTCTTAGTGATTTATATATTTCATTCTATAAAATTTAGTTAAGGAATTACTTGATACTCTAGCTTTCTTTTTGTGAACAATAGTAATATAATCGTTCTTATTTTGTCTAAAGCCTGTTATCCAAGATTTTGAGAATTAATGAGAAAATACTTTGAAACATTTCCTCATTAATCCTCCAAAGGCCACTCTGCAATAGATTTATATAAATGATTAATTAAGGATTAAAAGTCCTTCACAAAGAAGACTACATCTCTACACTATTCCTTGCCTAGCATCAATGAAAATTTAAAGTTATAAAATATAAAGGAGCTGTAAAATATTTTATTACTGCAGGCCCTAGAGGAGAAAGACAATACTGCTTTTTATTGTAAAAGCATAAATAAATATTGATCTTTGTCATGGCATATGGAGATACAGATTTCTAAAAGATCAGCCTTAGAAATATTTTAGCAAACTTTTATTCTAAATATAGTTGAAAGTATACTTTTCACCATACATCTTTTGAGCTGTCATTTTGTGTTTAAGCCTCTTATTTTTGGAACTCATTTTATTTACATCCTTTGAGCTAATGCTTGCTAATTTGCAGGTTATTAAGTAGATTGTAATTTATCAGGTAGAGTATATTTTTGGTTCAGTGATTCTTCTAGGAAGCATAGCTGATGAACCCTAATTATTTCCCAAAAGCCAAACGAATTGCCTAACTTTAGTTATTCAGTTTATGTATGTGGTAAAAGTTAAGAATTCTCCAAAATGTTCTAGATTCTGTAAAAAAATAAAGCACGCTTACAAGACTTTCCAAATCTGAGTCCAAAATGAACTCCAAAGAACATATTAGATGAAACTGCCTAAAAGCATAACTACGTGATTTAATAGCACTAGGATAACGTGGGTGTAATCCCAACAGATTACATTTCCCTGGGCGATGCAATGTGAATAGCAGCAACATGTATAGAAAAAGCAGCATAAAAATCATGCATGCTGAATATAATTTGCAAAAAAATGAATAAAATGATGAAAAATGTACACCAGTAGGGGGTAGATTCTGGTATCGTCAAAGCATCTGTGGAATCAAGATAATTACAGCATTCAGAACTTGGGACAATGAGACACAAATATATTCCTATAATTTCCTAAGAAATAATGTATTTGATGTAAAGAAAAAGAGAAGGGAAAGAGAGATTATTAGCTGCTACTGATTACTCAGTGCATGCCAGATATCACACTAAGCACTTTCAATAAGCTGTTATGAAATGGCCCAATGATCCTATGAGGTAGGTATTATTAACAATATTTTTATATTAAAAAAACTAGATCCAGATGTCTACCCAAAACCCAAGTACCTAGTAGTTAACAACAGCCAGGAAAGACACACACACACACACACACACACACACACATATCTATCTCCTCCCCTTGGGATTGTGTAATAAGAACAAACAAACAACCATTAGGTGTGACTCTGTGCCTAGTTGACAAAGGTGCCCTTTAAGAATTATATCACCATTTCATGAAACAGTGGGAGCTCACGTGCTTGCATTAAGTAGAGTGTTCAGGACAACCTGGACCTTCTAGAGGGCTGAGAGATCAGACAGATATTCCAGCTTTTCCAGCAGGGACTATCAAAATTTTTCATAAAGAAGACAATTATGAGCTAAAACAAAGAACCTCCAACATGAGGAGGTTTTTAGGAGTTAAAGCATGAGTTTTTGAGTCAGCCAGACTCCAAAATCCCGATGGATATTTCTGAGATTCAGTTTTCTTTTCTGCAAAGAGTACATCATAATTACTACCTTGAAAGGTTGTAAGCAGATTAAACTAAAATAAACATATGAAGGGCTCAGTATGGTATTTGGGTCATGGTGGGCTCTACATAAATTTCTTTAAAAAGAAGAGAAGGGGGAAAAAAGAGGAGAGGAGGAACTGCTGAGAGGCATTGTTTCCAGGTGCTTCCCTCAGTGGAAGCCCCTAAGGATACCAGGCGTAAATCATTGTGGTTGCTGAAGTCCGTAGGAAATGCTGTTGCAGCTGAGTGCAAAGGTATTGGGCTTTACCAACAGGGGTGACAACTAGTAAAAAATGGACCATTGCAAGCAGTGGAAAGAAATTGAAAACAAGACCACTTTGGAGCAAAATCCAGCTCTCCCTTATATCCTAGGATGAGACTCCTGACATTTAGGAAATGTGTAGTGATTATTGATTTCAATGCCTCACTGAATGAAGAAAGAGAGTAATCATTTCTACCAGGTTTCCTGGTAGAAATGATGCTCCAGGGACTCGGAGTGTTTTCTTGGGCCAATTACAGAGACACTAAACAGTAATCTTGTCCTCAGATGTCTAAGGTAGACAGGCTATAATTAGAAAGGAGTATTGATAAAGTGGTGCTGAGGTAAAAATAAATCTAGTCTTTGCAAGTCTAATTATTTTGGAGAAAATGAGAAAAAGAAATTGACAAAATAAATAATGTTTGCATACACACGCATACACACACACATATTAAAAAAAAAAAAACCCTGAAACTATTATATATGATCTCTGATGAAAAAATAACAAAATTAACACCATAAGCATTCTTAATAAATAGTCATTTTGGAAATCGTTTCTGAAACTTTGAAATAGGCTTTTAAAATGTAATCATGAATCAACATGGCTGATATGGTTCAAAAAATGTGGAACCCAGATGACCCACGGATAATCAGTCACTAAGTTCTCTCCATTTGGAGCTTTATTCTGTCTCTCACATTCAACCTCCCACTACTTTCTACCATCCCAGTTCTGGGTCTTCTCTCCACATACAGAATTACTGCATTTGTCTTCCAACTGGTTGTCCATACTCTATTCTCTCCCACCCAAATCATGTTATATTAATACATGCTCCTAAAACAGGGGTCCCAACCCCTGGGCCATAAACCAGTACGGGTCCTTGGCCTGTTAGGAACTGGGAAGCACAGCAGGAGGTGAGCGGCGGACGAACAAATGAAGCTTCATCTGTATTTATAGCCTCTCTCCATTGTTCGCATTTTGTTCTGATTGGTCATGGGGACAAACAGTTCAGCTAATCACGTATGAGACAAAGAATGGGAATTTGGAAGGTCTGCATCTGGCCTCGCCCTAGGTAACAAGGAAGTCATCCCCAAGCCTTATCTAAGTCATTATGGGGAAGGGTGGTTCATGCAGTAAGCCATTTCTAATAACAGAAACAATGGAGAGATTTCTTTCATCATTGCTGATATTGCTGATATCCAGGGGTACAGGGCTCGGGTAACATTTAACATGGCCACTTCCAATGGCTTTCCCGTTTACTCAGAGTAAACCCATTATTTTTCAGTGGTCGATAGCAGGGGTCCCCAAACAACGGGCCATGTGGCCTATTAGGAACTGGGCCTCAGTGAGTGGCAGGCGAGTGAGCGAATCTTCATCTGTATTTACAGTCAGTCCCCGTCACTCGCAGTATCGCCTGAGCTCCACCTCCTCTCAGATCAGCTGCGGCATTAGATTCTCATAGGAGAGGGAACCCTATTGTGAATTGGACATGTGAGGGATCTGGGTTGTGCGCCCCTCACGAGAATCTAATTAATAATGCCTGATGGTCTGAGGTGGAACAGTTTCATCCCGAAACAAGCCTCTGCCATCCGTGGAAAAATTGTCTTCCACGAAACTAGTCCCTGGTGCCAAAAAGGCGGGAGACCACTGTCCTAAAACGCAGATTTTAATATGGTCAGTTGGAAACTTTCCAATTTTTTACAGGATAAAATCTAAACTTGTTCTGACATTCAAGGCCCTTCAAAACAGGACCCAACATTTCTCAAAGGCAATAAACTAGATCAATATTTTCCAGTGTATATCCTGAGAAACACTGTCCTGCTAGATGCTTCATAATAAAAAAGGTCCTTGTGACCAATCATATTAGAAATGAAGAACAATATAATCATAAAAGAGCTAACATTTGTTAGGAATTTTCTTTGTGCCGGAAACCAAGAGCACTACACACATTATAATATTTAACCCTCACAGCTCTATGTGGTTGATTTACAGATAAGAAAACCAACCAAGACTTCGGAAAGGTAAGAAATATATCCAAGTTTACACCCCTGTTAAGTGTCAAAGCAGAGATCTGAGCCCTGGTATGCCAGACTGAGGGCTCTGAACTCTTAAACACAGAAATGCCCAATTACTTTTATGTGGGGTTCCAGGAGATTTTAACATATTAAAATCCCTGAGAAGTCCTGATGTGCAAAAGCTTTTGGAATGCTATTTAAACTAATTAAACGACTTCATTATAGGAAATGTACATCATGAGATGCCTTTTAATATCTCCACAAACCTGGGTTTCCAAATAGTCCATTTCAGGAAACAAACTATGAGATTTCTAAGGCTCTTTTTACCTCAAAGATTCTTTAATTCCTTTTTTCCTGTACTTCCAAATTCTCTCCTCAATGACTTTCAATTTATGTAAATAGTTAGTTACAAGTCCCTAAACATACTTTAGCTCTAACCTCATTTCTCATCCTCAGAAGCTGTCCACTTTCGTCTCAATCTTATTGGTACCTTCCATCTCCTCTCTGAAGCCTTTCCTAACTGGCCACAAATATATTGGGTTTGATATGGTTTGGCTGCATCCCCACCCAAATCTCAAATTGTAGCTCCTGTAATCACCATGTGTCATGGAAGGGACCCAGTGGGGGGTAATTGAGTGATGGGGGTGGGTCTTCCCATGCTGTTCTCATGATAATGAGTAAGTCTCATGAGATCTGATGGTTTTATAAAGGGGAGTTTCCCTGCACAAGCTTCTCTTTTGCCTGCCACCATATAAGACCGTGCCTTTCACATTCCATCATGATTGTGAGGCCTCCCCAGCTACGTGGAACTGTGAGTCCATCAAACCTCTTTTTTCTTAAAAATTACTCAGTTTTAAGTATATCTTTATCAGCAGTGTGAGAACAGACTAATACAGGGTTTATTCTTCCTCAGTGTTTCTGTGGCACCAGGCTGAGGCGACTTTGAGTTATATCCACATACAAAAGAGATGCTGTATAATTTGCGTGTTAAGAAGTCAGAGCAGGAGGCAGAGGCGGGCGGATCACAAGGTCAGGAGATCGAGACCATCCTGGCTAACATGATGAAACCCCGTCTCTACTAAAAAACACAAAAAATTAGCTGGCGTCATGGCGGGCTCCTGTAGTCCCAGCTACTCGGGAGGCTGAGGCAGGAGAATGGCGTGAACCCAGGAAGCGGAGCTTGCAGTGAGCCAAGATCGCACCACTGCACTCCAGCCTGGGCGACAGAGCGAGACTCCGTCTCAAAAAAAAAAAAAAAAAAAGAAGTGAGAGCGTGCATATTTTAATTAGCTTGATTTAGACAATCCACAATGTATACATATAGCAAAACATCATGTCGTACACCATTAATATTTACAGTTTTTATTTGTCATTTTAAACATATTGGCCCTTGGTTGGCATGGTGGCTCATGCCTGTAATCCCAGCACTTTGGGAGGCTGGGGTGGATGGATTGCTTGAGCTCAGGAGTTCAAGACCAGCCTGGGCAACAAGGCGAAACCCACTCTCTACAAAACATACAAAAATTAGCCAGGCATGCTGGAGCATGCCTGTTGTCCCAGCTACTTGGGAGGTTGAAGTGGGAGGATAGCTTGAGCCTGGGAGGTTGAGGCTGCAGTGAGCTGAGATCGTGTCACTGCACCCCAGCCTGAGTGACTGAGCAAGACCCTGTCTCAAAAAAAAAAAAAAAAAAAAATTAAAAAGATTGGCTTTTGGTAGTAGTCACTTTTCCTTATTTCTTCCAGTGTGCAGGTCTTGAGAAAACACAAGGACTTACGATTCAAAACTTTGAGTCCAGGGTCCTTTCTTTTTTTCCCTCCTTTACAACAGCATACATTGCCTTAAATCACCAGATACATATCCATATTTATGTCTCTTCCTGATTTTCACTGAAAGCTCCTTCGTGGTAGAGACCAGATCTTTCTGTTCCCGGTCCACTTACATAGTGAAAATTTTAGGTCGAACTCAGTCAGATTCTAGCTTTTCCATTTCTAAACTGTACATAAATAGCTACTTAAACAAGTTGTTTAATCTCTCTTAGACTCAGTTTCATCACATATAAAGTAAGTGGAGAATATGATACCTAATTCGTTGGGTTTGTGTAAGAATGAAGTGAATTAATACAGATAAAGGGGGCTTTGCAGGATGCTTCACAATTTTAAGTGTTCTATAAATGCTGGTTTTATTATTGTTGTTTTTGTAAATTGGCCACCTATCATGCTCCAGGCATTTTACTAGACCATGAAACCGAAGGACTAGGATGCAATCCCTGCCCTCTGGAAGCTTGTGTCTAGTTACAGAAGAGAAAGAATGCAAGTCAGGTGGACATGTGGGGCCAGCCTTATCCAGGGAGAGCAGAAGAGGGATTGCAGCAAAGCAGCAATCCTGCCCAGCCCTGAAGGACAGACCGGAGGTAGAAGTGCTTTCAGGCAGAGTCAGAAGCATTTGCAAGGCACCTTGATCTGTGACACGGCCAGAACTTGAGAGCTGCAAGTCAGTTCATGTGACTGAAATGTGATAGGTGAAGGGCAGGAGGTAAGCCGGTAAACTAGATCAGCCAGGTACCCAAAAGTTTACGTCTCAAAGGCATTTAACCGTGAGCCCATTGTTAGTGGGGTGGAAGGAGGCAGGTCAAAGAAGCATTTAAAGAATAGATGAATATGATCAGATTTATATTATAAATATAATTCTGGTTCTACTGTGGAGGTTGACAGAAAACTAGACTGGATTTAGGAAAAAGCTAAGTGAAGTATGAAGAAGCTCTGAATAGACAAACGATGGTCTATCAAATGGAAACTTACAGATCAGAGAAGATGCAATAGGTCTGAGTTGTGAAACAGAAATTTGCTGATTGCTTTAAAATGTATACAATGAAATGGCGTATTTTAACATAAAGTTATTAAATGTAATGTATTTAATAAAATATGTTATATGTATTATTTATAATAATTTAATAAAATTATTAAAATGTAAAACATTTTATTTAGTGTAAAATAAGTGTTCTATTGTTCATCTTCTAAACTGGCTAGATTTGTACAAAGTAAGTATAATGCTAACAAAGGAAAGATAAAGGCAATATAAACTGGCAATTGATATCGCAAATTGAAAATCTTGTTCCTGCTGTTGGGCCTAATCATTTCATTTTTAGTCATTTCTCTTGGGAAAATCATATAAAATGTTGCAATACTTATCTCAATTAAAAAAACAGAAATGTGTATTTCTAACAGAGGGAATGGATATGTACACAACATGATATATAAATGTAATCTAATATATGAAGAAATTTAATACACTATTATGTGTTTAAAACAGGGTTGCTAGGTAAAATACACAATGCTCAATTGCATTTGAATTTCAGATAAACAATGAGTAACTTTTTAGTATAAGCATGTCCCAAATATTATGAGGAACATAGGGCATAAACTAAACAATTATTCATTATTTATCTGAAATTGAAATGGATCCGGATGTTCTGTATGTTTATTTGCTCAACCTGACAGTCCTAGTTTTAAAGGATCTGCAAAAGTGCAGTTTACACTATATTACATAAAAATATATAAATTATACTCAGTTATGGGGGGAAATATGCCTTGAAAATAGATTGTGAGAAAATACAGTGTAATTAAGTTAGTGGTTACTAGCTGTGGAGGGTTTGAATATAGATTTTTTAATGTTTGTTTATGTTTTCCTACAATGGATATGAGTTATTTTTATTAGCAGAAAAAGATGTACATGTATTTTATATGTCCATATAGAACTCTATTCTGCTTTTAACATGGGCAGGGGTTTACACTTAAGAGTGCTATACGCTAGGATACACACTGCTTCCCAATTTACTACCAGACTCAAAACTTTCTCAAGTAACTCCTAGTTCCTATGGAATAAAAGACTCTGTTTTAATTTTCAGCTTAAATATCATGCCGGTAGTAAGAACTTATCCACACACTGTATCTCAGTTCTTCCCACCACCACAATCAATATCAATGCTTTCCTATTTCATTATTCCAGAGCAAACTCTTTTCTTCCATACCACTTAGCAGAGCTTCAGTTTTGTTGAAAGAAAGAGTAAATGAATAAAGGGGAGAAATGAGATCAGAAATATTGGATGGCATTTCTCACTAGGCTTAACCTGGTATGTATTTAGGTCCCGGTTGCATAATTTAATGGCCCTCCAGGACTGCCTTGGCAAGTACCAGGGTAGAAATATATGCTCCATAAAAATGGATATAAAGAAAAATAAAGACCAGTAAAAATATTTATTTGTAGAGAAACTTTAGTGGACTCAGGAGTCGGAAAAGGTCTGTGAAAACAACAAAACTGGAAGAAAAGATACCAAAGCATCTTATAGCTTCCAGAATTTTCCCCAAGTGAACGTCAATGTTTTCCCTTGAAAGGTGATTTCTGGGGGATCTTGCTGCCCACACAGGTGATGAAAACTGTATGCCAGGCTGTCTTGTTTAAGACATATTTACTTTTCATTTCACTGTATTTTAAATTTGATTTTATGGACTTACCATGGAAACCATCATTTAAAAACAAACAACAAACCTCTGTTTTTTCAGGCCTCATTTTGAGTAGAATATTGTTGGAATCCTATTAGAAAGCAGGTGTAATGTGGACGGATCTGTGGTGCATTCCTTTTCCCATATCTTCCTTCTTGAAACCTTTTCAAAGCTGTTTCCTGACAATGATAGCAAAAGAAGCAATGCATTACAGGTGAATAAAGGAAACAGAAACTAAGCTTAAAAAATAGAACAAAGTGAAGAAAAAAGAAAGACAGGCGAAGATGAGGAGGACCAGGCAGGAAAGAGATAGGAGGGCTGAAGAGAGGAGGAAGGGACAGAAACTCCTAGTGTGTACCTAAATTACCCCTAGAAAAGTGATCCTACAGCTTCATTATTGTATCATCAGGATTTCTAAAAAAGCCAGGAAGTAGGTGATGAAGGGAGAGAAAAAAGGTTTCAAGAAGAAGGGTATGGGAAAAAGAATGCATCACAGATCCATCCACATTATACCGCTTTGTAACAGGCTTCTAACAGGATTCTACTCAAAATGGGGCCTGAAAAGACAGAGGTTTGTTTGTTTTTAAATGACAGTTTCTAAGGTAAGTGCATAAAAACTTATTTAAAATACAGCAAAACAAAAAGTAAATATGTCTCAGACAAGAGAGCCTGGTATACAGTTGTCATCATCTGTGTGGTCAGCAACATTCCTCAGAAATCACCTTAAAGGAAAACATCGATGTTCACTGGGGAAAAATTCTGGAAGCTATACAATGCTTTGGTGTCTTTTCTTCCAGTTTTGTTGTTTTCACAGATCTTTTCAGATGCCTTTTCCCATACCTTCTTTTTTGAAACTTACTTTCTCTCCCGTCATCACCTACTTCCTAGCTCTTTCTTTCTCCTTCCCTTCCTTCCTTCCTTCCTTCCTTTCTTTCTGTCTTTTCTTTCTTTCTTTCTCTCCTTCTCTCCTCTTTTTCTCTCTTTTTCTCTCTCATTTTCTCTCTCTTTCTCTCTCTCTTTCTCTCTCTTTCTCTCTTTCTCTCTCTTTCTTTCTCTCTCTCTCTCTCTTTCTCTCTCTTTCTCTCTTTCTCTCTCTTTCTCTCTTTCCTTCCTTCTTTCTTTCTTTCTTTCTTTCATTCTTTCTTTCTTTCTTTCTTCTTTCGACATAGTTTCACTCTTATTGCCCAGGCTGGAGCGCAGTGGCATGATCTAGGCTCACTGCAACCTCTGCTTCTCGGGTTCAAGAGATTCTCCTGCCTCAGCTTCCCAAGTACCTGGGATTATAGGCATGCGCCACCATGCCTGGCTAATTCTGTATTTTTAGTAGAGATGGGGTTTCTCCATGTTGGTTAGGCTGGTCTTGAACTCCCGCCCTCAGGTGATTCAACTGCCTCAGTCTCCCAAAGTGCTGGGATTACAGGCATGAGCCACCGTGCCTGGCCCTTCGTAGCTTTTTCTGAAGTCGTGGTGATGGAATAATGAAGCTACAGATTCACTTTTCTAGGGGTAACTTAGGTACACACTAGGAGTTTCTGTCCCTTCCTCCTCTCTTCAGCCCTCCTATCCCTTTTCTGCCTGGTCCTCTTCATCTTCTCCTTTCTTTATTTTTCTTCACTTTGTTCTATTTTTTAAGCTTAGTTTATGTTTTCTTTATTCATCTGTCGTATCGCTTCTTTTGCTTTCATTGTGAAACAGCTTTATAGCTGTTGTCTCTAAGGATCTTTTATTCTAATTCACTAAAGCAGCTCCACACTAAGAGGCAAGCTAAGTGGTCTTCAATGCTTCTAAATTCTAACAGATTTAAAAGTCACTACCTGCACCCAGAAACAAGAGACATGGAGTGTTTTCCAAAAGGTTATTGAGCGTATACTAAAAATGTCATTAGACTTTTTGTTCCCAAATGTTTTGTATGTAATTTATTAATGATGACATAAAGGACAGAATACAAATCTATTGACCATCCACTGGGTTCAAACAAATATGTGAGGCTCACATGCTGAATGAATTAGACATTTGAAAGAGCCAAACTGAGTGCAGGACTCAAAAGGCCACGTAGATATTCAAGTGTACTTTGTTTGATGAAATTTGTTTTTCTCTACTCTATATATACCTAGAGTTTTTGTGACAAGAAATGTCAGAACCAATTTTGAATACAAAGCTCAAAATTTGTTTTCTTTTGCAAGAATAACACTTCAAAACATCATTTGAATTTTGTGTGCCATACTGTTATTTCAACATGCTTTTTAATGACATGCCGTAATCTTTGACGTCTTCATTATTTTGTACTTGCTCAGTTCATCAGAAGTGTCATCCCCACTTCTTTTGTTTTCACTTCCCAATTTTAGATCCAAAAGTCCCCCATCTTTACCCACCACTACCATGGCCAAGTTTCCAGACTGTGATTTATTGTTAATAATAAAAATAATGCTCATTGTGAAAATGTCAAACAGTAACTAATGGGCTAAATTGAAAAGTAGAAATTTTGTTTCTAACTTCCATTCCACATCCCAGAGGTAATAGCAGGTGCAGTTTCATGTGCTTCCTTTAAAAAAAAAATGAAAGCAATTAAAAACAATTAAACATGTAAAAATTCTGGCTTAGTGGCTCATACCTGTAATCTCAGCACTTTGGGAGGCTGAGGCAGGTGCAGATCACTTTAGCTTAGGAGTTCAAGACCCTGTCTCTACAAAAAATTACAAAAGTTAGCTGGGCTTGGTGGTGTGTACCTATACCACCTACTGTGTTTGCCTAGTCCCAGCTACTCCAGAGGCTGAGATGGGAGATTGATTGAACCTGGGAGGTTGAGGTTATAGTGAAAAGTGATTGTGCCACTGAATTTCAGCTTGGGCAACAGAAGGAGACCCTATCTTAAAAGAAAAAAAAAAAGTAAAAACTCTTTTGGTACTGATGATAAACATGGAATGTGCTCCCTTCTTAGCAGATGTCAGTCATCCTTGTTCTTCTAAATGACCACTGTCCAGGGCATTGCATGCAAGTACCCTGGTTTCTGTGCTTTATCTAACAAGCCTACCAAGACACATTAGGGCTGTGGCTTTTGCCATCGTCACAAACGATGGTGAAGATCTTTATACAAACATATTTGCACATTTGGGGGTCATGCCACACTATAGATTTGTGAAAACTGGAATGACTTGGTCAAAGAATATACGCATATTTTATTTTGAAAAATATTTCCAAGATTTGTTTCAAAGTTACTATGCATCTTTCACTTAATATTGGGACACACATTTCTTATGTCATTAATTCAAAAACTTCTATTGTTAATGAATGAATGGCATTTTCTCACATATATGCCCCATAATTTATGCAATCATATCCTCCTTTAAGTGATGTTTGAGGTTCCCAGTGTTTGCAAAATTAGTGCCCTTGCTGAAATCTGCTTGTCTTCATTGTGTTTACACATTTCATTGTGTTTACACATTTCATTGTGTTTACTGTGATAGAACTAGCAGAGCTGATTATTACTTCTCAAGTTGAAGCCCAGAATTTTACGTATTTATTCTAGTAAATGGTATAAAAGTGTTTTCATTTTTAAAAGGTCAGATTTAATGTATTTATGAACATTTTTAGGAAATATAGAATGCTAAATGAATAGAGGCCCAGAAAAGTTGTTTTTATTTGGAGTGGGATGTGAGAAATGTACCGTAAATAATCACAGTTATGTCTGAAATAAATTATAGTACATAAAATTTTGAATTGACAATAAACATGCTTTTTGAATCATGGTGCTACTATAACATTATGTCTAAAATATTATTTGACTCACCTACTGTAGGCAGGAGTTCAGAAAATTCTGCTTTGTAAAAATAGACACAAGGGAAAAAAGTCCTGTATACAGTAACCTGTGGAAGAATGCAGCAGGGAACTTACTTCCTGATCACTCTACCTTAGGGTTTATCAAGAGTGGCATCAGTGATATTCAGAGCTGGATAATGCTTCATTGTGGGACTGTTCTGAATGTTGTAGGATGCTTAGCAGCATTACTTGGCCTCTGTCCCTTAAATACCAGTAGCAACCCCAACCCAATCGTGACCATCAATAATGGCTTTAGACACTACCAGATTTCCTGTGTGGGCAAAATCTCCTTGGGTTGAGTAGAGCTTCCTGTATGGTAAAGTCCGTCAGGTCCCACACAGGCTGACAGAGCTTCTAGTTCCACATACTTAAGAACTGATGGACAACAAACGATGAACAGGCACTTACAGAAATTTCACATTAAAGACAAAGTGCATAATGAACAAAGAGAAGGAAAAAAATAAAATTAAGGCAATATAAGAAGCAGAAAAAAAGTTCAAACTACACTATTATAATATCTTCAGGGAGATGAGATTAGATAGAACATCCATCAAATAATAACACATTCTTTTTAAAATAAGAGAATAAGAAAGACCTGTTGGTTATTAAATTATGATGTTTGAAATAAAACTTAATAGAAGGGTTTAAAAGGTAAAATTGAGAATTCTCTCACAAATTCAAATAAAACGGAAAATACATAGAAAATGGAACTTTAAAGGTAAGATTTGAGTATTGATTTAAGAGGTCAAAATTCAGAGAAAGTAGGGTAGAAGAAATTTTTTAAGAGAATGAGACAGAGAGAGAGGAATTCCCTGCATGTAATGCTTGTAAAGCAGAATAACATCAGACTTTTTGTGGCCAAGAAAAGTAAAAAATAATGAAATTATGTCTTTGAAATTTTGACAGAAAATGATATTTAACTAAACATTTCTAATAAGCCTGGTTATCAATCAAGCATGAAGGCAAAATTAAGACCTGATCACAAACACAGTCTTCACAATATACCTCCAAGGCATCTTGTCTTGGAAAAAAAAAAAAATCTGTTAAATATACTTCACTGGAATGAGGGAGGATCCAAATAACAGAGAGTGGCCAGAGAATCTCCAAAATAATGATTAAAGGGAGGTTTCACGATATGGCAGACCTAGACAACAACGAATTCCTATTGGAACAGGAGGATGAAGGGATGTAAACATGAGGACTCCAAGGGAAAAAACCGAACTAATAAATTATTTAATGTGCTTGGCCTTATTGAGAAGAAGTATGTAATTCTGTAGGTGACTGAAGGGGAAGAATGTGTGATAGCTATCTGTACCAAACTAAACAAATGAGTAAAAGTATTACCTGCCTTAAAAAACACAGGGCTGCGCAAAAACATAAAATAGTTTATTACATTCCTCCACCGTGAACCATATTTAAAGAGTTGTAATCATGAAAATACTCATGGCTGATCTTTTAAAAATTGTGATAAAACAACATTGGAAGAATGACAGGAGTACAAGAAAAAGCAGGTCCGTGGTTTCTAAGTGAGCTAAATTCTCCTTTTGCATAATAGACAATGTCAAAAGAAGAAGAAAACCAGGACAACTAGTGTGAACATAATTTTTTAAAGTGTCTAAATGCCAAATGAAATATTAATAGCTAAAAGAGTTAAAAGCAGATGAGCTGGGGTTTGGGAATCTAGTAATCTGAAAGGTAAAATAGAAAACCTCTCTTTTTTTGTACAGTGAGCTTGTAGTTTTGTTTATTAACTCTATAGAGTACAAACTGATTTAAAAATCAAAGCAATTCTGGGCAACCACACATAAAAAGTTTTGGGGTGCTGTTGACACACGTGATATATGGTTTTTGGACCTCCACCCCTGACTTACTGAATCAGAATTTCTAGCAACGGATATCAAGAATCTGTATTTTTATAAAAGCTCTCCAATAGAAGCTTATCAAATTTATGTGTGGAAATCACACATATACTGTTCAGTTATTGAAGTATCAGAATATGATTTTCAAAAACAACATCAAAATAATTTTATGGTCCAGTATTTGTAGAATATTTGAGTACATGGATTCACAGACACATATACACACATAGATACACAGAGATAAATACACAGGTACTGTCAAGAGTTAATCCATTAAACTCAGAGAAATCAGAATCTTTATAAATCTTTATACAGTTGTCCATCAGTATTGGAATACTGCCAGCAGACCAAATATTGAGGTCTTTGTTGTCATAAAAATTTCACCTGCTGGGTAATTAGTTTTGTTCTGTGTTTAGCATAGCACATAAATCTTCAATTCCAGACCCTGGATAGTGGTAACATAAATATAAATAGTCTGCCTAGGGGGCATTTGACTGATCTGTCTTTACAAACAAGGGGTTCATTAAAAGCATATGACTTAGTTTCACTGAATGTTTGCTATTGCTTCCTCTCCTGTAGTGTTTTTTTGTTTCCTACAGTAAACCAAAGAACATAAGTTACACCTGCACAAAGCGATGATTTGGAGTCCAAGATGTCATGATAAATGAGGAAGGTTATAGGAGGATGAGCCATTGCACCCACACCTCATGATGGATGACTTTGGGGAGCTGGAGCGGATCTGTAGATACCCTGGATTTTGATCTTCAAACTAGGCTGGGTCATGGAGAGCTAATAATCCTGTTTTACTGTTGAATGACAAACAATAAATTAGACAATATACACTGATAGAAAGTTTTTAAATTTAATTTCTTTAAAAAGTCCACAATTAAAAATAACATATTTGATTATAAAATGTGAGGTACAAAATAGCCTACAACAAGAATTTGGTGGAGGAAAAAAGATGAAGAAAATATTTTCATATAAAAATAAGTGGCCAGGTGTGATGATTCATGCCTGTAATACCAGTAATTTGAAAGGTCAAGGCAAGAGGGTTGCTTGAGGCCAGGAGTTTGAGACCAGACTAGGCAACATAGGGAGACCCTATTGCCACAAAAAAATAAGACAATTAGCCAGGCCTGGTGGTGCACACCTGTAGTCCCAGCTACTGGGGAGGCTGAGGTGGGAGAATCACTTGAGTACAGGAGATCAAGGTTTCAGTGAGCCATGATCATGCCATTGCACCACAGCCTGGGCAAGACTCTATCTCTAAAAAACATAAATTAAATATAAGTAATAATTATAAGGGCAATATTACCTAGACAAAGACAATACAAAATTAAAAATTGAAAACATAACAAGGACTACAAAACAATATCTCTCAAAGATTTTGATGCAAAAATCCCCAACAAAATATTAGCAAGCTGAATCCAATAACATATTAAAAAGAATTATACAACATAATTAAATGGACTTATTCTAGGTATTTAAGGCTGGTTCAAGATTTACAAAGAAATTAATGCAATCCACCATATCAACAGGCAAAACAAGAAAAATGCATATAATCAAATACATTTATGCAGAAAATACATTTGGCAAAACCCAATATTCATTCATTAGAAAGATTCTCAGCAAGTTAGGAAAAGAAGGGAATGAGTTTGATTAAGAGTAAGTGCAGCCGGGCGTGTTGGCTCACACCTATAATCCCACACTTTGGGAGGCCGAAGAGGGCAGATCGCTTGAGTCCGGGAGTTTGAGACCAGCCTGGGCAATATGACAAAACCCTGTCTCTACAAAAAAAATACAAAAATCAGCCAGGCTTAGTGGCATGTGCCTGTAGTCCCAACTACTCAGGAGGCTGAGATAGGAGAATCACTTGAGCCCAGGTAGCAGAGTTGCAGTGAGCTGAGACTGCACTGCTGCACTCCAACCTGGGTGACAGAGTGAGACCCTGTCTCCAAAAGAAAAAAAAAGAGTAAGTACAAAAAGCTACAGTTATCATCTTAATGATGAAAGACTGAGTGATTTCCCCATAAGATTGGGAACGAAGAAAGACATTCTTTCTCATTTCTATCATTCAACATGAGGCTGAAAGTTCTTGCCACTGCAATAGGCAAATAAAAGAAATAGACAACCGGGAGATTGGAAGACATAAAACTATCTCTTATTTCCAGATGACATGATTGTCTTTGCAAAAAATTTCAATGACTCTACCACAAAAGTGAGTCACATACGTAATTTAAAATTTTCTAGTAGCCACTTTGAAAGAAGTTAAAAAAAAAAACCAGATGAAATGAATTTTATAATATATTCTGTTAACTCCATATATCCAAAATATTATCATTTCCAATATGTGATAGTTAAAATTAATGTTTTTCTATGTTTATACTCTCTTCAATATTCATATCTCCTATTTATATCATACTCAATCTGGACCAGCCACTGGCTCTTTCAAATGTTCAAAAGCCACATGAGGCTAGTGGCTACTGTATTGAAAACTATGGATCTAGATGTTCTTTTGCACTGCTTCTTTCACTCTACAATTTAAATTTTTTTAAATATATAAATATTTAAACGATGCAATAATTATCTAACTCTCCTCCAAATTACACTCATGTCTCAGCTACATGCTTTGCATTTAAAGCAACCACATTGCCAAAGGCGTTGTCAACAAATAATTGCAATCCAAAGGTCACAAATCCTACATACCCTCCTGGTGTGGCACATAGTTATCTTTGACCCATTTGTGGACATAATTTGTCCCTGTGGTTCAAGTCATTCAGGAAGGGAGCTCAGGTGAGGGCTTGCAGATCTAAGATGAGGACAGAGCTGGTGAGAGAGGCAGATGAGTTCCCTATTTGTCAAAATTTCTGTCTTCTGGACTCTACTTCCTCCCTGCAGGTGGGCATTCTTCCTTGCCCTTGTCTTGAGCCAAAAGACAGAGAGGCATCCAATTATGCTGTCACTCCCCCAGGTTGGCAGTAACAGCAGCAGGCTGTAACTCTGCCCAGGGCTCACAAGCTGCAGCTAGGAGGTTTCCAGCAGTCAAAAGGCTTAGAGTAGATAGCCTCTTATTTTCTCTGGAGTCCCCAAGAGGATCAGTTAGACACCAGGCATCTTACTCGTATGCTATTGGTCTCTTAACAAACCCTGGCCTAGAGTGAAAGTTAAAAGTCTTTGATTCTTATTCTTTCCTCCATGATGTGTCTTTATGAAACATCAAGTGAGGTCCCTTTATGCCCTGCACTTTCTTCCTTTGTAAATGAAGAGCAATATATAATAATCACTGGTATTTATTGAATAAACACAGTGTGCCAAGATGAGTCCTGAGTACTATAGATGGTTTCTCATTTACTTCTGCCTATAAACCATGAGTTACGTATCATTATTTCCACATTACATAAGATAGAACTAAGCTACTCAAAAGTTACAATACCTGCCTGGGCTCTCCCAGATAGAAAAGAGCAGAGGCAGAATTCAAACTTCATTTGTCTGACTACAAATTCCAAAACATGAAAGAGCATTCTCAGGCCTAGCAAGATAATAATGTGGTGCTTATCAGAGAAGAATCGGGAGCCCAGGTTAGCGTCCCCACCCAGTGCTGATAAATCAAAATCATCCTTTTCAGCCTCAGGACCCACCTTTGATGTCAACTGGCCAAGTGCATTACTGCTGGACTTGAAAGAAGCCTTGCAGTCTTACCTTCCCAGTGTGAGGAGACGGGAGTGCCCCCTACATTCAAGTACTTCTTGGAAATTTCTTAGCTGTTGACTATCATTCTGTGAGGCTAGAAGAGAGGGCAGTGGAACTGTCAGTAATTTAAAATACATTATTCCTATCAATAATGATTCTTGAGCCTTCTTACAATTTATTTTTTTTTGTTTTTTTATTTCATTTTATTTTATATATATATACTTTTTTATTATACTTTAAGTTCTAGGGTACATGTGCACAACGTGCAGGTTAGTTACATATATATACATGTGCCATGTTGGTGTGCTGCATCCATTAATTCGTCATTTACATTAGGTATATCTTCTAATGCTATCCCTCCCTCCTCCCCCCACCCCACAACAGGCCCCGGTGTGTGATGTTCCCCTTCCTGTGTCCAAGTGTTCTCATTGTTCAATTCCCACCTATGAGTGAGAACATGCGGTGTTTGGTTTTTCGTCCTTGCGATAGTTTGCTGAGAATGATGGTTTCCAGCTTCATCCATGTCCCTACAAAGGACATGAACTCATCATTTTTTATGGCTGCATAGTATTCGATGGTGTATATGTGAGTTCTGAAGTTTCTCAGGAAAGTGATACAACATAAATTCTACAAAAAAAATGTAGAATTTATGTTGTATCACTTTCCTGAGAAACTTCAGAACTGCCAAAGCTGTGGCTAGGATCCTTTGATCCTGTGGGGAGGTGTGCAAAGAAGTTGTGTGTTTGGCCCCTTGAGTATATGACTTCTGAGACTGCCAGGGTGGAGTGAAGGGCTTTTCTATGAAGTAAATCTTCTTCAAGGAGAATGAGATTTTGCACCAATGAAAAGCCAGACTCTGTCACTGAGCAGAGCTACAGGCATGGCTTGGCAGGAGTGGTATCATGAGCTAGCTGCTTCTCTTGTGCAGCCCCTTAGCTCCCGAAACAAACTCCTCTGAAGACTTTCATGCAATTGTTGTAAAAGGCAATGCTGTGAACTGCCCTGATATTTCACAACAGAGTAGTCCAGCTGCAACTGGGAGACCTGGGTATTTTTCTAGCACTGAGAGGAAATAAGAAATACCTGGGTCCCCATAGGAACAGCCGCCGGGGAGTCACTTCCTAAAGGAAGGAGAGCTGACAGAGGTGACTGATAATTGCTGTCATTAAGAGGTTCCAGGGAGACACTGGGAGCCCCTGACATAGGACCTGGTACTGCAGAAGAGATGAGGCAGAAGGACAACATGCACTGGGTTTCATGGGCAAACGTCACTATTGAAGAATCCAGCCTTCTCTGAGTGGAGAGAGGGTCATTCTTCATTGTCACCTTCTCAGAGAGAGCAGAGGAATTGTTATTCTATTACCTTTATTTTCTCTAAAAATTGAAAAATAGGCCAGGCACAGTGGCTCATGCCTGTAATCCCAGCACTCTGGGAGACCGAAGTGGGCAGATCACTTGGGGCCGGGAGTTCGAGACCAGCTGGCCAACATAGTGAAACCCTTCTCTACTAAAAACACAAGATTTAGCCAGGCGTGATAGCACTTGCCTGTAATCCCAGCTACTCGGCGGGGCTGAGGCAAGAGAATTGCTTGAGCCTGGGAGGCGGATGCTGCAGTGAGCCAAGATCGTGACACCGCACTCCAGACTGGGCAACAGAGCAAGATTCTGTCTTGAATAAATAAATAAAAATGGAAAAATTACTGCCTTCACAGGAGACTAGGGGGTGATGAAATTTAGTGGTTTGATGTTCGAGCTGAAGGTGGTTAAAGTCTTGACATGATAACTCAAATCTTAAATCCAGTAATGGCCAAGTTAGATCCAAAGAAAAACAATGTAAATATATAATCAGAGGATTATTATTTAGTTGTTAATTTAGAAATGAAGCAGCTTATTATCCTTTTAATATTAACATTAGTTGTTTGTTAAGTTTTCCATGTAAAGGGTTACCCTTTTCATAACAATGAAAATTATTTATTGTTGGGTAGAAGTCTTCTGGAAATAGCCAATGTCTAACAAAAAATTCTCAAAAATGCCTGCCAAAGGCTTTAAGTTGTTTCTATTGTGTTTTAACTCACTGTTTTCATTGTTATTTCCCAGACAGATCTAACATAAACTCCTTATACAAATGCCAAGTTTGTCACATTTATGCATTGTTGTAAGAAACATTTCTTAGTTACTTGGCGTGTAGCTATGTAACTGACTCCTGCATTCTCGCCAGACTGCAAGGGATTGCCAGGCTTGGAAGGCAGTGTGAAATCATGGGAAAGAACACAAATTTGAAGTCAGACAGGTCCATTGTGGGCATCCCAGCTCTGCCACTTACCGCTTTGCTCATTTCTATCGCACTATTTCATGCCACTATTTTTTCTTGCCTGGGCTACCATGATAGCTTTCGCATTGACCTCTCTGCTTCCACGTTACTTTGATGCTCACTCATTATCTACACCTGCACTAGTGTTTTACATTTGAAACTGAAACAAAGTTATATCCATATAACCCCTTGGATTAAACCCCTCCAATAACTTTCAATTTTACTTTGAATGATGAAATCTAAAATCCTTCCTGTGGATTTGCATCATCTGTCCCCCACCTTAGCTCTCTTACCTCATCTCATAATAATCTCCCTCTTAGTCCTCATCCCATCAATGCAGAGCTCCTGGCAGTTCCTCAAATATAACAAATTTATTCCAACCTCGGGGTCCTTAGGCTTCGACTTTGTGGTGCCTAAAATACTGCTCTCTCAGTGTTTATGTCTGCCACGTCTCCATCCTCCTGTTCTTTGTGCTGAGATTTCTGTAAGCTACCTGCCTCTCTCAGGCACTCTGCATCCTATCACTCTACATCATTTTCATCATAGCATTTATCATCATCTGAAAATAAATTATTGATAAGCCTTTTGATGATTGTCTAACTTTATTCACTGCAATGTAAGCCCCAGAAGAGCAAGAACTGTATCTGTATTTTCTCCTTCTATATCATCGGTGCTTAGACAGTGTCTGGTACTTAGGTGGGGCTAAGCAAATATTTCAGAATAGATGTGTGAACGATTTTCAGTTCAGCAAAAATGCAGCACTGGGATCAGCCTGATTTTGTGTGTGGCTTTTTATTTCACAGGTATTCATTGTGTGTTCACAACACACAAGGGGCATTGCAGTCATTTGAGAGACTTTGTAATTATCATGTGATCATGTCACATGCCATTTCTCTGTATTTCTCTTGACTCCTCAAAGTTTTCAACATAATTGGCTACTTCATTCTTTTGGCTGCTCTGGTGCTGTATGCTGATAATTTTCCACCTAAATCACTACCAGAACTTCTCATTCTCCTCTGCTGGTTCATCTTCCTCCACACAGTCTCTGGGGCCAGACCAGGGGCCTGGGGTCCTCTGCTTATCTCCCGCTATAGAGTCTCTCTGAATGACTCTCCCAGCCCCATGATACTAAACACCCACCACTGGGCTGACTTTCAATCCACAACTAGCTCCAACACTACTTGTACCCCAGAAATCTAGACATATATTCAAGGACCAGCTTGGAATCTCTACACTGATGTTTACGTATGAATCTGAAACAATATTTCCAAGATTAAGCTCTTGCTTTTCTCTCCAAATGTGTTTCCCCCCAATTCCAGTCTTCCATCCTTTACCAAACATTCCTCAAACCACCCAGTTGTTCAAGCCAAAACTTTAGGAGATAGCTGCTCTTGATTCTTCTTGAAAAAAAAATCTCTCCCATTTCATCTGTCAGAAAATCCTACCGATCGTGTCTCCAAAAACATCACCAATCAGTTAATTTTTTCACCTTCACCATCACCATCCTCTCATCTGGGTTGTTTATTTGGTTTCATAACCTTCTTACTTGTCTTGGGTTTCAAGTCTTTCCTATGCCTCTTTCCCCAGCTGATCTATTCTCAACCCCTATCCCTAATCTTCTAAGAACACAAACTAGAACATCCCACTAATCTGCTTAAAACCCTCCTTTGGCTGCTCATTACATACAAATAAAATTCAAATACCTTATCATGAGCTACAAGGCCCACCTGGCTTCTGCCTACTTCACTGGCAATATACTGTACTTGGTCTAAGATGCTGGGCTTATTTCTTATGTCAAGTTATATGCTGCCTTTGGTCTAGTTATTTCCTCTGCTGGAAATCTCTTCCTCATGCTCCTTCTTGACATTCAGATCTCAGCTTAAATATCACTCTTTAAAGATGGTATTTTTGGCTGGCCATCTGAAGTTGCAGACAGACTGTGTAGTACTTCCTGTATTTTAATTGTCTCTATAGACTTTATATGTAACCAATATTATTCTTTTTTATTTTACTACTTTAATTTGTGTCTCTTTCACTCCGTAATAAAATATCTCAATGGGCTAGGAATTAGCTTTTTCACCACTGCTTCCCTAGCCCTAAGGACAATGAGTGATATCTCACAGGGTTCCAATACATACTAGTTTGATAGTTTGAGACTACAAGATGACTGTCTATGATGTCAGATCTAGAGCCCAAGTTCAGGTCTTGAAAAGGCCCAAAGTGCCCTCAACAGCTCATGCCCTGGTTTGCAAAAGTGACTTAGTTCTCCAGCTAATGATTTACTTTTTGAATTCAAAAGTCAATTCTAAAAGTCCATTTTTAAGAGGCCTTTTTCTATGATGCAAATATCCCTGGATGAAGCATTACTAAACCATTCGCAACTTCACATGCATTACATCAGTTCAGCCAGCTAGTTTCTTAGAAAAATCTCAAATGATGACCCCTTGACTGTTTAACTTTGATCAAGGAAGAGTGAAAGAAATGATCAGAAGCCTGGGCCTTGCTGGGGAAGACAAACGAATGACATCACTCCCCGGATCCTTGAACCATCATGATCCTAGTTCCTGAGTGCAACTAAAGCAAATAGATGAGAAAACATCATTTCCACTATTTTATATATGATATTTCCTGACAGTCATTTATTCACTGTTTATAATGACCAAAGGGGCTTATATGATCTTCATGTGTGCCTCCATTCTCTGGGAATTTTGTCTACCTCATTCCCCCACCCAAGTCCATTCCAGGCATAGTAATTTCTTGTTTTTTTTTCTCATTATTTTTGGCAGGCTATTTCTTCAAGGCCTCTCTTCCCTCTACCTGGAAAGCTCATCTGCCAAGTGTTTGAAAGCTCACTCCCTGATATCATTTGGATATTTGTCCCCTCCAAATCTCATGTTGAAGTCTGATCCCAAATGTTGGAGGTGGGGCTTGGTGGGGGGGTGTTTGGGTCATGGGAACAAATATCTCATGAATAGCTTGGTGCTATCACCAAAGCAAAGAGTACATTCTTGCTCTATTAGTTTATGTGAGAGCTGGTTATTTAAAACAGCGCAGCCCCACTCGCTTCTCTCTCTCTCTTTCCTCCTCTCTTGCCATGTGATGCAGCTCCCCTTCCCCTTCTACCACAAGTGGAAGCTCCCTGAGACCCTCACCAGAAGGCATCATGCTTCTTGTACAGCCTGCAGAACCGTGAGCTAAATAAACTTATATAAATTACTCAGCATTAGGTATTCCTGTATAGCAACACAGATGGACTAGGCCGCTCACTACTGACTTCCTTCAGGCCTTTGCTCAGATGTCATGGGGGCAGTGAGGACAACCCTGGCCATCCTATTTAAAATTGTGACCCACCCATGCTGCTTACACAGCATCACCTATTCTTTTTACTGTTCTTCTAATTTTTGCCTTAAACTTATCTCCCTCTGACATGCTATATGTTTCCTTTATATGTTTGTTTATTGTCTTGCTTCTTCCACTAGTATGTAAACTTCAGGAAAGCAGGGGTTTTGGTCTGTGTTTCTTTCATCTATTTTCCCAATGCAGAATGGATATTTAATACACGTTGATTTGGTGAATGCTCCTGAAGAGTTTGCTATCAATATGCTAATAAATGGAGGAAATCAGACATTCCCATGAGTCATATGCAGTTGACTAGAGGAAAGCATAGTTGGCCTATTTTTCTCCAAAAAGCTAGATTGGGGAGATTAATTTATAAAAACACAGTAAGTAGAATTAGTAAATACTTTTACTACTGAAATGATTCTCCACTGGAGGCAATTTTGCCCCCAAGAGATATCTGAGTACTAAGAGATACTTGGCTTCCTAATAAACAGACTTTCAGAATTGACTTTTGAATTCAAAAGGTAGCTGGAGGACTAAGTCACTTAGTTCTTAGTCACATCAGAAGTCATTCTTGGCCAAGGGTGCTGCCACATATCCTACGATGTACGGAACAGTCAACAACAACAAAAAATCAGAACCAAAATGTCAATAGTGCTGAGGTTGAGAACCCCTGTACTGCTATGTAAATGTTAAGACTTTTCTTTCAAGTATTGAGCCTTTACTTACTTGAGAGGAAGCTTCATTATGGCACAAATGTCATAGTTACTTTCTTGGAATTGTGAGAGTGTTAAAGATAACATAAAATATTTTGCCAGTAGAGAATGAAGAAAAGTGGTTTACTTAAATTGTTCAGTGAGGCTACAATTCCTTTTATATAAAAGAATATTTTCACTACTTTTAGAATGACACAAAATAGTACTTTAAGAGTGAGAAGATATGTTGATTTTATGCAAATCTTAAAGCTTTGGGATATAAGATCAGAATGAATTACATTACCAAAAGGTTTTTATCTAGACACTCTACATAGTTTATTGATAAATTTGGTATATTTATCAGGGAAGCTTTATAACTTAAAGAAGCACTAAAATAAAAATATATCCCTACTGCAATTTCAAATCTAACTTTGAAATGTAGTAATTTGACACAAGTGCCAAGATGGAAAAAATTATTCCTCAAACTGACATAAGAAAATATTCTCCTATATCATAATGAAATAACATAACACTTTACTTTGTGTAAAGCATTCACCACTTGAAAAACATTTTGATAAATGTAAAGTTTCCTAAATGACTTGCATATTTATGTGGCTGTTCCTTCATTTGCTTCAGCTTTCAGGCCACATTTATTTACTGCCTACAATGTGCCCACTAGGAAGAAAATATCAGTAGTGCACTCGAGTATCTTCCAGTCTAGTAAGAGAGACAAGATGTACAGAGAATGGAGGTAGGAAGTGGAACTGATAAGGGGCCATTGAAGTTTAGCTGGAAGTTGCAGGATGAAGGAAGTCTGCAGAGTACATAGATTTTAGTCTGAATTTTGGGAAATGTATAGAATTTCTACAGGTAGGGGGCCTTCTTGGTAGGAGGAACAGTGGGTAGAGGTGCCCAAGTTACTCAGATGTGAATAGTAACAGTCACTATTTGCATTTAAGCGCAAGGAAAGTGAAAAGTGCTCTGTGGGAGAGAACTAACTATTTAAGTAGGGTCAGATTCCTAAATAATTTGAATGTCAAGCATCAAGGTAGAAGGAAGAAAGAAGTGACAAAGCAGCATTAAGGAAAATCCTTCAAGAACAAAAGAGATGTGAGCTGAGGCTGACATCAGAGACAACTGTGAACTTAGTGCTGACAATGGGAATGGAGGGGTGGGAAGAAATGTGAGAAACTGTGGAAGGAGAAATAGTCAGACTTGAAAATTTTTCCATAGAGGTAAGAAATCAGGGAGAAGGATCAAAGATGGCACTGATATGTCACATCTAAGTAAGTGAACGGAATGGTAGTGTCTTTAAGAGAAACCAGTATACCAGGAGTCAGTGCAGATTTGGGGAAACAGATAATATGTTTGATTCTAAACAACATGTATTGAAGACAGGACATTTCGTCCAAGGGGTGACATCAAGATTTATGTTGCAATTAGAGATCACCAGTTCAGAAGAGAAGTCAGTGCTAAAGACGCTCTTCTTGGAAATGTTTAAGTAGCTAAGAGAGTTGAGGCCATGAGGTAGACTAGTAGCCCTGGCTCTGGAATAGGTGCTGTACATGAATCTCCTCATAGCTCATGAAGTTAGTTATTAGATTCTGTTTTGCAGAAGAGGAACTGTGATCACACAGCTGGTAGGAGTCAGAACCAGGACTCAAGCTAAAGTCATTCAGACTCTGGCATTTCCACTGCATTATAGGGCTAGAAAAGGGAGCAAAGGTAAAGAACAGACTGAAAGTGAGATCCTAGAAGATGCCATGTTATGGGAAGAGGATGTTGTTCACATTTATTGATTTATATCTCCCTTTTGTCTATTATTGCCTTTGTAAACAATCTGTGTTGCTCAAAGATTGCTACTCTCTTGTCTCAAAAAAATCATTTCTAGGCCGGGGGATGTGGCTCATGCCTGTAATTCCAGCACTTTGGGAGGCCGAGGTGGGCGGATCACTTGAGGTCAGGAGTTCGAGACCAGCCTGGCCAACGTGGTGAAACCCTGACTCTACCAAAAATACAAAAGTTAGCTTGGTGTGGTGGCTCACGCTTGTAGTTCCAGCTACTCAAGAGGCTGAGGCAGGAGAATTGATTGGACCTGGGAGGCGGAGGTTGCAGTGAGCCAAGATCTTACCATTGTACTCCAGTCTGGGCAACAGAGAGAGACTCCATCTCAAGAAAAAAAAAAAAAGAAATCATTTCTAGTTGATTCATTTTCACAGACTGATCTGTAAAGCAAATAAGCTAAGAGTTTGTACAGACTGACAGTAATAAAAGGTAGGAATAATATTATTGGCATCTTGAATTCATTTGTGTTAATATCGTAAGTAAAAGTTTGCTCTAAAAGTCTGTTCTTCTAAAATATTAAATTTCCTGCTGAGATACTCTCTGGCTTTTATACAAACATTGTTACTTGTTAGTTACCTTGTAGTAGTTATACTATTTCCCCTGTTATACTGAAGATTCTTACTTCAAAATGAGCTGAAGATGTGACTTATGAGTTTACATAAAATGAAAAAAGTAGTTTTGGTTCTTAATAAAGAGAATTTATGTGCCTGGTACATTGCTAAGACTAAGGAACTGGCAGAGTCCAGATGGAGGCCAAGAATACAAGATGTTATGAGCACTAAACAAGGACTCCAAAATTACTTCCATCAATAACCTGTGGCATCTGCGACCACCTTATCCATTCCTGGGATTCGTTTTTTGTTCATTGTTGTGGTGGTGGTTGTCCTTGTTGCTTTGAATAGGAGTGGCCAGGGGAGAGGATATCTGAGATTGGGTACAGGGTGTGTATGCAGTTAGAACATTAGGGCGATAGCAGTATTATCTTTAATCTTGAACACCTTAGAAATGGATAACACCCAGAGCCACACATCGAAAAGATAGAGATTTTTTAAATACCCTTCAAACTGCTTAATTTGTAGTCCTAACAAAAAAAAATTTACATCTGCTGAATTATGTTCATATCTGTGAGATTTAAGAAATGCTACCCAGGATCTACATAAATGTTCCATTTATGGCAAAGAGAAGATGATTTTGTTTATGAAAAAGAGATAACAAATATTTGAGATAGTTTTTAAGGATCTTCTGTCAGCAAATGTTAATGCAGTAAGGAAGATATCATGATCCTTCTGAAAGTCAGCGAAACCGAACCAAAAAGGGATGACATAAACTTCACGGGCATATGCTATTTTAAGATTTGCACAGATTTCTGCACTCTAAAAAACGTGAGTTTCATGGGGGCTGTTTGTTCTCTCACTCCACACACATATGAGAGGGTGAGAGAGAGTATCTCCAGTAACAGGGGCCATCCACTGTTGGGTTCAGTCATTCTCTCTTAGAGGCACCAGAGGGCACCAGAGGGCATGAAGATCAGAGCAGCAAGCCGCTCTACACTCTGCATCTTTATGCTAGCTTCCACCATAATTAACACCTGCAGAATCCTGGGGTAGTTTTCTCACCATGCACTTGAAATGTGCCAGCTTTTAAGAACCCTTACCGGCACTCATCTCGAATTTAAGGCACACTCTCTCATTAGAGGTAAGCTGAGAAATTGGAGTCAAGGAGTTAAGCAGAGAGAAGGGGATAAGCACATGGACACATTGTCTTTGGTGGTTAAGAGGAACATTGCTAAAAACAAACGGCCTTTTATTGGCCTTTCCTCCTTCCTGACATCACTCTACACTTATCCTTAATGAAGTAGTACATAAGAACTGTGTCTGACGCTCTAAGGAAGGATGGGCGCAGGAAACAAAGTATAACAAAGGAGGCAACACTACAATGACTTAGAGGATTTAGTTTTTAAGAGCTTTTCCCCTATTGATGGATGCTCGACTGATTTTATCTCATCATCAACCTTGGAAGCTATTAGCAGAGGAAATTGCACTTACCATCTGTGATGTCCTGGCAATAACTTAATATTGTTCTGAAGGTTTAATTCAAATCGATTTAATTCAGCAAACATTTATTAATCTCATGAATGTTTGGCACCATACTAGAAGCTAAGGGATACCAAGATGAACAATGCAAAATGTTTTATTTTTACTTCAAAGGTTTTAAAACCTAATAAAATACAAGAAAAATATTAGGAAGTACAATACAGTCTGGGACATGAAAAGAAAAAGTATAAACAATATGCTTAATCATTCATTTATTCATTTAATAAATATTTTGGCAACTATTATATGCCAGGAACTATACTATGTGTGTTTGTAGACCTTGGTTAACAAAACAGATTTGGGTTCTGTTCTGCCTTCACAGAGTCAGTTTGGGAAATGACAGAGTGTTATGATAAAGAAACATTTGGCATGGGAGAAAGTTCCGAAAATCTATTTGAATAGGGTGGAATAAATGAACTTCCATAAGAGACGACATTTAAGAAGAATCAAGTCATCCTAAGGACTAGGAAAAACACATTTTACGTATACCAAACAGCTAAGGTGAAGATCGTGGAAAAAAAAAAAAATATATATATATATATATATATATACACACACAACTTGGTCTATTTAAGGAACCCAAAGAAGGCAAGCTGTAGTATATGTAATAAACGGTATGCAAATGCCAGGCTATATAGAGCCTTGTAGATGATATTAAGAACTGAAGAAAGAGAGAATACATCTAGCCACAGGGATCCACAAATCTTTACAAAGAAGGTTTCCATTTGAGAAGGATGAATAAGATTTTGACAAGCATGATAGTAGAAAGCAGGATTTCTGGATAAAAACAATGTTACGAGCTTAGACACAAAAGTGATAGTTTGTGTATGATTTAGACTCTAATAAGCATCAAGGTGTGAGTGGAGGATTCAATTGCACTAGGCAATTGAATTGTTTGCCATGAGGCCGGAAGCACAGGTTGGAAAACATAATGGAGAACTTGGACAAATTACTGGTTCATTAGGGGCATGAAGGGAAGTCACGGACATTATTAATGCCAGACAGTGATACTGTTGGCATTCCAGCTCAGATAGTCTAATTTAGCAGAAGCATGCATTGTACATTGGCGGGGACAGAAAGAGAATTTAGCATCTCTAGATATCCACATTGATGGCATTAAGGGTCTTAGGGTGGTAAAAGTGCAACTAGAAGCAGCGTACAGATAAAGTCGTTGCCAAGGCAAAGTCTGATTATTGGACTTGAATTGGCTGAGACGATCAAGTTAGAAAAAAACTTTTAATAATAATAATAATAATAACTTACGTTTAACCCTGGGTAACTGAGAGAGTATAAATGCTACTACTAGTTAATTAAGGCTAAGTAAAGCAATGGTGAATTTTATGTGTATACACATACACATGTGCATGTGTGTGTGTGAGAGAGAGAGAGAGGGAGAGAGAGAGAGAAAGAGAGAAACAATAGTGTTGCAACCTGAATAAACAAAACAAAGTAATTAGGCAGTATCACAGCAATACTGTTGAGAATGATTAGGTGTGTTCTTGAAAGCATGATCCAGCATCCCGATGCAACCAATGGAAAAGTGGAAGTCCAGCTGAGGATACAGAGAATGCAATGATAATTGTTTCAAAGATGTTTGACTTGATGTAGTAAAGAGACAACCAGCCATTGCAACAAAGATGCAGAGCCCAGAAATAGAAATGTGAGAAGATTATGCAGAGAAAAAATAGTTTCGTGTTTTTGTTTGTTTGTTTGTTTTTTGAGACAGAGTCTCACCCTGTTGCTGGAGTGCAATGGCCCAATCTTGGCTCACTGCACCCTCCACCTCCCAGGTTCAAGGGATTCTCCTGCCTCAGCTGCTAAGTAGCTTGGCTGACAGGTTCGCACTACCACGCCCAGCTAATTTTTGTATTTTTAGTAGAGACGGAAGTTTCACCATGTTGGCCAGGATGGTCTCGAACTCCTGACTTAGTGATCCACCCGCCTGGGCCTCCCAAAGTGCTGGGATTGCAGGCATGAGCCACTGCTCCTGGCCACAATAGTTAAAGTATAGAAACAGTGAAACTGCTGAGAAGTAACTTATAAAAGAAATAGAAGATGGCAGGAGAGAGGCAGGAAGGCAAAATAGAAAAATGATGGGAAGAAGAAGGAAAAGGACAATGAGAGTGAAGAAAAGAGCGGAGAGCTAAGAATTATACCTCTAGCAAGCCTTAAAATTATAAAGAAGAGGAAAATGGTTCATTAAAGGACAGAGAAATGGAGAAGATAAAGTATCAAAAAGGCAGAAAGAAGAAGAGCCAGTAAAATAAAGTGTTGAGAAGAGAGTAGGAGGTCGATTAAACAAGGTCAAGTTCACAATTTTATGCCATACTGTTACTCAAATATATATGAAATCTTGACATGTGTATTTGAATAAGGATGGGATATATAATACACATGCATACACATATACACACATACATACATATACATATGAAAACTGGATGGAGAAAAAATTTTATAATGAAGGAAACAAACGAACAAAAAAACACAAGAAAATAATTAAAACTTGAAACCAAAAACTATAAAGAATATTTGCCAACTACTGTCAAATCTGAACCAAAATCAAACAGGATAACAAAAAGAAAAAGCATACCTTCTCCCTTCTCATTCTTTAAGCAGAGTGCAGATTTTCCTCTACAAAATGTGTCATAATACTGCAAAGTCCTGCTATGAAGTTTTGAGTAAAGGAGGAATATATAAGATAAATCACAGAAAAACAATATGGATGTCCTTAGTGCATCTCAGAACAGCTCAACAGAATGACGGGACAAATGCATGAAGAAGCATTTCTTTCTTTCTTTCTTTCTTTCTTTCTTTCTTTCTTTCTTTCTTTCTTTCTTTCTCTCTCTCTTTCCTTCTTTCCTTCTTTCCTTCTTTATTTTTTTCTTTCTTTCTCTTTCTTCTTTCTTTTTTTTTTTTTGACTGAGTTTCTCTCTTGTTGCCCAAGCTGGAGTGTAATGGTGTGATCTCGGCTCACTGCAACCTCCGCCTCCCGGCTTCAAGCGATTCTCCTGCCTCAGCCTCCCGAGTAGCTGGGATTACAGGCATGCGCCACGCGCCCGGCTAATTTTGTATTTTAGTAGAGAAGGGGTTTCTCCCTGTTAGTCAGGCCGGTCTCGAACTCCCAACCTCAGGTGATCTGCCCCTCTCGACCTCCCAAAGTTCTGAGATTACAGGCGTGAGCCACTGCACCCGGTCAAGAAGCATTTCTATTCTGTGTCTTCCATTTTCTATTTGGCCAGTGGGGAGGAGGATCCAGGGCGCAAAGGAGGCTGAGGAAAAAAACAGGAAGTAGTGACCATACAGCATACAACCAAAGGGCCCGTGAATCCACAGACTTCTGAGCCCTACCTTTTTGGAAGGCAAAAACAAGATGTTCCCCTGTGACAAAGCATGTAACAGGGTGAGTGAGAGGGTTTTCAGGCCACATGCTGAATCAAGGCTGCAGTCTCTTGCCACTCACTTCCTACTTTGCTTCCCCTCCACACCCAATTCTTCAACAAACTACTAATTCCATAGAAAAATGAAAAATAATCTCAAAGGATCCAATATGGAACATGGGTGTAGATAGTGCCAGGAAATTTAAAGGGAAAAAGAAAAATAAACAAAGAGCAAATGAGAACAAGTACTCCAAGAGGAAACCAAAAATTACGTTAGACAAATAACTTTATTTTCTCAAATAAATTGTAGACAAGATGGTTTCCTGAAGGAAGAAGCAGGGATGATGTCAATGATAAAGGCATGCAAATGAGAAATAAGAAAAAAACAAGGAAGGGAGTTAATATAATTAACAAAGAAATGAGAGTAATATAAACATTTGAGAGAAAGAAAGCCACATTTGAGTAACCAACGCAGGATTAACAGAAATAAAAACCACAGAAACATGACAGACAGGCTTGAAATATCTCACAAAACAAAATAGAAAAGAATGAGGATTTTCAAATGACCATAAATATGGTAATAGCATTGGTAAAATGGCAATAATGTGTTTTACCATAAATGTGGTAAAAGACATAAATATGGCAAAAGACGTTTGGCATTTTTTTTCTTAATCAGTATTCCTGAAAAAGAGAACTCAACAAATAAAGGAGAAAAAATAATTCCAAGAATATAAAGAAAAAAAAAGTGTTTCCTAAAATAAACCAATAGTGATTCTAGATAGGCACCCATTGTTTCTGGAAAAATTTTAACATTGCAATCATCATAAACATATTCTAGTGAAGTTATTTAATTTTAAAGATAAGGAAAATATCTCACATGAGCATGCAGGAAGGAATAATATAAATATCCTTTGATTTCTCTTTCTGCACATCTCATATCAAACAGTGGACAGTCTTATAAATTTTGAAAGCAAGAAAAAGAATGTTATACTCTCCTGAATTCCCCTTCTGGTATAGACAAGTGTTCTGGAACAAAACGAAATTTTCCTGGAAGAATTACATGATAAGAATATCCAGAAGAAAAAAAGATACTTGTAAATAAAGAATAGAGCCAAGATCAATCAACTATGAAAAGTATTTATATAAATGCTATAAACTTAAATGATGTAAAAATAATGACGTACTATAACTCGCCAAAACAGAAAAGTAGCAAAGTAAATGAAGTGAGAATATATGTGAGGGTATTGAATGGTTTTACGGAGTGAGGAGTCCAGGAATATAGTCTAAAGTTGAAATCTGCAGTAAAAATCCATAATGTGTCTAATATTCGTGTTTTTGTTATATTTTCCTTAAATCAGAAGGGATTTGCAGTAGTTGATTAGCTTGCCTTGAAGAAACATTTACTTACATTTCAACAATTCCTGTAGTTTCACTTCAGCATCTCTTTCCTTAATTCATCTAAAATTAAATGTAATAGCTTTATTGAAGAAGAGAAGTATAAGACAAATCAGCAGTCAAAACTTGGGGCTTGAGGCCTTTCTTTACTGGCGTATGTAGACCCCAGCTGAGAGTTTAATTTTGACCCTCAGGTGTTAGTGCTGCTAGGTGTTAGCTGACGTCAGATATTTGGTAGCACTGATTGAACAGTCTAAGAACTGCAGGAATATACATGTTGCATTCAAAGGTAAAACAAATCAAGGCTCTATATCTGCAAAGGTTTTTTTTTTAAATCATATTCATAGGAAATAAAATAAAATTAAGCCAAAGGAAAAAAAATGCAATGACAAAGATATCTATTACAGCAAACATCAAATTAAGACCAATAAACCACTGAGTGCATACTCTGGAGACATTGTGCCTTTCCAAATGGCGTAATGAGAGTGTGAGTACAACTCACGCTGTCACTCTCCTGTCAGAAAATGACAGTTGCCTGTATCAGTTCTACTCCCAGAGCACTGACTATCACAGAGTGAAAACTTGGATGTGACAGCACCAACTTTCTGCCCTCCAAGTAGGAGTCTGTGGGGACTGAACCAGTCCAGAGGAAGAATCATCGCTCTAGAAGGAGTGAGTGTGTAAATTTAAATCATCAGCAAAGCAGAACCTGGTTACTGAAGGCAGGAGAGCTGGTTCCAAATTATCTCCCTCAGTTAGTCCCCCTCCCCAACTCTGACAAATGAATTAATTTACAGGTCCATTTCTGCTAAGTTAAAATGCATCTATCTTCTCCTGGGATTTTCTTCTTCCATAGAAATGGAGTTTTCTCTCTCCCCAGTGTCGGCTGAAGCTTTCAACAGAAACCAAAATTCTAAAATAAGAAATCCTTTAAAATATCAGATCCACATCTCCTTCACCTAAGAAAAATATATAAGGCCTTTTACATTTAAAAAAAAATCTTACTTTCAACAAATTTCAAAATATTGGCACAGTTGGAGTTATGTAACCATCAATCAGCAGTGTCATATCTGTGTAATGTTTCATATCTCAAAACATCCATTTGCTCTTCGTTGTAGATCAGATGTTAGCTCTACTTTTTGAGAAAATTACACACTAAAAACAAAAATAAATGAACAAAAGCAAACAAACAAACATTGTAAGTCCTCAAAAGGCCAAGTTACAATGTGAGCAGAATTGGGTTGAACTCAGAGGTCCTGATTCAAATTCTAGGTATGTGTCACTGTCTTGCACTGCAATAGTCATTACCTGGGATCTCTGGAGGGCATTAGCAACCATCATTCACCAATCCAACAAGTTTTTAAAATATGGTACTTTGACAACGTGAGCCTACTGACAAGAACCTGCCCACGGAATCATTCTCATGTTCTGTGGATATTTATTAAGCCCTACTGAACATATACCATTCATGAGGCTAGGGAGTTCAGAACTGAGAACACAGATGGAAAAAAAAGAAGGTAAACAAATAATTGGATTGTAGAGTCAGAAATATATAATAGGAAACATACTCAAATATCCTTTACTATATATACCTTATTGCTGCACTATTCTGCAATCAGTCATTAAATGCAACATATGATCTCTGGAAAGGAAGCCTATAGGGGTATTAAACTGTGAGTGTTGCTGGAAATGTTCTTCACAGAGTGCAAAAAATCATCAACATTCGTGCTGTATTGAATGCCAACATATTAAGATTTCCTCCAGGTAGCAAACTGTAAAGCTAAAGTTTTTGATAAAATAATGACATAAAAAGTTAATGTCGACTTGTCTGCCAGATAGTTTGAAGATATAACTGCCTGAGTTTTGCTTTTCTTTTGTTGATTAGAATGACAAGAGTAATGAATTTTCACCATTGGAATTGACCGTCCTACATGAGAAAAGATATTTGAAAATCTAAGTACCAAGAACATACTGCTCTGCCAAATAATGAATGCATGTTCTTTCGTCTGAAGTTAACAATCTTAAATTAACTCCAAAATATGAGGACAAAAACTTTTGAAAATTTCTAGTAAGCCTTCAGAATTTGAAGTGTGCTGACCCACATCTAGTACAGAGATCTTTTCTTCGCTTCCTTTTATTTCTCCATTTCTAATTTCACTCCATGTTCCTAAGAATGAACATAAGCATCCTCTTGCAACAAATGTTTTATTTTCCATTCTCAGTATAGTTGCAAATCACTATGAAAATAAACAGAAACGGGGAGATGAACTGTATTACATTTCTGGTTGTCTTTTCTAACCATCAACCCAAACCAAAAAAAAATACATAATCTTTTGAATATTCACTTTAAAAAGCAAAGAATAACCTGAGTGATTCAAAACGGCGTATTTATCAAGATTATTTATAATTGGCTTTGTAATGCATTACGTATTTTTGGCAGATCACACTAGTGAGTTTGCTGAGGCAAAGCACATAGAAAAAAGGGATCATCTAGAGATTTAGAATATTCTGTAATAATTCACCCAGAAAAAAATAAACATTTGATCATACAAGACAGAGTCAACAATTAAGTCAAAGAAGAGTTGCACGTGAGAAACAGTCAAATGTATTTATAGAGATTTGAGTGTTGCTTATTTTGTAGCTGGGTGAAGGTAGGCATTTGAGATGAGGCAACTGATTCAAGCAAACAGAAACCATTGTTTCCGGAAAATGCTTCCAAGAGGGAGGGGCAAAGAGAGAAAGCAGTTGTAGAGGAAATAGGAAATTTGTCAAAACTATAAACAAAAAACAGTATATACCTTGTCCATTCTTTTGCAACAATGATGACATGATTCTCCAATAGACAGTGGCATATAGTGAAGCCTGACTTGTCAGAGGTCAGATATATTCAATAACATATTTTGGCTTAACTTTTCAATCATTTATGTTCCTTTGTGATGTTGACTATATGTGGATCAGCTGACGGCTAAAGATGGAATCATTATTCTAATTTCAAAGAAAATGGGGCAAAAGAGTGAATAGGGAAGATCACACTTATTAGCACTATTGGAAGAATAACTACTTAACTTCTTAGAATGTATCAGAAGTATTATTCTCAAATTAGAAGCAGTCTGACATCCTCAGATGGAGATTAAAATAATTATAAAGTGTTCAAAAATCTCTGCCATGGGATCTAAATTTGCAGTGTTTGCCAAACAGAAAGAAGCCATAGACAAGCTTAGACAATTTTGATGCAGACTTTACAAATTTAGAAGCATTCAGTTGCTTAACTTGGCTTATTTTTGCTGAATTCAATAAAGACATATTGATTTTCTATTGACAGTGGGAAAGTTATTATAGCTATCATCATCAATTTAAATATTACTCACTGTCCAATTTACGGTAGTGTGTGTGTACACTATACAATATCATAAAAATTAAAATGTGTTTAATATAGCTTTCTTATTTGCTAGTATAAGTAAATTTTTAAAATAAGAAAAGCTAAATATTACATATGGTTTTTCTAGATGGTTAAACAATGCCAGACCATCCAGTGTAAAGTTCAGTTCAGTCAACTATTGTAATCATCCAGTTGCTAAGCCATGTCTAATTTCCATTTATTTTTCAAGCCAAATCTCCATGTTTTGGCTCCATGTTTATGTTTTTTTCCCAGCTGTTGTGTGTATTTTGTAAAATTGTGTCTATCAGGTAGGTGGGTTTGGTTGCTATTTTCTATAGTGTATTATTTTTGGATTCAGCCTTAAGCTTTCTTGTTCTGCATTGAGAGTTATGTTGATATTTCAGCAAGAGACTACCAGAAAAAGTCATTAATTGTTCAGACACAGTGTAAAAAAATATTATGAGCCAAAACAATTATTGAATTTATTTTGCAGGAAACCATTGTCTCACCACTTTTAGCCCTTAGTCAAACTTGATCCACCCTCTGAAAGGCTGTTTTAAAATAATTGTTTCTATAGGTTAAGTATTGATTTCTCAAGCCTGCAATAGGCACCCTCTTAGAAAGGGTATTTCAGGGATTCCAGTGGGATAAATAGCTACAGTTGTGCCTCATCCTCCCCTTGATTTCAAAGATTCTCAAAAATTATGTGTAAAAAAAAATATGAAAGACAAAGCTATTTATAGACTATGAAACTTAAATTGTCCCTTCTGATGCATTGCTAGAAATATGAAATGGCAAATGGTGATTTTTAGAATAATCTGCAAGACAAAAGTTTTAATATTCCTGAACACTTTGAGACTTCAGATCCCCTTTCCTAAAATCATGTTTGTATTGCTGGTGAGGCATATATTCCAATCTTATTTTTTTCTTATTTTTCAAAACTCTGAGTTAAAATAAAAAATAAGACTGGGATGAAAACATTTTCCCCAAATTACAGAATCATCTAATTTCAAGGCTTAAAAAGGACATTGACTCATCAAGTGCAACATTATATTCCTATTTTTCAATTCCCACTCCACACCATCTGGAAGTCCATCCCCAACTTCAAGGAAAAGGAAGTCCATACTTGAGCATCACTGACCATTAAAATAGTTCGTGATAATGTCAGAATCTGTCTTCTTTGAGTTTCCACCAATTTGCCGTCATTCAAGCCCTTGAAACTGTATAGAATAGTCTACCTTCCTTCCACATAAAAACCTTTCACACTACTGAGGTCAACTATCACCTTCTCCACCACCAGCGAGATTAGTGTTCTTGATACCAGATATTCCCAATTTCATCCACTATTCCTTATAAGATATCAGGATGAGTTCTATCTTTGTTGCCTTTCTCATAAATTTACCCTAAATTCTTCTAGAACTGCAAAACCCACAAAGTATTGTCTTACTCCAGATATGGTCTGAACAAATAAGTGGGACTATCACTTTCTGCATATTAGAGTAGGATTTTTGCATTTGTCCCCATAACATCTCAATAGTGATTCCACCTAAATTTACTATCAGCTCAAATCCCTAAGTCATACACATGCTACCAAGTCTCACTTTTTCCCTTTTGTAACTGTCTTATATTTTTTAATCCAAGAATGGGATCTCACAATTATCATTGAAATTCTAGACTATCAATATAGTCTACCAAAAATTTTATATTCTAATTCTTTCATTCCATGTTATCTGTTAGTTTTACAAATATTTTGAGTAACTTTATGGACAAAGCCTTTACTCAAATTACAACTAGAAATTCCCTGGCCAGGCATGGTGGCTCATGCCTGTAATCCCAGCACTTTGGGAAGCCAAGGAGGGTGGATCACTTGAGGTCAGGAGTTTGAGACAAGCCTGGCCAACATAATGAAACCCTGTCTCTACTAGAAATACAAAAATTAGCCAAGCATGGTGGCATGTGCTTGTAGTCCCAGCTACATGGAAGGCTGAGGCAGGAGAATCGCTTGAACCTGGGAGGCGGAGGTTGTGGTGAGCCAAGATCGCACCACTGCACTCTGGCCTGGGCAACAGAGTGAGACTCTGCCTCAAAAAAAAGAAAAGAAAAGAAAAGAAATCCCTATAGTATGATATTTATTCATTAATTTGTACTCTTCAAGTATAGTAGCTTACTTCGTTTAATAATTTGCCTAAATTCCTTTTTTTTCCATCTTGTCCACCAAATAGTGAAAAGGTATGTCAGATTCCTTCATACAATTTAAGCACCACCAAATAAATTTCTGTGATCTGTGAGGTTAGTAACTTGTGACAAAGAAAGTGATGAATCTTGTTTTCATGTTTTCTTTTTTCAGGCAAACCATGCTAGATCTTTGTAACTGTTATTTTATTACAAGAGATTACAGGACATTCTTTAATAATTTTAGAGTCTCTGCTGTAATCAGTATCAAACTCAGAGCTTTGGCTTGTAAAATCCACGTTATTTTGCTGAAAACTAGATAGTGATTTGCCCTTCACCAGTCTTCTATTATTTGCTGTGATTTCTCTTAGACCTACTAGTTCTGCTGTTTCTGAAGTCTTGCAGGCAGGCAATATCTTTGAGTTCAACCCAGTTAAACTAGGAGCCAGAACTCCCGGAGAGCAGCAGAAGAGTGAGTAGGGGCAGGAGTCACTTACAACTTCTTAATCCATCATGGATTTCAGTTCCCACTTACTAATAACTGTTTCACCTTTTGAGTTTTTTTCAGTACAAACAAGATGGAAGCTAAATGGCCAATGAGGAATCTTTTTTTTTTCTGTGATATCCGTCTTCATTGAAGTTCTTCAGAGAGCTTTAGTACTCTTCATAGTTTAAAATACAAAACTATCTTCTTGGTTGTCCAATTCAGTTTCTGCAGCCCCCAGTTGGTTAGAACTTTGACTTCCAGCACTCCTCCTATGGGCTTCTATGATACTATATTCGCTACTGAATCAAGGGCTGATTCCTCTTATCCTATTATGGACCCAATGAGCTTTTAATGCAGAAATTCTTTGAATGGGTCTTTTGCAAACCTGCTTATTAATTTAAGAAGTTTCCTCTTTTCTCCTTTATTGAAATCATTTAGAAACATATAGATAAAATTTCACTTTTAACTTTTTGAACCATCTTCCTCTTCAGATTCTTAGTGTATAATCAAACCTATTCCCTTTCCAAAATTATGAAATTTGCATTTCTACTTAGAATACTGGAAGGTGGATTTTAGTTTTCCCAGAAATATAAAGTTTCTTGGGGCAAAATATAGAATACTGGGGGCTTCTCCACACTCGGGGCTTTGGAAGCCACACTGTATAAGACTATTGTGTGTTTTTACCCAAGTACCACTAATGTGGAACAGTGGCACTGTTTACTAAACGGTAAGTTTTTTATATTCTAAATCTTATGATCACAGTGGGTCTGCTTTAAGTTTGATATATTTATAAACAAATGTATTTTCTTCTGGTTTATTCTTCATATATTCTAAAATATTTAGATTTAAATATGAACTATATGCTCATAAGCTTGGCTGACTCTAGCAAAAAGTAGTCTTCTATAGGAAAATTGTCTTTGTTTCCCAGACTTCTCTTTGCTGTCATTCCCCCCCATTGGTGGTTGCCTAGTCCTCCTATTCTTCAGTTTCTCAGTGCTCTCATAGTCCTGCCTCCTGTGACTCTAACTCAATATAATCACATATTTATTATATTCACAATGAGTTATAAATATCTAGAAGTTGTTCTTCCCTGGACATAACTATGTTAAGAAGCATCAGATGCTGCTAAAGGCTTTCGGAAGAGAAATGAGGAAGTTCATTGTCAATCACTCATTTATTCTTTTACTCAATAAACACTTGTAGAGCCTCCCCTATGTGCCAAAACGGTGTCAGGAAACACAAGATCATTGCAGATGAAGTTCCTGAACTCTAACAACTCTCCTTGTAGGAGAGAGAGATACCAGAAAATATAAGGGGTGTGAAAACCAGAAAAGATTAATTTTGAATTACAATTTCAGCTTAGCTATCCAAAAAACGATTACATCCCATTCAGAAAAGCATGTGAAAAGGGTATGAACTAGCATTTCAGATTTTGAAGACTGCATCAGGGTGTACTTACGGTGAAGGGTCCCAAGTGCCAAAGCAGCTAGAGAAAAAGCAGGTGCTGGATCATGAGGGACTTTATGCCTAAGGTGAGAGTTGGACTTTATCTCTAAAACTGTGGGCAATATCTAAAGCATAATTTTCTTGGCTCCTAGAGACAAAATGTAGGTGGCTTCTTCTTTCCTCTCAGCCCCCATTTTAATAGAAGAGAATTTTGAAAGAAGATAACTAAGCTTTATACTTCTACACTATCAATGAAATTACATTTTTTAGCATTAAGAAAGGTATGGACACGTTAGAATTTAATGTAATATTTGTCTGATTTCTCATGATGTGAGATTTGTGGGCTTATGATAGTGTCTGTGTAAATATATATATATATGCAACATTACACATGTATATGTGTGCATTATCTATTAAATATATACTTATCAAAATATCCAACTTTCATGTTTATAAACTTATAATTCACAGGCAACAATGGCAAATCAGAGTGGATCTTATTTTTAATCTGCCTAGCAGAAAATTTATTTAGTATATGTTTTACTATAATTATCCTAATAATTGTTCCACTGTACATAGGGACTTTTCCCAGAGTTGAGTAAATTGGTTAGGAAATAAAAGGAGCTATACTGCATAAAAATAACCTAAAATTAACATCTGCAAATAAGCCAGGGGACGTGTGTCTGTCTCTGTGTATCATAAGCATTTCTAGAGACTGATCATCTGACTTAGTACTTTTACATAGCTATCCTTTCCCTACTTGGCCCCAAGAGAATGTTATTTCTCATGATTGGTTTATCCATTGTATTAAAACAGAAAGAAATAATACAATTTTCTCTTAAATTTCCCAGTGCCTCAGTTCAATTTCCTGCTGGTAGATTTCTGCTTTCTTTTTATATCTAAGAAATTATACTCTTTACTTTACAAAGGACAGTGCACTGACCGACTGAAATGAATGTGCTTGTAATAGAACAGTGGGCAGCAGCCTGCCAGGCTTGGTGAAGAGTGCAGCCTGCTATTGCTTTCCAAGGAACAGTTTCTCCCACAGCTTTCTTTCACCAAAGTGTGTCTATTGCCATCAAGTCAGAAAGGAATGAATATTTGCGTGGTTGGGGAAAACAAACCTGCTGTTGAGGAACAGGTTACTTTAAGCCGGAATTATCTAATCAGACTGTACCAAAATCACCAAGCAATTGCTAGCTCTGGACTTAGCTTTTATAAAGCAACGACAAAATGAGTTAATAAGTTAAAAAAAATAGAGGAAATAATCATTATTGCCCATTGGGTTATTCTGAAATATGGCTTCTTCAGCAAACAACAGGGCAAAAGTATATTATCTGTGTTTAGGGCCCAAGACCAGATGGATTTATAGGATATAAAATATAGCCTTAAAGATCCCGAGAGGTTTGAAGCCCCAGAATTCCTCCCTGCACTGACTGTTTTAATACCCTAAAATGTCCTCAACAAATGATCAGTTGTTTGGAGATGTGCATTATGGGATTGTGGGATTCAGAGGCTCTAGCAAACTCTTGAAACAACTGTGTTTTCCACAAGGTTTTGATGAGTGGATTTGATGAACAGTCTCAGAGCAATATAAAAGCATGTGAGAAACAAAGAAAAAAGACCAGAGACAAAGAAACAAGACCAGTTATGTTAGGACTTTAACCCAGAGCTAGTGCTCCTGGGGCCACGCCTCTCAAAAAACTTCTGCCATTTCCCACTTTTCCGACCTGCCCCAGGCAGAGGATCTAGCCACCAGCAGAAGAACTAAGTGAGCAGATTAATGCCAGGGGATGCTGCTGGGTGCTGCAGGCTAGTAGGGTAGGTAAGTCCCCATGAAATTTCAGAAAGATTTGTAGGAGGCTTACAAAAGTACACAAAATACAAACACTGTTGAGTTGCAAGTGAATCAAATCAAGAAAGAAAAATAATATTGAGTTAAGTGCGGTCCAGAAGAAGCCTAAACAGAGGACATTAGCATGTGTGGATTGCTACCTGGAGCATTAGTGATCAGAAAGAGCATAGTAGAAACGCTATGCCCACAGGAAGACTGAGTGTGAAAATCAGAAGAGCCAAACCTGTGCTAAAGACCAGAGAAAGAGAAAGTAAGACAAGAGTGAGAATAATAATGATACAAAAAACCCTCCAGTACTAATAATTAATATTAATTAATATTGAATAAATAAAATAATATTCAATTGTAATATTGAATAAATAAAATAATATTCAATATTAATATTGAATAAATAAAATCATTAATATTGGATGAATATTAATTAATATTAATAATATTAATACTAATGCCAGAAATGTGCTAAGCAATTAATATATGTTAACTCATTAAACACTTTCAAGAACTATGATGTATAATTTTTATTGCTATGTTATATATTAGAAAGCTGAGAGGTGAAGAAGTTTCGGGGTAGAGTATGCTGCCAGAGCCATGATTTGAATCCAGCTCTGCCAGAATTCAAGGCCCATGCTCTTTATCACTCTTAGACAGCCAAGTAGGAAGTGAAGGCCAAGTAAACAGAAGAATGACCAAGAAGTGAAGAACAAAGTGGGGGGTGAAGGAAGCAGATCCATCAGTTTCTCTAGTATATTTTCACTGATGGTTAGTAGTGGTAATGGGTTATAGTGCAGAAGAATAATCTCTTCTATTATCTCGATAACCATCATTTTACATATATAATATATATGTAATACATAAATATATATATTTTTATATATATATAAGAATATTGCCACTTCTGTTTAATAGTTTTCAAAAAATAAATTTCCTTCCAAGTTCCTATTTTGGGAGAAATTAATGTATTTGCAACCGAGGGTAGTAAAAATGATCAAATTATTGTTCTAAAAAAATACTAAAACTGCAAAAATACTTGGTCCTCAAAATTTAGGATAATACTATCTGATTTCCCTAATGTATCTCTCTTTCAATTCATTCACTTCTTTCTTCAATAAACCTACCTTAAGAGTTTACTATGTGATAGGTTTGCAATAAACCCTTTGTAATGCAAAAGACTAATACATTTGTATACAATTATATAAAGCACTTTACTTGAAATTAATTTTATACATAAAATTGTATTTATGTGTATGTTATGTATATGTTCAAATCAGGGCTGCCATAAATGCCATGGAGAAGTTCATGGTGCTGTGAAAGCATGGAGATTCTCCATATTCATGGCAGTTAAGAAATGGTTTCCAAGGGGAGTGGTGTGTGCTGTGAAATCTGAAGGATGCCTGGGAGCCACCTTGTTGAGAGAGTGTGTGTGTGGTGTGTGTATGGGTAGGGGGTGATATGGTTTGGATTTGTGTTCCTGCTCAAATCTCATGTTGAAGGAAGGGCCTGGTGGCAGGTGATTGGATCATGGAGGTAGACTTCCCCTTTGCTGTTCTGATGACAGTGAGTGAGTTCTCATGAGATATGCTTGTTTATAAATGTGTAGCACCTACCCTCCATCTCTTTTCCTCCTTCTCCAGCCATGTAAGATGAGCTGCTTCCCCTTTACCTTCTACCACAATTGTATGGTTCCTGAGGCCTCTCTAGCTATGCTTCCTTTACAGCATGCAAAACTGTGAGTCAGTTAAACCTCTTTTCTTTATAGGTTACCCAGTCTCAGATGGTTCTTTACAGCAATGAGATAACTGACTAATACAGAAAATTGGTACTGGGAGTGGGGCATTCTTATAAAGATACCCAAAAATGTGGAGGTGACTTTGGAACTGGGTAATGAGCAGAGGTTGGAAAAAAGTGGAAGGCTTAAAAGAAAACAGGAATATGAGGGAAAGTTTGGAACTTCCTAGAGACTTGTTGAATTATTGTGACCAAAATGCTGATAGTAATATCATCAATGAAGTCTAGGCTGAAAAGGTCTTAGATGGAGATGAGGAACTTATCAGGAAGTAAAGCAAAGGTCACTTTTCTTATGCATTAGCAAAGAAGTTGGAGGCATTGTGCCCCTACCCTAGAGATCTATGGAACTTTGAACCAGAGAGTGATGATTTAGGATATCTGGCAGAAGAAATTTCTAAGCAGTAAAATGTTCAAGAAGTGACCTGGCTGCTTCTAGCAACCTATGTTTGTCTTTGTGAGCAAATAAGTGATCTGGAACTGGAACTTATATTTTAAAGGGAAGCAGAGTATAAAAGTGGAAAATTTGTAGCCCAGCCATGTGGTAGAAAAGAAAAACCCATTTTCTGGGAATGAATCCAGGCGAGTTGCAGAAATTTGCATAACTAAAAAGAAGTCAAAGTTAATGGCCAAGACAATGGGAAAAAATGCCTTGAAGGAAGCATCTCCTCCTGTCACAGGCCCAGAGGGCTGGGAGAGAAGAATGGTTTTGCAGGCTGGGCCCAGGGCCCTACTGTCTTGTAAAACCTCACAACGCTGTTCCCTGCATCCCAGCAGCTCCAGCTCCAGCCATGGCTAAAAGGACCCCAGATACACCTCAGGCTACTGCTCCAGAGTGTACAACCCATAAGATTTGATGGCTTCCATGTGCTGTTAAGCCTGTGGCTGTGCAGAGGGCAAGAGTTGAGACTTGAGAGCCTCTGCCTAGATTTCAGAGGGTGTATGGAAATGCCTGGATGTCTAGGCAGAAGCCTGCTACAGTGACGGAGCCCTCATGGAGAACTTCTACTAGGGCAATGTAGAGGAAAAATGTGGGATTGCAGCCCATACACAGAGTCCCCACCAGGGCAATACCTAGTGGAGCTATGAGAAGAGGGCCACTGTCCTCCAGACCTCGGAATGGTAGATCCACTGACAGCTTGCATTATACACCTGGAAAAGCCACAGGCACTCAACACCAGTCCAGGAAAGCAGCTGAGGGGGATGCACCCTGCAGATCCATAGGGGTGGAGATGCCCAAGGCCATGAAAGCCCACCCCATGCATCAGTGTGGCCTGGATGTGAGACATGGAGTCAAAGAAGATTATTTTGGAGCTTTAAGATTTAACCACTCCCTTGCTGGGTTTTGGACTTGAATGAGGCCTGTAGCCCTTTTGTTTCAGCTGATTTCTCACATTTGGAATGTGTGTGTATACCCAATGCCTGTACCCACCATTGTATCTTGGAAGTAACTAACTTGTTTTTCACTTTACAGGCTCATAGGTGAAAGGGACTTACCTTGTCCCAGATGAGATTTTGGACTGTAGATTTTTGAGGTAATGTTGAAATGAGTTAAGACTTTGGGGAACTGTTGGGATGGGATGATTGTATTTTGCAGTGTGAGAAGGACATGAGATGTTGGAGGGGCTGGGGGCAGAATGGTATGTTTTTATTTGTGTCCCTGCCCAAATCTCATGTTGAATTTTTATCCTTGGTGTTGGAGGAGGGGTCTGGTGGGTGGTGTTTTGATCATGGGGGCTGATTTCCAAACCCTTGATGTTCCTATCATAGTAAGTTCTCATGAGATCTGGTTGTTTAAAAGTGTGTAGCACCTCCCCCTTCACTCTCCTCCTTCTCTTCTGGCCATGTAAGATGTTCCTGCTTCCCCTTTGCCTTCCGCCATGATTGAAAGTTTCCTGAGGCTTCCCCAGCCATGCTTTCTGTTGAACCATGAGTCAATTAAGCCTTTTTTCTTTATAAATTACCCAGTCTCAGGTAGTTCTTTATAGCAATGTGAGAATGGACGAATACAGGGGGTAGATAGAATATTTCTGCCAGAAGGCATAGCGTATGCAAAAGTTCTTTAGTGGGTGGGAGCAGAGAGCATTTGGGGAACTGAAGGAAGCCAATGGGACTGAAAGATGGGAATGGTGGGAGTCAAAGCTGCAGAAGTAAAGAAGAGCCCAACCAGACAGTACCAAGTGGGCTGCTCAAACATTTCTGCCTTTTCTCACTCCTTATTTATGAAGGTTGGGCACAAACATTTGTCTCTAGCTCTATTATGTGTTTCAGCAAAATCTACCGAAACTGCTTCAGTATCCAATATTTTTATCTTTTGTAATAAATGGTAGTAATAGAATGCTACAGTACACACCTTAAATGAGCAGATTTTCACCATAAGCATTTTTAAAATGTCCATATAGACAAGGTGGAATGTTGCTTTTCTGCTTGTGTTTTAAAATATCCCCTCCCAACTGAATGATTATGGTGACCTTTGTTTGTGATTTAGCTTCAAATTAATATCATTAATATATTTTTGTCATTGTTGCACTATTTCATCACCTTGAATTCTTACATTTTCATCTTTATTGGAATCTCTATGTTCATCAGACACATTGGCCAGTAGCATAAATAATCATGTTCTGATCAGTATTTACAAACTTGTAATATCTGAAATTTATGAACTGAAATTATTTCTATAGCAGTAAATTTTATGAATTTTATTCATTAAATGTATGTTTACCTTGCACTTATTATGTGAAAGATTGTAAAACTTCCTAGGACACAATGAAAATAAACTTTAAGGAGATATACTAGGTTAAATACATGCTGTGGTTATAAGACTCTGAGCTTCATGGAGCAAGCACTCTATCTATCCTGCTCATCACTCTACTTCCAGTACCTCACAATCTATATGGCACAAAGCAGTTCCTCAATGAACAGTTATTTGAATAAACAGAACAGAAATTAAAGGAAGAAGTGGAATGGATCTATCACATTTTCTTTAAATCCAGGATTGGTTCTGATTTTATTTCTGCTCCTTTGTTTTGTATAAGAATATGTGTGTGAGTGTGTGTGTGTGTGTGTGTGTGTGTGTGTGTGTGTGTGTGTGTGTGTGTGTGTGGGGAGGTGGGTGGGTGTGTATCTAATGCTTAATCAAGAGTTTATTTCCCATGAAAAACACAAACAACACACAGACACACAGACACTCTCACACACATACAAACATACACACAATGATAATTAATTCAGAACAGTGTTCTTGATTCATACATTTCCATGGTTGGAAAGATCCTATGTGTAGATTTTCCAAGCCAGTGCTTTGCAATCATTGCCAGCAAAGTACCCTATTTTAGAACATATGGTGTCAGATTTCACAAAATGATTCATATTTCCTAGGCCTTGTGTGAAAGTAGGTGTTTCTATTTGGGAATTACTGCTTAAACAATGACTATTTTGACAAGAAGCAACACATTTTTTTTTTCTTCCAGCACATCTCTTGCTTAGGTGGAAGCTGGAGAACCAATTACTAGTGTGATTATCCTAAGTGTATTCTTACATGTTTTCTTCTCTGTGAAAATGTTTCTATTCTTTCTGATTATAAATGTTACTGGATGTGATGTGTGAATCAATCCTATCTGTGCAGACACAGCAGAATGAAAGGTATAATGATGTAGGAGTGAAGTGTCAATGAATAATTCATATCTGACAGCATGTAGCATTGGATTCTATCAGGCAACATTCCATGGCAGAGAGGTCCTCAAAGGCTTCTTAAATTCATCTGCATCAGCTCATTGTGTTTCTGCTCGGGTGGCAGAATCGATCATTTAGAATGAGGGAAATGATACTGAGTGGCACTGCTTGCTAACACAGATAGAAAAATATGTAGCTATTTTTGTCACCATCAAACATTAATTCAACAAATGTTCATTGAGCTCTTGCTTGGTTCTCATAGGGTGTTCAAAGTTGGAGGATCCACGGAGTATAACACATTCTCTGACTCCACAGAGCTTATCACCATTACTATAGATACATAAAATATTACACCTGACTATGATTCATGTTATGAAGACGTCCAAAGTTAGCTGAGATACATTCCCTTTGCTTCAAGAAGAATTTGAAGAGTGTAATACATGAAGAATATACTTCCATATAATGGTCCAGAAACAGGTTCCTTTTAAAAGTGATGAATATGAGCAAGCCTTTTTCTTATTAGAGTCTTAGAGAGGTCACTGCAGCATGTGGTGAGATATTTACTAATGCATGCCGTTTTTACCTAGGAAACAACTTTCTATGAAATGTAAACACAGCTGTGGAGTTTAATTCAGGATCCTCATCCTTCTTGTATTAAGCTACATTGGAAAGGCGTTCAAATCAGCCTTAAAAAAGAGAATCAGTTGACTTCATGGCAGTAGACCCCTGAAATTTTGGAAACCAGATTTTTAAGACTATTACAGTTAGAAGAGCTGAGTTAAAAGGTTTGCTTTGGAGTAAAACTGGTTTGGTTTGAATATCGCTCTGTTATGTGACCTTGAACAAGTTTTCAGCATTACTGAACTAATTCCTCATCTGTAAATGGGGCTAATATTTGAACACCTATCAATAGGTGGTATAAGAACTAAAGAAAATAGGAGGCTGGATGTGATGCCTCATTCCTGAAATCCTAGCACTTTTGAAGGCCAAGCAAGAGGATTGCTTGAAGCCAGAGGTTTGAGACCATTCTGGGCAACATAGTGAGGCTCTGTCTCTGAAAATTTTTTTAATTAGCTGGGTGTGGTAGTGTGCAGCTACAGTCCCTGCTACTTGGGAGGCTAAGATGGGAGGACTGCTTGAGCCCAGGAGGTCAAGCATGCAATAAACCAAGATCCTGCCACTGCACTCTAGCCTGAGTGACAGAGTGAGACCCTGTCTCAAACAAACAAATAATAAAAAGAACTAAGGAAAATACATAATATAAAGTGCTTTCACCATTCCTGCATTTTATAGTGTCAAATAATATCAAGGCTCCTAGGAAAGTCTCTATTCATTTATAATATTAAATTTCATTTAGCAACATGTAAATCTACTTAAAACATAGGCTTATCTACACCCAAATCAATTACTAAGGTTTTTCGGTATAAATGATTTAGGGTTTGTGGCAGTCTGTTATGTAAGTGACTTCTAGTAAACCATGCCTCCTGGTAATCATGCCCTTCCTTGTGTAGTGCCCTCCTCTTGAATATGGGCAGCCTCCCTGACCAATAGAAGGAAGCAGAATATGCACTGTGCCAATTCCAGGACTAAGCTTTAAAAAAGTCTGGTAGCTTCTGCTTTTGTTGTCTAGAAAGCCCCGAGCCACCATGTGAGAAAGTCTATTACCTTAATAGAGACACCCTGTGTTTCATTAGACACACACCCACACACACACACACACACACACAGAGAGAGACAGAGAGAGAGAGAGAGAGAGAGAGAGATCCTAACTATATTATAGAAAGACATGAGCTCAAAAAACTCAGTGGCCCAGCCAATTCAAGCCTCTAACTGACCCATCAGCTAAATAAAGCCACACAAGTAACCACTGGCAAGACCAGCAGAAGAACCATCCAGCAGAACCTAGCCCAAATTGAGAATAGTAAGCAAACAAAATAGTTTTTTGTTTGTTTGTTTAAAGACGCTAAGTTTTGGGGTGTTTACTTGAACAGCAATGGGTAACGGAATCAGGGTTATTTCCCTTTCTTTCATTCCCCCTTTCTACCAGACACATTTTTTAGATTTTTTCTCATATGTCCTCCTTTCACTAATCACCATTTGGTAGATCCATTAAAGTCTTTTTACGTTGATCTAAAATGTAACTCTTGAGTCATTTACGACAGTTATGACATGTGTTAATCAAAATAGGATTTGGGGAAACCTGAGATGTCCACCCTACTTGCTGCAATGGCTGAACATTATATCAAATCTGGACTTATGAGTGCCATACAGCTTCATAAACATTGAAGCACCTAACATTTTTCATGCTTTTGCAACTTACTATGACTTGCCGTTGACTCATCATGGCCTGAGCATTTAAAAATATTATGAAATATATTTGAATTCATAAAACTCTCATTTTCCATTAATCTGTTCTTCTATTAGGTTTTAATATTACTTAAAATTGCAAGAATAATTTTTGTCTAGGGCCTGAGTTCAAAATACCACCTGCTTTAAAATGTGTGGTATTTTCAGAATTAAAATAGCAATGTATATCTCTTCAACTTGATTCTCACTGCATTTCTTTATTAAGTTAGGCTTTTCTGATAATAATTAACCAGTTAAGCAGCCCTAAATATAATTAATTTTTTAATTGAAGATGAGTTTGAACAAATTGAAAAGTTTATCAAAATGGGTGATTTTTTAGCCTCATGATCTAGCTGAATCACTTTATCACAATAACATGCTTTTGCACAAAGACTACTTAATGTGTTTTTGAAATAAACGCATGTGGTCCCATGAGAGTATCTTTGATCTCAGACATGTTGGTACCATGTAGAAGACTTTGAATTTGTTGCTTAGGTTTATAATACAAGCAAGTGATTCTTCTATTGATACTTTGAAAATATTGTCTACTCTGATTGGAGGAATAATTAATTTAAGTCCCTCTATCCCTGAGTAACCCTCTGTTAGTGTTCTCTGGAGAATAAGAATCAATAAATTTCTCTCTCTCTCTCCATATACATATGTGTATGTGAATTCATATGTGTATATATATTTATATACGTTCATACTATACATATACATATGTATTCACACACACACACACACATGCTATGTAAAATTGGCTCATCAATCATGGGGGCTGGCAAGCCCAAAATCTGCAGGGTGGCCTGGCAAGTTAGAGACAGAGGGAAGACCCACTGTTTCCTTTTAAATCTGAAGGCCATCTGCTGCAGAATTCCTTCTTGCTCAAGGGGGTCAGTCTTTTTTCTATTCAGGCCTTCAATGGATTGCAAGAGGTTCATCCACTTTATAGAGAATAATCTGCTTTACTCAAAGTCCATGGATTTAAATGTCAATCTTATCTGAAAACAACCTCATGGGAACATCAGTATATTGTTTGACCACATATCTGGGCACTGAGGCCAAGCCCAGTTGACACATAAAAGTAACCCTCATACCCACCTTGAGATCTGAGCCAATTGAGAGAGAGTCTCAGGTATCAAATAGATGGAGATTAACAGTAGTGGTGTTTGAGTAGAGGCCATGGCTTGGAAACGTGATCAAATGGACTTCCTGCTACTCAACCTTCCCCATAGTAATGACCAATATACAGATCGTCACCCAGGAATTTTGTTATGAGGAAGAGAGAAAAGTGTGTGCAGAGGGCAGGAAGAAAGCCCAAGCTCTGTGCATTACACTTTTCTCAGTCTCATTATCCCATGTCACTACCTTCCTTTGGAGAAGAGTGCCTGTGGAGGCACAGAGGAGGCTCCAAGTTACTTGTTACATTATTCTAAAAGAAGCAGAAATTCCTTTTAAACAAGACCAGGCAGGTTTGTGTGGGGAGAGAGAGGATCACTCCCTAAAATAGCATTCAAATACGATTTTTCAGAACAATTCTGGTTTCTAAACAATCATCGTGATCCAGAATCTGACTGCCTGTGCATTACAGACTTAAAAATTATGTAAAGGATAGTATTTGGCAGTAATTTAGAAAACATATTTCTCAAAGTTTTCTATTTAGACCAGTACTCCTTTTCTCTAAGAATAATGTGAGATTTTGATCATTTGTACAGCTTTCATATTTTTCTTTTATGTAATCTCTTAAAATGATTCACAGAAACTTAAAAATCCTACTAGCAAAATAGCCCATCATGATCAAATGTAGCTGCATTACCCTTTTTAACCAGAAAGCCAGTAAAACATCATTTACATAGTATTAACATATTCATGTGTTATTCAAAGATATATCATCTAAAAGAGTGCACAAATACTCAGAATATTTTTCTCTCTAGCATCACAGATATCAAGATTCTGTAAATTTTTTGATGAGTTTGTTTCTTGTTAATATAAGCTATGTTTTCAGTTGTATTAAGAAAAAATAATCTTGCTTTCTTTACATCATCACTAACTTCTAAATCACCCAAGTCATACTCTCAATATCATAATGCACTATTGTTTTAAAACTTAGAAATACAGCATAAAGTCTTCCCCCATCCTGCTTTTTAAAGCCTTTGCTCTTGCCACTATAAACTTCAGTTTTCTAAAAAAAGAAATTGTAACTTTTAAACAAGAATCCAAGAAACACACAACATCCTTTTTACTTCTTTGATGATTCCTCATTTAGGAACCGAATTATTCTTTAATCATCCCTTAAATGATAAGTGTCTCTGGCTCTAATCTTTAATCATTTATTAAAATAATTAATTCTTCCCACAATAATATATTAAACATTTTCCTATAATTGGATATATTAATTTCTAGTTGCCTTTAAAATATACCTATCATCAGACCACGTCTCACCATCAACATCACTCAAGTCACCATCACTCCTCACTAGAGCAATTGCAATCTCCCTGATCCTATGTTTTTGACCTTGCCCCTTTGTATCTATTCTCCACAGCGAAGTCAGTGGGATGCTGTTAAAGTCGACCGGCTGTTCTTTGTCTTCTTATGACCCTCCATAGTATTGCCATTAAACTAAAAATAAGGCGAAATCCTTACCATGACCTAGCAGTCCCTGAACCATCTCGATTCTCGTCCTCTGAATTCACGTGCAATGACTTCTCGCCACATTCACTGCAGTCTTTTCAACTTACTTGCAGTTCTTTTAACCTGACCACATGCTCCTGCATCAAGGTTTTTTCTCCCCCAGAAAGCCCACCCTTTTGTTTACTGAGCTCCCTGTGCAAGTAACATCTGACCAGAGATGCCTTTTCTGAATATTCTGTCTAAAAAGCACCTCCTTGCCCACTTCCCATACAATGATCCTTCTTTTCGTCCTTATCACCATCTGACTTTTTTTATATGTTTAACTTTTCATTGGTATTTTTGTCTCCCCTAGTGAAATGTAAGCTTCATGAAAAGAGGTTGCTTGTCTATTTGTATACTATGATAACCCCTGAATGTGAAACAGTGCCGGAGGTGTGGGAGACACTCACAAAAATGTTTTCAGTGAATGAATGGTAAACAGAAAATGTCTTAGAGGCCCCATCTTACTTTGGAATAAAAGTATATAAATAAATAATGATGAGATGGTAAAACAAATATGTTTATCGTGTATGGAGGATATATTTATATATTTATAGTGTATAATTAGATATATTAATTTCCAGTTGTCTTTAAAATATATCCAGCATCAGACCACGTCTCACCATCACCATCACCCAAGTCACCACCACCCCTCACCAGAGAAATTGCAATTCCCCTGATTCTGTGCTTTTGACCTTGCCCCATTATATCTGTTCTCCACAGAGAAGTTAGTGGGATCCTGTTAGACTCCTTGTTCTTTGTCTTCTTATGACCCTCCATGGTATTCCCATTAAACTAAAAATACTACTTTATTCCAAAGTAAGATGCAGCCACTAAGACTATATAAATATATATTCAAGAAGAAATGTATTCTGCTTGGGAGAGCTGAAAGAAGCTTTGAAAAGCCAAAGGAGTTTGAGTTAACAGATACACAAAAGATTTTTAAGCAAGAAATAGCACAGGTTAAAACAAAACAGTATAGGTCAATGTACAGAGAGATAAAAGATATCTTGCACCTTCAGAAAATCTTTAAATCTTACAGCATGGTTGGAATATATTCAGATCAGCCTTATTTGTAAGAGTACTCCTTGGTCAAGTTGTCTAAAATTTTCCTCCTTCTACATTCTTTCCTCCACTTATGATCAAAAAAATAATTATTTCCAAAACTGATGGTTCTTATGGTTTTTCATATCCAGTTTCAAGAAACATGAGCTTCAAATTTGTATGGTGTTATACTAAGCTACATTTATGTATATTTACATTATATTTTATGTATTATATGTAAGAATATATAGCTTATTTACATTCGTTATTTTGATTTGTAAATAAATTTGTTGTAATAAATACATAGCTCTATAAAGGTCAAATTAAAAATCTCCCCTCATACTATCTTTACTCTTACCCTGCCAAGGTAACTAAAGTTAATACATCAGTGTTGTTTCTGTCCTTCTATATGTATATATACATGCATATATATTTATACCTATTATCATAAAAATTATGTAGTTACAGACATATTTATATACATATTTAAATACACATATTCTACCAATATTGGAGTAAATAATTGTCTCTCATGTTCGCATATTTTATTTCATTTTTCTTTCATAGTACACCTGCAAATTAGCTGGAGCTAACCCTATCTTATTGGCAAGGAAACTAGCAGTGATGTTGAAGCACCTTATCCAGGATCACACATGAAGTGGCAGATTCAGGTTTTACAATGTCAAGTTCCATGCCCTTTTCTGAGGTCCCAGCCCCTTCTCATCCTGCCATTTTGCGATATTTTAGAACAAGTGCAACTTAGTGATGTACTTGATACCTGGTCATTGCATCAGGAAAGATTAGATTAGGCTGAGTGTGATTGAAAACCCAAATAGTAGCAAGCTAGTAAAAATAGAGGCTTATTTCTCTTGCATATAAAAGAAGTCTAGATCGAGGATGTCTTGGTGCCCTATGTTGAAGAGCTTAGTTTTCTTTGATCTCTCTGCTGTATTGTGTGTGGTTTTATTCTATAGGTGACGTGGTCCAAGGTAACTGCTGGAACTCCAGAAAGTCCATCCATATATTAACCCACAAGAAAGAGGAGATTATCTTCTTTTATAGATAATTCCTAGAAGATGTGCATGTAACATTTACTTATTTCTCATTGGCCAGAACTTGTCACATGGAAACAGCTTGTTGCAAGGGGTTGTGGATGAGGGGCCGTCTATTCTGAGCAGTCATAAGTCCATCTAAAAAATTATGGGTTTTGTTTTCAAAAAAGAAAATAAGCATGGGTACATTGGAACAAAGTAGAATTGTCTGCTAAAGTCATGAAACAGCTTTGGGCTATGCTTATTAGACAGAATATTACTTAACACAACAACATCCATGCTACTACAATATTCAAGGGTCAGGAAACTACATCCCATAAGCCAAATTTGTTCTGTCCCCAGTTTTTGTAAATAAAGTTTTATTGAAATACAACCATGCCCATTTTGTTTACATATTGTCTATGGTTGCCTTAGCACTATTGCAGAGTGGAATGGTTGCATTAGTGACTGTATGGCCCAGAGACTCTACAATATATGCTATGCAACCATTTACAGAAACACTTTCCTGATGCCTTCACTTGATCAGTAGGCTGAAGTTTTAAAAATAGACTCAAATTTTAAAAACTACCTCCCCTCAAAAGAATCCCAATACATGTACAGTTGACCTTTGAACAACACAAGTTTGAACTAGGTTGGTCCACTTATATGCAAATATTTTTTCAATATATTGGTAAATTTTTGGAGATTTGTGAGAATTTGGAAAAGCTTACAGAAGAATTGCATAGCCTACAAGTATTTTAACAATTAATAAAAAGTTGTGTGTCATGAGTACATAAAATGTATGATAAAATAGATACTAGTCTATTTTATCACTTACAACCATAAACTATATACAAATCTATTATAAAAAGTTAAAATTTATAAAAACTTACACAACCACTTACAGACCATACATGGCACCATTTGCAATAGCGAGAAATGTAAACAAATATAAAGATGCAGATTATAACTCTTGTACATACTATACTACGGTAATAATTTTGTAGCCACCTCCTTCCTATTGCAGGGAACTTAAGTGTTACGAATATCTGCTTAAAACATGGTGTGACACTAATATCTCCCCATGAGGATTCCTGTCTTCAGTAAATTGTGAACCTCAGTAAAAAGTGACCTCTCATGGTTCTCATGTGTTTTTCATCCTGTTTAGTGCAATACTGTAAACCTTTAATAACAGCATGGGACCCATACAGAGTGCCACTGGTGATGCTGGAAGTGCTCCAAAGAAGCAGAAAAATGTCACAACACTACAAGAAAAAGTTGAATTGCTTGATATGTGCCATAGACTGAGGCCTGCAACTGCAGTTGCAGACAATTCATCTTATAAACAGACAATGTAAACTTACAGCACAGGTACATATAGTCCAATATTGTAAATGTATTTTTCTCATGGTTTTCTTCACATTTTTTGGCTTACTTTATTGAAAGAATACAGTATCTAATACATAGAATATACAAAATCTGTGTTAATCAATCATTTATATTATGGGCAAGGCCTTTGGTCAACAGTAGGCTGTTAGGAGTTAAGTTTTGGGGAAATGAACAGTTATACATGGATTTTTTTTTTTTTTTACTGTGTGTTGGGAGGGTTGGTGCTCCTAACAGTTTTGTGGGTCTCAACTTTATAGGATATTGCTCAGGAGTTTCAAGTGAGTAGATATGTTGGTATTTACAAACACTGTGGGCTTAGGAATTATGGTTATTATTCTCCCAGTATCCAAATCCTGGCACATTGCTTACTAGTTGGGTAAACTTGGGTAAGGTTTTTGACCTCCCTGTGCCTCAGTTTGCCGTCTGTAAAATTAGGATACAAATCCTGATTGCCTAGTAATAAATCAATTAACGTATGTATGTCACTTAAATCAGTGCCTAGTGCATAATAAATTTTAATAATCATACCTATTATTATTCTCCCCTTTTCAAAAATGAGGATGGCTTTAATTTAATTAGCACTAGGAGGGAGAACTATAGTCCCATAGAGTCTAAAATTTTCCTACAAGCAAATAGGATAAAGTAGTGTAACAGCAATGCTCATCACTCTCTTGCAGTGATTTTCCTGCAGCCCTAATTAGCCACACATCTCACGCCCATGATTTCTGGTCATGTACTCTTTTTTCCTCCCCATTCTGCTACCTATTTTTGCCAGCGTATCTTTACAATTTTCATCAGAAAGAGAATTCTAAATATAATTTCCCAGGAAACTTCTCAGGTTTCCATTCATTCTTCATTATCATTGAAAAGAATAGTACATCAAATGCTGCTGATAGGTCAAGAAAGATAAATACTGAGAAATGACCACTGGATTTACTACCACAGGTGCCCATGGTGATCTTGATAAAAACAGTAACAGAGAAATGATGAGGGTGAAAATCTAATTGGTTTGGAAGTGAGAGCAGGAAGAAAAAAATGGAAACAGTGAGAGTAGACACTTTTTCAAGGATTAACTGGATAATAAATGTTGTGTCCCATGGGGACCCACATATGTGTGCAAATGATTGATTACTACATAGTTAATGATCTTCTATCTGTCACATGGCAAGCACTCTGTATGGCAGTTGCAGTTGCTGTTAATTTTTTTTTTTCAAAAGCTCCAGGAAAAGACAGCTTTCTTTGGTCACATCTTTCAAAGTCTTTATATATTTAATGTTAAAAAACAGAACGCCTAGCCTCTGCTTCAGACTCATCTTAGTCTCAGTGTGTAAGCTACTATTTGAACAAAGATCAGCAATCCAGTTTGAGGGCTTGATGGGGTGAAAGTGCAGTGGGGGTGGGAGAATGTTGCAGGCGGTCCCTGTCATCTGGGTCAGGGTCTCATACGGAAACTTGATCCCTTGACCTTGCTTGCTCTATTCTAAAATCTGAATTCTTCTCGTAGCTTTTATTTCAAATAGTCTTGACTGCTCCTTTCGAACCTCTGTCCTCACAATTGCTGTTAGATTTTCTCTGGGGGAGGAGGAATTATGATGACCTTATAGAAGTTAGTTTTATACCCTCCACTGGCATCCATGCTGACAACCTATACATTGTTCCAGGGTTGAATGCAATTTGATTGGAAATAACCTCAACAGTGAACTTGAAATATCACGCTATCAAATAAAAATAGAAAGAAGAAAATCTAAAGTCTCTTTCTCTCTCACACACACACACACAGACACACAAGCACACAACATAGAAACCATGCTGGTAGCCCTAGAATTTGTCCTTTCTGATTTTTAATTTGGCTCTGTTTTTGAAGTAAACAAGTGTCTATCATAAATACTGTGAAATTTATGGTAGGATTTTACTCCCTTGTATCACAAGCCATGAGTGCTTCTAAGCAGCCAGCCTTTATGCATAAACTGCAGTGTGTGAGAGCTTCAAGCTTATTTGAAATGGAAGTGGTGTTTGGTGAGATGGGAAGAAGGGATGTATTTTAAACTAATAAATAATCATCATCCATGCCTACTTGGAAAATAGCTTTCTTGTCGAATAGTATTTCAATATATAGTATCTTGAAATAAGACTGCCATTAATAATGTAAGCATAGCTTGCCATATAAATCCTGCAAATATGTACATACATGAGGCCTAAATTACTCTCTGGGGCCACCTTTTTCTGCTTAAATTACCTTTAGGAGGAACCCATTTAGGTGATATTAGGGCCAGTTAAGGAGAGGGATAATAACCATAGTAGACCTAGCTTTTCTACTTGCTGACATCCCTGCTATGCCAGGCTAGTGAACAAATGCTCCTGGCCATATTCCACATTCATAGGTCAGTTTTCTTAGTGACTAGTGAAGACACAGAATTAAGATGAGGTCAGATTCATCCTAACTGTGACCTACACCACAGAAGAGACTCCTAAACAAACCTACTGTGTCACTGTGGGTTCTGTATCTGAATTTCAATCAGGAGGAACAAATCTGTCAGAATCCTTGTGTGTGCCAGTGGTATTACGCTGACCTTTGAATTACAAATAGATACTGAGAAAGAAATCCCAGGAGCAGGCAATATCCATTAAATAACAATTATGAAAAGCTGTTTGCCTTTTGGAATAGCTTTTCCCATAATGAGGATATGAGCAAGCTGGGAGGCTGGGGAGTGGTGGGACTCAAGTAGGGTTTCTAATTCTGAATTATTCATTTCTCAAATGGAGAGAAATCGTCAAAGCTGGGATAGGAAGAGAAAGTCAAGGAGGCCCAGAAGCCTTTCTTAAGGCCAGGATTTATGTAGAAAGGGCCATGGAGACAGGGCTAAGAATCTAGAAGAGTTAGACTAAAAATCTGGCTCCTTTCCTTCGTGAGAATGTACATCATTTGGGATTGATTCAGTGTGATTTTTGATATGTCTGAGTCACCTAAGTAAATTCTGTTTCTCAAAAGGTTTGCTCCCAGAAATTTTTTTTGTCTGTCAACATTTATTATTTACTTTGGATTTGGCCAGACAATATAATGTGCGTTGTTTTACATGGTTGAAATATATGGAATGGCTGGGATTCACCCATATTTCACTTTAAAGTCAACATAGGGTTTTCCCTAAATTTCCATCCTTAGAATGCAGTACACCATGTTGTCTAAGACTCCAGACTTTGGAGTTAAATGGTCCTGAGTTGAATACCTAACTGATCCCTAATAAGTTATGTAGCAAATTATTCAACAATTTTTACTCTGTCACTCATCTGCCAAATAGGAATAATCGTGCCTAACCCATAGGAATAGGGAGAGGACAAAATGAGGGAGTATGTTTAATGCGTAGCCAACTAAATATTGGGTTGGGTATGCATTAAGCGTATTTTCTCATATTGGGCACATAACAGGTTCTGTATAAATGACTCTGTATTTATTATTCAACTTTTGCTGCAGCAACAAACAACCCTTAAATACCAGCGATTTGCAAAAGCAAACATTAATTTATTGATCCCATTTCATGGTGGCTGCAGGTCTGCTGTGATTTTGCCAGGTTTGGCTTGGTCCAGTTGGTTTCCACATGACCCCTATGAATGTGTAACCATTCTCTAGGGTGCGCTGCTGGCATAGAGGAAGACAGCAGCTCGAGAAAGGGGCAATACCAAGATGACTCAGGTGTCTTCTTAGAAGCAGTGTATTGTCACTACCTGCCATTGATCAAAAAGTCACATGGCCAAGCCCAGCACTATTGAAACAGTAAAGTATGTTCTACCTCTTGCAAGGCAGTGAATGGTTAGGAACAATAATGCATTATACATACTAACAATTTACTATTATTAAGTAATGATCATGAAATCACAAAATTTTAATTTGTTTTCGCTTTTGATGGTAATGGGGATTTAAAAGACGCTGTACTTTAATCAATTTCAATATCTATAATTTTTCACTCTATAATTATTTTTTCTTTTATGAGTAGTTTTATGTACTCATGAACTTTTATTCATGCAACATCTTATAATACAGTTATTACTCTTTTGATGCACAAATTGTACCAAATCTGACCAGATAGAGTTGCTTTAAGTTGGCTCCTGTGCCCTTCCAATGTGTCCCCATTCTTCTTTGAGCATTTCTTTACTCTGGCACAAGCTGTGTCCAGATTATCATTTTTTTATTGATACGTAATAAGTGTGAATATTTGGTGGGGTACATCTGATATTTTGATGCATGCATGCAATACGTAATGATCAAATCAGCATATTTAGAATATCTATCACATCAAACTTTATTGTTTCTTTGTGTTGGTAACATTTCATATTTTCTAACTATTTTGAAATATACAGTACATTGTTGTTAACTATAGTCACCCTACTCTGCTATCAAACACTAGAACTTACTCTTTCTATTCAACTGTATGTTTGTACCCATTAATCAACCTCTCTTCATTCCACACTTCCCTTCCCAGTCTCTGGTAACTCTCATTCTACTCTCTTTGTCTATGGGATTGACTTTCTTAGCTCCCACATATAAGTGAGAACATGCAATGTTTGACTTTCTGTGCTTGGCTTATTTTACTTAACATAATGACCTCCAGTTCTATCCATGTTGCTGCAAATGACAGGATTTCATTCTTTATTTATGGCTGAATAGTATTACACTGTGTATATATACCACATTTTATTTACCCATTAATCTGTTGTTGGACACTGAGGGTTGATTCCATATCTTGGTTATTGTGAATAGTGCTGCAATAAACTAGGAAGTGCAGGTGACATGCTGATTTCCTTTCCTTTGGATAAATACCTGGTAGTGAGATTGATGGATTGTGTGGTATTTTTATTTTTAATTTGTTGAGAAATCGCTATACTGTTTTCTATAATGGTTATGCTAATTTGCATTCCCACCAACAGTGTATAAAAATTCCCCTTTCTCCTCATCCTCATCAGTATTTGCTATTTTTTGTCTTTTTGATGATAGCCATTCTAATTGCAGTAAGATGATATCTCATTGTGGTTTTGATTAGTATTTTCCTAATAATTAATTATGTTGATTATATTTTTCATATACCTGTTGGCCGTTTGTCTGTCTTCTTTTGAGAAATATCTATTCGTATCCTTTGCCCACATTTTAATGGGATTATTTTGGGCTTTTTTGGTGTTGAGTCATCTTCCTTGTGTATTCTGGATACAGTCCTTTGTCAGATGAATAGTTGGCAGGTATTTTTTCCCATCAATAGATTGTCTCTTCACTCTGTTGATTATTTCCTTTACTGTGCAGTTTTTTTGTTTAATATGGTCTCATTTGTCTACTTTTGTTTTTGTTGTCATTGCTTTTGCAATCTTAGCCATAATATTTTTGCCTAGACCAGTGTCCTGGATTGTTTCCTCTATGTTTTCTTCTAGTAGTTTTATAGTTTCATGTCTTATATTTAAGTCATTAATCTAGTCTGAATTTATTTTTGCATATGGTGTAATTTTCACTCTCTATTGACCGGTGATAGTTGTTGAGTATTTTTAATTGTGCTCATAGCTATAATCATCATCATAATTCAGAATTACTTATGATAGAGTGATAAAGACATTCTTTTTATAAATGCATTCTTTTTATATGAGCTCTTTTAATAATAGTATTTTAGAGTGGAGAAAGGAAAAATTTATATATTATCTTTCTTTAGTCAGTGGGAAATCTTATTCTAGAAGAAAAATGATGCTGCAGGCAGAATAGCGAATAATGTTATTAGACTAATTCACCCCACTCCCAGTATCCTGCCACCTCCCTAGTCATAGTTTCCTTGAATAATCAAAACAGCCGTCATCAACTGAGTACTTACAAGGTGACAGACACTGTGCTAAGCACTTTACAGGGGGCTTACCCCTTATTTGAGCAATACTTTATGAGATATCCACTACAAATATCTCTAATACACACATGAGAAAGTTGAAACTTGGAGAAGTTAGGTGACTTCCCTAAAGTCATGCAGTTAGGAAAGGACTGGATAAGACTCCAGAGCTTCCATGAGTCTCAGACACTGCACTACCTCCAGTGGAAATACAAAATAATCTTATGTACTCTTTTTACAATAGTATGTAAAAGTGGAGAAGCAAAAAAGTGCATTGACTTTATTATTACATAGTACTTAAGTTAAGAGTAGATAAGCCAGAAGAGTGGACAGCCAAAATGCATTGGCCACTTATTGGGAACAAGGCATTATTTCCATGCATTAACTCATTTAATACTCAAAACAAGCTTATAAAATGGATGTGATGATTATCACCATTTTACAGGTCCAGAGAGGTAAAGTGACCAGGTCAAGATTGCACAGGCGGGTAAGTGATGGAAGCTAGCTTTGAAACAAGACTTTCTGGTGTCAGAATTTCAGAATTTACACTCTTAGGCTCTACACATCCTTGCCTTTATAAAAAAATTTGAAAACTTAACCTCAAAATGCCCACACTCACTCTACACCCTAATGCATACCTGTACATCCTCCAGGTTTACCACTATTTCAAACCTGTCTCACATCCAAAGGATTTAAAGATGAATTTCTGTGCAACTTATTTTCTCTCTTTGCCTCCCAAGTTATTCCCATCCTGTCACCATAACAACCCCAAACCTGTAATACATAGTCGGAATCGTTATCGAGAGAGGCAGAAGGAAGAAGCATTTGATGTATCTCTTCAGGGGTCCTCTCTGACAACTTTATCTCCTCCTAGTGAACTTTGGGCATCCTGTGATCTACGATGCTGCCAATTAGGCTGTAAATGGTGCAGCTGCCTCTGTGCACTCCTGGCTCGTGGGAACAGTAGGATATCTCTTCTCCATATGCATGCTCACCAAGCACCCAGCATCGCAAATCAGACGAAGAGGAACATCTAAGTTACATAAGAAATGTATTGAGTAAACAGGAAGAAATGTGGAATGCATCTGCCTATCTCTCCTTTGTCATGAAGAGACCAAAAACTGCTGCAAGCAAAAGGGGAAATAGAAAGTTTCTTGGGAGCTGGGCACGGTGACTCACGGCTGTAATCCCAGCACTTTGGGAGGCCGAGGCAGGTGGATCATCTGAGGTCAGGAGTTTGAGACCAGCCTGGCCAACATGGTGAAATGCCATCTCAGCAAAAAAAAAAATAATAATTATTATTATTATTATTATTTTATATATATATATTAGCCAGGTGTGGTGGCACGCACCTGTAATCCCAGCTACTCAGGAGGCTGAGGCAGGAGAATCACTTGAACCTGGGAGGCAGAGGTTGCAGTGAGCCAAGATCATGCCACTGCACTCCAGCCTAGGCAATAAGAGTGAAATTCCATCTCAAAAAAAAAAAAAAAAAAGAATGTTTCTTGGGGTCTAACCCGTGGCCTCAGTGTTTAGTACGTAGTGGATGGACAAGACACTTCACTTCTGTGGATCTCAGTTTCTTCAGCTGGAACTGAGATGATTATGAATCTGGTTTGCATTACAGTATTATGTAAGGAGATCAAATCAAACACTCAGAGGAAAAACCTGGCATACAAATCATATGCATTTGTGCTCCAGGAAGGAATTGCTACCTTGGTGTAAGATATATTAATATGTAAACTATATTGAATGTCCCATTCTTTAGACACAGTGGCTTCAGACACATTTTATATTTTTTAATGCTACACACTCATGTTTATCTTAATGTCTGTAATACTCAGCAATACCAAATTTAGAAATTTAATGTTCTATATTGATACAAAAAATGTGTGTGAAACCTGGTTTCTTAAGAAAACACACAAGTGCATTGTCACTCTCTGTGATAATGATTGGATTTTCCCAGAGATTTCTCAATCTCTGCTTTCTCTTGTGCTCCTAAGAGGACTCATCTAATTAGGTGGTAATTTAACTTAGGTTTTGATAGTACAAAAATATGACTGAACCAACACTTAGTTTGGGTAAAGTGCCAAATGCTCCCTCTTATGGCAAGCCTTAATTCTTGGGGGCTTTGCTTTCAGGGTTTAGTAACACCTCAGTCCAAATTATTGTTAAGTCAATATTTACAATGCTTCAGGTTTGTGAGATCAGCAATTCCACAATGCCTGTTGTCACCAAATCTTGGCAGCACCTCCTTGAATATTGCAAACATTTACATGCGTGTGCCAGGCATGTGAAAAGAGGAGTATTGCATGCTCTGAGAGAGCTGCCTAGAGAATCCTATACCCAAGGTTGTTGCAGATGTCCACAGTACTGTACTCACTGAACCAATGCTAATGCACAGAAAAGGCTGCAACGTCTCCTGTACCCAGAATATCTTATCTTCCTACGTACAATTTTTTCTCTTAGCATTAAAAAACCCTATTCATTATGTTTGTATACTCGGTTGCAAAGAATGAAATGCTTAAAGGAGATGTCAAATGCATCAACCGAAATATTGCCCCAGGTTTCTTGCGTTTGGAAAATTTAGCACACTGATCTAGGCAGACCTTTTAATGAGACACAAGGGGACTGACTGACATCTTTTCTGAGCTGACCCAGCCTGGCCGGCTTGTTTTGGAATCAGAGTAGCATATTCACTCATCTGTGTATTTCCTAGTGGCTTCACAATGAGCTAGTGCTGGATGCTTGATGCTAGTTGTTATATCTCCTAAGAATCCAAAGGTAATTAAAGTGTTCACAAAGGAATAGAACACAAGTTTGGAACCCTGATCTGGGCACACTTGCATTCTCAACATGGGGTCTTTGAGACAGATGTTAGAACATGTAGCTATCACTATTGGAAGTAACTCATTACCAGTGAAATTCAAAAAATACAGTTTGAGGTCAAGGTTTTTAAAAAAAGAACAAATGGCAAAGGATTCAAGGATATTCTTCTGCTATTACTGCCATTCATTTATGTTCATATATGCTTTCTTGAATAAGAGAGTGAAGGGCAGAGTTAGAGGTATTTGGCTGGTAATCTAATCAGCATAATTAGAACATCCCCACCACAGCACCATGCCTGTCTTTCTTATTCATTCATGATTTCCCAAATGCATGAAGAACTCTATTATGTGCCTGGTGCTACTCCAGAGATTGAGGTTACAGTAGAGAGTAAGACAGGCAAATCCCTATAAAGTTTATTTTATATTGGGAAAATTTGAAAAAGATTAATTGAAATTATACACACGTACATATATATTCACACACAGACACACACATAGGTGTCAATTTCACATGAAGGTAACTGACCTGTAGAAATAAATCAGGTGAGAGGTAAAGAATGACTTGGGGTTGATGAACCATTTTAAAAGGGATCGTTTTGGAGAGTTCTCCAGGGAGATGACATTTCAGCAGAGACCTGATATAGTAAGAAAACAAGTCATCTGAAAATAGAGGAAAAGAGGTTTCCAGGTAAGGAGGAATGCAAATAGAAAAGCCGAGAGGCTGGAACACGCTTGACACCCCGGAGAAGCAAGAAGGCCAGCATGGCTTCAGCAGAAGGCAGGAGAAGGCATCTAGACTATAATGAAGGTGGAAGATAAGCAGGCAGGTTAAAGCTTTTGATTTTATTCTCACTGAGGATAGGAAGTCACGGGAGGATTTTGAGTGAGGATGAGCAAGATTCCTGTGTTCCATTATGAACAGTTCAGCACTGGCATGACAGCAGGGCATCACACAAATGGACTGGACTCCTGCATGTGTGTCCTAAAGAAGGAGAGAGGTAGAGAACCACTGCTTTAGGAAACTCCACTAAACATACTTGAATCAGAAGGGAGGACAGAGTAGACAAAAATAGTTTTTTTCTTTGGGCCCATTTACTATTTGCTAGGCTGTACTTAAAATCTACTTATAGTTAGAGAGAATAAAGCAATTCACTAAATAGCACTGTATTTGTATGCCCACAATATAATGAAAATGTGATCCCTAAAAGGAAACAGACATGGCATAAATATCAATATGCTCATTAACGAGTTATTACGGACAGAGTGCACACATGAGTGAAAATATAATTTAAACTTTGGTTTTCTGACCTTGTCTAATGCCTTGAAAGCAAGGGATAATTCAACCAATTGCACATTACTCTCCTCTTGTCCAGCTTCCCCTCCATGAAACTAAGGCTTGATTTAGTTTCCAAAGAATCTAATTTCACCAAGAATGCGATGGAATGCCTCTAATGACGCCCTCCACTTACACTTTCACTCGGAGCCAGCAGCAGCGAGCACCACCAGATTATTATGAAGCTGAATGAAATAGAGGCATTCATCAGAGCTAAATAAAAATAAACAGTTGAAATTGCCTGTCAGTCTCAGGGGGAACATGAAGGGTTGTTTAAAGATATCTTCCCTTTTAATAAGAAATTTTATTACTTTGGGGGTGTGTTATGTTCTCATTCTCAGAGTAATCCAGCTGCCACATCACCTTTGTTGTTATCTGAACCTGTAGCTCTGGTGCTGTGAGCTGTTGTTATGCACAAGCATGAAAATAGATGCTTGATGAACATTTCAAGGTGGTGGGGCTGAAACCAGGCATCACGGCAGAATTTTGAATCAGCTATTGCTACTTCTCTGTCTTCATTGCTTTCTCTCTAGGCTCTCCTATTACACCAATGCTGTGTTAAATTCCTGAGATTACCAGCTCCCTGGGTTTCTCTTTCTTGGATTTAATAAGTGAAAAAAAGAAAATATAAATTTAAAAGGGTAAGGTGATTGTGTTTCCATAGATTGACACGCTTGGCAAAACAAGATCAGCTGAGTTTAAAGAAGGAAAATGGGAACTATACAGGCATACCTCATCTTATTGAGCTTCACTTTACTGTACTTTGCAGATATTGCATTTCTTACAAATTGAAGGTTTTGGGCACGCCTGCATTGAGCAACCTATCGGCACCATTTTTCCAACACAATGTGCTCACTTTGTATCTCTGTATCACATTTCGGTAATTCTTGAAATATTTCAGTTTGTTACGGTGATCTGTGAATCTGTGATTACTGATTTTTTTTTTTTTTTTAAGACAGAGTCTCACTCTGTCACCCAGGTTGGAGTGCAGTGGCAAGATCTCTGCTCACTGCAAACTCCACCTCTTGAGTTCCAGCGATTCTCCTGCCTCAGCCTCCTGAGTAGCTGGGATTCCAGGTGCCCGCTGCCATGCCCAGCTAATTTTGTATTTTTAGTAGAGATGGGGTTTCACCATGTTGGCAATACTGGTCTGGAACTCCTGACCTCAAGTGATCCACCCATCTCAGCCTTCCAAAGTGCTGGGATTACAGGCATGACCCACCGTGCCCAGCTGTGATTAGTAATCTTTGATGTTACTGTTGTAATTGTTTTGAGGCACCAATATGAGACAGCTAACTTAATTGATAAATGTTGTGTGTGGTCTGACTGCTCCACTGACCGGCTGTTCCTCCATTTCTCTTCATCTCCTCGGGCCTCCCTATTTCTTGAGACACAATATTGAAATTAGACTAATTAGTAACCCTACAATGGCCTCTAGGTGTTTAAGTGAAAGGAAGAGTTATACATCTCTTACTTAAAATCAAGAGCTAGAAATTATTAAGCTTAGTGAGGAAGACATGGCAAAAGCCGAGACAGGCGGAAAGCTAGGCCTCTTGCACCAATTAGTCAAGTTGTGAATGCAAGAGAAAAGTTCGTGATGGAAGTGAAAAGGGCTACCCCAGTGAACACACAAATGATAAGAAAGCAAAACAGCCTTATTGCTGATATAAAGAAAGTTTTAGTGGTCTGGATAGAAGCTCAAACCAGCCGCAAGAGCCTCTTAAGCCAAAGCCTAATCCACAGCAAGGTCATCAATAACGAGGCAAAACCCTCCACCAGCAAAAAGATTACAACTTGCTGAAGGCTCAGGTGACAGTTAGCATTTTTAAGCAATAAAGCATTTTTAAATCAAGGTATGTACTTTTCTTTTAGAAGTAATGCTGTTGCACACTTAGACTACAGTAGAGTGTAAACATAATTTTCATAGGCACTGACTGGAAAACCGAAAAATTTGCATGACTTGCTTTACTGCAATATTCACTTTATTGCAGTGGTCTGAACCGACCCCACAATATTTCCAAGGTATACATGTCTTAAGTAATTATGTCTGATTACAGTCTTAACCTGGAGCAGCATCATTGCTTTTAAATATTAGATAAAATTACAATGCTTTTCATTATAATTGCTTCTTCCCACTTTTCATGATGCTTCTGTAAAGTGCATTGAAAGGGAAATACTTAAAGGAAAAACAACACATATTTGATAAACTAGGATAATTAAGAAAAGTTTGACTTGAGGGAAAAAATTGTCAAGGATGGAGAGAAAAGCCAATTATTAAATAGAAACACAACTGAGAATGCAATCCTTAGCCAATCATCTGAGATTCAAAAAGTGTATCAGCCTCCTTGAGCCTGGAAAAGCCTTGATTTTCTTTGTGTGTTTCAAGTATATTTCTTTGCCATATTTTTGTTCCCTCACAAACATGGGGGGCTAAGGAAAATTATAAACTACATTTTGAACTGCAGGGGGCATTGGAAGGGCTGGCCAACTCTCTGAAAGCTGAGAATCAGAAAGACAGATTTTCAAAAGGAATTATGCATAAGTGGTATGTATTACAAGCACACAATTCCCTTTAGTGCTTCTGGAAAGAGCCAAAGCATGAAGGAGGAACACTGGCATTGAATGCTGCTAGAACTTCAAAAAGAAATTGGCCTTGCTTTATGTAATTCTTATTCATCTGTAATATAAAAACAACCCATCTTCTGTTAACAGGTCCTTTCTTTGAATGTCCTGGTAATTACTCTAATATATATAGCATATCAGATTGGCAATGGAATAATCTCCCACAAAGCCTGGTTCATGGTGACAAGTTACAGTCTTGATGATGCCAGTTGGTATGTATTCAGAAACTGTGTATTGTATTAGGCTTGTGAGCCAGAGGCAAGCCCACTCACTACAGCTCTTGCCAACTGTTGATTTATTTCCAGCTATTCGGTGTTGGAGCAGATCACTGGAACTCACCAATGAGTCCTGCTCTTGTGCCTGAGAGCCAAAACTGCAAGGGTTGGAGAGTGCAATTAATCCATCTGTGGCTTTCCTCAGGGCCTCACCAATTCTTGTCAGTCACTTCAGACCCGACTTGAAAACAAAACTTCCCTCCCTTATTCTGGAAATTTCTATGAAAATGGTAATCTGGGCTCTTCTGCCTTCCCTTTTTCATCCATCATTCTCAGTAGGAAATCTTCAAATCCAGTGGAGAATAGGCCAATCCTGAGTGTTCAGTGATCTGTTATTTTCCTCATTCAAGGAATTTAACATGTCCTCTTTGTAAAGTTACCCTGCACTTCACCAAGCCCCTCAATGAGAAGACCTCAGGTATACCAGTGCATATCACCATGGAAACTGAGCCTCCAGATGGAGGAAAGCTGACTTCCACAGACAAGGCTATCAGGAATCCACAACTCAACCTTGACACCCGCTGCTTGTACTGATGCTCTGAACTCATCTTGGAAAATTAATAAAAATTACAAACTCATGAGAGAAAAATAGTGGCTGGGTCTGGTTCTATGAAGCATCTGAAGAGCTGAGGTAATAAACAACTAATTGCTTTGTTGTATATAAATATGTATCAACAAATTTGTTCTTGAATTTTCTGCTTTGTTGCTATGTTTTTTTATAATTATAGATTTTAAAAATTATTCTTTAAAGAATGTCACCATAGAGCAGATCCTCTATCTTAGAATAAGAACCTTTCTGAGATCAACTATGCAGGCCACTTGACTGGCTATATGAAGGAAGGATTACATGAGCAAGACAGAGATACAAGCAACCTGACCCTATGGAAACATCTGTAAGAGGAAGAATGTAGCATGTAAGCCTCCTCCAGAATGACCGTCCTCACTTGCCTTCCTGGTTCCATCACAACCCAAGTTACAGTTGCTTAGAAGGACACAAGAATCAGACCAAAGTTGTACTGCCACCAAGAATGTGTACCTGCAGTTACATGTCTCTTTCTCACACCCCACAGCCGCCACAGGGAAGGGGCAGTTTGTTGGCATGCCATCAGGATCCTTCATACATCATTGGCTCTCCATAAATACAGTTAATTACCAGGTCATGAACAATAGCTTTTAAAAGAAGCTTTAACTCATCCCTTGAAGAATTGTTGAGACAGACTTAAGACATCATGCTGATTGTGAACACACTGTTCTGCTGTGTTCAAACCCTGCTGAAATGCCCTCAAGAGCCGGAAGGCTGGGAGGATTGAGACCTGTATCTGAATCAAGTCGTATGGAAAAGGGATTGAAGATGGGGCTTAATGAGAAAAGACAAGGGCTACCTATATAAAGTTCAGTATATTAAAACACATTTGCTTTCATTGGTCATGTCCAACAATAATAGCAGATATTTTTTGTAAAACTTCTAAAAACCTTTATGGATAGACATAACTAAGAATAGACAAAACTATGGATAGACATAATTATGAATGTCGTCATTGTTCTTAACTTTTATTTCACTGAAGAATTATTATAATAAGCCCTATATAAACAAAGATCCTGTGTGGTTTGTTTATTGTTACATATCTTCAGTGCCCAGCGCAAGGTAAGTACTCAGTATATGAATTAATTAATGCTAGACTCTACAATAACTTAATAGAGGGCTATGGGATGGTTGCCTAAACAAATGTCTTAAAAGGCCCCTACCTAGTGATTGATCAATATGGATGATACTCCCTTAGTATTGATATTTAAATAATATGGAATTACCTACATTTAGAGTTGATAAGGCAAGAGAGGGTCAAATGACATTACGTTTTAAAATCATTTTCAGTGGGAAAATAATGCCAAAATGATTATCATAAACCTGCTAATCTAAGTATTTCCGTAATCGCAGAGGAATGATTCTGAATCTGTCAACTTATTGTAGGGTTTTGTATTGAGAGAAAAAAAAAAGCTTTGTAACTTAATTGGATAATTGGTTTGTTATTGGCTGACTGATTCGCTGGTTTTTGAATGACCTGGATGGATCACCCAATTACACCAAGAAAGTCAATCTAAATTAAAATATCAATGTCAATGAAAAGTTCAATTAATATGATAGCAGATTATAGATTCATTTTGTGTAAAATTTTGATGCAACAGAATTATAATTTTATAAGCATAAATACTATTCATAATATAGTGGGATACCTTATAAAATAAATGCATACAGTAAATGTAAGACTGTTTATTGGTGTCACAGCACAATTTTATTATTTACTCTAGATTATTATAAAATTTTATAGTCGACTTGTGTTTTCATGTCATGTTTTTTATTACTCTGTGATTTATAGCATGTTTGGTTTCTTATATGGCAACACAACTCCTAGTTATTAATAGTGTCCCTGTGGAGAAATGCTGATTTATGATGCAGAGATTTCACCAAATTTCCAGGTATATATTTTAGCAACAATCAGTGACTACCTATATCAGTGATCACAGGTTTCCCTTGCCAACTCTGGTCTCTTGACTGTGGTTACCTCAAACACTGATGAGAAGGAAAGCTGGCTCAGTAGGAGCACCATAATGGCTGACTAGCAATGTCTGCTATAGGTGTCAGGTGGGGAGAATTGGCACCCTGTGCATTAGTACTCTCCTATATACACTAACCAACACACAATAAGCAAATATGTGTGTTGGTGATTGCTTTATTGACTGGAATTAATTTAGCTTTATAAAGTACCTAATTCTCACCCCACTCACTCTAGTGGAGTTGTTTATCCACTAGAAGAAAACAATTTCTTCTTAGTCTTCAAAATTTAAAAGGCAGGTAAATTACACTGCATTTGATTTGAAAATTAGCTTAACCCCTAAAGGAGATTTATTGGCTAATAACACTGGAAGTTCATGGTGAATCAGATTTCAGGGCCAGTTTGATCAGTGGCCCAATGATGTCATAAAGGACCTAGTGGCTTCGGTTACTCTTCCCTGCCTTCTGCACTATCAGCTTCCTGCTGAACCTGTTACCCATAGTGATAAAGTGGCTGCAGCAGTTCCAGGCTTTATAACCACATATCACATGATTTGTGAATGAGTGAGCAAAGCCTGCTCTAGCATTCTAACAACTAGGCTGAGATTTGCCCTTTTTGGCTCTCTTAGGTCTAATAACTGTGGCTGCAGGGGGTGGAGGGGTGGTTTGTGCCCATTCATACTCAGAGTGGGCTTAGCTTCCCATGAAGTTCATAAGCTGCATATCCCCACAAAATCTAGAAACTCATGAGAAAGGAAAAGGAAAAACAAATAGAGGCTGGTTAGGCAAACAAAGTTGTCCACTCCATCACATCAGCTTGCCTTTAAGAGGTGAAGTTAGTCTCAGAACTTCAGCCTTCTAATATGTAAAATGGGGATAATAATAGTTGATAAGACTATTATGAGGGCAAAATGAAGTCATATGAAAGTTTAGGATAGTGCCTGGTCTATGGTAAATACTATACAAGTTTGCTATTAGTATTTTTAATGACACTTATGTATAACTAACTTCCCACAGATACCTTTCTTTTTACACACACAAACTGGCATTTGCATGCAAGAATAATAGCAGGGGAAAGTTCCCCAAACATTAGCCGTTCATATTTTTATAACTTTTTAAAAGTAGCAAATGATAACATAGAATGTGTCATTTCTCTCTTTAAAGAAAGCTTTACAATTAAACTGAAAATAATTTGCCCTACTATCATACAGTGCAAAAAACATTAGCCTCAACATCCTGATATTACCATTTGCTGACTTTATAATTAGATTCAGCTTCTTCTATATTCATTGTATTCAAATAAGATTGCACTTAGTGAGGCAAGTTTAGCGTTTTGTCTTCATTTTTTTTTTTAATTGGAGTTGAAAATGGACCATGCTCTATTGTCAAATTAAAGAAATCTCTTTCAAGCACACAAATCTTTCTTAGGAAGCACTTTGGTGCAAGCATTTTCAAGCCAGGTATGGAAACTAGACATGCTGATGGGGAAGGAGAGTGGCAAATCTTTAGAATCTCTTTTTCTCTGATGAAAATTTGGCTTAAAAAATTTCTCCCTTGCCTTGGTTGATGTTTTAGACACTTTTCTTTGATTACGTATGAGCGAGATGTAGGTTAGGGGAAAAATGGATATATGGGGGAGTTATTATCAAGATAAAGAGGTAGATCTCACATTCAAAGAAAAAGCTGAGCTGGTTTTGGAATAACTGAAACGATGGGGTCAAGACATCTAATGCCATTATGAGCTTCTGTCCATCCTCCAACCCTTTGCCTTAGTGTATCAGGTTTATTCTCCCAGACCAGGTTTATCTACTTGATGCTGGACACATAGCTACAGTCAGCTCTTTTCCTTCTCCTTACATTCCATGATAGAAGAGAAAAGGATCTCTTCCTTACAGACCCCAACTAGAAATAATTCCAAGAAATGAGTCAATGGGATCATCCTCGATCATGTGTACAGACTTACAGGTAGGAATGGGGTCTATTGCTTGGATAAAGCAATGGAGGAAGGATGCTGAGCTTAGGAAAATAATAGCCATCTTAGCTGGGAAAAAAAAACATATTTTTTTTCCTCACTTACCAATTTTGTGAGTCAGTAAGCCAATTGTGGATTTGCACAGAGCTGAACCATGTATTCACAGAGTTAGGAAGTTAGCTAGCCCATCCTCCACAACTCTTCAGAGTGCACATGGGGCCATTTACTTAGTGAAAGCCCTGCTATAAAGAAGAGCCACCAGGGTTTCTCTCACCAGCTTATACCCAAAATTGTCTTTGAAGTTCAGAGCCCCAGCCCAGAAAATTCTCTCAACACAACACATGGCATTCTCCTGCATTCTATTGACACTTTTCTGAATCCTGTTCCAGGATAAGAGGCAGGAAATGTAAAGAATGTAATGGTGACATGTTCATTTGCTTATGTGGTGCATATAATTGCTGATTACTTTGGCACTTAGATGTATGCGTTAACATTTAGCTTGTGAAAGATGAATAAATTAACCCTGCAGCAACCATAACTATGGCATTTGCTTACTTATTAAAATGCTTTTTTTGCATTTTACAAAATTATTTTTAAAAATAAATAAAGTTGGAATTTAGGAACAAATCTCACATAGAAGAACATGGAACAGCCGGGAGGATGGAGTTATGGTTACTTTACATCTGACCACCAGATTGTCTATTAAGGGATAGTTATCCACTCATCAAATTCAGATCGTAAATATCCACATCTCATCAAGCATTAGAGTGTGAAAAAAAACTACAGCATTATGTAATAAAATTTCACTGTCTGCTTGAGGTCTTTGATAATAATCAATTAATAAGAAACCTTCATATCTATAGGACTGTGCTGGACACTATGACTGTCAGCACATTTCAGCCATGCATCCAGCGTTATATAGTGCCTCCCTCAAGGAACATGCAACGTATTGTGAGTCATATAGCATACTAGTGGAAGATCCGGGATCAAATTCTAAGTTGTAATTTTGGAAACAAGTCAGTATATACTTTATGTGAGCTAGATTGGTCAAGACACATTTCTTGGCAGACAGAGGGTTCAAAATGGATCGCAGATGATGGATAGTCAAGGAGAGATTCTTTCGGGTTTCTGTTTTTATGATTGGTATAGACATGGAGGCTTGAAATTGCATTTCAGTCAGTGTGAATAGCCTGAACCAAACTACAGAGATCATCTTAGAAGCTGTATGGGATGCAGAGAGCGTGATGCACAGTGAATCAATTTGGAGGACAGAATGGAGGATGATGAGATCCAGACAAAAAGATTTTCATTTGGTGCAACAGTTTGCTGGGCAGGAAAGTAACAAGAGCAATATTTTTTTTGAAAATAAGTTATTCTACTGTGTGTTGGAGGTGGGAAGAGGCAGAGAGAGAGACAGAGAAAGAGAGAGAGACTGAAAGAGGGAGAGGGTGAAAGTCAATTTGATTGTCAAGAGTCAAAAGTAACAAACCTGAGGCTTACCGAAGGCATTTTGTAATAAAGCCTTAAGTTAAGGTAGTCAGAGACATAAAGAGTAAGGAAGGTCATAAATATATTTTCTAAAAAGATTAATAGCAGGGCTTGACATTTAGATGTAAGAAAAACTGAGAGCTCTGACTCCACAATTTTTGAATTCAGAGACAATTGAGAATTCAGATCTTTCTAGTCATGTTGGGGCACCTTCTAGTGCCTTCCATGTGTCTGGCAGTTGAGGGGAGCTTTTTCCTCTCAGTTTCAGCATAACTGGAAAACTCAGCTTCTGAAATGGTTCCATCCATTTTTGCCTCAGGGAGAAATAAATGCCAAGATATGAATGAGAAATTTCTTGCACCTCTGAATTTCCATCTCCCAGCTTCTTTTTTGCTGTTTGCTTTGTTTCACAAAGTCTGATAAAGTGAGACATAATGGATGCTTATCTCTACAAAAGAAAAAAAGAAAAGAAAAAAAAGAGAGTGGGTAGAGTCGTCAAAGAATTGCCTTATGAAATAAAGTCCAGTAGAATCCTAGGTTATAATTATCACTGGGCTATAATTGTAGAAGAACAGTATTTCTTTAACCAATAATTTTTGAATTGAGAATTGTTTTATAAAGAGTTTATGTTCTTATATACATATAGTTTTCAATATCTGCGTATGTGAAAATTAATTGAAAATATGTCCACAGAGTTGCAGAACTTCACAGCCCTATATCTTCATGCTGTCTTCTTGTAAAACATGCTGAATCTTTTTTTACTAATTTCCGTAAAATAATTTTACTGAAAATAGTTCCAGTTAGTACACACTGGTAGTCAGTCAAAATGATGATCCAGGTTTCACAAACCTTGAAGTTTGGGGCTTTTTTCCACATTTCAAGCTTCAGCAAATTAGTGAAGTCTGAATTCAGTTTGGGTATTTGATTTAAGCCCCTGATCAATAGCCTGACTAAAAATAATTAACTGTGACTTTTCCACTTTTTGGACCGTGTCAGCTAAATTTAAAAAGAGGTAAGTACTATTTATTAAGTTGGTGCAAAAGTAATTGCGGTTTTTACCATTAAAAGTAATGGTAAAAACCGCAATTACTTTTGTACCCACCTAATAGAAGAGTAAGTCAAAAAATAGCCTGCGTGTATGGGAGGCCAGTGTAGAAGAAATGGTCAACTTAAAAGCATTCCAAAGAGTCACTACTCCTGGCTCTAAGCTCATTTCTGTCCCTAGTCAACCATGTGGTCTTCAACAAGGTACTCAACACCAGTCTGTCTTGATTTCTTCACTTGTAAAATGAGAGCATTAAAAGTTAAATGATCCACCATCGGATCTCTTGTAATATTATTTTCAGTGAGATCATGGCCCTTGTTTTGTAAACCAGTTGCTGGCTTTGGAGTTGTGATGAGGCAAAATCAAAGCAATTACCGCCCTTTGCCCTCTCCCATCAGCTGCCTCACCCTGTCCTCAGGCACTCAGGTATAGACCATGGATCCTCTTTCTCCCTCCTCCGACTTGTCTACATACAGGGTCTTACCATTTTTTGTTCATACTTGTGTGACAGTGTTCATCTTCCAATATACAAAGTATCTTTGTGGTATAGACCATGTCTTATACTTTCTTGTGTTTTCTACACAATCTACTATAGTGTTAGGTGCACAGAAGGTATTCATCAAAAGCCTAATGCGTGAACGGGTTGGTTTGTTTCATTAACTTTATTTTCATTTGAAGAGTTTTTGGTTTATTGAGCCAACAGAAATTCCAACAAGAATTCATCAAGTACAATAAAGAAACAATTGACCATTAGGAAATGTTAAGAACACATTCCCTTTTTAAAGTTGCAAGACCTGGGTACATACTCTCGCTATAGTCCATTCTGTCATATATGTGTGAATACAATAATGCTGACTTGTAATGCTTGCTTAATAAAGGTGTCTTCTTTTTAAAAGCTTTTAGAGTGGGGAAAATGGGCCAGTATGGGTTTGTAAGAATGCATACACATGGTGGAGAAAAGTTGTTTTCCTTTCGATTTGTAAAATCACTTTCTACTGTTCTCAGAGATAAGCCCTGACACATAAGAAAGGAAATGCCTGGTAGCATTGAATTGTTGCATGCCTAGAGGGAGCAGCTAAAGGGCCAGTGCTTTGGGCTATGTAGGCTTTAAGAAAGCCAGATCGTGTATTTCATTTTTGTGATCCAGATAACTTATAAGGGATTTGCTGTCATGTACCCACAGAAAAAGGAACTGTCTAAATTCTCATGCCATGGCATAAGAGAACGATGTACTTTGCAAGCTGTTATGACCCTAGGAGACTCCTCAGTACAACAATCTCATTTGCAGAAGAAGTTCGGAGAAGCCTCTTATGATTAAATAAATTTTATTATTTTCCACTTAACAAAATTCATTCACACTTTACTGTAGAGCCAATAATGGTTTAACCTTAAAATGACCTCTTTAGTAATACCATAAGTGGAATTTCTACTTGAATATAAATGTTGTCTGTTTAAAAAAACTGGCTGGGCACTGTGGGTCATGCCTATAATCCCAGCACTTTGGGAGGGAGGCTAAGGCAGGTGGATCACTTGGGGTCAGGAGTTCAAGACCAGCCTAGCCGACATAGTGAAATCCTGTCTCTACTAAAAATACAAAAATTAGTCGGGCATGGTGGTGCATGCCTGTAGTCCCAGCTACCTGGGAGGTTAACGCAAGAGAATCGCTGGAACCCAGGAGGCAGAGGTTGCACTGAGGCAAGATTGTGCCACTGCACTCCAGCCTGGGCGACAGAGTGAGACTCCATCTCAAAAAACAAACAAACAAACAAAAAACAAATGAAAACAAACAAACAAACAAAAACACCTGGGCTCTGGGGCTCTGGAGTGAGATACAGCTGGGTTTAAATCTGAGGTTGGCCTTTACTGGCTGTGTGTCCCTGGACAGGTCACCTAATGTCTTTAAACATTTGTTTACATGTTAAGTGGAAGATATTCTACTCTCTACCTTAAGTGAGACATTCCGTGAATAGCATAACAGCGCCATGTGGTTTTACATATGGTAAGTGTCCATGTCAGTCTAAATGTCTTAAAACGGTTGCAATTCTTTTCCAGTTCTTCTAATTATAAAATTAAGCAAGACAGATTTTTAAATATAATGCTTTGATGGCACATTAAAGGTTGAAATGTCCAAGACGGAAGATGTGATTGTTTCCATGTAACTGATATGAGGAAAAGGGTTGATAACCTTTATTTTGGATGATGAGGTTTAGCCTGGGATTGCTGGCATTCTTGGAATGTGACAATTCCAGGCAATGTTTACAGTTCTCAGGTGTTCTCTGAGATAGTATTATCTGGAGGTAATCTTTTGTTGATTGTCAGTAGGGACAAATGGAATTAATTTAGCATCGATCTCTCTCAGCCTCTCTCCAATCTTCACTCCTACCTCCACCAAACACAGCATCTAACCAAACCAACCACCAAGTAAAGCAAGCCAGCCAGGTGATGTCTTCGGACTATATAGTGTCATTTTTAACCCACCAATGTTTAAGGAGAATTAATATACAGAGTCCCTAGAATTTGTCAGCACGTTAATACTGCTTTGAGCAACCCAAAGAGGCTTTGGACATGCCGAGGAGTATTTGGAGACAGGAATTGAGAGGAAAGTGGACTTTGAAAAGTGTTTCTTTTAATGTTCTTTGAAATCACTCTAAAATTCTTTGAGAAATGCAGGTAATGAATGAAGGATTTTTAAAAGGCACTGTGGTAGTTGTCTTGCTTTTCTTTCTTCAATTTAATGTGATACAATGTTAAGACTGGAATTCACTTGGAGTTCTCATATTTATTCAAATTGCAGAATTTTAGGGAAAAATTTGAACAACTAAATCATCTTAGGGCTCTAAGCTATATAGTTGTAAGAAAAAGAACTTGTGTGTTTAAAGTTATGCTAAACTACTTAGCACTACTTACATTAAAGTAATGAACGATAATCCTGGAGTACGTAGTAGAGTTAAATTTTATCCATCCTATTGTTAGCTTTTTCAGTGAGGTCACCAATAAAACCTAAATTGAGAATCTGGTAAGTCATTACTTCCCATTCGCCTAAGAATTTTTAGCAGCAGTATCCTTGGATGTTCAGAGGATAGACCTAATAAAGCTTATTATCAGGTTGGATCAATGCAAGACAGACAGCCAAGTATATTATAAAAGACAGTAGATAGAAAGGATCTTTAATAAATAAAGTCAATTTCTTCCAGTCGGTATTCAGGACTCATCATGTTGAGTAGATGCCACCTATTCTCTATAATTTGTTTTAGAAGTACTCTGGGGACTTACATATGAGTACAAAACAAAAGAAGAAAACATACTCATTGGGACTAAAAACCAACAAACTGAAAAACAGACTTTATTTGTTTTTCATCACTGAAGAAAGAGCTGAATTTCATGAAGAGTGTAGGATGCAGTATCTACTCAGAGGAGGCAATAATAAAGGGATGATTGGGCATTGCAGGAGGAAACCTCATCTAGTGGGAGAAAACGTTGTACTTTTTTGATAAAAGAAATCTAGGCGGGACATTGTTAAAGAAAAATGACAAGCTCAGGCATTGTGTTGCTCTTCATGTAGAACTCTACAACTTTTAAATGGAACTGTTCTTTTCAAGGTGATCAAAAATTAGTGAAGAATTTTGCCTACTATCCTTGCAAATTCAACATTTTTATTATATTGACAAATGCAACTAATTACATATATGTCATAGATTAACTATAAATAAATTACGAGGCTGTGTGATGGAATTATTTTGTCCAGGCAGGAATTTGTGAATGGGTGAAAACTGAGAGGGTGCATATATAATACACAGCTTCCCCGTATACATTGGCTTCAATGTCTCTACATCTCTCCACTCCAGGAATAGATTTGTAGTATAATCAACTAGAAACAGAAGCCAAATATCACTGTTCATGGCAGCCTGTCACATCAGGAATTCATTTGTACACATGACAACTCCTCCATCTCAGAACCGTGGGTGAGAAAGGCCTGATTGGCAGCAATTATTCTCTGGCCACTGATGCTTTCTGCGTGGCTTCCTCAGACCTTCCTCCCATGCACAAAGACATAAAGTATACCAGAAACATTTTTCACACAGGCTTAAGAAAATGATTGCAGCCTTTCCCCACATAGTACAAAAGGTCAGTGTATCTCTGAGCTTCATTCCTCTTTTTTTTGCAGGTAAGGACACTGTCTTGCTGGCAGCTTGATAGCCGCTACCTGATTTCCTGATAATAGGAAAGTTTCACCTTCTGCTATGGCTATTTAAAATGTTTACTTTTGTACTAACGCATTAGAAACCAACTAAATTCTGTGGGTTTTTCTTTTTTTTTTTTCTGTTGTTTGTTTGTTTGTTTGCTTTTGAGACAGAGTCTCCCTCTGTCACCCAGGCTGGAGGGCAGTGGTGTGATCTCAGCTCACTGAAACCTCTTCCTCCCCAGTTCAAGTGATTCTCCTACTTCAGCTTCTCGAGTAGCTGGGATAACAGACATGCACCACCACACCCAACTAGTTTTTGTATTTTTAGTAGAGATGGGGTTTCACCATGTTGGCCAGGCTGGTCTCGAACTTTTGGCCTCAAGTGATCTGCTCACCTCGGCCTCCCAAAGTGCTGGGATTACAGGTGTGAGCTACCTCACCCATCCCAAATTCTGTTTTAATGTTGGTTTAGATGTAGCTTTGTTAACTATGTATAATAATGGAAACCAAGAAAAAAACAGATACGCTGCACTTCTTATAATAGAGATCAGATCAATTGCTGAGTGCCTAAAGTTACAAAATAGCTTACATAATATTTTATATGATACGCAATAGAATATATAATGTATAATATATTATACAGATATAATTTCTGTAATTAAAATTATATAATCTCAATGGTGAAAATTAACAATTAAAATATAACAATAAACTTGACCTGTATCAGTTATCATTAAATTGATTGGGGCAGTTTAGGTCTTTCTCCAAATTTTACTTTGGTCTCCATTCATTAAATGGACATTAACTAGGGACTTCAAAGACCCAAGAACCACACTCAGCCTTGGGGATAGAATGAAGACTAAGAGATGATGACTGCTGTCAGCATTAATTTCTTCCACATTATTTAGCCCACTAAGAATGAGATATAATTCAAATTTCTGAAACTTGTAGATGTGTGGACACATTTTCATAAACTTTCTTAATAAATAGGCCTGCAATGACAAAATGCACACAAAATTTTGAATATGTAATAACTGAGTCCTATCCTTTATTTCAAGAGACAAAGCTAAGAATTAGAAACATAAACAAATTGTGTCCATCTTAAGGGTGATAATGTACAAATGTGGCCATTTCCAGTAGTCATGGAGTAGGCAAATGAATTGAAGAAGTATGATTTTGACAACCCTGGACAGCATTAGAAGCTCATTGTCCAAATATGAGACAAGTTAGACAGACTTACAAGCAGAAAAAAAGAAAAAGTTGATAGCCTCACTATCAAAAGAAAAGATTCATGATATGCAACTCTCTTGCTAGCAAGTAAAAAAGAGGAAATACATTAAATTATTAGAAAATGTTAAAAGTAATGAGCCTTTATCTGTTCACAGAGTCATCAAAAGTTATTTCTGTGTAGGAAGTGTCAAGTAGCATGGATAAAGAGTATTCGGGAAATTCTTTAGTTGTGGTCTTGAAGACTGTTGAAATTATTAGCATCTGAGAAACTATTATAAAAAAAGTTTACATTAATTCAGGTGGAGCAATATGGGGCAATAGGATAAGAAAGGAGTAATAATATTGGTCTAATGTGTGGAGAAAATGAGAATACTTGATGAAGATATCACAGGTTACCCAGAGAGGCTTGAAGACCAGCTGCTGGGAGATCAGGAACCTGAGCAGCAAGGATAGCTCAAAGGGAAGTCATTTTACATGGTGTGAACTGGTGTAAAAGATCAGGGAAAAATAGAAATCATAGATAATTAACCAATCTTAAAATAGAGCAGACTGGGCACGGTGGCTCATGCCTGTAATCCTAGCATTTTCAGAGGCCAAGGCAGGCGGAACACCTGAGGTCAAGAATTCAAGACCAGCCTGGCCAACATGGTGAAACCCCATCTCTACTAAAAATACAAAAATTAGCCGGGCGTGGTGGCAGGTGCCTGTAATCCCAGCTACTGAGGAGGCTGAGGCAGGACAATCACTTGAACCTGGGAGGCAGAGGTTGCAGTGAGCCAAGATTGCACCACTGCACTCCAGCCTGGGTGACAGAGGGAGACTCCATCTCAAAAAAAAAAAAAAAAAAAAAAAAATTTAGAGCAAAGCATCAGGAAGCTTGGGAGCTTCCTGAGTGACAGCCAGGGTGACCTTACATTCTGTTTGCCCAGGACATCTCTGATTTACATCTGTTTTACCAGCACTCAAAAATGCTGTCATTTGGGATGATAAATTATATGATCATACTTCCAGGAGAGTAAATGGAGTGAATGAAGAGGAAGCCTCTTTCACTAGTTGTCTCTGGACAAAATCCCAGTTGGAATTATTACCAATAATGAGTTAGTTACTCAGAGACATATTTCTATTTCCCCAACTTTCTCTTTACCATGAAAAACAAACTGTACAATAACACAAAAGCCCAAGAAACCCAACTACATTATTCTGTACCTGGAAAAATCAGTACATAAAAAGAAAACAGTTTCTAACACATAATATATGCAACTGCCTAGGTACTATTCAGAAAGCAGGTCCCATGTACTGGTTAACTCACAGATCCACAAGGAACGAGGTACATTTTGCTTCCATTTACTTTTAACCATGATGATGATGTTTCATAGCTTGACAATTATAGAACTATAATAGCTGACTGTAAACCCAAAGTAACTTCCTCAAGTAGTATTTTAAGGTTGTGAAAATATTTGCTGGGCTTTTAAAAGTGAGATAATGTTTCTCTAACACAGTGACATGTACAGATCTGGATTTTAGTGAGATGTGCTACTGAGTCAGTTATTTAAAATCGATATTTAAAAATATACGTTTTTCTCCATTAATTTAATAATTGATGATTTCTATGCACTAAATTGTTAGGGAATTACAGGCTGTTTTTAAAGAAATTGCTTTCATATGTGGTCATTTCATTTGATCATTATGAAATGTCTGGAATATTAGGGGAAAAACAAGTTATAATTATCTTATCAAACAAAATCCTATTTTTGGTAAAATTAAATGACTAATCGGGGTCACTTTTTGAAGTAAAATCAGGTTTTTGTTGTTGGACTATGAAAACACAGTCCTTTTATTCTCATGAGGTCTTTTTAAAACATTTTGTACATAAATTTGCATTTCAAGCTTTATGTCATTATTATAAAAAATAATTGTCATAATTTGGACAGAGCCATGCTGAAATGGACCTTTGTGTCTTCCACGAGGGCAAAGTTTGTGAAGAAGGTTAACAAAGTGCGTGGAATGCTTCCTAAAAACACACCCACTTGGCAGACAAACAATTACATGTGAATTATAAATACATTTTTAAAGCAAATCTGTGGAGCACCGCTATAAGCAAAATTTTCTGAGCCTTTATTTAATGTATTTATTTGAAATCAATGATTTTCAAACTTATTCTATAATTCAGCTAATTTGCTGGTCTTCTAGTAGCCCTTTCTAGTTAACCTGAATTATTTAGCTAGCCGGTGATGGTCACATTATTAGGATATTTCTCTTCTAGTAGGGGAAGGCAGCTTTCCTTTCTGTCTTTCTCTGCCATGCTCTTTAACCAACAGAGAGAGGAATAAACAGGAAGGGGGAGAAGGAGGAGGAGAAGGAAAAGGCAGAGAGGGGAAAAGGAAAAGGGGAAGGGGCAGGGTAGGGGGTGGGAGAGAGAGACAAAGAGAGAGAGAGAGCATGCACTCCACTGAATATACTCAAGAGCCATAACTTGTAGCAGGGCTGTTACATATGGAAGCAGCTAGGCACTATGGGACTTGGGGGAGCAACATTCCTGTGGACTATACTGTGAGAGATTAATGCACGGGGTTGTCCAAGGCTATGGCCCTAAACATTACACACACAAAAAAATGTTCCTATCAAGAATATCCACAAGCAATAGCCTCATGTTCATGTTATCTGGCTTAGTCTCGTAGACACCCTATATTGCCTTGCATGCTAGGTCCCAGTCAACAATGTAGTGTGTGTGCATATTAGAGAAGAATTTTCCTCCATCCTCCTCCTGAATATGTTTTTTTCTGGGCCATTTACATGAACCAGCTTTCATTCACAGCCTGCGTATGAGGGAGAGGATCAGATTTGCTCACGTGCAATGAAGGTGCATTAATTGACACAGGGTAGTAGAAAATAGTGACATTAAATAGTTTTGATTGCACTAAGTGCTACTGAGACAAAAGTGGAAATTATTCTTCCCGTATTCTGAGGAAGCTAATTAAAAATAAAAAAGCAGATATTCTTTCTTTCCCCAGTAAAACAATTACTCTTCGTGCTATACATTTACATTTGGTAAGAGCTGCTAATGAGGTTGTTTACGTTTGTACTGTCACTTTCATACTAAGTCGCATCATGAATAGGAATAGGTGTACCTTGCAACTTGCACCATCACCTAGCAGTGAGTCCACACCATGCCTTCGGAACTCCATGCATCATGTTGCACTGAGCAAAGCAAAGGAAATATTTCAGAGCAGGCATATTTAATTAACCATAGTGGACATTTTGGTTGTAGTTAAATCATAATTATCACCACCAGCTGCTCAAATTTTGTCCATTCAGCATACATTTATGGAGTGCCTACTGCGTACTTGGGATGAAACTTGCTTTTGACAATGCTCTAGGATTTCTCATGTTGAGAAGTCTGTGCCTTTCAGGAAATTACCTCATAACGATGGGAATGGCAAACCAGTGCCCTGAGAGAGTAAATGCACCTTCAGGAAGTAATTTTCTCACCTCACCCACAAGACATTTCAAATAATGGTAATCATGAGCACTTTCCTAACACTGAATTCATAATTCCATCTGTGTCATATAATCATGGCAACCATGGGGATCCTTTTCTTCTTTTACAGATGGAACAAAGGGAAAGCACCTCTTATTCCAGTAAATTCAAAAGCTGAACTTATCTAAGCTATATACATATGTGTGTATATATATCCACACATATACATATACACATACATATACACATATACACAATACATAGACATATATACTATTTATTAATATATACTATATACACACACACATAACAGTCAGTTTCCAATTTACAAATGGGTTAAACTCCAAAATTGATATGGTAAGTATTTCATTAAACTCTAAAACCCACTTTTTTATCAAAAATTCTAACGTACAAAAATTATGTTGTTAAATCAGCATATAAAGCAAACATTCTTATTTGCACCTGCAGTCCTCTCCATCAATACATGTGTAAATATTTGTTATATTTATAGTATCATGAATACATAGGCCCACAGAAAGCTCATATTCAGAAATTAGTTTATTTAAGAGTTTTCTGCTTAAAATATTTCAACAAATATATGCAAATTTCATCTTGGTTCTTCCTCTCTACAGTAATCTCCATCCTCTCCTTTATCAGGCCCTCCAACTCCTTAGTAGTCAGCATTTCTCTAGGGCTTTCAACTGCTTTTACTAGACTATTAGAAAGCCATCATTGACCAATTGCCTGCCCACCTTAAGAATAAATTTTCCTTCTTTGCCAAGGCTGAGAATCCAGTAAAAGTCTTGAGGCTTGCTTTTCATACAGTTCAACATCATGCGTGGACTATTTCAGGCCCATTGAACTACCTAAACTATACTATTTAAATTCCCCCCCCACTTCCCTTCTCCTTCTTCTTCTTTGTCTCTCCCTGCTTCATGTATGTGGATAGCTGAATCCAAAGGGTCCTTGCTGGAACTCAACAGCAATCATAGTACTAAACCACAGGAACGACTCCACTCTTATAAAGCACTGTTCTTTCTCCAGGCTTCAGTGCCCCCAAACCCTTTTCCCTCCTTTTTTTTTCCTCCTCTTCTCCTGGGAATGCAGGAAAAGACAATTCTAATCGGGAGATATCTCCAGCATCAGTATATCACAGATTTGTCTGGCTTTCCATCACACTGAGGATAAATTTCTCGTCCCTTACCACATCTTGCGAAGTCCCATGGGCTCTGGTCCAGCATTTCTCTTTGACCAGAGCTCACACCATACTCCAGATCCAGCTTCAGATCCAGCCACAGTGATCTGCTTTCTGTTCCTGGATGATGCCCAACTCTTGGTCTCTGAGGACTTTTGCACTAACTGTTCCAACCACTTCTCAGCATCAGTGTCACCTACTCAGACCACCCAATTTAAAGTTGGCCCCCTCTCCTTCCCAAGCATCTTTCTATTACCCTGTTTACTTTTTTCCCACCACCATCAGTGCCTCTTTTAAACTGATTTGTTATTTAGAATCCATCACCCCACCTGGAATGTAAATTCCGTGAAGCAATGAGCCTTCATTCACTGTGGTATCCTAGAATCTGGAATAGGATTTAGAAAAGGGGCACCAACCAAACATTCATTGTAAATAGGTGAATAAGGTGAATCTACTAGGCAGGGCATGGTGCCTCATCCCTGTAATCCCAGCACTCTGGGAGGCCAAGGTGGGTGGATCACTTGAGCCCAGGAGTTCAGGACAAGCCTGACTGACATAGTGAGACCTCATCTCTACAAAAAATACAAAAATACAGGCATGGTGGTGCACGCCTGTAGCCCCACTCACTTTGGAGGCTGAGGTGGGAGAGTCACCTGAGCCTGGAAGTTCGAGGCTGCAGTGAGCTGTGATTGCACTGCTGCATTTCAGACTGGGTGACAGCAAGACCCTGTCTCAAAAAAAAAAAAGAAAGAAAGAAAGAAACTACGAAACTGGGCATTCATTATGATTAACATCTTAACCTGTATCATTTATTGGGCCTTCTTACTGGTAATATGTATCTCAAATATAATAAAAGGGGACTTGGCCAGGCGAGGTGGCTCACACTTGTAATCCCAGCACTTTGGGAGGCCGAGGTGGGCAGATCATGAGGTGAAGATATTGAGACCATCCTGGCCAACATGGTGAAACCCCGTCTCTACCAAAAATACAAAAATTGCTGGGAGTGGTGGCGCATGCCTGTAGTCCCAGCTATTTTGAAGGCTGAGGCAGGAGAATCGCTTGAACCTGGGAGGTGGAGTTCGAAGTGAGCCGAGATCATGCCACTGCCCTCCAGTCTGGTGATACAGCGAGACTCCACCACAAATAAATAAATAAATAGATAAATAAATAAATATTAAAGGAGACTTACGTGAACATGTCACTCAGTTTAACTTTCCCTCTAGCAACCTTCATTTATTCATGAGCTTCACAAAGATTTGATTTGTGAGCATTGAATACAGCTTATGGGCATGATCAATTCTTACTAAAACTTTATAGGCATTTTACAAATACCCTTTTAAAGTTCACAACACGGAAATAAACACTGGTTTCCCCATTACCTTTCTTGTTTCTCTACAGGTTTCTACTGCTTTTCTCCATGCAGCAATCAACCCAAAGCCTTTATTCATAAACTCCATTATCCATATCTCTCCTACATTCAAAACCTGTAGCAAATAAAAAACAAATCTGGACTTAAGAAAATAGAGACTTTATTTGAAAGGACTTTTGCAATAACAGGGTTACTGCGATAAGGGAAGGGGTACTATTGCAATAGGGAAAATGCTTACTCCGTGAGGTATGAAAGCAATTCAAAGGTCAGGCAGAAAAGAGCTTTTCTTTTACAGAAAGGAGTAAGCCAACCTGGAAGGAGCCAGGTATGGGGGAGTGGGGAGAGCAGATGGCTTGATCGGACAGTTAAACAGGAGACATCTTTCTTTGTAGATGATTTTCAGGAGGGATTATTATGACTCCAATACTTGCTTAACCTAAGAAGTGAGTCAATTTCAGGGTCCTGTGGTGAAGAGTGAAACTTAATTGAAGTTTGGTTAAGTCAAATTAACAAGCATTTTGTTCTGATTGGTCAGTGGGGACCAATAGTTCAGCTAATCGTGTATGAGACAAAGAATGGGAATTTGGAAGGTCTGCATCTGGCCTTGCCCTAGGTAAACAAGGAAGTCATTCCCAACCCTTATCTAAGTCATATGGGGAAGGGTGGTTCTTGCAGTAAGCCATTTCTAATAAGACAAAGAGTACAGGGATTTCTTTCATCATTGCTGATATTAAGGAGCACAGGTCTCAGGTAAGGTTTAACATAGCCACTTCCAATGGCTTTCCAGTTCATTTGAAGTAAACCCATTATTTTCAGTGGTCTGTAACAGAGGTCCCCAACCAATGGGCCATGTGGCCTGTTAGGAACTGGGCCACACACCAGCAGGGGAGCCGTGAGTGAGTGAGTGAAACTTCATCTGTATTACAGCCACTCCCCATTCTCACATTACCACCTGAGCTCTGCCTCCTGTTAGATCAGCAGCGGGATTAGATTCTCATAAGAGTGTGAACCCTATTATGAATTGTGCATGTGAGGGATCTAGGCTACAGGCTCCTGTAAGAATCTACTGCCTGATGATCTGTCACTGTCTCCCATCACCCTCAGATGAGACTGTCTAGTTGCAGGAAAACAAGCTCAAGGCTTTCACTGATTTCTGCATTATGGTAAGCTGCGTAATTATTTCATGATATATTACAACGTAATAATAATAGAAATAAAGTGCACAATAAATGTAATGCACTTGAATCATCCTGAAACCATTCCCCACTCTCCTTGGTCCATGCAAAAATTATCTTCCACAAAACTAGTCCCTGGTGCCAAAAGGGCTGGGGACCATTGGTCTATAAGACACCATGTGATCTGACTTCCACCCACTCTCTGAGTCATTTCCATCCCATCTCAACTGTGCTCACTGGCCTCCTTAGGTTCCATTCTAGGATTCTATGTTCCTGCTCAAAGACTTCTGGGCTTGCTCATCCTCTGCCTGAATGCTTTCTCCCAGATACCACATGGCGTTGGGTATCTGCAAATGTCTTTTCGCAATGCCCGTCTTGACCACCTTGTATAATAACACAATCACTCTCATAACAATTCGCCCTTCCAAGCTCCTCATCCTGCTTCATTTCACTCTGTGGGACTTATCACAATCTGACATGTTGTATAGATTTGGAATTGTTTTGTCATCTTTCACCGTTCATTGAAATGTGAGCTCTAGAAAGATATAGACTGTCTCTTTGATTTACTGCTATACTTTTATCTTTATCACCTATAACTGTTTGTTAGATTATCGAAGAAGCAAACAAATGATTACATAAATGAACAAATGAATGAATAGAAGTAATTATATTGTCTCAAATTGAGAAACTTCGTACAAAGATTCTTCGACCGTGCCTAAGAAGTTATTTCTCTTGGGAGATCAGGATAAACGAGGAACAAAATGAGGGACACTAAAATAGGAAGCCATAAAACCCTGTTGTCAATTTCCAGCACTAGAAATTACCAAAGAAATGCATAACTTATTAAAATTTAAATGAAGTCACTAGCAAGATTGATAAATGTTCCTGGCGTTCTACCAAAAAATGTCTGTTGCATCACACTGGAATGGACCTAACCTATGAAGAATCGTGGTGCGTCTATAGGCTAAAGATGAAAATGTCAAGGATATCTCTAAATACTGTTCGTTGGAAAATCCAAAAGGAGGAAATAGTAATTAATTATATTAGGATAAATATATGATTTGTCTTCGAAATCTAAATAGACTGGATTAATCAAATGTCACAGTGGCATTTCTAATAATGATTGTGCTGTGCAAAGTCCATTAGTGAGCTATACTTGCCAAGAGAAAAGTTACAGAGAATCAATTAAATAAACAAAATTATCTTCCCCTCTCCCTCTCCTCCAGATAGTCTATGAATCTTACCATTTTGGGTGGTGCCTGGATCCTTTGAAAATTAGGAAAACATTTATATAAGATGCTCTCCCTTGAGCCCCCAAATCACTCCATGATGTTTAACACTGTAGAGTTATCTAATATCTTTGAAAAGGAGAGACTTTAAATGATAAGAGCAAATTAAAAATGGCTTAGTATGTCAGAAAGGACATGGCATTCTAACACTAAGTCCTCTGTATTAATAAATGCACCTGTCATGTTCCCAGGATTAATGAGAAATATGTTGGCAGGATTCATTTGAACAGCGAATTTGCCTGGTTATACTTACAGATCATCTTAAAATCGCCTGCTTGAGCACAGACAATGACATCGTAAATATGTATTTGAAACTAAATTTAAATTTGAGAGAAGCAATATCCATTCATTAAAGAGGAAGAAACAAATGCATTACAATGAATCTCAGATAAATGAAAAAGCCTGACTCTAGAGCTATGAAAGGGTTTAGTGACCCTTAGTGTGAGTGTGAAGATATTCTTATTCAAAGCAAGGCTATCCATCAATGAATTCTTTCAGAGACACTCTTATCTGAAGGCTTACTGGGGATAGGTTTAATTCCTATATACTGAGTCTCTTAGAACTGAGAAATCTCAAGTTAAAATGGATCAAATGCAGGATTTTGTTGTAGGGTGCCCTAAATGGGAAGGCTGGGCTGGCGAGTGCTTTGAGGAAGCTTCCTGATTTTATCCTCCATGTGCTACAGTCATCAATGTCTTGCCCAAGACTTTCTGGTTTCACAGGAAATTTATTAACTGTGGCAATACCAGAGAGACTTTTCTGTGTACATTTCTTTAACAAAAAGCAAACTGGTGAAAGAAGCTGGACAGACACCAAGAAGGATATAGGGATGATTTCATTTACATGAAGTTCAGGGATAGGCAAAATATAACTACAGTAATAGAATTTAGAATAGGGGTGTAGAGGGTCGAAGGTGGCCCTCAAAAAGATAGGTCCATATCCTAATCCCCCAGAAACTGAGAATGTGACCTTATTTGGAAAAAGGGCTTCTGCAGATATAATTAAGCTAAAAATCTTGAGATGACATTAATCTTGCATTTTCCAAATAAGCTGTAAATCCAATGACTAGTGTCCATGTAAGATACACTGAGGCTGGGCGCTGTGGCTCACGCGGGTATTCCCAACACTTTGGGAGGCTGAGGCGGGCGGATCACAGGGTCAAGAGATCGAGACCATCCTGGCCAACATGGGGAAACCCCATCTCTACTAAAAATACAAAAAGTAGCTGGGCATGGTGGTGTGTGCCTGTAATCCCAGCTACTCCGGAGGCTGAGACAAGAGAATCGCTTGAACCCAGAGAGTCAGAGGTTGCAGTGAGCGGAGATCGCCACTGCACTCCAGCCTGGTGACAGAGCGAGACTCCGTCTCAAAACAACAACACCAAAACACACAGAGGAGAGACACAGAGGGAAGGAGAAGACAAAGGCAGAGATTGGGGTAATGCTGCCACAGTCCAGCAATGCCTGGAGCTACCAGAAACTGACAGAGGCAATATAGGCTTGTCCCCTAGCCCATTCTTTCACTGTGGCAGCATCTCTCCAATCTCTCAGAGGGATAAAGCCTTGGGAATGGATGCTTTAATTTTGGACTTCTGGCCTTCAGAACTGTGAGAGAATACGTTTCTGTTATATTAAGCCACCAAGTTTCTGTTCATTCGCTACAGCAGCCACGGGAATCTATGCCCAGGGAACAAAAAGCTGTCACATAAGGAACACGCACTTTCTGCGCTTTGCCATGTGTATGATACCAAAAAGTATATGAACAAAAATGAAGTAATGGGTTTTTCGGGGGCTTTTTTTTTTTTTTTTTTTTTTTGAGACAGTCTCACTCTGTCGCCCAGGCTGGAGTGCAGTGATGCAATCTTGGCCCACTGCAACCTCTGCCTCCCAGGTTCAAGGGATTCTCCTGCCTCAACCTCCCGAGTAGCTGGGATTACAGGCTCACACCACCATGATCAGGTAATTTTTTGTATTTTTTGTAGAGATGGGGTTTCACCACTTTGGCCAGGCTAGCTCAAAAATCCTGACCTCAGGTGAACCACCCGCCTCAGCCTCCCAAAATTCTGGGATTACGGCATGAGCCACCACACTCAGCCTGAAGTAGCGTTTTTAAAAGTCAAAATAAATCCTCAAAGTTCAACTTAAGCATGGCATTAGGCTGATATCTTCTTGTAGCAGTGAGTATTTATAAAACGATTTTTATAAAATGGTGATACTTCTGATTTTTTGTGAGGAAAGCTTTTTAAAAATATAATCACACATTTTAAAATGCACCAGAAAAACTAGGTATTGGAGGGAACCATTTCTGAATTGTTTATGAATTGACTAATCACCCTGGGTTTGTTTTGTTTTGCTGCAACTTCAATAATAATTATTAAAACCTAAGTCAAATTATGATTTTTCCTGAGTAGGATTTATTTTATGACTTGATGTTTCTGTTTGCCTACATGGAGCTTTTCAGCTGCAAAATACCCCTTGAGATAACATCAGACAGCTTGGGCAACTCCCTGATTTATAAGTGTATTTATTTATTAATTCATTCATTCATTTCTATTACACCTTAATTTACTAAACTAAAATGTATCTTAACTTGTGTGAACTCAGAGTTGAAACTCACGAATTTTCAAACATTTAAGGCATTATTAGAAATAATCCATTTGATGTATGGGATAGTATTAATTAAACAATGGTAAGTCTATAGTTAATTTTATTTTTATTTCTGTAAACACATCTTTTATTAAAAACAAAGAGATTTTCTGTGTATGTCATACATACTTTAAATAGAAGTGTCTCAGAGCTTATAAATCTCCAAATTTAACCAAAGAAGAAAAAGAAGTTGTTATATAATGTGATATTTTTTTAAAAAAAAACCTAGACAAAGATTAAATACTACCCCAAACAACACCCACTGTATGTATATGGGGGATGGAGGGTTGTCATTCTGATCCCTTGTTGGTAGAAATGAAAATTAGCACAACCTTTATAAAGAGTGATTTGTCAATATTATTATCTGTCAGAAAACCAAACGCATTTACCCTTTGACCCAGTAATCACACTTCTAGGAAATATTCTTCACATGTACTCAAGGTACAAAATAAGCTTGTACAAGGTTATTGATTCTAGTATTTTTTAACAGCAAAAGTTTAGGAAAACTTAAACATCCATCAACGTGAGACTATTCAAATATGGAACAACTGAAAAAGCTTCTTTTATATTGACATAGTGTGATTTACTGTTAAGCTTCACAAAAGGTAAGATACGTAACAATCCCTATAATATACTATTTTTAAAAAACAACAGTCCTGTAGTCCCAGCTACTCAGGAGGCTGAGGCAGGAGAATGGCGTGAACCCGGGAGGCACAGCTTGCAGTGAGCCAAGGTCACGCCACTGAGCACTCCAGCCTGGGCGACAGAGCGAGACTCCGTCTAAAAAAAACAAAGAGCAAAAAAACAACAGTCGGGGCTCAGTTTGTTCATAGGGCTGATTGATATGGTAATAGTAAAAGAAACGTTTTTCTGTGTATCCTTTGGACTCTTTAGAATTTTGAGTCATGTGATTGTTTTATGTTTTCAAAGTCAATAAAGTTAAAATTATAAGAAAGATAGCCTAAGTAATAAATGTGTGGAAATGAATAGAGAATTTTTTAATGGACCTAAGTATACATAAAATATAGTATAAGATAAATGCAGCATTATGTGTAAAACAACAAACCAGTCAATAAAAGGGGCTGGAAAAATATAAGCCAGAACCCTATGTTACTGATCTCACTGAGTTCATTTGATATGGATTGAAAAATTTTAATGCTAAAAAATAAAACCATATAAGGACTATAATAAAATAGTTACCAAATATGCTTATAATATGTGGAGTAAATAAAACTAAAAATACAGGAAAACTGAAACATAAGGGAAAAGACTAACCTGTCGATTACATCAAAATATGTATATGCACAGTGAAATAAAATTTTAAAGCAAACAAAAAAACCTGCAAAATATATGACAGACAAAATATTAATGTTTATTCAGCAAACATTTATTGAGCAGCTACTAAGTACTAGAAAATGGGAAATAGAGATCCACATCAATGGTACTATTTTTGCCCTGATGGAGGTCTTACAAATAACAATAATACAAATATTGTAATAGAAAAATATTTGCAAAAGACAAAAACAGGAAATTTACAGGAAGAAGGTCAATAAATACTGTATATTTTAAATATTTAACTTTAATAAAATCAAAGAATAAAAATAAAAAATCTAATATCAGATTATTGGAGATGGATAAATTAAGCATTGTTCAAGAATGGGAAGAAATGGATACTTTAATGTGTTGTGTTGGGGGCTATATAATGGTACAGTCTTTTTGTAGGGAAATGACACTGCACATCAAGAATTAAAATGTGCATGAATTTTGCTGGAACAATTTCACACCTACGATTTTACACCAAGATGAAAAATGATCAAGTGAATACAAATGTTCATGAGTAGGGATGTTCATTGCAGCATTGTTTACATAGTGAAAAACCAAAACCAAGCCTCCGTGTGTAATACTGAAGGGTTGATAAAATGAAGCAAAGTAAAAGGAAATTCCCTGAAGTTATTAAAAGGGAGATGAATTAGATATATTCATTAACTGAGAAAGACATCCATGTCATCGTTAGGAAAAACTAGTTTCAAATCTGAGTAGTATCCATGGGGAAATCTTTGCCCGTTTTATGTGAAATAAGTAATTCAAATCTACAAGACAAACAGGTTCAATGGGTAATCCAGGCCCCTGTCTCTCTGCCTGTAACAGGCAGGCACAGAATCAATCAGAGTAAGCCTGTGGACCAAAGAGAATCCTAGACCTCATGATACTCCATCTTGGGGGTGCTGACCACCCCTTGCCCTTCTGAAAAATCAAGAATCTGTGAAGTGTTTGGCGCACTTAGTTAAATATAAACTTTCTCCATGACTCAGCAATTCCATTCCTGACATATGTCCCAAAGAAAGGGAACATTACCGAAAAAAGTGGCCTGTAATCCCAACACTTTGGGAGGCCAAGGAGGGCAGATCACAAGGTCAGGAGATCGAGACCATCCTGGCTAACACGGTGAAACCCTGTCTCTACTAAAAATACAAAAAATTAGCCAGGCTTGGTGGCGGGCGCCTGCAGTCCCAGCTGCTCGGGAGGCTGAGGCAGGAGAATGGCGTGAACCCGGGAGGCAGAGCTTGCAGTGAGCCGAGATCGCGCCACTGCACTCCAGCCTGGGCGACACAGCGAGACTCCGTCTCAGAAAAAAAAAAAAAAAAGGTGTTGCAGTGTTGTATACGGGACAGTGAGTTGGCAGTACCCAAATGCCCATCACTAAGGAATGAGTAGAGGATGGAACCAGGGCACAATAGGCAGCTTTTAGAAACAGTAGGTTAGGCCGGGCGCGGTGGCTCACGCCTGTAATCCCAGCACTTTGGGAGGCCGAGGCGGGTGGATCATGAGGTCAGGAGATCGAGACCATCCTGGCTAACAAGGTGAAACCCCGTCTCTACTAAAAATACAAAAAATTAGCCGGGCGCGGTGGCGGGCGCCTGTAGTCCCAGCTACTGGGGAGGCTGAGGCAGGAGAATGGCGTGAACCCGGGAAGCGGAGCTTGCAGTGAGCCGAGATTGCGCCACTGCAGTCCGCAGTCCGGCCTGGGCGACAGAGCGAGACTCCGTCTCAAAAAAAAAAAAAAAAAAAAAAAAGAAACAGTAGGTTAGGTGCACATGTAAGAACAGGGATAGTGCTGAGAAAAAAAAAAATCAGAAAGATATCTGTAAAACAACAAAATTTATGTAAGTTTAAAAGTGCATACAACAACTATAGACATTTAAAGATATACATTAAATCCATTGAATGTTCACCAGCTTGGGGTGGGGAAGAGAGTAATGAGAGTGGGAAATACAATGGCATACACATAGGTACGTATTTATAAAGAGGGATATTGCATGGGCTAATGATGATAGTAGGCCATGAAAGTTATATAATTAACTCCTTGTTCCTGGAAAATAAAAAATGGAAGGAAGGAATTAAGGTGGGATGGAAGAAAGGAAGAAATGCAGTGTGGGAGGGAAGGAGGTTTTAGGAAAGGAGAAAGAAAGGAAAAAAGGAAGGAGCATGTTGCAAAGAAGTATAAAGTTGCAAAGAAGCACAGATAGGTATGATTCCATTTATATAAAATTTTGTGTATATATCTGTGAAAAGGGTTTGTGTATACGTGTGTGCATGTGTGTACATAAAAGAGATGTCTTAAAGAATACTCATTAAAATGAGCATTTTAATGCTCACCTATGTCACCCCTGGGAGTGAGATTTTAGATGGGTTTTACTTTTCTTAATACTTCTTTTGTATTGCTTGGCTATTCCAGATGGGAATGTGTTATATCTATAATCTGAGGTTGAGGGGTTGGTATAATTTTGGGTTGTGGGTGGAAATAAATCATCCAGGAATAGCAGATCCTCTCTCTTGCTCTCCTGACATGTCTTTCATATAAACATTGTCTCTAATCATTTTTACTCACCCTTCAATGTGTCAAATGTAAAGCAGGTGTGGCAGAAGCAATAGTGATTTAGTTACAAAATATTGAAATATACTATAAAGATGGACAGGAAATCCATAAGGTGCTTCTTCTGCAATTAAGAACAATATCTAATCATCAGAAACAAGTTTGCTGGCTTGAAATCAAGTGATAAAATGATGCTGAGCCACAAGAGATTCTTGCCCTAATTCCCCTAAAGCTGCTCGTTCTCCTGTTTGCTTTGATTGAACGGCTTCTGTTTCTATTGTCGCAGGCAGGGATACCTAGCAAATTCTCCGCTACTTCAGGCAGGTTTACCCTAGCTAAGTGAAATGAAATCTTAAGCAACCTCTGGGGTACTTGTTGGCTTTAATAATTCAAGTGATAGCACCCACTTTCTTTTCAGAATATATATGCCTTCCTAAACTGTCTCATGCACTGAATTTTTCTATTTTACCATCTTTGTAAATATTCCAATAATGTTATTACAAAATAATGGATAACTATGTCCAAGATGGGTAAATTTAGCTTAAATCCAAAATATATAAATCTTAGTGGTTCCTTGTAATCTCATGGACATGGCTGAAAAGGGGAACGTGGTTCAAAATAATAGTCCCCATAAGTACCTTTCAGGAAATTCCAACTAACACTTACTAATTTCAGAGTAAGTAGATACTAGCTGGCATCCAATTAGCTACAGTATTTACATATTCTATCTCACTGAATCCACCTAATTAAGAGGTAGTATCTATTTATGAGATAGGTATAATTAGCCCCGTTCTACAGATGAGTAAATTTAAGGTCATAGAAGTTAGATAACTTGACCAAGACCACAAAGCTAATAAAGAAGTGCCCAACCTGCAGTTCAGATTTAATTATTTCATAGTATTTAGTGTTCCAAGAAGAAAATCCAGGCATGAGGGTTTTTTTTCTTTGCACTTGTATTTTGCAGGTCACAGTCATATAAGTAATTAGCCTTCACCAATCTCACTATCTACATTTTGTCAGCTAGATACCTCCAGCAAAAGTTGTTCCATGAGAATGTAACTTTTTATAAGACCACATCTTTAAAACGATATTATCACATAGTAAATTAGTGGAATTTTTGGAGCCTAGCTAATGTTGCTCAGCCATTGATTCCCTAAGTTGTTTGGGAGAGAAGACATTGAGTAGAGAATACTCCTTTGGGCTCATACTATATATTCATGGCCATAAAGCCTCCCCTTATATAGTTTATTACTTACCTCTTCAATTGACCTAAAGTCCACTTTTTGTGGGTGGTAAAGATAATTATGTCAGAAATGACACATTAACTTTAGTTGGGATCACACACACACACACACACACACACCATAAAAGGGCAAAACAAAGCTATTGTTCTATTATATTGTCTTAATTATAATAGAAATAAACTTGAATGTCACTGAAAATCATAAGCTCCCTTACACACATAAGCCTCCAAACACATGCACACACACACGTGCACACACACACACACACACACACACACTCACTCACTGACCTCCAAAATATTTTATTCATGGCAAAGAAGAAATGGTTTTTCTGTCTGACTTATCACAGGCATTTCATGCAGAGTCAAAGAAATGTGACATATTTTTCTGAGGATAAAGTACAAAAATGGTTGTCGCTTTGGGGATTAAAAGCAAATATGTCACCTTTGTAAAAGTAATTCTCAATGAATTAGAAAAACAGAACATTTCTGTTTCTTTTCAGATACTCATCCTTAAGCTGAGCTTGCCCTGTGCTCAGCTGGGTAGCCTATCTGTGAGATCACCATGTACTCAGACCAAATAGGAAGACTTATTTTCTTGGGGGCATTATCTCACAATTCGAAATAGAAGATTTCAAGGAAGAGGACCTTAAAATATTTTCCCAAATCATTTTGAATTAGTATAATTCCCTTTTTTTCGAAAAGCCCTCTGGTTAAGAGTAAGAGTGTTAGAGGAATAACTCAGGAAGGACCAGAAGCCAATGATCTCTTAGAAGTGGTCAAGCCAGCAAGTGCTTCATTGAAGTTGGGACTCTGGGTCAAGGATTTCCATCTGTGAGGTCATATCTGTTTCAGAATAACTTATTCACCCACCAGTAACTGACCCGAAAAACTAGAGATTAATTTTTGTCACATTTTTATTGGTGTGGGGAGCACAGAGCAATGGCCAACAGATTGCATTCTTGATAGGGCATGTGTAGAGTAAAACCCTATTAAAACATGGTTGGTTGTTGGATGGATTTGTTCCATCCTAAGTCAAATAATTTCCTTTGAAGCTTAAGTACACAGAGAAAAGTTCTGATAAGAGACAGCATATGAAGCAGACATTAGTCCTGTCCATCAAACATCTTTCATGAAGGAGTCCCAGCATACACACGAAACAATAAACTGCTCTTAGGAAGCACTGAGTCGCCGCAAGGAACTGCGCTAGAATCTTGCTTTAAATATTTCCCAGAAACCACTTATATTAAATCTTAATTTTATTTTGCAAAAATTGGAAAAATGAGAAAACAACAAATCGGCTTTATCCTGTGCTTTGGTTCTAGCATGGTGGCAGTATAGCATCACCTTGGTTTTCTCTCTCATCTTACAGACATTAAGAGCATATAACACAAAATACATAACACAAAGTTGTGTGCTTAGAGATCTGTGCTTTTCTTCAGCTGGGACAAAACATGTATACTAAATTGAGAAGACAGGAGGTAGGAGAACTGCACGCTAGGTTCTATATTAAGTTTTTTACCCACAACCACATTTAACCCTCACAGTGTCCCTATGATTCAGATACGTTTTTATTCTTATTGATGAAGAAGCTGAAGTTCAAGGACATTAGATAGTCTGCTGCAGTTCCCACAGCCTGCATATCACTGACCCAAATTCTTTGTGTTGCGTCATGGTGAAGGGCTCCATCCTCTAGCTCTCTAAACCTAAATTAGAGGTATCATCCTTGACTCTTCCCTCACTTGACCCATTGCCACTCAATTAGTCGTCAAGTTCTGTGGATTCGTTTTTCTTTCTTTTTTTTCTTTCTGTTCGTTCTGTCACCAGGACTGCTGAAACAGCCTCTAGTCCGACAGTCACCTGCATTAACGTTCCAAAATGAGGATCAGATCGTGTTATCCCTGTACTTAACGTCCTTCAGCGTGCTGCCATTGGCCTTAGAATGAGGTACAAACTTCTTGATATGGTTTTCAGTATCACCAGATATTCGTTCCCTGCTTGCCACCTCACCTATGTCCTTAACACTCTATGCTCCAAACACAATTAGACCTTTTTCAATTTTTCAAATGCTTTCTTGACTTGGGCCTTTTCAATGCTGTTATCCATACCCCAAACCCTCTCCAATTACCTTTTCTCTCTGTCCACACATCCTTCTAGTCCTGGGAAAATTTTCACATCCTTGGAAAGCCTTCATGGTTTTCACATAGCAGTAGTTCTGAAATTGCAGTCCCTTGACTAATAGCCTAAGCAACGACTGGGACCTTGTTAATGATTAATATAAATTCTAGAGCCCTATCCCTAACCCATTGAACCAGGATCTCTAGGGTGGTAACTAAAGTGTATGTTTTAGCAAGTACTTCAGGTGATTCTGGTTCTGGTTGAAGTTTGACCCACTTCCCTCTAGGTGAACCCCAATCCTCACGAGAGTCACCCAGTACTGACACCTCAAGCTCATCTCCAGAATTTATATTAATCTCCAGAGATTTTGAGTTACTTGGTCTAGGGTGGGGCCTGAGAATTGGATTCTTGTTACTTATGTTTTTAAGTTTCCCAATATGACTCTAATGTACAGTCAGGGATGAGATCTTCTTCCTTAGGCTAATTTAGGACCAGTCTTGTACTTCCCTTTCTTGATACTTGATCCCTTTATTTTCTTCTGGTATTGTCTGACATCCTCGGTAGACAGAGTTTATGAGGGTAAAAACTGTATCTGAACAGTTCAAGCACAGTCCCAGAACAATAATTCAGATGTAGTAGTCACTCAATTAAAATGTATTGAAAAAAATACATGTTGAATGGATATCTACCTAAGATCCCTGGCAAAAGATTACTGGCTAACATGACCTCAACCACCCCTGCAAAGAGGTTTTCATTGAAAAGTCCACATTTGCTTGTTTAGGTCATCACTAAATCACTAACAACCCCTTCTAAACTTTAGACTCTTTCACTTTTATCAACAGGGAGTTAAAATATTAAAAATATCATCCTCCTTGTCACCGTTAATAAATACCATCCACTTGTTCCACACTGGAAACTACATGTAGTTCCTATCTCTCCATTTTTCTTCTCTCATTTTAATTGGGGTGCTACAGAGATGTGTAGACTTAAATTTCAACTCCATAAATAAAAATTGAGCAATATGCCTTCATGGAGACTATTTTCTACAAATCTTTTCATTGTATATCTTAACTTTATAGCTATTCAAATTATATGCTGATTACACGAGAAGTGTTTTGTTGATACAAACTCAATATTCACCTTATTCAATCCAAGTATTTGACCAAGTATGTTAAGGTTTCAGCTACAGTTTCTTATGAGGGTATGTAATAAAGTAAAGAATAAAAAGGTAAATCATTGATATGGTTTGGCAGTGTCCCCACTCAAAATCTCATCTTGAATTGCAATCCCCATAATCCTCATAATCCCATGTGTGGAGGGAGGGACCTCGTGGGAGGTAATTGAATCATTGAGGCAATTTCCCCTATGCTATATTCATGACAGTGAGAGAGTTCTCACAATATCTGGTGGTTTTAAAAGTGTTTGGTAGTTCCTTCTGCATTCATTCTCCTTCCTGCCACCTTGTAAAGAAGGTGCGTTGCTTCCCTTCACCTTCCGCCATGATTGTAGGTTTCCTGAGGCCTCTCCAGCCATGCTGAACCTTGAGTCAATTAAACATCTTTCCTTTATAAATTACCCAGTCTCGGGCAGTTCTTTATAGCAGTATGAAAACTGACTAATACAAAGTAAGTATAAAACTACTAAAGGGAGGTTTAGCGCCTTTAAATCTAAAAAGGAAGTCTGTTCATACAGTAGTAGAAGTGAAGAAGGAATGCTAAGAAGAACAGGTTTTGGGGAGAAGTTCTAAAATGCAAATTTCCACTGAAGAAAGAGAAAGGTAAAAAAATGACTTAGTAGAGAGCAACTGATCACCATGGTAACAGCAAAATAGCACACAGTTGGAAAGGGCTCACCATGGAGCAGAGTCAGGAGACCTGGCCTTTCCTGTTGCCCTTTTTTTCCTTTCTGGTTTGGAAGAAGGGAAGTTCAAGTTGTGAGGGCTGGCAGGGAAATACCACCAGCAAGGTGAGCCTCCCTGGACTGTACCAGGAGTGCAGAAGCCTGTCCAGGCTGGTTGCTGCTCTTACCTCCTCAGCTGAGCAACTGAGCTCCTTGGTAGCTGGAGAGAGGAAGCAGAGAAAGGTGCTTCTCTGTACTCTAGTACTACAAGTCTATAAGTCCAACAATACCAGGATTCCAAACTCCTTGATTCTTCAATGGTTTAAGGCCATCTATTGACAAAGCAACTATTGGTGGACTTTTTTTTTTTTTTTTTTTTTTTGAGACAGAGGCTCACTCTGTCGCCCAGGCTGGAGTGCAGTGGCGCAATCTCTGCTCACTGCAACCTCAGCCTCCTGAGTAGCTGGGATTACAGGTGCATGCCGGCTAATTTTTGTATTTTCAGTAGAGACGGGGTTTCGCCAGGTTGGTCAGGCTGGTCTCAAACTCCTGACCTCGTGATCTGCCAGCCTTGGCCTCCCAGAGTGCTGGGATTACAGGCGTGAGCTACCATGCCTGGCTGAGTTTTGGTGGATGTTTTTAGCAGTAAAAGCAAAGAATCAACTAACCCCAGGATAGTATATGAGGAGCAGGACCAGCTACTTAATTCAGAGGCCCAGTGCAAAGTGAAAATGTGGATCCCCTTGTTTCAAAAATTATTAAGAAGTTCAAGACAGCAACAGCAGGGCATGAAACCAAGCTCAGCGTCCTCCGATGTGCAAGCCCCATGCAACTGCACAGGTCTCACATCCATAAAGCCAGCCAGATCAGAAACCTCAACTTAGAAAAAGAGGGAGATAAAGAAACAGCACTTGATGCAGTGGCTCACGCCTGTAATCCCAACACTTTGTGAGGCCGAGGCAGGTGGATCACAAGGTCAGGAGATTGAGACCAGCCTGGCCAATATGGTAAAACCCTGTCTCCACTAAAAATACAAAAATTAGCCAGTCATGGTAGCAGGTGCCTGTAGTCCCAGCTATCCAGAAGGTTGAGGCAGGAGAATAGCTTGAACCTGGGAGGTGGAGGTTGCAGTGAGCCGAGATCGTGCCACTGCACTCCAGCCTGAGTGACAGAGTGAGACTCCGTCTCAGAAAAAAAAAAAAAAAAAAAAAGAGCAAAATAAAGAAACAGCACTTGATTCTCTACACTGATCTTCAACAGATGTCTGGTTTCCTTTACCTCTGTTCCAACTGTGATATACTCTCATAATAAATCTGCATCTTGAATTTAAAGTTCTACTTTCCTAACAGTCTGAATTTGCTTAAGTTGTTGAATAATATGTTGAAGTTGTATTCATATGGTTAGTGAAAGAAAAGTAGGTTGCTGGTTTGTAAGCCAAGGGGACAAAAGTGCTTTCTGTTGATGAACCGAGAAACCAATGGATATAAGGATATTATAATTCTCTGCAAGGATATTATAATTCTCTGCAGAATAAGAAATTGAAGGGTACAGTAGGGAAGGAAGATGAATGCCTTGCCAGTAGAGCTTATATTCAGGATATAAATCCACCGAGTAGCAGAAAATATTAGTTCCTTATCTTTGTATGCTAAATCCAGCATAGAGATATGGTCTGGCTACATATAGCCTAAAAATAAAAGTTGGATTGAGTGAATGAGTAAACACTTTTTTCAGACGGGAAAGGGATGGACAAGACTTGAGAAGGTGTGTTGTTTTGCTATTATTTTAAGTTGAATGAATGTAGTTTAAATTGCCTTAGTTTATGACAGATTTTTCCACAAAATACATGCAAGCCCCTGTGAATATGTTACAAATGTGCTGAGATGTTGATGTCAACCCCCTCATCCCTTTGCCCTGTACACATTTTTATCATTTTCTAGATAAGCTATGCTATCTGATGAGCTATGCTGTACACATTTTTATCGTTTTCTAGATGAGCTATGGTGTACGAGAGGTTGTTATGCACCGACTCTGACTTGTAGAGATATATAGGAATCCAAGCGGGATGATCTAGTTACTGCCTATGTTTGATGAAGTAGGCTGTGCTCCTTTGTAGAGTGTGATAAAGAAGGCAGAAGGAAACATTTCACGACTCTGCCTTGGAGAAAGACAGGTAGACATATGTCAAGAAGAATTGCCCACATGGCTCCAGTAGACAAGCAGAAAACTTGGAAATACCAAAGGTGGATGCCGATTACCTAACATAGGTGAAGAAGGGAAGCCAACCCTGTCACTGAACATTTGTCAGTGCTTATTTTGAAATACTATTTTCAGAATATACTGCCATGGGCCAAAATGAGTTGAAGCCTAGAGAAAATACAGCCCTCTGTGTCCTGTGCATTTATCTTCTCCCAGTCCTCTCGCTTGCAGAATGTTCAGAAGAAGGACTTACACTGATACAAAGCAGACGAGAGCCCTGTTCCTTACTGCTTTGTTTTTATATAACTAATACAAAAAGATATTATCATAAAAGTTTATAAAGCATCTGTTCTCCAGAATTTCTGTTGAGGAATTTAAATTCTTGCACCCATCTATAAGTTACATGGACTCCTTATCAGCCTCCTCTCCCTCAACATCACCACCATCATCATCATTAACAGCATTTGTTCATTGCCCCTGTATTACTAAATGGAGCAATACAGGTTAAAAAATTTTCCAATCATTAGAAATTTTAATTGAGGACATTAACATTGACACAGAAGAATATAGGAAATACATAGTAACAAAGTTCAATGAAAACTTAAAATTTTTCTGAAACATGATATTTATCATATGCGTAATTAACCCAACATAACCATTAAGTGGTGAAGAAAATGGGCCCATCTACTTTGCAAACTGCTTCTGCCTAATTTGTTGATGGCTCTTTGCACAATTTTAGTATTTGAACCTTTTAAGGATCTCTTTTTTGGGTTTCACATACGCAAATTTACAAACTGGTTTTAAACAGTGCTCTATTTTAATGAGGAAAATTTTAGAACTGCAATTAGTTTTTGTTCAAAAAAGGGTGGGGGGGATGACAAATAGTTAATTGAGTTCCTCTCCAAAAGGATATGAAAGATAAAACTTTGTCCTTGATTACATAGAAGACTATGTCTTTGTAGTTTAAAACATTTTGCTATTGATTTTTGGTTCTGTTGAAATAGTATGTAAGAAATGGTTTACACTAGTGTATTGGAAAGTTAGAAATTAGCTTCAAGAGGGCAGGAAACGGTTGTCCCTGAGTGTTGATGCTGTTGTAGACAAATAACACACTTTCAAAAACTATTTTTATCTAAAGTCATTTTTTCATAGTATAACTCAAAAAGGGCAGCAAACACTTCTTAAATATGAGTTACAGCCTTCTTCAATAATGAACAAAAATTGTATTCAGTTGATTTTCTTACCTATGGACCAAGACGTATTTCAATAAAAAACAGCCAAGAGTGTTTAAACATTTCCATTTCGAAAGATTCAATGAAGTGAAAAAAAATGTGCCTGTAAAAAGAACCAGATCTTCCAAAAGGAATTAATTTGTTTTTGAATAATGCACTGATCTTTTGAAAATGGCAAGTTCCAACGAATAAACTATGAGATTGGTATCATAACTCCAGGAATGGTATTCAAACAACTGGGGGACTTGGCATCAACTAAAAAGAATGGATCTGGCTGTCCCAGAGCTGCTTGCTGAGTGTTCATCTTTTATTTGGTAGAACTAGAGGAATACAGTGACCTTACAGGAGGGACTAGGGGGCGGGCATAGTGATAGGAGTGGGAGGAGCTCCCAGAGTCTTAAGACAGCAGCTATTTGCCAGCTGGCAATACAGCAGTATTTTCAATATTTTCACTACTGGTATAGCCAAAAGGTGCTTACTGGGTGATGTCAACTTCTGATTCTCAACAAGGGAATGTCACTTACTCATCAGTGATATCCAGCCCACACTGGCTTGGGTTTGTGCAGCCAATCAGATCAACATTTTCCCATCAGCGTGACATCAAGCGTATGAACACCTTTCCCATGAGCCAGGTACCAACCATTACTAGTATTTGTTATAGAAGGAAAAACTGAAGTCCAAGAATAACATTTCACTGGCCAGCATGCCCTCTGCTTCTACCAAGACTTCAGCTAGTCCTAAATGCAAGAGCATGGAGATCACATACTCTACTGATCTTGAAACAAAAATCAATTATCATCAAATGAAAATAAAAGTAAACGTAATTAGTACCTTGTTTTCCCCCACAAAGCTTATATTTTATTTCTCTTACTCCATTAGACATCGGGGCCTTCTTATTTATTAACAGTAGTGAATCCCTGCTCTACCAAATATATGTATAAAGTTCTCTGGGAGAAAACGGAATGAGTAGCTGTTTTTAGGGCAGCCATAGTATGAGTTTTGGAACTACATAATTCAGATAAAATAAAATGTTGACATGGTTTTTCATTTAAACACTGCAACTATCAGAGTCACTATGGGTACTGGATTTATTAAAACCTCAAATGTTTAAAAACTGTTGGCATGATTGTATGCATATTTTGATAGAGTTACATGTAGAAGCATGTTAATAAAATATCAGAACCAATTATAATAGAAACCACATTTAATTAAAATTTCCTAATACAACCATATTCACTACATTATTTTTACCTTTGGTGTCATTAATTCCCTCCTGACTCATCCCACTTACTAATTTAGAAGACTTAATAATAAGAACATCACTGTTTTCTGTTTCATACTGAAATAAGGTGACACTAATTGCTAAAATTTTTATCAACCACTACTGAGGACCTAGGCAAGTGAATATTTTGCCTCTATGAATTTCTCATGAAAGCATTTTGAGACCAGCGTTTTAAAGACTATTATTTCAAAAACAATGTCTGCACAAGCCATGAACAAATGCTGAAATAAGATATTTTTATTAGATGTTCTTGTTGAAGCAAGTTGGAACAAGAAGTGGTAGGAAGATATTTATCTGTTTGCACAAAAACAGTAAACTAGATTTATTTGAGTAATACATTTATCAAAATCCTGTTGGGAGTATATGGGTTTGGGTATTCAAAAAATGGATGTGAGTCTCTCTGCTTTCCAGCCTGCCTGGTCACCTTCCTGCCTGGAGACAGTGGTGGCTACATGTGCATGTTTTATATATCTGAATATTAGCAGTCATTTGTCCCAATCCCACAAGTGCTGACAAGGGTCATTGTTGGAGTCATCGGCACCCCTGCACCCTCTCACTTTGTTACGCTGATGTTAGAAATGTCACATATGGAAGGAAGCAGAGCATCAGACCCAGACGTGGGCACTACTGGAGAAGCAGATTGGGGCATTTACTAACATATAGGGCCTTCAGGCATTTAACTCGATGAAGCTGAGCACGATGGGTGACACAATCTGTTTCCAATTCCGGATGAAGTATTCATATATACTTGGACCATAAATTTAAAACGCGAGTTGTCTAGCCATTCCAGAAAAGTCACAAAGCAGTGTTTGTATCAGTTGAAAGAAGAACTATGCAGTTACTGATAGAGAAGATCTCCCCGCATCCAGAAGATCAGGGAAGGACTATAGAATAGCACTCGTGGGAATTTATCTGGACGTTGAAAGATATGTAGGGTGAACTACTATAAAAAACAACATCATACTCACATCTTTGTCACTCATCTATTTATTCCAAAAACTCAAAAATTCAGTGAACACTGTATTAGCTTCCTAAGACTGCCATAACAAAGTACCATAACCTGGGTGGCTTAGAAAACCAGAAATTTATTATCCTGCAGTTTTGAAGGCTAGAAGGCTGAAATCAAGATGTTAGCAGGGTTGGTTGCTCCTGAGGGCCGTAAGGGAGAATCTGTCCCCGGTCTCCCTCCTAGCTTCTAGAAGCCTCAGGTATTCCTTGGCTTGTGTATCAGGGATCCCCAGTCCCACAGGGGCATAGACCGGTACCGGTCCATGGCCTGTTAGGAACCGCTCACAACAGGAGATGAGTGGCCAGCGGGTAAGTGAGCATTACCACCTGAGCTCCGCCTCTTGTCAGATCAGCGGGGACATTAGATTCTCTTAGGAGCGCAAACCCTATTGTGAACTGCGCATGGGAGGGATGTAGGTTGCACACTCCTTATGAGAATCTAATACCTGATGATCTAAGGTGGAACCGTTTCATCCCAAAACCAGCTCCCACCACCCCTCACCTCCAGTCCTTGGAAAAATTATCTTCCAGGAAACCGGTTTCTCATGCCAAAAAGGTTGGGGACTGCAGTTGTAGATGAATTCTCCCTGTGTCTTCACATCATCTTCTCTCTGTACGCGTCTGTCTCTGTGTCAAAATGTCCCCTTTTTATAAAGACTCCTGTTGTATGGCATTAGGGCCCATCCTAGTGACCTCGTTTTAATTTGATTCCCTCTATAAATACCTTGTCTCCTAATAAAGTCATGTTCTCAGGTTCTGATTACAAGGTGTCTTTTTTTGCTTGTCACAATTCTACCTATAACAAACACCTACTAGTAGCCAGGCACTATATGAGCCACTCACAAATGGCACAGTTTCTGCCCTCATGGTGCTTAGTAATCTAGCAAATATAATAATCATTAAGAAAAAAAATTTAAAGAACAACAATAATTGATTGATTGTTACCTCTATGCTTAAGACTACGCTAAATGCTTTAAAAGCATTTTCTCATTTAATCCTCAAAGCAACATTTTGAAGTAAACACGGTATTCACTATCATTAGAAACAGCTTGGTGGAAAGTTATATTTGACTTGAGTGTGAAGAATAGACTTGCAATTCTTCAGTCAAAGAAGAAGACACATCAGGAAAACTGCGTAAGTTGAGGACAGAAAATGTGTGTATGGTGAACAGAACGAGCTCAAATCTGGTTTTAGGAGACTGAAATAGACAACTCTTCAGCATGGTCTGTCTGGCTGCCTCTCTCTTCCTCCCCGGGCTCCTCCGATCTGCAGCATGGGGTTCAGGTGGCATCCCCCCTGCACATATGCCCATGCAACCCAGAGGCGGAGGACATTAACACCCATGGTGCCATTCTTAACCGATGGGAGTGAAAACGGATACATCATGCTTCCTCTTTTTGTGCCCTGGGTGGACAGTTCTGAGACACCATTCAGAAGGCTCTCAGAAGGTCCCTGCAGAATCAAGCACCAGGTATTTATAGTGGTGGACAGCTCAGTAATGCATCGTTGTATCGTCTTTCTCTCCTTTTCTATTTTACTCTCCTGTCCTGTATTTCTCCCCAGAATTCCCATCTCAAAAGACTCGCACAAAAGCCTTGGCCTCAGGTTCCACTTTTAAGGGACTAAGATCATTGGCATCAGATTTTATTATCCCAGATCAGAGATGAAAACAACTGACTCATCAGTGTCTTTTTCAAAGCCAAGAAGCTGTAGGCATACCCAGAATTAGCACCCAAGTCTCTTAGCACTCAAGTCTCTTGGCTTCCTGAAGAACATCTTCCCCATAAAGGAGGTCATCCAGCCTAAAAACTCTCGATAATCATTTTCCCGTATAAACACCTTCAAGCACCTTGCATGAGGGAAAGCACTTTTTGCTCCTTTCTACACCGTCACCTCCAGCACGGAAGATTGGTAGCTGGGACCCCATTGCCAGCGCTTAAAAATAGTTTTATCTGGAGTGAAGCCAAAAAGGCAAGTCATGGAAGTAAAATACAAATGTTCTGTCTCTTATTGTCTTTCCATTACATGGAATACATACACACACACACACACACACACACACACACACACACACATGAATTTCAGCTGAGGAGAACACACACACACAAACACACACACACACACACATACATACAAATTTCAGCTGAGGAGAAATTAACTTGAACCAAAATGAAAGAGAAGAGGAGTAGGGACTTCTGACTCAAAGGCAAGTCTACTTCAATTGCCTGTCACTACCAGATTAAAAGTTGAAGCACAAGAGCCTTTTGAGACCTCTAAAATTGTTCTCTGATTGCTGGAGACTTTCCTACTGTAGAGAAATAAATATATTAATGGGGTACTTCTTCCTCCCACAATGTCCAAAGTCCTGTGTTTTAAAAAATTTATGTTATAGAATATTTTTATATTGCAGTTCTTTTTTTTTTTCCATCTTTCTCCTGAGCAAACCTTTTTTTATATGAAGGTCACAACAACTTCCATAATGCAGACAGGTTGTATTCTCTTAATTGTTCTAAAAGCCACATACATATGAGCAAATTGCTGTCTAGATTAATTATAGAAAATGTTCAAAAGAATTCCATTATTATTGCAGATCCCATTAAGAGGCTGTAATGTATAGATAATAATTCTGTTTACTACAATCGACATCCATACACATCCTGGAAATATCCAGAAAAAGACATACAGGATATTTTAAAACACACACATTGTCCCATTCCTTTATTTGACCATTTCCCCTGATTTTATGATGCATTAATATTCAGTGGTTTTGTGATTTTTCTCATTTTCTTTCTCCCTTTTCCATGGGCACCATTCTACCCCTCCTTCGGATGAAGTATGTGCCAGTCACACAGCCCCACAGAGAAAGTTGCTGTCTAGCTAGCTTGGGAATTTCTACACTTAGGCAGACTCAGGAAAGTGCTAGGAGAAGGTGGGTCCTACAAAGTGCACTCCTATTTTACTACTAAATGAGTTAAGACCCCAGAATCTTCAGTCTTTGGGAAACAATCCCATAACAGAGCCTTTCATGCAATTGAAGAGCTTCTTTCATAAAGAGAGACAGACGGAAGAAACATCAAAGAAAATACTCTGCATTATAACCTCAAGAAGATTTAGAAGAGGGAAGCCATTTCAAAGAGACTGTTTTCAAAGTACATGCGGCCCTGGGGGAGAAGAGCAACTTCACTTATTCTTCTCCCTTATACAAACAAGTTTTCAGAGAAGTCCCTCTGATGAAGTATATCGTACTATGCTCACGAACAGCTGTCTCTATGTGTGAGAAAGAATATTTAGAAACAGGTAGCTATTTACTCTAGCAATGCTACTGTGTGCTAGTGAGTCATGGATGCAACAATGCTGGTTTTGATTTTGTCTGTGGAATAAAATCCAAAACTTGGTGTTATCAAAAGCTTTGCAGGCCTCTCAACCAGGTCTTATGTATTTTCTGGCTTGAAGAGATGGGAGTCAGACCTCTATCTCAGGATTCCTCAACCTCAACAGAAGGATCAGATTATTCTTCATTGTGGGGGGCTGCCCTGTGCATTGCAGAATGTTTAGCAACACCCTGGCCTCTACCCACTGGAAGCCAGTAGCACCTACTCAATCGTAACAATCAAAAATGTCTTCAGATAATGCCAAAATGTAGCTAGGGGTGGAGACAATAAAATCGTCTGTGATTCAGAACTACTGTTTTATATTAAGAACATCATGCTTGGAAGGATTTTGTTTTAAGGCCTGTGGCTGAGTGTAGGATATGCCAAGAACATACTGAGTTGTCTAAAGAAGAACTTTCTGGCCAGGCACGGTGGCTCATGCCTGTAATCCCAGCACTTTTGGAGGCCAAGGCGGCCGGATCACGAAGTCAGGAGATCGAGACCAACCTGGCCAACACGGTAAAACCGTCTCTACTAAAAATACAAAAAATTAGCCGGGCGTGGTGGCGGGCGCCTGTAGTCCCAGCTACTCGGGAGGCTGAGGCAGGAGAATGGCGTGAACCCGGGAGGTGGAACTTGCAATGAGCCGAGATCGCGCCACTGCACTCCAGCCTGGGTGACAGAGCGAGATTCTGTCTCAAAAAAAAAAAAGAAGAATTTTCTTAGATAAAATTTAAGCTGACAAGAACAGTAGTAAAGAAATATTGAAGGGAAGTGCAGAAGCATTGCTCCTGGCTCTCACAGGTGGACAACATGCAGGTGGACAATATAACCCAGTTTGCTGTATTTGTCAGAGGGAGGGATTCTTATTCTGCTCTACTTCCTCCCTCTTAGTCCCCATTCGAAGCAGGATTAACTGTCCCCTGGCATATGGTGGTTCAGGGTCAGCCAAAGAGCATTCTTTCCCTAAAGGCCCTCTCAGTAACTATTGGGAAAAGCCATCTTATATAGCCAATTTAGGGCTAGAAAGAAAAGAATTTTACAGAGTTTGCAGTTGAATGACAGAAGACAGAAGGAATGCAATAACTTAAATAAATCTGTAGCCATGTCTGTGGAGCACGGAGGAATCCATTAGGGTATAAGGTAGCAAGGAGACCTCTCAAGGTGGAAAAATAAAAATAAAAAAGATTAGAAGGAAATTGCAAAGTGAAGAAATGAGCCTTTCTCATTACTTGAAAGCATAATCTCTACTCATAAAAGCAAGCAGAAAAAAGAGACATATTAGATTTTCTTATAAAATAAAAGTAGGAGGGACAAAAATGCTGCACACTCAAGTGTGGTGTGTGCACAGTGCTCAAGTAACTTAGAAAGAAATAAAGGTCTTTGACTTCTTGGCACTATATTAGACTATTCCTCTGTTCTTCTAAGAGCATGTGGCTCTGCCAGAGGCAGGAGCTATAAGAAGGGAGACAGAAATGCAAAGAGGTCATGATCTTTTAAAGGAAATATATCTCACTATTTTTTCTCCATTTGAAAATCATGTTTTATTTCAACCTATTCGATTTATATTTTCAAGTCAATAATAATGTATAAAACATCTAAAAGGGCTTGGAATGCATTTTATAAATAGTCTGGGAATTGAAGACTGAAAGCCCTAAGTTTTCTGAATTCACTATTTTAATATCTCTAAGTTCCAGTATCTAGCTTGTTAAGGATAAGGTGAAGTTTATTCACGTTTATAATATATTTAATTTTTGCATCCAAACTATCAAAAGGAAGTTCACAATGCTTTTAATTCTGATGCTTTTGTGAGGAGCAGGTACCTTTCTGATTTCTGCTACTGTGTAGGTATCTAGAAATCAGTTATCTTATGATCTTATGATGTGTTTATTTGTTTATGAAGATATAGCCATCAGCATTGATTGTGTGGCTTCACTACTGACCTTGCCTAGGGGAATTTGGACATCAAACTTTGGATTTAAAAATTATTTCTGTGGAGGTTAATTAGCTTTTTGTTAGTGGTGTTTCCTTTGAATGACATTCAGGGGAAATAGGAGAGTCTGAGCTGACACAAAATTTTAGATGACTTTGCAATAGGGAAATTACTTTTTTATGGATGTGGGTACACTAATGCTGTTAACTAACACTAATTAACTCTGCCTAGAGACAGTCCCAGCATCTGTATGAAATTAGTATGGTTCTGTCCTACAAAATCCACACTGCTAAGGGAGGAAATAAATAAAGGTTTCTGAACATCCGTGGAAAAATAAAGTGTTTTCTGTGGCACTAGTAAACTGAAAGTAGTATTTAATCCTAGATAATGTTTTCACCTCCCATGCTTCTGTCCCCATCCTACCAACTTGTGAAAAAATAGGAGTCCAAGTGTCTTGTTCTTCCAGTTTCCAGGCACCCAATGTGGTCCTCTCAATAAGTCTCTGCATCATCTTCAGTCTCTGACTGAGCTCCCAGCAGTTCCATGTTTTCCCCCATTCTATCCTCCCTCCAATTATGTTTCCGAATGTGTACACATCTGCTTAAGAAAGCAAAAGAATCTAAAAGTAATTGGTGTCTTTCTTGGAAAATTAACTCATTTATTTAACCAGCATTTTATTCAGTACTTGGATGTGTCCAGGAAATACATGAGCTTTGGAACATCTCTTTCTGAATCAGCAGCTTCCACACTGAGAGAGTATGCCAGAGTGAAACCTAGCAACTGCCAGGAACTAAATTTAAATCAAATTGTGTATAACTTAATCACAAGATTACGTGTTATATTTCCTCAATTGTATTAACAACAGTCATTCTAAGGCAATGTTTCACTGTCACGGGAGGCTGGAGCCCAGCATGCCCTCCTGTTCCAGTTTCCTTATTCTTGCCTTGGTTTGGGAGCTCGGAATCTCGATCACCTGAAGACCACTCTACTGGAGCATCAGGAGCATATTTGGCTCTTGTTCTATCATCAGAGTCAGCCACCCTCCTGGCTCTGATACCCTAAGGGCAGGAGAAAGGGAAGGACAAAAGTCAAAAGACAGGACCATGATGTAAACTCTAATACTAACCCCAGCCCACCCACTCCTCAAATAATTTGACCACCATTGGACAGAGCTGCAATACACTGAAGGCTTTATGCCTTCTTGTGACGCTTAGTCCCTGTATTAGTCCATTTTCATGTAAAGAATGCCTGAATGGGGTAATTTATGAAGAAAAGAGGTTTAATGAACTCACAATTTCATATGGCTGGGGAAGCCTCAGGAAACTTACAATCATGGCAGAAGGCAAAGGGGAAGCAGGCATCTTCTTCACAGGGGAGCAGGAAGGAGAATGAAAGCTGGAGGAACTACCAAACACTTATAAAACCATCAGATCTTGTGAAAACTCCTGCATTATCATGAGAACAGCATGGGGGAACCACCCCCATGATCCAGTCACTTCCCACCAGATCCCTCCCTCAACACATGGAGATTACAATTCAAGATGAGATTTAGGTGGGGACACAGAGTCAAACCATATCAGTCCCCTTAGCAGACAGAAACCTGGCACTACTTTGGAGGAGAAAAGCTGGCTTACTTTCAGAAGGCAAATTTCAAGCTAGAAACCTGGAGGAATGGGAGAAGAATCTGGCTTTACATCGTTTTCTCATTAATCAGAATCTTAGGACTTCAGAAGATAATCTCAGCTGTCTGTGTGACATATCCAGTATTTCATTTCAAGTACTACATTGAACACGTTGACAGGAATTTATTCATTTTGAAATGTAAACAAATGACACCTAAAGAAAATTAGGGCTGGCTGGTTTGATGAGAAAAGCATGACTCTGCAGTCTAAAGGTGACTTTGTAGAGGCTCCCAATTTGAATACAGGGTGGTCCTGTCCTCCTGGTGCTACAGCTCTAGAATTCTTAATGCACAGACAGAAGTTGCCAAAAGTGAGTGAAGAGAAACTCACATATTGTCTTCTTTTCTCTTGTATAATCAAAGAAATGCAAGCATGAGCCCCTGAAAAGTTATTTACCTCTTTTCCTATTATAGTTGGAATTCTAGTGAAATTAGAATAGCAATTATCACTTAAATAGCTGTAATAATTGAAGACTAGGATGAATAAGTTGTAAGTGGCCTGCTTACCTTCAAATGTAATTCCTCACAATTTGCAGAATGAGACAGTGAACCTAGTGTTTCCTTTATGATAAATTAATCATTTTAAAAATGAGAGAAAATGCTATGATTTTAAAACTTAGCATGTCTTATTTTTAAGTTAGTGTTTCAGGTGATCTCAGAATGTTATTCATAATGGCACCTTACGATGATGATGCCTTCCTGGAAAGACATGCAGACTGACATTTAGATCAGTCATTTCCAAAGACAGAATATCTGTTAACTAGAGAAATCCTGTCCCCTGAACTAGGATAGAGCATTGCATGAAGGAAACTGTGAACATTGAAAATCTCCAAGTTTCAAAAATTGCCATGTGGAAAAAATACTGTACTGCACAGCTTTACTTTATTTTGTGCGATAGAAACGTTTCTTGCCAGGTGCAGTGGCTCATGCCTGTAATCCCAGCACTTGGGAGGCCAAGGCAGGTGGATCACCTGAGGTAGGGAGTTCAAGACCAGCCTGGCCAACAGGGTGAAACCCTGTCTCTACTAAAAATACAAAAAATTAGCCAGGCATGGTAGTGGGCACCTGTAATCCCAGCTACTCAGGAGGCTGAGGCAGAGAATTGCTTGAACCTGGGAGGTGGAGGTTGCAGTGAGCTGAGATCACGCCATTTCACTCCAGCCTGGGCAACAAGAGCTAAACTGTGAGAAAAAAAAAAAAAGAACGAAAGAAAGAGAAAGAAGGAAGGAAGGAAAGAAAGAGAGAAAGAAAAGAAGAGAAGAAAGAAAGAAACATTTTTAAAATTCTAACTGTAATTGTAAAGGCATAAATAGAATCTGATTTAAAAGACTTAATTGAATTTCACACACAGTGAATCCTTGTGAAATATAAGAACTTTTTCTAAAAAATATTTATCTTAATATATAGCATGATTTGCTTTTTTTTCATTTCAGAATTGGTTTTCTTGTTGAAAGTTATACAGTAATATTCGATCTTTTCTTCAACATATTAATTAGATTTCTACTTAAGCTAAATGGCAGGACTGTTTTCAGTACCTCAAAGAGAGCAAGGGTATTTTGCTGCATTCACTTTCTGGAACTCTGCTGCACTTGGCCTGTGGTCTTTCTGTCAAGCTGGTTGTGATAGCAAGGGATGCTGAATGCGTTCATGAGTTCGAGAACCTGGGTTCTGAGCTGGAAGTCCACATCAGAGCGTGCGCTAAGTGCAAGTGCAATGAGTCAGAAGCTAATGAAAAGGGTCCAAAGTGTGCAGGCAACAGGGGCACTGTGGCTCCTAGGGGCATTTGCCAGCTTGGCAAAGTGCTTATCGGAGAAATGAGGAGTTTCTGACAACTTGGGCTAGTCACAGGCTTCATGGTGAAACTTATTATCATCAACAGCAAGCCCACAATAGATTACCGAGGACAGGGTATTGCCCTTGTGATCAGCAAGTATCACACAGGAAAGGTAAATGTTGTTGTAAAACTAAAAAAGTAAGCCCACAAAATTTTGGAAATTCTTCCTTTGCAGTCCCCAAACATAATCCTTTGGAATCTGTCTGGAAAGTCTTTTCCATCTGAATTACTAAAAGCCCTTCTAAGAGAAATTTGAATCTTGGCGTTGTATGAGCTGTGAATCACTGACAGACATCTACAGATCTACAGAGGTACAGTTTTCTGTCTGTGCTTATATCTACAGCTTTAACTGTATAAAGTGACTCAATCTAAGCCACTAGCTCTTGAGACACCTCTGCAAGATCGTGTATAAACAAGACCTACTAGAATTACTCTCAATGACTTTCAAATTCGGTACTGTTTTATTGTAGAAAGCTGTTACAGAGAATTAAAATCTCCGAGGCATCTTCGCATACCACGGTGCCACCCATGGAGTGATGATTGCTCTTAAAGGCTAATTTGATTATGTGCCACCATTAATGGTGAAATGGGAACGTTTGAAAACACTGTTAGATTCCAGTACAACAATTTCCCTCCCTACCCGCCAAGCTTACTTGTATTTAAGTTGCAGAAAACATCCAGTGTTTCTTATTTAAAGGCCTGGCACTCTCTTGGCTTATATGTTGAGGCACATGCCTGAGTCACACTTTGTGTCTGATGTGCAATGAGGTCCCCTTGGAAATTGCCACCTTTACTCTCTTGCCACTTTGTCTCCACCAATGAGGGTTTCCCAGCCCAGCGCATATACTCTGACGACCAGGCCACAAACAAGAGCATGTTGGAGGTGAAAAGAGGATGAGGCTCTAGAACAGTGTCAGACATTTGCAACACTGTATATGCTTAGAATAGGCAGTCAACATGTTAGGAAGAAACAGGTAAGGCTTTGGAGTCAGAAAAACCGGATTCAAATCTCCCACAGGCCAATCACTTAATTTCTTAGGTCTCAGATTTCTCACCTATAAACAGAAGAACAAATCTTTCTCATAAAGGAAGCTGTAAGAACTGGAACAGAAACAGAATAAAGATTATTATGGACAACCAATAAATGGTAGCAATCTTTATTACTATCATTACAGAAAGGTTTGTACAGCTGCTCAAAATTATGGTTTGGGGCTCATTGAAATTAGAAAATTCTGTAGAGAAAATGTCCTTATTGAGATAGCCTAGGACAAACCAATCTTAGCATCTATCACTGCCTACCTTCCAGGGAGGAGTAGACAGCAGAGGGAAGAGAGATCAGCTTTGTATAATGGACAAATCAAAGATAAACCAGATAGAGCTAACGAAATGCATTCTACCTAAAATTAAACCCAATATTCTATAACTCTCTACTAATGTTACAGTGTCTACATTGTCTTCCTTTGTTCTGGTTTCTGACTTCTGTTCTCCCTCTCCACATCTTCCTTCCATTCTCTTTCTGATCATGTCTATGCATCTGTCAAGTTTATCTGCTGATAGTATAATCTATGATTCCAAAGACTTAAGAAGGATGTAAATAAATACTGCTGTGCCAGGCACTATATTCACCAGGTGTTTCATATAAATTAGTTTAACTAACCCTAACAACAACCTTGAAAACATAGCATTAGAAAATAAGGGAACTGGGCAGGGCGTGGTGTCTCACGCCTGTAATCCCAGCACTTTAGGAGGCCGAGGCGGGCGGATCACGAGATCAGGAGACTTGAGACCATCCTGGCTAACATGGTGAAACCCCGTCTCTACTAAAAATACAAAAAATTAGCCGGGCATGGTGGCGGGTGCCTGTAGTCCCAGCTACTCGGGAGGCTGAGGCAGGAGAATGGCGTGAACCTGGGAGGTGGAGCTTACAGTGAGCCAAGATTGTGTCACTGCACTCTGGTCTGGGGGCAGAGTGAGACTCAATCTCAAAAAAAAAAGAAAAGAAAAAGAAAAGAAAAGAAGGGAACTGAAGCTGTTTTCCAATTAAGAAGATTTCTGAAGGTCTCACAGAGGGGAGCTTCTGAAGCCAGAAACTTAATCGGGACTTACCTACCTCCTGTGCAGTGCTGGTGCTGAGTGACTCGCTTAGCTGAAACCCCTAAATTAGAGCTCCATGCTTTGTTTTGTTCTGTGTCCTGGTTGTTTCTCTGAGCTCCTTGTGCATCCAGAGACAGCAGATCAAAGGCATCCCTTTTGCTGCATCCTCCATAGCTCTGAGACAGGCCTGAAGAACCTGAAGAGAATGTTGGACTAGAAGAGGGTCCATTATCTCACTAAACGCACACTAATGACCTAAAAAGAGGCTTTGAGATTATCCTTTCATAATTTTGCTCAGTGTTCTAGGACTATGTAAGCAAATACAGGCTTCTTTGACTGGAAGTAAATTAGTCTAATGATGTTTTGTGGCAATCCCTTCCAACAACGTCAAAATAATCTGTTTGTCATGACTTGACCTTATTTTGTTATAATCCCTGTGATATGGTTTGGCTGTGTGCCCACCCAAATCTCATCTTGAATTGCAACTCCCATAATTCCCATATGTCGGGGGAGGGACCCAATGGAGGTAATTGAATTTTGGGGGCAGGTCTTTCCCGTGCTGTTCTCATGATAGTAAGTCTCATAAGAGCTGATGGTTTTATAAAGGGGAGTTCCTCTATACAAGCTCTCTTACCCACCACCATGGAAGACGTGACTTTGCTCCTCATTCACCTTCTGCCATGGTTGTGAGGGCTCCCCATCCATGTGGAACTGTGAGTCCATTAAACCTCTTTTCTTTATAAATTACCCAGTCTCGAGTATGTCTTTATTAACAGCGCGAGAACAGACTAACACACCCTGTGGCAGAGACTTGATGTTATTTCCCAAATCTTAGTTTGTTTTCCTCTTTGGCATGCAATGAGACTATATTTCACGGTTTTCCTTGCATTTAGGTGGGCATGGATGACTAAATTCTGGCCAATGGAATGTGGCTCCAGTAGCTGAAAGGTGGAAGATCTCTAACATGGAACATGCTACCCCTTCCCACCTTCATGACCTTCACTGTTCTCTGATTAGAGCAAAAGATAAATTTCTATTATCTCAAGCTAAGATCTGAGAAATACTTGTCATAGATAGCCTACGCTGTCTAATGCAATCTATTTCAAGAATATAAAGCAGCATCCCTCAACTGGGAGTAATTTTGCCAATTAGGGATATGGAAATGTCTGGACACACTTAAGATTACAACTGAGGAAGGGGTAGTATTGGCATTAATGGGTAGAGGCCAGGAATGTTGCTAAAAATTCAAAAACATAGGACTGTCTTCCACAGTATAAAATTTTTCAACCCAAAATATCATTAATGCAGAAGTTGAAAAACCCTGCTTAAAGTTAAGTCCTCTGGGGGAAAAATTGATTATCTGGTACACACTCGATAAGCTCTTGATTGACTGGCTTCTTTGAGAAAGAACTTAAAAAAATAATGCTATCCTCATGCCGACAATCTTTTAAGCAGGTATTTATTAGGAAAAAATTTAGTCATAGAAGAAGTCACTGTTTGTGTTTCAAATTTTCTATATATAGGAAATTGTGCTAGTTAATTAAATTGGCAGATTTAGTAAAACAAACATCTTTTATTCACAGAAGTAGTGTAGTTTACTTAATTGATGCACTTAAATCTGGAGGTTGGCCATTATAATATTAGCACTATGTGAGAAATATGTATGCTGTTTACCAAAATAGTTAATCTGAGAAGTTGAAGGAAACCTTCTACCCTGATTTTGGAGCTCCTGCTTTGTCTGCAGGGATTTACCAATTAGAACAATGTATGTGATGGGAATTGAAATGAGGCCACCAACCCCTTTTAAATGTGATATTGGAACAGTCCCTGGTTGGGAAATATACATTTCAGTCACTGGTTCGCATTTCTTTTTTTTTAAATTTTTTAATTTATTTTTATTTTTTATATTGAGATGGAGTCTCAATCTTGTTGCCCAGGCTGGAGTGCAATGGTGCGATCTTGGCTCACTGCAACCTCTGCCTCCCAGGTTCAAGCAAGTCTCCTGCCTCAGCCTTCCAAGTAGCTGGGATTACAGGCACCTGCCACCACACCCAGCTAATTTTTTGTATGTTTTTAGTAGAGATGGGGTTTCACCATGTTGGCCAGGCTGGTCTGCAATTCCTGAGCTCAGACGATCCGCCCACCTCGGCCTCCCAAAGTGCTGGGATTACAGGTGTGAGCCACCGCGCCCGGCCACTGGTTTGTATTTCAAGTGGCAAACTAAAACGAACAAATATGATAGAATTTTCTAGTTTATTTTTTTTATTTTTTTAAACTGTTGTGTTTCATGTCTTTGCTAATCATTTCTAGTTTTTTTTGTTTTTTTGTTTTTTGTTTTTTGTTTTTAATAGTAAGGATTTCCTCTGTCTTGAATGCCAGGAAACAAGTTATTTCCATCCTGGTATTCATTGGATATTTGTAAGATCTTTATTCTTTTGTGGGATCAGGGAGAGGATGGGCACCCAGGCGTGAACCTGAGAAATTTCTACTGGGTTTTTCTGGAGCTCCTCACTGTAACGTGGCATTGTCCCCAAGGCCAGCTCTTCTTCCATGTGATTTTGCTACTCACACACGCAGCAATTACCATGTGGCATTAGCTGACCGTGCTGGGCGCAGCATTATTATTGTCATTATTTTTTCTTTTTTGAGATGGAGTCTCGCTCTGTTGCCCAGGCTGGAGTGCAGTGGCACCATCTCGGCTCACTGCAAGCTCTGCCTCCCCGGTTCACGCCATTCTCCTGCCTCAGCCTCCCGAGTAGCTGGGGCTGCAGGCGCCCGCCACTACACCACACAAATTTTTTGTATTTTTAGTAGAGACGGGGTTTCACCGTGTTAGCCAGGTTGAACTCGATCTCCTGACTTTGTGATCCGCCCGCCTCGGCCTCCCAAAGTGCTGGGATTACAGGCGTGAGCCACCGCGCCCGGCCCGTTTATTTTAAATATCACATCCTCGTAATAAAAATTTCCCTCAATGTTCTTTGAGGCATCCACTTAAATAACTCAAAAATGTTTTTTGCATTCTTTAAGAGGTTTTTATAAGCCAGACAACCTTAATAACCATGGCCTCAATCACAGACAGTAAAAATATGCTTTGCATTTCTCTTCTAACCCTAATACCTAAGCCAGCTCCTGGTAAAATGTTATCCGAACCTTTTTACTCAATTCATGACAGGTTTTTGGGATATATTCTACTTTCCAGGCACTGAGTTAAATTCTGGAGACCAGAAGACCAAGACGTTGTCCCTACACTGACATTTTATCTAATAGTCCTGTTTTCAGATTCCTTGCCCTAAGCTCTTCCTATTTTTTGATTTCTCTCCTCCAGTTCTCATTCCATATCAGAGGGCTCCTGTGGATGCTCCATGCTCTACGGGATTGCACTCTTCCACCTGCCTCCCATCTCTCCATGTAAAGAGGCACCCAAAGGAGCTTCCACTCTATTGACTCTCTGGAGCGATGTTTTGCGGTGGCCGCTATGACTTTACCACATTCCAGGACAAGCAATTTAAACCTCATGCCTCAGATCCCCCACCTGGAATGTGAGAATGATAGTGGTATTCACCTGTTAGGGTTACCATGAAGATGAAATAAGTGAATGCCTGTTAGTTAACTATTAAGAACAGTGCCTGGCACATGATAAATGGTGTTCCATGTTGATGTTGATGCTGATGTTCTCATCCCTAAGTTCTCCCTTTCCCTTTTCAGCCAGGGCAATTAATCTGCCTTATGCCTGATTTCCTCAAGGCTAGGCTTTCTAAGTGTGGGATGATCATGCTTCAAATAAATGAATCCATATTAATATACTAACAGGAAAAGACTTGAGAACTTCCAGGCACACTTTCTTTCTCCTCTAGTTTAAAGGAGGTGAGCAGAAGACAAATATTTGTTTTTATCCATCACTACAATCTGATAGAAATATAGAATTTGTGTATTCAAATATGAACCCTCAAATTTGGATTATACAGAAAATAACATTTTAAGATTCTTACTTGTATTAGTCAGCATTCCATGAAAGAAACATATAACCAAGATAGATAGATAATAGCTAGCTAGGTAGCTAGCTAGATAGATTTAGATATATAGATAGAGTACAAAGAATTGGCCTACATGACTGTGGAGACTAGATAAGTCTGAAATCGATAGGGCAGGCCATTAAAAAAGAGAGAATGGAGACTCCCAGGCTGAAGCTGATGCTGCAGTCCACAGGGAGAATTTCCTGTCCCCCAGGTAAACCTCAGTTCTACCTTTACATCCTTTCAACTGGTTGAATCAGGCCCACCCAGATTATGGAAAATAATCTGCTTTACTGAAAGTGAACAGATTGCAGATGCTAACAAGGTCTACAAAATACCTTGCCAGCAACACCCAGGTTAGTGCTTAATTGAATGACTGGGTACTGTCGCCTGGTCAAGTTGACACATTGAAATGACAATCACACCCCTCTGTGTCAGATGTGTGATTTTGTATTTATTCCTCACAGAAATCCCAGGGCGAGGATTACTCCTCATTTCGTAAGTGAGGAAATTATGCTTTCATGATCTGAAATACTGTGTAACTCAACTAAATAGTAGGAACCAGGATTTGAACACGTGATTATTTGGCTCTAAAACCTGTTTTACATGCATTTTCTATAGGAAGTTTAGTTTTTCCTTCCATATTCTTGATCTCCTGCTTGGGACCTCAGTCTTTGTAGGCATGACGCATATGTGTAAGCATCGATCTCCAAGTACATAAAGCCACCCACACATGAGTTATTTTGGACTTTCCTATTGTTGTATTTATTTATTTTTCTGTTTAACTTCATTAGTATGGAAAAATCCAAGTTCACTAACTGCATTTGTTCCAGCTGTAATCTGTCTTCATTGCTGATTGGTATTTTACTATGCAGGAGAGGTTAGAATATTTTACTATGCAGAGTAATTTACACACAGAGTTGTCACCGTATCAAAGCCAAGTTTCAAACACCCAAGACTGGTCCGCATACTGCAGTTTTGGTAATGAGTCTGCCTGCCTAGTAAAGGATACCTAACTTTGAAGGATTTTTCTCCTTAAGAAAAAGGATCCCAATACCTCTTACTGGATCATAGAGATTTCCATATGTTCAGATCCAGGTAGTTTTGCTCAACGTACATATGATCTACATAACTATATATTATATATATATTATACAAGGGCACAGAACATCCAATAATCCAATTGCACACACCATTACCTCTTCTGAGGCACACAGACTTTTCCCTTAGATCTTCATACTGTTTACCTAAAAATATTTCATACACCTGTACATGAAATCAAAGACTGCTTTCTTTAATAAAGCAAAGGGATGATTTTAAAGGTAACTTTTAAAAATAGCCTGCCAGTATCTGCTTTTATACTCTAGAACAGAGTGAGTGATTTGTTTTCTGTTTCTTGTTCCCATTTCTCTTTCTTGCCCTAAAGGGAGTTGGTAAAATTTTCTGTGGTTTCACAGGGACAATTTTATGGTAGCTAACAGTAATATGAAGCCCATCTATGCCAGAGGGCTTTGCTACACTGGCCCCATCTGCGGAGAGTCCAACATTGATTCTGTCACAGGCTTCTGTCTTGAGCATCCAATTTGCCTCTAAGATATTTCAGCGTGTGGAGAGTTGTTTTCTTGACAGGCAGCCAAGGAAGCCAAGTATGTGATTCATTTTCCCAGAGAGAAAAAGAAAATCTTCCCATTAATTACCTCTCACCTATTTGTACAATGCAGATGAAGGGTTTGTTTCTCAATCAAATTATATTTTATTATACATGAAGAAGAGACTATCCTTTGTTTCATCGCACTAGATAATTTATTTTATAAAATTGTTATTAACTATTAATAATTGTTATTACACAGTGGGCCAATATTCTTTTCCACTAAACATGGATGAAGTAAGACAGCTTGCAAACTCAAAACACACACACATGCATGCATGCACTCACCAGAAAAAGAGCTCTTGCCTCTGGCATGATATCATCTGACAAGAGCATAGGGTGCTGTGCATATTATTTTTCAGGTTCTCCAAATAGGAACTAGAGCAGCCTGTCATATCAAATCTGAACTTGTCCAGCATTTCTAAGCAGAGTCCTCCACTCCCACCTTCTCCAATCATTTAAGAAATCTCCTTTCCTGGTACTGTTCAATAACAGATGCACTACTTACATATACTTTTTATTTTTTTGGAGGCAGGGCCTCACTCTGTCATCCAAAGTTGGAGTGCAGTGGCACGATCCTAGTTCACTGTAGCCTTGAACTCCTGGGCTCAAGGAATCTTCCTGCCTCGGCCTCCCAAGAAGTTGGCACTACAGGCACATGCCACCACACTCACTAATTTTTTATTTTTTTAATTTTTTTTTGTAGAGATATGAGTCTCACTATGTTACTCAGGCTGGTCTCAAACTCCTGGCCTCCAGTGATCCTCCCACCTCGGCCTCTCAAAATGTTGATATTACAGGTGTGAGCCACTGTGCCTGGCCATATTTTTTCTTTGAATTTACTTTGTACAATATTGTTAAGCTCCTTTTTCTGGCCATTTGGTCTCATCCAAGAAATAGTAAGCTTCTTGCAAAGAAGAAGCAGACGTTCTCTTTTGAGTATTTTCACACATCCTTCATGCTCACAGCATATAATCAAAGAATACAATTTTTTGTAAGACCTCAACAAAATTAAGTTCCTTGTTCTTATAGTTAAATTAGGGGGAAGTGACTGAACAGGAAAGCTACTGTTAAGGATATCATTCCTGGACCAAGTGCTTAGACACATACTAATGAAAGCAAGTCCCAGCCCATTCTAGCTCTGACCTTATCTCATGGAAGTTACCAAATCACTATCTACAGAAGCGTTAAAAGTCCAAGGAGATCAAAAGTATATAAGAGCTGTTTCAGAAAAACCAGCATCTTCTTGAACCAGAGGGAAACTTTGGAGACGTCATGAATTTCTCAGAAGAGCCCTAGCTCTAGAGACTATTATCTCTTGCCAGTACTAAAAAGGCTTAGCATTTTAATTCAGATTTTCTATACTGAGACAACATATGCTAACCATATTTGGAAGCAATTAAAATGGTGACACCCACTGCCATGCGCACATGTCCTCATTAACTTTGTGAATGTGTTACAGGCAGGTAGGAAAGACAGCTAGCGTCTCGAAAGAAAACCCCCGTAAGTGGAATTGGAATGGCAAATAATGGGAACAATCATAATGCAAATGTACATTAGAAGGTCATTAACAAACTGGTCAGATTACTTGCAACCTATGTAAAAATCAGATGTACCAGTACCCACCAGGACATATGCAGATTCCCTCCCATTGTAGTAAAAACCATCTTGAGTGTAACAGATTGACTGGGTGTGTCAGGCTGAGAGGCATTAGCAAAGCTGCTGTGTGCATGGAAGAAATAAAGAAGGACTTATGGAGCATGCAATTGCAAGTTCTCCCTGGGCCCAGGACTACATCATTAAGAGATGGCTCCATAATAACACACGCTCACTCCCCATTCCCATCCACAGAAATAAAGTCATGGTAAACCTTTAGCAGCAAGAGCAACCTTGAAGGGGAAAAGTGGACCAAGAGGCAGCTAAAGGAAGGTGATCTGGAAAAAAGGTCCAGTGCCACCATTATTACCAGATGAAAGGGAGGTAAGCTAAGGACAGAAATGTGCAAAAGGCTGCAGTAGGGGTGGTGTGAGGCAGCTTTCTTGCCAACTAATCTTATTTAAAACCTATCTATCTTATTTGATATATCTTATTAGGTATATCAAATAAGATATATCAAATATAATCAAATGTTGTATCTGTCAGGCCTCTGAGCCCAAGCTAAGCCATCATATCCCCTGTGACCTGCACGTATACATCCAGATGGCCTGAAGTAACTGAAGAATCACAAAAGAAGTGAAAATGGCTGGTCCATGCCTTAGCTGATGACATTACCTTGTGAAATTCCTTCTCCTGGCTCATCCTGGCTCAAAAGGTCCCCCACTGAGCACCTTGTGACCCCTGTCCCTGCCTGCCAGCGAACAACCCCCTTTGACTGTAATTTTCCACTATCCACCCAAATCTTATAAAACGGCCCCACCCCTATCTCCCTTCGCTGACTCTTTTCGGACTCAGTCCGCCTGCACCCAGGTGATTAAAAAGCTTTATTGCTCACACAAAGCCTGTTTGGTGGTCTCTTCACACGGACGAGAGTGAAAATATCAAACCTATCTTATTAGATACATCAATTTGATATCTAATAATATATCAAACCTCTCTTATTTGATATATCAGTATCACAGGTTTTCTTTTTTCTTCTGAGAATCTATAAGAGAGCCTGACTCTTCAACGGTCTCCAAATTTTGCTTCTCTCAATTCTTCTCTCTCCTTCTCTCCTCTATTGACCCTCATCAGAAAATCAAGGAGAGATTGGACCATACTGCTTGGCGTCCTACCTTTACAAGAAAATCTGCCTCAGCAATCAGTAGTTCAAGACAAATGTGGTGCCACATTTTGTCTATACACCCCTGCTAGGTCCCCAAATGTCAGCGTGATTCTGAGTCTCAAATCTTTGTAGTTCCAGGTAAAATTGCTACATCTTTTCTCCCTACCAGATGCCTCCTGTCGTCACTGTTGACCCAGAGCTCTGGCTCAGGGTGATGTTTCTACCCTGTGGTTGGCTTGTCTTTCCTTTAGAATGCATCCAGAGTTGGAGTTGGCAAATGTAGAGTAGGTACATATTCAGAAAGAAAGCAAGACAGCAAGGAAGGAAGGAATAAAGGAATGAGGGAGGGAGGGAGGGAGGGAGGGAGGAAGGGAAGGAAGGGAGGGAGAGAAGGAAGGGAGAGAAGGAACTAAAAATAGGGTGACTAGTTTAGGTATGATTGTACATATTTTAATTGCCGCAAAAAGATGCTTCCCTCTCCTCAATTAATTCTTCTACCCTGATTCCTCATTGTATATGAAATGCCATCATTAAAAAAATAGTTTGTTGGTTCTTGTCCCTACAACTAATACTACTAATACTCTTCTATAACAACTACTACTAATATTCATGAAATATATAAATAAATAAAAATAAATAGTAAAAATAATAAAGACTTCACAATTTAGATTACGTACTTTTGATATTAAATAGAAATTTACACTTTTCATAAACAGACTGTCTTTTTAACTTCATTGCAATATGCGGACTAGGTTTTATTATACAGATAAGAAATTGAGACTCAGAGGAGTTAAATAATTTAATGAAATTCACACAGATAATAAATTTTATAGTTGAAATATATAAGCAGTTCTTCTGACTTTAAAATATGATCCTTCCCACCCCCATATATCAAGTTGCATGTTTTTGCTTGCTGCCTTTTAAAAAGTAGAAATAATCCTCGGTCAAATGCTGCACATGAATTCACATTAAAGTGTCTGCACTCTCCTGCTGATAAAGACCCAAATGTGGCAGAAATGGTACAGAAGAGGAGGCAGCTTGGGATTTGGCAGTCTTGTGAAGATTCAGCCATGGCTATAAACAAGGGTATGTGGAATCCAATGGGAGCCTTCTTAACTACCACATCCCAAAGAAGTAACAGAGAGCTCAAGCCCTTCAGCCCATTTCACAGATGGAGATGCTGAGGCCAAGGCTATTAGACACGTCCACTATGCTACGTTAGATCGGTGACAAAGCTGATTCTCCTGACTTCCAGTCTAGTGAGCTTTCTATCATCCAGTCCTGTCCCTATGTGATCAGCTGCATAAATTCTGAGTAAAACAACTGACTATATTGTTCAATATCCACTGTAACATGCAACTTGCTCATCAGAAAGTTAAGGCTAACTTTTTCCCCAACAGGAAAGTCAGAAACAAATCATTTTTAGTAATAATGAAGCTCTGTTAGAAGTACCACTCACCTTAAAAATATGTTTAGGAATTATTAATATACTCTCAGCATTCTGATTTTCCTGGCTTTCTGAAGCTAAGATGTTGCAGGAGAGCCTTCGTGGCTTTGATCACAGGCAATCAAAGAGGACTTTGTGTAGCTTCCAGGGACACGCTGTTGCTGGAAAAGTCGGAGCTCTGCTATGCAAAAGAAACTGCTACAGAAATCCCCTTCATTCTTAACTCCAGATCGAATTAGGATCAGAAGGCTCTTGTTCGCTGCCCAGGAGTCTGTGGTTTTAATTTTCTTATCTGCATTTTTCTTTCCTGCCCGTTCCAGGTAGCTGTCACAAAAAATATGAAAAGGGTGTTAATTTGTTGATCGTTCTTTGCTGCTTCTCACTTTCATGTTTACAGCAAGGAGAAGAGCAATTGTTTCTACCAGTAGCTTTAGTATTTTGAGTTCTCATGTGTGTAATAACTATCTTGGTAGGCCCAGAACACACAATCTCATCCAATTTTGAAATTTGGATTTTATGCCAGATGGATTATTTCAGTACGGATTACAAATGCTTATACTATTCTGCCTAGCAGAGTTTGGGTCATAAAAATCATTAAATGTAAAACATTGCACAAAGTTGCCCAAATTGTCATGTCTCTGGCCAAATTTGTGGAAATAAAAGGAGCCATGCATTTGGGTTATTTCTACAGTTTGGAAACTTTGACTCTTATCTTCTCTTAAGCTACTCAGGAAATTTCCAGACTCTAAAATCTGAGAGGAATTGTTCAGACAGACAAAGGTGGTCCAGAATGGAGACTTTCCTGATGCCAAGGATGGCAGGACCCGTGAGTGTCCACTTCACCCCTGTGATCCTACCTCTCGTGAGGCTTTACTGATGACCTTGGCTTCCTCTTTGATGAAACTTTTGGTGGCTGAGCCTCTTGAAACTGACTTGGACAAGCTTGGACAAACAACCTTCTTTTGAATCAACAGAGTGTAACTGAAATACCGTTGGAAAATTCAAACAATACTCTGATTAATGCCAGGGAGAAACAATATGTAAATAAACCCAAGAACTTAAATGAATACTTAAGAAACATACACCTTGCTTTCACAGTGTTAGCTGGAACTCAGGAAAGGGGTGTTGGAAAAAGTGGAGGTGGCATGTCTCTTTTATTTTATTGTTTGAGATGAAACGGGATTAAGCATGTTTAAATTCTAAGGGAGAAAAAGGTTGCTGTAAATTGTGACTTTAAAAAGACTGACATTAAATCACAGAATATTTCTTCAGTGGGCTACTGAAATTTATGTCTGTAATCACTACTCATGCTTTCTATTCTTTTTTCTTTGAGATGGAGTCATGCTCTGTCGCCAGGCTGAAGTGCAGTGGTGCAATCTCTGCTCACTGCCAGCTCTGCCTCCCAGGTTCAAGCGATTCTCCTGCCTCAGCCTCCCGAGTAGCTGGAACTACAGGCACGTGCCACCACGCCCAGCTAATTTTTGTATTTTTAGTAGAGACGGGGTTTCACCATATTGGCCAGGATGGTCTCGATCTCCTGACCTCGTGATCCACCTGCCTCAGCCTACCAAAGTGCTGGGATTATAGGTGTGAGCCACCCGGCCTGGCCCATGCTTTCTATTCTTTCTTCAACAACTGATACTATCTTTCTTCAACCAACTGATACTTTCTGCCTTCGCCTCTTCTCAGGGTCTGCCTTGTTTACCTTAACCCCTGCAGGAAGCCAGATCACAATTGGAGATTTCCTTCCTGATCATGTAAAGAGAACACAACAAGGATTTGGGAGATTAATCTGATGTGTAAGAGCTAGACATATCCTACTCAAAAGGATGCTCTTACTCCCTAGCCAGGACCATGCATAAATGGCATGCCCATATTGCTCTGAGACTTTCTTTTCCCTTATCTTCCCATGGCTGTGCAGACATCAGTTGAGACTATATTCTTTCTTAGTACTCTAATACATTCAGGCAGGTTACAATCAAGTCTTGCAGTCCTGGGAGCTCTTTTGTCTATTTAAGGTAACTGTGATTCTCTACTTTTATTTATTATTTGTTTGGCTCATAGTTTAGCTCTCAGGGAACAATTTTATTTTCATTATTCCTAAGTTCTTGGGAGACACCTTATGGTATCCAACAAAGACTAACAACACCATGCAGCAGTGCAAATTCACTCTAAGTAAACCGATGAAAAATAGACCTTTAATCTGATTGAGGTGTAGAAAATGGCTACCTAAAAGTGATACTTTTTCCTTTTGATTATTTTGTATGGCAGTACCTTGAGTAGGGAAAAAATGTTTTCTTTTTCTCTGTGTGTAAAAATCACCAAAAGTTACTTTGAACATCAAAAGAACACCACTTTAAATTGCATTTCTGGTTGTTCCCTTCAATTGGCAATTCTCTGGTTTATATTTGTGTGTCATCTCTTTTAATGTCCTCTCTAAACCTGTTGCTCAATGATTCATTAAAATTGATAACACCCTACTTCAGATCAGCCAAGTCCTTTCACTTGAACTTTTTCTCATAGTCACTTTACAATTACAATCATTGAGTAAAATCTTAACTCTCTTGAGTGAACATTTATGATTTTCTGAATTAGCCGGAATGATATCAATACATGTGTTAGTGTGCACATGTGTGTAGACAGAGAAAATGAGAGAGAAAGAAACAGGGAGACCACTGAAGGAAGGTTATCCTCTGTATTTTATTCCCACAGTTCTTTGTTCAAATTGTGATTAAATCACTTATCAGATCATGCAATGATGTCACTATCTGTATTTGTCCTTGCCCTTACACTGTTTTACCCAGCTTTGTGTTTCAAGGGCTTGGCACATAGGCAGAAATTTCAAAGTTGTTTAACAAATGTTTGATAAAGTAATTAATTTCAAATCAGGGCCCAAGTGTGGTACCCAATCCATGTTCTAGTGTAGAGAGATGTTAAAATTAACCATGCAACCTAACATAACAGTCAGCACACAGAAGTGCAAAATAGTTCCAAGAATAATTGTGCTATGTGTAGCTCTTCTCTTTTCTCGATTTTTATTTTTTTTTTATTTTTGAAACGGAGTCCCGCTCTGTCACCCAGGCTGGAGTGCAGTGGCGCGATCTTGGCTCACTGCAAGCTCTGCCTCCCAGGTTCATGCCATTCTCCTGCCTCAGCCTCCCGAGTAGCTGGGACTACAGGCGCCCGCCACCACACCTGGCTAATTTTTTTGTATTTTTAGTAGAGAAGGGGTTTCACTGTGTTAGCCAGGATGGTCTCGATCTCCTGACCTCGTGATCCCCCCGCCTTGGCCTCCCAAAATGCTGGGATTACAGGCATGAGCCACCATGCCCGGACTCTCTTTTCTCAATTTTAAGAAATACAAAGTTTAAAAATGTTGCTTTGATTGGCTAATTTACCATACAATATTTTGTGTTTCATGGACCCACTTTTCATTTCATAACTGTCAAGGACGCACAAAATACCAGATTCAGGCTAAATGCCAGGAATTAAAGTCAGAACAAGTTTGAAATGAAAATAATAATAATAATTGGTAAGTAACCAGGCAGCATGACATAAGTATTCATTGAGGGAATCAGAGGCCCTGGATTTTAACCCTGTACTCTTTCTACCTGTGGGATCTAAGTCAAGTGTATTAGTTGTCTATTGCTAGCAATCTATTGCTAAGTTATCTATCAGTTACCCAAAGTTATCTGCCTTTTCTCCAAAATGCAGCAGCTTAATACAACACAAATTTATTATCTCACAGTTTCTGAGTGAGGAATCTGGGCATAGCTTAACTGAGCCCTCTTTCTTGAGGTCTCTCACAAAGCTACAATCATACACAAGAGTAAAGTCTCATCTGCAGTTTCAACAGCAGAGGCATCTACTTCTGAGTTTACTCGTGCAGTTGTTGACAGTATTCAAGTCTTGAGGATCGTTGGACTGAGGATCTCGGTTGCAGTTAGCCAGAGGGCACCCCCAGTCCCTTGCCATATGAGCCTTTCCAACATACTCTCTTGTTTTATCAAAGGGTACAAGCTCAGAAAGCATTAGAGAGACTCTGCCACCAAGATACATGTCACAGTCCTCTATAATCAAATCACAGAAGTGACATTTAACCACTTTCTCTGTATTCTGTTGTCTAGGAGAAAGTTACTAGCCCCACTTTCAAGGGAAGGGGACTACACAAGACTGTGAATGCCAGAAGGTGGGGATCATTGGAGGCCACCCTAAAGACTGCCCGTCACAACAAGTGACTACGTTTCTCTAAGCCGACTTTCCTCTTCTGTAAAATACAGGTCAAAGTGTCTCCTACCTCATGGGATTGATGTGGAAATCAAATAGTACATTTAAGCCCTGAGCATATAGTGAGTGCTCAGTAAATGTTAGGCATCATTAGGTAATTACAACACACCACAAAATGTCCTATGCTGTCCTTATCCCAAGGACTATAGGAGTACATGGAAAGAACAGATAACAAGATCTTGAAAAATATAGACCAAATTTTCAGAACAAGTGAAGTCTATCCTGAGACCTGAATGAAGGAGAGCTGTAATCAGATGAAGAATAAGAAGCAAGACAATAGAATTCCAGGGAGGAAAAAAAAAAAAAAACCTAGCTGAGAGAGAGCAGTAGTGCCAGCTAGCTTGACAACTAGGAAGGATTTCTTGCCCCCTCTCCTCAGAATGTCTGCTTTGAAAAGTGGAACAAAGACAGAAGTGATGTTGGAGGTGTGCAAATGTGCATATGCATGCGTCAACTCCACCACAAGGACACATGGTACACAGGACTCCACCTGATGGAAGTTGGTTGGCCTTTAATAAATACAGAAATCTCTAGAGAGTGGGAAAGAGAAGGATGAAAGTGGGAAAAGGAGTCAGAATTGTCATCTCTAGATGAAAAAGTTTTCTAAGTTTCCAGGGATGCCTCCTCTGGGAGTGAGATGCCACCTGGCTCCCAGCTCCTCTCAACCAGTAGGTCCCTGGACCAGGAAGAGGCAGACCCCCAGAAGAACTCCCTTGGCTCATCCATCCTCAAGAATTTTATTTTTATAACTTATAACTTATGTACACGAATTTCTATTTTTTTAACTTCTATTTTAAGTTCAGGGGTACAAGTGCAGGTTGATTACATAGGTAAACTTGTGTCATGGGGGTTTGTTGTACAGATTATTTCATCACCCAGGTGGTAAGCCTAGTACCCATTAGTTATTCTTCTTGATCTTCTCCCTTCTACCACCCTCTGTCCAGTGAAAGGTCCCAGTGTGTGTTATTCCTCAAGAATTTTATGACACCGTTTAAATTTCCCAATTCTAACACTGGCCAAATTTGATATTAGCCTGAAATTCATTTCATAGCTTCCATATTTTGAGGTAATTATATTAATTTTCACTTGATTTATGTTTTCCTTTGAATCACTGATACATTTAGATTGCTCAAAATAAAACAAAATATTATTTCTTTTATATATATATTTTTTTCTGAGATGGAGTCTCACTCTATCACCCACGCTAGAGTGCAGTGGCTCCATCTCAGCTCACTGCAACATTTGCCTCCCGGGTTCAAGTGATTCTCCTACCTCAGCCTCCAGAGTAGCTAGGACTACAGGTGCATGCTACCACGCCCAGCTAATTTTGTATTTTTAGTACAGACGGAGTTTCACTATGTTGGCCAGGCTAGTCTCGAACTCCTAACCTCAGGTGATCCACCTGCCTAGGCCTCCCAAAGTGCTGGGATTACAGGAGTGAGCCACTGTGCCCAGCCTAAATATTATTTTAAAGTACACGCTGAAGAGCCACTTTCCCACTCCCATGTCTGTCCACCCTCTTCCAAAGCATAAATGGTAACCACTTTAACTTCTCTCCAACTTTTTTCTTTGATTTTCTCCCAACATTTTATTTTGAAATTTTTTAAAGCATGAGAAAAGTTGCAAGAATTCTATAAACACCCATATGCCCTTCAGTGAGCCATCACTTGACACCATTCTGCCACATTTGCTTCATCTCTCTCTGTATGTATACATTTACATGTATTTATTTGGGAGTTAGGTACAGAAATTCTGATACTTTACCCCTATGATTGAATCCTCCTAAAGAAACATGCAGAAATATCTAAGAACACCTTGAAAAAAAAAAAGAAGTGAGGAAGGGACTAGCCCCATCCAGCGTGAAACCATCCTGTAAAGGCTCTATAATTAAAACAGTGATACTAGAGCATACCTAGACAGACATACCAGAGAAACAGCATAGAATACGCAGAAACAGACTCAAGCCTGTTTGTGGAAATTTAGAAGCAATTAAGGTGCCATCTCAAAGCAATGAGAAAAAAATGTTCTTTTTAATAAATGGTGTGGAGGAAACTGGATAGCTATTTGGAAAAATGTAACCTCAGATTCACTATGTTCATAAAATACACTCCAAATGTGCAAAACATGAAACCATACAAGTACTAGAAGAAACCGTGAGTAAATTTCTTTAGAATCTAAGTTCAAGAAAATCCAAGTACAATTTCAAAAACTGATAAATTTGACTGTATACATGATTTTAAAACATCACATGGCAAAAAATAAAATGTGTACAAGAAATTCATCCATGAAACCACTTTTAGTCCATATGTTTACTGAACCACGCAGTGAGGTTTATTATTCAGCATTGATTAATGTTCCGTGAGTTCAGACGGAGCTAGGCTCTTTTCTCTGAGATTGCCTTTAAAGATGGGTTGAGTGACTCAGTAATATACAGTGTTGTTCTGGGTCCAGGAAATGGATGTTGTACTTGAAGGATCTGCTCACTTTGTCTCCAATCCAAGTATTTAACATCCTTCTATGTTTGTGTGGTTCTCTCTCTTTCTACTTAATTTTGCATTTAATGTATTTCTAATAAAAACATGAGACTCAATTAAAGACACTCAGTTTGAGTTTGGAAGCATCAGAAGACAGAAATGCTTTTTTTTCTGATTCCTTTTGAACAACAGAAATAAATTGAACTCAATCATGTTTGCATGAATGATTCTATTTTTGTTTAAGGAAATCTTGCATCCAAAGACTTTGCAGAATTAGATAAATTCCTTGTCAGAGTTTTGCAACTAATTTATTTTTATTTGAAGGCATATGGTTAAGAGTCTTTCCTTGACAAAATACCATGAAATTAATTTTGATGTATCACTGTAAATGAGGCCATTGTACCTTCTCCATGATTAAATATTCACAAACATCACCCAGAGCTTTCAAAAGGACTCTGTTTCCTTCTCTCAGCAAAGGCCTGGCAAGTAACAACAGTCCATTTCCTAGTGATGAGTAAATGCAAGAAAATATGTAAAGATCCAAGAATTTGTCAAATGAAACAACGGCAATCAATTTTCTACCACTCGACCTGTGGAAACATGTAAAGTCCCCAATGAGATTTTACACTATAAACATAACTGTTGGATAACTTAAAATATGGCAGTTTAATAAAAATGGTCATGTTCCAACAGATCATTCAACCAGCAAGCTCTGAAACCTTCTATATATAAATTCATATATCAAGATGTATCCTTCAAGAAATATGTGTCTTCTAGTAGGAATGTAGGCTGTTGAAATTTAAATAAGTTATTTTTTATCAATATGATTTTGAAATGGTTCTAGAATTCCAAAGGTAGAAATAGGAAAGTCTGTTTTCTTTATTGCAATTTTTAAAAATTTGCTTCTTGGCTGATAAGATACTAAATAGCAGCTACATTCACAATGATTTCAGAAATGCCCCCCACCATCACCCACATTTACTCACAGTTTGTTCCCTTTTAAAATGTGACGATTGCTGTTTTGCAGTGACAAAAAAAATGTATTGATGTTCTAATTTAAAAAAAACATAAATTAACCTGTCAATGATTGAACATCATTAAAAGAGCTGATCAATATAATAAAAATCAGGTCTCCAGTTTCAAGTCATGGCATGAGAGAGCCATTTAATGTCCTAGGAACTCAATTGCCTAAATTGTGCAGAGCAAAGTTTTAAAAGGTTGCAAATTGTCTTAAGGACAAGAAAAGCACCAGAAAGGATAGTTTGGAGGAACATTGAGTAAGCCTTCCAAGAAGGCCCTGGCAAAGGGGCAATGGAAGAGACTGGGATTAACCAGGTGTCTGAGGATTGAGTACACATCGCCCTGGTAGTACAGAAAGGCTTTCTGAGAGAAACAAGAGCAGTAAGGTGTTTAAGGGAGTTGGTTTCTACATCTTCAGCTTCCGTAGTCATCTTCCCTAAAATCTATCTTCTTGAGAAAGTAGAATATTTCAGCTATCTACTTGGTGAATTGCCCTTCCCTCCCTTAGCAAAGAAAAGGCCAACCTCTCAACCCCCTGAGTCGTCTGCAGTGCCTTGTCACGGGTATAATGACTCCCCTGTGATTGGTAACCATGGTTCCCATGTAACAAATCTTTTAGCAGGTTGAGCACTTTCAAATATTTTCCTATCAAACATTAAAGGAGTAACTAATTGAATTGGCTAATAGATTGTTAAAGATACTCTTTGATGACAGTTTGCTGTTTGATTTTGGCATGTGGCACTGAAGAGTTTCAAAGACATTGCTCTGGCAGAAGTCTCTCCATTCCCACCTCCTTATTTCTCTGAACAAGATTTCTGAGCTGCCTCATGGGGTGGTTGTGAGGATTTCAGTTAATTAATAGGCCAGGCACGATGGCTCACGCCTGAAATCCCAGCACTTTGGGAGACCGAGGCGGGCAGATCATGAGGTCAGGAGATTGAGACCATCCTGGCCACCATGGTGAAACCCCATCTCCACTAAAAATACAAAAATTAGTTGGGTGTGGTGGCATGTACCTGTAGTCCCAACTACTCGGGAGGCTGAGGCAGAAGAATCGCTTGAACCCTGGAGGCAGAGGTTGCAGTCAGCCGAGATTGTGCCACTGCACTCCAGCCTGGTGACAGAGGGAGACTCTGTCTCAAAAAAAAAAAAAAGAAAAGGAAAATAAGGGCAGCATGAGGAGCAGTGGCTGCCATGTGATAAGGACCATGTGGGGGATTGATGCTATTATTACTCATACTATCGTTGGTTTATGTTGCTTGATGAATCGTGTACTAATAAACAATGTAATAGTCACTTAATCCAGAAGAAGTTTTTTCAATTGAAATCATTTTGGTCACAGAAAACTAAAATTAATGCATATTATAAACAGTGTGTTTGTGTATGTGTGTGCATGTGTGTGCATGTGCATGTGTGTTGCACAACATATGACAGTTATCTATAAAACATCTCCAAATCATAAAAACACTTTATGGTAAAATTATGGTGGAAGAAGTTCAAAGAGAAAGGTGATAATATAAAAAGAGTGAAAAACAACTTAGTGTGTATTTTTAAATGGATGTTGGTGGAAATCAAATCACACTGGCGTTTATATTCTACTGCATATTTTAATTGAGTAAAATAATTACTTTTAAATGCCAATATTTTGAGGATGTTGGAAATTATATATTTGGCAGTATTTAAAATCACTATAAAATTTGTTTACATATTGTTCAAAATTACTTTTTTGGGGAGAAAAGAACAAAAATGTCTGAAGACCTCTGCTTTGTACCATATAAAATGAATGCACGATGTTCCTTTACTCTTCCTAATCTTCATACTACTGTCAGAGTAACCAGCTAACTGCCCTGGCTTGGTCTTATCTCTCCCTAGACTTCTTCAATTCTACACTGCCTTTTGGATTTTAGGAAAAATCTAAACTCTTCAGTGCAGTTTACAAGCCCTACAAATATTCTCCCACATCCCTTTCCTGTCTCTACTTCTGTAATTTTGCATGACTTCAACTTCTATCCACACAGAACCACTGGTTATGGGAACTATCCTTGGTCTCTCCCCCTCCCTTATTCCGTTTCCTCTCCCTAGAATGTCTTCTGTTTCTCATCACATTCAGATCTCTGTTTAAATGTCATCTTGCCAGAGAGACCTACCTGGACCATCCTATCTAAAATAGGAGTCTGTCTCCATCACTCTTAACCCCCTCATTCCGCTTTATTTGTAATCACAGCACTTTTCACTGCCTGTCATTATATTATATTTTTAATGTCCTTTTTCTCCAATGTACTATAATTTTCATGAAGGCAGCAACTAGGTCTACCTTTTTCACTCCTGTACCCCTATTGCCTCAAAACCATTCTGGCACATTGTAGACAGCCAATAAATATTTTAAATGAATGCATACATAAATAAGAAAATGTCTAATTTGATTTTTGTGTCCCCAGCACAGTTTAATTTCGCAATAAATGTGTACTGACTTGAAGACATTACAAAAGGCTGCATTATTGTTTCCAAGAGCAATATCTAGTTTCTTTATCTGAAGATATTTTAGTAAATGACAAGTGGTTTTTGTTTCTAAAAGAAGCAAAATAAAGAATAAGAACTTTACTAGATAATCAAGTTCCTTTTACATTCTATGACTTTATGATAATTCAAGATAGATAGATGCATTAAAAATAATCACCTTGTACAGTCTGTGAATTCATATTCTCTGAAATATAGTTCCTCCACAGAAACCACTTGGAGATGCTACCATATCTGAGAGAAAAAGAAAAAGTCGTTGCTTTGTTTTCAAATTAATCATTTATTGTTTCCATACAATTTATTTTCTTCAGTGTCTTAAGCACAAAGGATCATTTCTGCTTTTACCCTTTCAAGTTTCATTTCTGTGGGATATTTAACAATGCAAGAGACTTGCAAAAGAAGTCAACTCTCTCCAAGTGACTGCAAAAAGATTTGAAATCCATCCTCTTGGTATGATGGAGGTAACACCTCAAAAACTGTTTGCTTCTTCTGAATGTAGTTTGGAATCTTCTCAAAGGTGGGAAGATGGTTGTAATTATTAAAGATGGCTTTATAAGAGAAATGCATGCATATACACATATGAGTGTTCGTGAGCACACATATACACACCCCACACAAACAGATAAAGTGGGAGAATTAGGAGCACAAGTGAGTCACTATCAGCAAAATTTCCCAAGTGGGAAACCTCACTGAAGTCAGTTCATCCAAACCTCTCTGTCTGCCCAGTGCAACGCACTTCCATTCAGTTCTGTGCTGCCTCCTGACCTGCCTTTGTAGACTAGCTTCTTGAGCTGTCTCTATGGTTGCTCTCAGCCATTTCTAAATAATCCACTCTGGTAGTGTGGGGGAGATTTGCTTCCTATAATCAAATAAATGGAGTTTTTCAAGGAGCAGAATAGTTCACAAAAAAATCAATAGCGTATAAATAAAGTTGCCTTCATGGGAGATAAACAAATACATGTGCTCACCCTCAAAGTCATGTTATGGGATGTAAAATACTTCCCAGACTTGTGTCTCAGATGGTGATCGCATCTGACAGGAATATTTGTTCATTGCATCAATGCTAAAGTAATTTTATTTCATGTTTCCAGAGTGGAGGGTAGAAAACCTTCACGTGACCTCCATCCTTGGCACCTGCCATGAAATGGTAAAAGCCAACTTGAATTAAAGGCTTGGGTTGCCCCAGATGGGCCGGCAAAGCCTTCTTTAATGTGTTAGCATGAGATTTGAAGTGAGTATATGAGAAGAAAAGCTAAAAACCCAACTAAAACATTAGTTATTCCCAAGGTTTGGATATGGATGTGGGAAAAGAAGGCTCTAACTGATGTGCTAAAAACAGTTTTCTCTTTCACGTCTCCTTCTGGAATGTGCCCCTTTTATTTTGTCATTCTTGGCTCGGCTCCCCACTTTTCAAGCCTCCTCAGTCGTTTCATTCTGCCTGAGTATTTCCTTTCCAATATTTTGGCTGAATGTTCAGCTTTGTAAGCAGAAATGCAAAGTGAGCGCTTTGAAACATTACCCAATAAAATCCAATTTTAAACAGTTAGAGCTACAACTTCCCCCATCCTCTGGGAAATGAGCCTACAGTTTCTTTGTGCTTCAAGCAGAAATGTTAGAGCCAGAATTACTGCCCAGGCCAGAGTCTCGCCAAGACCATCAGATAAGCCACCTGGGCAAGGTCTTACAGGCCACACTTAAAAGGGGACTTCTTGGAAACATCAAGCTGTCTTTGGAAATTGTTAAGCATAGGTGACTTTCATATTGTGGGTAAAACATAAATGGAGAATACATCTAGAAGTATGAACATACTTATTCTCTGAAAAAAAACTCACATTTTCTTAAGTGATCTTTAAGAAATAATTGTTAATAATGAAAATGTCGGGTTGAGCATGGTTGTTCACGCCTGTAATCCCAGCACTCTGGGAGGCCGAGGTGGGTGGATTACCTGAGGTCAGGAGTTTGAGACCAGCCTGACCAACATGGTGAAACCCCGTCTCTACTAAAAAATACAAAAATCAGTCAGCCATGGTGGTGGGCGCCTGTAATCCCAGCTACTTGGGAGACTGAGGCAGGAGAATTGCTTGAACCCAGGAGGCAGAGGTTGCAGTGATCCAAAATCACACCATTGCACTCCAGCCTGGGCGACAGAGCAAGACTCCATCTCAAAAAAAAAAAAAGAAAAGGAAAGAAAAAGAAAAAGAAAATGTGAAGACCAAAACAAGCATTGTTAAAGTCTAAAGTAAACTTTCCCTTTCATAAAAATGCCCACTTAATAAATATTTAAATGAATTTATGAAACATATCCTTAAGGTTAATAATACTAATTTTCAGGACCAGGTACAGTGGCTCATGCCTGTAATCCCAGCACTTTGGGAGGCTGAGGAGGAAGGATCACTTGAAGTCAGGAGTTCCAAACCAGCCTGGCCACCACAGTGACACCTTGTCTCTACAAATATAAAAAAAGTTAGCCAGGTGGTAGCATGCACCTGTGGTCCCAGCTACTTGGGAGGCTGAAGTTGGAGAATCAGTTGAGTCCAGTTGAGTCCAGTTGAGTGGAGGCTGCTGTGAGCTGTGATTGTACCACTGCACTCCAGCCTAGGCAGCAAAGAGAAACTCTATCTCAAAAATAATCATAATCATAATCATAATCATAATAACAATACCAGTTTTCAGACAGTATCTGATTTTTATAACTCTTTCTGAGGAGATCAATACTACAATGCCTGCTTCACAGGTAATGAAACTGAGGCCTAAAGGAAATAGGCTGTTTACAAATATTCTATGAGCACAGTCACTACAATGAGTTTTAATTGCTTTCTATGTCTTTAGACCTAATTTTGTCTTGGGGTCGTGCTAGGGAAAAACATTTGACTTGATTTCTTTTTATATTTCACTTAATATTCTTTATATGTTATGACCTTGCTTAACTTCTTTCACTTATTCCCTTTTCTTTAGTATTGGCAATGTACCAATCTCTTCAAATATGTTTTCAATTTTTTTTTTTTTTTTTTTTGAGACGGAGTCTCACTCTGTCGCCCAGGCTGGAGTGCAGTGGCGCGATCAGCCTCCCAAGTAGCTGGGACTACAGGTGCATGCTACCATGCCCGGCTAATTTTTGTAATTTTAATAGAGACGGGGTTTTGCCATATTGGTCAGGCTGGTCTCAAACTCTTGACCTTAGGTGATCCACCCGCCTCGACCTCCCAAAGTGCTGGGATTACAGTCCTGAGCAACCGTGCCCAGCCGATGTTTTCAACTTTTGGTTACACACAGACTCACCCTGCATACAAGTATGATATGGTTACTTAGTCATATCCATGTGTCCCCAAGAGAAGAGAATAGCATATATAAGTTGTTCCAAACCACTAGAAGATTTGGGGTGCAATGAGGAAGACATTAAAGACATAAAATTATATCTGTCAATAGGATGAAATTAGGACTGTCACCAGCTCATATTGTGCCTTTGTGAGAATTAGAAAGCGGTACCCCTCTGAATGAACACAGCCTCACTTTATGAGTTGGACTTGACACCTTCTTGCCACTGAACCACCCTCATGCTGAGAGAAACAGTGATGGAATTCACCTAAAGTGAACACAGTTCAGAGTCAATTCTAATAAGGATCCATGCATGAATTTAATGAATATTTATCAGTTATCTATGTCAGATAGTTTTTTAGGCTCTGGAGATCCACGATGAATAAAGCAAAGTCCTTTCTTTCATGAAATCTATGTTCTTGTTGGGGAGATGGAAAATTAACATGGTAGGTTCTGAACCATGCTATGAAGAGCAATGAGATGTAGAGTATGGGGAAAGAAAACAGGCAGTCTAGAGTTTTTGAGTGTGCTCTGACTTGGATAGGCAGGGAGGTCTCTTTGAGAAAGTAACATTAGGTTGGAGAGCAGGCAATTTAAGGAGTGTGCAAGTTGGAGGTCCCTGCATGCCAGGCCAAGAAAGCAAAGTACAAAATGCACTGAGGCAGGTTCTCTGATGTGTGAGAAGAATCCCAAGAAGGCAAAACAGATGAGAGCAAAATGGTGGGGAATTAGTAGGAAACAGAATGCAGAGGTCATTAGAGCTATGTCAAAGAGGCAATGGTGACAAGAATGTTGAGTTCAATTCTGAGTAAGAAAGGAAGACAATAAAGAACTTTGATAAAAGGAGGCTGGGCTCAGTGGCTCATGCCTGTAATCCAAGAAATTTGGGAGGCCCAGGGGGGTGGATCTCTTGAGCCCAAGAGTTCAAGACTAGTTTGGGCAACATGGTGAAACCCTATCCCTGCAAAAACAAAAAAATTAGCCAGGCATGGTGTCACGTGGCTATAGTCCCAACTACCCAGGAGGCTGAGGTGGGAGGATCACTGGAGTCGAGGCTGCAGTGAGCTGTGATTGTGCCACTGCACTCCACCCTGGGCAAGAGAGTAAGACTCTGTCTCAAAAAGAAAAGAAAAGAAAAGAAAAGAAAAGAAAAGAAAAGAAAAGAAAAGAAAAGAAAAGAAAAGAAAAGAAAAGAAAAGTGCTATGATCCAGTATATCCATTAAAAGGATCACTCTGTCTGTAGTGTGGGAAGTGGACCAATGGGCCAAAGTGCGAGCCAGAAGGACAGAGTGGAGGCTAAGCCATAATTCTAGAAAGGAAGGCCAGTAGCCTGGATGGAGTGGTAGTGATGGAGGTGCTTGGAAGTGGGGCATTTTTATTTATAAGCCTCTTCAGATTAAATAAGCCTCTTCAGATTAGGCCAATAATGTTCTGGAGCAAGTTTGTATTGGCTCACAAGAGCCAACTGTTAAATTTTCAGGAATGTTGCAAGCCTATTGTTAAACACAGCCATTATGAAAAAATTGAATTACACAAACTTACAATTAAATATCTTATATTAAAATAAAAGTAAATATTAAAAATACATAGTAAATATAATAGTAAAACTAATTATTTCACTGTATTTTACTATTACCTATGCCTTACAGTTTTACATCTACTATATCCATATACTAAAAATGTCATACAATGATGTGCTACTGTGCATCTCTTTTAACTGCACTGAGTGACATTATGTTAGTAAATGGTAACTGGCAATCATGGGAATATTTACCCCTTGTAAATCTACATCTATAAACGCTAACAGAGGTTCATGTGATTGTCGAGCAAAACAATCCTTTTCCTCAAAATGAAACATTTTCTTCATCACTTAAGAAAGTGATGAAGAAATGTTAATAATTCAGATTTAACTTAAAAGTGCACCATGTCAAGTGCTGAAGCTAAAAGAGGTTTTAGTTTAATGAATATAATTTGCATAAGAATGGGAAAGTTTTAAAGTAGCCCACAAATTTAATTACAACAATTTTTTTGAAAAAAAAATTAGGGGATTAGGATGCAACTTTATTTATAAAACTATGTTCAAATTTCAACTATAAGCTGGATACAGATATACAAATTTAGCAAAAATCAGGAAAAAATGTTCATATAGCTAGAATATAGCAAGACTCAATTGGCTATATAGAATTTATGATAAATAGCATTGTGTATTTTATTATTATTTATAAGTTATTGGTATACATTCTAATATCAGTAAAATTTATATATAAACACACATAGAGTTTTGAGAGCTGGTTCTTAAATATTTAACCAGCTCTGGATAAGGCTCTCCTATGTTGGTATTTAGAATTTGAAAATTATTTACACAAACCATCCATGGTAAATCAAAGCATAGAAAAATCTCGAAATATATGGCAGATATTCATTTAGTAGTAGCAAGGCCCCAAGGAACAGCACTGCAAAAGCATCTCCCTCAGTCAAAATGTAACCGCCTGTAGAAGTAAAACATAAATTTCACTCATATTTTTATATAAATTAAGTTCAATGCCACATGCTACTTAAATGAAAATACTTCTAAATCTAAACCATTAAACATAATACCATTTTCCGTGGCATTTTTTCACATTTGTCTTGTTCATCATGAAAATTAACCACAGATATTGCTGGTTAAATAGTTGCCATTTTGATCTTCTGAGGCTTACAGTCACACAGAACTAGGATGTAGTTAAAGGAATATATTAATCTCACGGAAATTCAGATCCCATTTGTTTTCATCCAAAATCGAGTGAGGCAAATAAACTAACCCTATTCCACTACTAGCATATCCACAAATACATCTCCAATGGATAGAAGTTATTCTCTCCCAATCCTCTGAGAACTTTTTTCCTTATTTAAATATATCATTGATATCCGTGGGGTAAAGTCAATGGCATATCTCTCTTAAAGTGATATTTATGATATTTAACATTTAACAACTTAAAACTTCTCTATCTTAATACAACTCAAAAATTAATCTACTGGCCAACTCAAAGACAGATTGTTAATAATCATGATTGCAATCTACTTAAGTTGCCCATTTAGGATGCATCACTTGAAGAAAATCAACAGTTAATTAGCTATTATTGTTAGCCCCAAATTACAGTTGCCAGCGCCAGTGGTTGGGGAAAAACAGTGACTGCAGCAATGGAAGGTGGATAATGTGTGCCATTATCAATTTGACACTAAAAATAGTGTTGCCTTCAGCCCCTATGTTTGAAGGTGCTGATGGGTTTTGTACCTTTCTCCCAAACTTCCATGCCTATCCCCCAAAGCCTGGATTCTTCACATCTGGAAGAGAAACTTTCCCAGGATGCAGAACTGGGAGTTTCAGGCAAACTGGGATACTTTATTACCCTACTTTAGGTAGAAATCCAAACGCAGTTTAAATTACAACGGTCGTTCAAAGAGTTCATGGAAAGTGCTTATTATGAGAAAGAATTACGCAAGGATTTCAATTGTTTGCACCAAAATAAACTCACATTAACTTATTATAACAAATATGAACACAATCTAGTTTGAGTCACTAAGAAGGAGAAGACATCTGTTTGAAAAGAGCTCCTATATGAGTAACATAAATTCTGCTAAAATTGAAGGAAGAACAAACATCAAATTTATGATGGAGCTTAGGTGGAAGAATGATGAAAATCACTGATGCTTTACAAGAAGTTTATGGGACAATGCCCCAAAGAAATAAGCAGTTTACAAATGGATAACTCATTTTAAGATGGTATGAGATGATGTTGAAGATGAAGCCTCTAGCGGTAGAGCATCCACATCAATTTGTAAGGAAAAAATTCATCTGGTTCGTGTTCTAATTGATGGTGATCAACAATTAACAGCAGAAACAATAGCCAACACCACAGACATCTCAATTTGTTCAGCTTACACATTTCCGATTTAAAAATTAAAATGGAGCAAATTTTCCAGTTGATGGGTGCCAAAACTGTTGTGCCCAGATCAGCTATAGACAAGAATAGAGCTCTCAATGGAAATTTTAAGCAAGTGGTATCAAGATCTTGAAGCATTTATTTGAAGAATTTAATAGGAGATGAAACATGGCTTCACCAGTATGATCCTGAAGACAAAGCATAATCAAAGCAATGGCTACCAAGAGGTGGATGTGGTCAAGTCAAAGTAAAAGCAAACTGCTCAAGAGCTAAGGTTATGGCAACAGTTTTTTGGGGATGCTGAAGGCATTTTGCTTGTCAATTTTCTGGAGGGCCAAAATGATAACATCTGCTTATTATGAGAGTGTTTCAAGAAAGTTGGCCAAAGTTTTCGCAGAAAAGCACCTGGGAAAACATCACCAGAGAGTCCTCCTCCACTATGACAGTGCTCCTGCTCATTCCTCTCATCAAACAAGGGCAATTTTGTGAAAGTTTTGATGGGAAACCATCAGGCATCCACCTTACAGTCCTCATTTGCCTCCTTCTAACTTCTTTTTGTTTCCTAATCTTAAAGAATCTTTAAGGGGAACCCATTTTTCTTCAGCTAGTAATGAGAAAAAGAATGCATTGACATGGTTAAATTCCCAGGAATCTCAGTTCTTTAGAGATAGACTAAATGGCTGCTATCACTGCTTACAAAACTGTCTTAAACTTGTTGAATGATATGATGAGAAATAAGGTTTATATTTTTATTTTATCTTTTAATTTCATTTTTAATGAATTTTTTGAAGTTCCCTCATGTCCCATAGGACAAAAGTGTAGGCTAAAGATACCGTGGCTATGAATGTCATGATGGTAAATGAAATCACAAAAGAATTGTGAATAGAAAGAGAGAATGGTAAAATAAATAAATGAGCAAACAAACCCAGGAAATATCAATATTATGGAGCAGGCTGAGGAAGAGAAGCTAATAAAACTAGAAGAAATTAGAGGATAAAAAGAGAGCCAGGAAACAGCTATGCAAGTTCAGCTAAGTTCTGTCTTGCAAATACATCCCATAGCTATATCTGTGAGCAGATGAAATTTCCCTTGGATTGATGTAATCGGCTATTTGAAATCTTATCTGCAGTTTCTCAGAAATTTTCACTCTGAAGAGCTCATTTACATTGAAAACTATTCTTCAGAATATTGAGACACATAAATACTTTGGTTTAAAAAGAATTCCTGTGCCATTCCTGAGATATTTTGATTGGTGTTAAGATTTCCTCTGCTTATCCTGTTTTGCATGCATATTCTAAAATACCTACCTCTCAGAAGGGAATTCAACAGATAAAATTTCCTTCTGAGTGGTGGTATTATTTAAAAAAATACAATAATTATTATAAGTAGTTCATTTGTGCTGTAGAAAGTGAAAAAATAAATTTATACCGCAATTATGTACTTTGTAGAATTGAACAGTTCCTTCAGGTACGGACTGGCCAACTAGGGATTTAAGCACTGTTTACAAATTACTGGGCGAACTGCCATAACTCAGAAATTCTGCTTTTCTGGAAAAGGGGACCACATTTAAAGTAATAAAACCATTGGGAAAATGTAGTGATTATGACATGTTTGCTATAATAGTGTCGAAGTCATGCATCTTGGCATTTGCTTTCTTCTTTCAATCCAGGGAGAGATTAGAAGTTGAAAATCGGTATTAAACCATCTTAATTGTTTTCATGGGCATCCAGAGCATGTAAAAACAGCCAAAACTGCTCTTCAGAATCCTCAGACTCAAAATCACTTTTTAAGTTTAGGATGAAAACTCAATTCAAAATATACAGATCCACCCTCTTACATATAGGTAACATCTCCAGAAACTATCTTTCTCTACTACAGTTACAGACATGAAAAATACCTTCAAGTGGTGAAAACTGAAAAAGCTCAGGCCCTTTAGGATAAATGAAGTTTCAGGACACTCACTAGATCTTATGACTACCTAACCCATTGTTCTTACATCACAGCCTATATAATTTATTTATTCTGTTGCCTATTTATTTCCCTGTCTACCCTGGTAGAATGTAAGCTCACCTGGCAAGGATTTTGCCTGTTGTTCACTGATCATCTGAAGAGGTGCCTGTAGGTGTTCAATCATTTGTTGCAGAAATGATACTGAATATGACAAACACCACAGCATGACTAGTGGTCTGACTAATGTCCTTCCTAAATGAAAGGCCCTGAGCAGTGGATTTTGGGGGAAAACAATAGGGCAGGCTTCCAAAGGGTGCCACTGCTGCCAAGATTCTCCACCTCCTACCTTCCTTTTTTTGACTTTTCTGCTGACTAGGGCTTCTTCCGGCATGAAATAATAAGAAATGCCCAGCCTCAACCATTCACCAAACTTCCTTCTTTCCTCAGCACTCAAGAAACCTCTAGACTCGATGGCCAGAGAAACTGGAAAGGACTTGAAGCCCAGGGTTACAAAAAGTGGTATTTCCAACACATTATGAGTCAAGGAAGCTTTGGGGAATGGGATGAGGATTGATTAGGTCCCCAATCACAATCACTCATCTTACTCCTTGGGGAAAAAAACCTCTGAGTTCCAACTAATCAAAATCCAGATGACAACTTGGAAAGCCACACATTCAATGCATTCATGAGTTGGAACCTACTTATATGGTATCGCCTCTTCTTTCACATCATGCTAATCAAGTTTTCCTATTCTTCTTCCCTGTCCATGCTACTTAAAACTGCAAACTATCTCTTACTTAATCCTTCTAGTTTTCTCTTTGATTTCTTGTTACCAGCTGCCATCTCTTAGGTCAGATGCATATTTTATGTATTTATTCTGTTTATTGTTTTATCTTCCCTTGTTCTGCTAGACTACAGCTCTATGAAGGCAAGGAATGTATCGGTTTTTGTTCACCTTTGTATCCCTAGGGCCCAGAGCAGTGCCTAGCACATGGTGAACGTCCATCAGTTATTTGTTGACTGAAGAAATGTATAATCTAATTGACACACTGCATTCTCCACTTATAAGCTATTATGATACAACCCTTCATCCACACTGTGATGTAATGATTTATAGCAGTGAAATATGATCGACAGTGCTAACTCTCACATCCTCATTCTTATAGCACTTGCTCATGGGTCTCATCCACCACCTGCATCCCTTGGCCCTTCACTCATCTCTTCACTGAGTCCATTGTATTCTTACTTTGTTCCTTATTCGACCTAGGCCCTATCCCCCTTCACGTCAAGTTTCCTCTCACCAATTCACTGAGCCTTGCTGACCTTGGCCTTCTATCACATATTCCCTGCAGTTTCCCAAACCTAAATAATTGAATCCATCCTGCACATGAGTAGCCAATCACCACCAGAGAAAATATAATTGTGTGGATGCTATTACAATAGTATGGTTTTGAACTTCAGCTTGAACCTCAGTGCTGCTTGGCAAGGTTTATACAATGGTTAATTTTATATGACAACTTGATTGAGCTAAGGAATACCTGGGTAGCTGATAAACCATTATTTCTGGGTGTTCCTGGAGAAGATGAGCATTTGAATCAGTAGATGAGTAAAGAAGACTGCTCTCCTCAATGTGGGTGGGCTTCATCTCACCCATTGAGGGCCTAAACAAAACAAAATGGTAGAGGGAGGGCGGATCTGCTGTCTGCTTGAGTTGAGACATCCCTCTTCTCAGCAGTGCTCCCAGTTCTTAGACCTTTGGACTCAGACTGGCTTTTCCGGGGCTCCGCTTACAGGCGGCAGATTATGGGACATAATCAGATTATGGGCAGATGATGGAGGCTAAAAACAGCCTCCATAACTGTGTGAACCAATCCCTCATCATAAATTTATTTCATTCTATCTATTTATATCCCATTGATTCTGTGTCTTTGAAGAACCCTGACTAATACAGTTGGTCACTGACATGTTCTCTGTCCAGTTTTCTACTTCCCTACATGGACAGTTCCGGACATTTACACTTCAAGCCTCTTACAAGAGAGAATAGAAACTATTATGTGTGAATTCCCTTAACTTTCGCCTGCTCCCGTTTATAAACCTATCTCTCCTCATACTCATGCAGTTAGGTCTTCTCTGCATTCCCACCATGGGTGGCCTGGCCCTCTCCTCAGATACTGGCCATATGAACCTCATAGGATAAGAGCAAAGGTGTGGTTTCTACTGCAGACAGCACAGAATGGAAAGGATTCTAAAGCAATTGTCAATATACAGTACCATTATATCAAGTTTTATAAAGAAAATTCTATTATTTCTATGTCTAACTCATCATCCTCGAAAAACAATGTGATAAACAAAACACTCCAAATTTCTCATTGTAATTGAATAGTTTATATAAATCCCTAAAAATATGTTCCTATCCTTTGCTCCACTTCTAAAAATTGACTCCAAGGCCAAGCACGGTAGCTCATGCCTGTAATCCCAGCACTTTGGAAGGCTGAGGCAGATGGATCACCTGAGCTCAGGAGCTTGAGACCAGCCTGGGCAACATGATGAGACCCCATCTCTACCGAAAATACAAAAAATTTTTCTTGCATGCCTGTGCTCCTAACTACTCGGAATCTGAGGTGGAAGGATCGCTTGAGCCTGGAAAGAAGAGGTTTCAGTGAGCTGAGATCAAGATCGCACCACTGCACTGCAACCTGGGTGACAGAGTGAGACCCTGTCTCAGAAAAAATAAAAAATATATATAAATAAAAATAAATATAAAAATTGACCCCAAAATAATACAGTAGACAGATTTAGATTATATGAACATTAAGATTATTGTTTATAATTTTCTGATATTAGAAGTAAAGCTTTTATATACATATGTATATACCTATATATGTGTCTACATGTACCAATAACAATTGTAAACAATAATTTAAATGTTTGTACATAAGAAGGATTAAATAAATTATAGTCAATTTATATAATAGGGTTTTATGTAACCATTAAATAGTATGTTAGATATTTAATGATATAAAAATGATTACAATGTTGTTTTATGAATAATAAATTATATAAAACTATATAGAGAGCTTAACAATGTTTTGAAAATATACACTCAAAAGAAATACTCCAAAATATTAAGCAGAGTTATGTCTTTGTGATGGAATTATAGGGGATTTTAAGTTTGTTCTTTGTGTACGATATTATTCACATAAGCGTAATAACAAATGACATTTTAAAAGTACATGTTGAAGCTCACATATTTTGACTTTCTAAATTAGAAGGGGTGTGTGTGTGCATGTTTAATATATAATTAGGCATAAAAGTCACTTTGGCTTGTTGATGTCAGGCAAATTGTATTTCATCTATGAGAAAAAAACCAGAGTGCTTTTACAAAACCCTAAAAATACATCAAGAATGCTGACAAAGAGTTAAATATTCTGGCCTTGAAACTATCCTCATTTTCCTAAAATACATTTCTTAAATATTCATTTCCTTCTGCTCACATAAAGACTGATAAATCTCATTCAGTCCTAATTGCATTGGTTTGATGATCAAAACAGGCATTTCCTCTTCCTCATGACAGGAGGGGGTTTTTTAAGCAGACCAAGCACAAAAGCCTTTTCTGCTAATTTCCCCATTTTGACATGAGTGAATACTATCTGTCTTTCCACCTGAACCAGATCTCATTCTAATGGGCATTAAAATCCCTTTTGAAAATGTATTAATGCTCTAGTTGTAAGATACCTTTGGGAACGTGCTGAAGTGTAAAGTCTGAAAAATCAGAAATCCACCCTTGTTTTGCGTGTGGGAGGCAGACGAGACAATCATTTATTGCGGAGAGAAAAGGTATGCTCTATTGGCCTTTACAAAAGCTGTAATTTTATTTTGAAGTCCTCAAGTTTTGTTCTCCTGGTTTATGGTTTTATGCTAAAATTATGGCTTTGTAATAGGTTGTGAGGCATACTTTATGCACTCTCATAATTATAAGCTATTACAGTTCATTCTTTGTATCAGGATGGTTTTATGGACGTTTAAATGAAGTTTCCGACAATGAAGCTATGGTTCTAATAGGACTACATTATGGCTACACCTGGTCGTATGCAGTCTCTTGGATTTTCTACCATGAACTATTGGGAAGAGGAGGGTGGGATTTCAAACAGCTGCTTGCCTCACACTGAGCTCTAGCACGATATGTGGATTTATCAATCCATTTGTATTTAAATAATGTATATGCTTGTTCCCTCACTGAGCCACAAAGCCATCAAAGAGAAAGATCATCCTAGTGATTTTATATTCTTTTTGCCAAGGAAGACACCTGAAAGTTTAAAAACATAAAACACAGTGAGTCACTTGTCCTTTTCCCCAACGAGGAAGATAAGAATTGGCAGGTTGTTGCTTACTCTCCAATGTTTACTTACTAGCAATGATCTGTTAGCATGTGCCAAGGGTCATTTCTCACGGCATTTATATTTACTATGGTTTTGGTTATTTCTTACTGAAATGCTGTTGAAGATGGTGACCTTGTTCGCAATCGCTTGCAGTTGAGCATTCAATGAGAACACACTTCTCCAGCTGGAGGGAGCGTTGACTGAGTGGACTCTCAGAAAAGGTGTAATTAATAATTTTAAACATCCCATGTGGCAGTAGAGTTTCTTTTTTTTTTTTTTTTTTTAGGTGGCAAAGGGACCAAGGTTTCAGTAGCTTTCTGAAGGAATTCGACTAAAGTCAATGATAAAAATATGAAAGTGAAATTAAGCACGACTGAGTGTCAAATTCCCACGTTAAATGACCTCCAAGAAAAGGAAGAAACTCCAATTAAGATAACAAAATAAAACATACGCTAAGAAAAGATTACATGCTCCCACAAAGCAAGGATGTGAGAAGCGGCACTTAGGGCTCCTGTAGCCCCTTAATTCAGGCTCTATTATGCCCACGAATTAGAGGACATATGCTCTTCTATCAAATTGTTCCACACCACTGGGGAAAGTATTTATTTCATCACTGTGAGCTAAGTATCTTTAAATCATTGCTGTGCAAATGCAGCCTCCAAAGAAAATTTAATGTATTCTTTAAAAAGAAGTCAACAGTATCATAAAACGTCTCTCCCATATTTAGTTGTAGAATCCGTTTGGCTTCCCTCTTTAAGACTCCCAGTTCTTGCATATTTTAACACTTCTATAAAGCTGTAAATAGGGGTATTGCAGGCTATTTTCACTCAATGCTTTAGAATTCACTAATGAAGATGAGAGTGAGGATTTCCAAATATAGGAACAGCCCTCAGTGGATGAAGAAATGAATCCTGCCAGATTGATAGTTGCCCAACAATCGTATCTCAGACACCTGACCTAACTCTCGCCTACAACATAGGAAGGGCCAGTGATGTAGGTCTTTTTCCCCACAGGGAATTATTTCATTCTCATCTTCCACATCATAAAAATGAATCAGTTGCAAAATTTGGGACATTCAAACAACCATTTGACTGATGTCACGCTAAAGGAATTATCTGGTTAATTACTTGGCCACGAGGATCGATTTTGTAGTTGTGGTTGTATTCATATTAAAGCTGTCTTCTTCTACATATACATAGCCCAAGTGGATCTTATAAAAATTATATATGTACATCTCCAAAAGAGGGCACAACATTTCAAACCAATTAGGCATAATATTCCTGGGCTAATGTTCTTGTTGATTACATTGGTTCATGAATGGAAAGTGCAGGATAAGACCTATGGAACAGCTGTGATTTCCCCAATATTTGCTTGAATTTACACATCAGTGAAATCAGGAGTAATACTAAGAAAGAAAGGGCAGTTAGTTTCTTTGCTTAGAGCTGCTTGTGTTAGCTTTAGAAAGTATAGATAGAGTAAAAACAATATTGGAGTTCCAAAAAAAAAAGAATGAGTAAAAATGTACTCCTGTACTTCAGGAATGCAATAACTCCATTATTCATCATCAGGAAGATTTCTAAAGGCTGGTCCATTGTTCCATATGCATTAATTGTGACTACACTTAGAAAATTGCCTAATATTAGAAAAACTGCACTCTAAAATAGGTTTCCCAATATCTCTGATATGAATCAACTGGAAGTGTATTAAAACAAGACAAAGCAAATTTCTAACTTCTTCACTTGGAAATCCTGACAATCTGTTTATCTATTTGTTTCAATAAGCTCTCCTTTCCCTCATGTTCTGTGATTCCTCTCATGAGAGAAATTTGGGAGCAATTACTCTAAAACTACTCGGAAGATAAATATAGCTCAATAGCTTACTAAATCTGTAAAGCATGATGAAAGCTTGAATGATAAAAATGTGCTTTTAAAAATAGTTGTAATAATTATAACAGTTAAGATTCAATTCCAGATGCCTTTATAATGAGAAATAAATTCCAATAGCTAATACTTTTAATTATTTGCTGGAAAACAGTATTCTCAAATTTTAAATTAAAGAAATGAATTAGAATTTATCTATTTCTTCATTTAAAGGAGAGCATTTCCAAACTATAAATTTTAGCTAGTAATAATTTTTTTTGGTAGAAACAGGGTCTCCCTGTGTTGCCCAGGCTGGTCTTGAACTCCTGGGCTCAAGTCAATCCTCTTGGCCTCCCAAAGTGCTGGGATTACAGGTATGTCAGCTACTGTGTTGGACCCAAATATTTTTCAGTATCTTTTTATCCAGTAATAAGTGTTACTTGAAGAAAACTTAAAATTGAGATAGACATAAACAGTAAATTACAAATCTTCTATGATCAAATTTCCTAAAATTAACTGCTACGAACATTTTATTCAATATATTTCTAAACTTTTTTAAGACATAGAATCTTGATTTTAGTTTCTTAAATCTCAATTCAATCTCTTTGCTTTGCCTTCTTATGTGGTTGTAGCGTAGGAAAGAACACAATGGCAAATAGCAGAATAGATTTGTGGGAAATGGATAGGAAATTAATAATATTTTTGTTTTCTGATTCTCCATATAATTTGTATATAATGTATGTTACAGCACGTATTTTCATTTTTCAAATCTTTCAACTACCACCTAATCTTAGTTTACAATGGCTAAAAAAGAAAATAAAAGTATTAGTTTGGGAGTTTTTTTTTTTTTTTTACTTTTATTTATTTACTTTTTTTTGAGACAGAGTCTCTCTCAGTCACCCAGGCTGGAGTGCAGTGGCACGATCTCAGCTCACTGCAAGCTCTGCCTCCCGGGTTCACACCATTCTCCTGCCTCACCCACCTGAGTAGCTGGGACTACAGGCGCCCACCACCACACCTGGCTAATTTTTTGTATTTTTAGTAGAGATGGGGTTTCATCGTGTTAGCCAGGATGGTCTCGATCTCCTGACCCTGTGATCTGCCCATCTCAGCCTCCCAAAGTGCTTTTTTAAATTTTTTAGTTTTTATGATAATACCCTCCAACCAGGCTGTTGTTTAGAAGAAAGTGACCACAAATCTGCTGTGAGTCATCTCTGCCTTGATCAATGTCCTTCTTCTAATTAGAGCATCCATTATCAGTGAGGACCACAGGGAAGGCAGCATATCTCAGGGTATGTTATTATGACAGAGGTAAGCATACTCAAGCTCTTCCAAGGTCAGAGATTTATTTTAATAAGACCTAATTTTCAAAGGGCCTTATGAGAAACCCAAATTGCTTAGGAAATAAGAATTTTCTTCCTTTCATCGACAGGAAATACATTGTTAATAATTTTATTGTGGAAAAATTCTTTCTCCAAATGCCTTGTACCCATGAGTGTCATGCAACCCTGAGCTTTGTCTATTGCATTCCTTGGAACTGAACAACAGTAGTTCAGGAGGAAGGCATGGACATTTAGAGGTAACGAGATGCAGGAGAGGCTATTGAAGGGTAGATGGAAGGGGCACCAAACCAAGACTTAAACATTGTATAGTTTTTCTAGACTTCAATAAGTAGAGTTTCTTTCTCACTGCAGTCAGAGATTTTACAGGCTGTTAATCCTGGGACACCCTGCTTCTAAGGTAGTTTTTTGTTTGCTTGTGTATTTTAAACTTGGGGAACATAATATCTGCCTATTTCCTACCTCTTCTTCTTCCTTTATTTTTTTTTTTTGGTATGTATTCTCCTGCTACTCTCATTCATTCTCTTTCTATTGTCCATTGATTGCTTTTTAGTCACTTGCATTTTTTTTTCATTTTGCCCATTGTCGATTCAGCTTCCTAAGGCCCTTTTCATGAAAGGAGGATTTACAGATCTCCCCGCTATAGCCCTGCACCACTGTGGGTGTAACCTGCTGTGAACTTTTAAGAGAAAGCGGCTGGTCTCTCACTGCGATCTTTCTCTGCCCTTTTCATCCACAATGTTCCCCAAAGCTTTGACTTTTATCATGTGGTTATCTAATAAATGTCTGTAAAGTTATGTAGAAAAGGGAAAACCTTCCATCTATCCTCGGAGGGTTCAATAACTGAGTCTATGAAACAAACTGACAACAAGCACATCAACAGGAAAAAAGATATGCAAATTTTTACATGCTCAAGGACACCATAGGAAAGAAAAGTGAGTGCTCAATAACACTGTGAGCTCAAGCAGCTTATACACCTTCTTCATAGGGGAGAGGGGAGGGGGATGTAAGCAACTTAGGGGGAGAGTAAATGATTTTGGGGAAAGAGGAATGAGCCCTCGGAAGAATAGGTGATAGCCTGAGACAAAGTCTGTCTGGGAGTGGGGTCAACTTCCAGTCTCCTCTCCGGTGATAGGAGTTTAATCTTACCTGGTTAATGAGATTCTCAGGGAGAGGATTCTAGAATATTGCATTCCTTTTGGAGTATCTATCAAAGGAGGCTCTTTGTGGTGACATTTCCTGAACTCTTTCAGTTTTATCTGCTTGTGTAAAATAAAGGTGCATAGCTTCATAATAAGGATGGAAACCTTGTAATGTTAACGGAGTGTGAATTGTAACAACATTTCTGGGGTGCGTGTGTGTACGCTTAGGAAGCACTCAGTAATCTCTCATGGAGGTGATCGAAGCTGAGTAAGAGTGTTCCAGCAGGCGAAGTAGAAGAGGTGACTGCTGTAAACCGAAGCTCCATGAGCCGGCCAGCTATTCCAGATGCTGCTTGGGAGTTTCAGCCCTTTCTCAGTTGGATGAGCTCCATATGCCATTGAGATGTATACATACACACATATACACACACGCAGCATACACACACACACACACATATACACACACATGCAACTGGTTGCTCTATCACTTAACTTCAAACGAACAAGCTAAATCTAGTGCCTGGTAGAGAGGGGCTATACCCCAAGGACATATTAGCTGGCACAGGCACTTAGAGGTAGCAAGATTTTTCTGAATCAGAGATAGGCTGATAGGCTACATCTGGTACTAACTTGTAAATAAGAAAATGTGTTCATAGATGCAAACAGCATAGAATAAAGTAAGTCATATTTTATAAAGACAGTGGAACAATAAAATAAAATAATAATCTGAGAAATATGTGCACACAGTTTTAAAAAACACGATGGTCTAACAATAGTGATTCATGTGACTCAGGGATTGTGGAGCCATGGCAAGGGCTTTATTTATTATCTGGATAAATAATGTTCTTCTTTTATCATGTAAAAGCATGATCAGAAGAAATCTAATTAGAAATTAGAACGTTCAAATTTTAATGAAGTCTTGAGCAGCTTGGATCCTTTTCCTACTTAAAAGTATTTTTAAAATGAAAGAAAGGAAAATTCAGAAATGACTTTATTGTGATTAGCTTTTAACCTGTATTTCTGAAATATGCTATAGTCTGTGAAATGTATTATGTAAGTGAATCAAGATAAATAGTCTTTTTCCTTTAATAAAGGGGAGAGGGCCAAATTGCATAGGAGCCTTGAAACATGAATTATGCCAACTGGTCCTTTGGGAAATATCTCTCAATTAGAAAGCTTAATTCAAACTGATCCCCTTGGGAAACAGTGAGTCTCATTGCTTAATATGCATAATGGGATTTTTATATTGTACAGAAGCTGTTGTCAAAGAGGATAGAGACATGCTGCAGAGCTTTTAAAGCTGAGATGCCTGGCAGGGGATGATGACCATGCTGGCTGGAGAAAAAAAAAATCATCTCTGTGAGCCCATGTTTCTTTCTTCTTTCTTTGAAGCTTAGTTGAATATTTGAAACCTATATGTTTTAAATTCTTCTCAAGGAATTTAGCCCTAATTTTACAGAGTTATATTTTTTACAAAGAAATGTAGAAACTGATGAAGATAAAGGAACAAGCTCTGCTCTGTAAGGCTGAAAAGTTACTTTATTGATGGAAAATCCCAGAAGTTTTAGGATCTTGCCTTATCAATTGCTTTTACAATTGACTCAGAGAATGATTCCTCAAGTCTTGGGTGGGTGATAGCTGAAGATAGAAAAATTTGTAAAGTATACTATCACTAAGGAAAAAAATTTCATCTAGATAAAAGTATTTTTTCTAGATAAAAATACCAGATAAAAATACTAGATAAATATTTTTTCTAGATAAAATTATATATAAAGTAGTACATATATATAAAAAAGCTTTTATCTAGATAACTTTCAATGGCAAAACTGCAATTACTTTTGCACCAATCATATATATATATATATATATGTATATACACACACACACCTTTCTACTGTAACTACTGGCTCAAGGACATGAATTCTGTGCATTTCTGTATCTCCAAAGTCAAATCTATTTTGACCAGAACAGAAGTTGAAGCAAAGTGCAAATGCAATAGAAATGTCACTATGATTTTTGCACATTGTAACTTTTAAAGAAACAGTTTCACAACTTCTCCCTTCAGAACACTAAAGGGTGTCTTTGAGCAGTAAGAGCTGAGCTAAGGAGTGCAAAGGCACTGAGCACTAGAATGCCCCATAACAGAGGGTTTCTGATTATGCACATCAGCTCTTCTTTTCTCAAAGCAAACTCTGACAAGTCACCCACTTTGGCTCTATGTCTTGGCGGTAAACATGTGATCATGCTTTGCCATTGTCAAGGGCTCCTGTGCACCTGCCGCTTTCCAAGCTCTGACCTATGAATAATAAATGTATTGCTTAAGCAAATATTTCTTGCAATATGCAAGGCCTATGACATCTCTTTGAATCACTGTTGAAACCAGGAAATGAAGCTGAGACCCTGATTCATCCTGTCTCTCACCATCCCATTATTAACAATGTCATAAAGCAACAGCAAATCTGGTTCATACCTTTTGATACATTCTCATGATGTATTTTCCAAGGAAACCAGGTTTGTGAGTTTGTGTTTTAGACGCATATGAGTGTTTATGAGGCTTCTAGTTACTCCATTTTTTTTGGTAAGTGGATAAATAATAAATGAAAACAAGTGTTTTGTAACCATACTGACTCAATTCCAATCCAGACTCTTACATTTGCCAACTATGTGACAGAAGGAAAGCTGCTTAACATCTCAGAGCCTCAGTTTGCTCTTCTAAAAAATTAGGCTTATAGTATCTGTATTAGTCCATTATCATGCTGCTATGAAGAAATAACCAAGACTGAGTAATTTATAAAAAAGAGATTTAATTGACTTATAGTTTAGCATGGCTCAGGAGGCCTCAGGAAACTTACAATTATGGTGGAAGGGGCAGCAAACACATCCTTCTTCACATGGTGGCAGGAAGGAGAAGTACCAAGCAAAGGGGGAAATGTCCCTTATAAAACCATCAGATCTTGTGAGAACTCACTCACTAACATGATAACAGCATAGGGTAACCACCCCCATGATTCAATTATCTCCCACTGGGCCCCTCCCACAATACAAGGTAATTATGGGAACTAAAATTCGAGATGAGATTTGAGTGGGGACACAGCCAAACCATGTCATTCAGCCCTTTGCCCCTCCCAAATCTCATGTTCTCACATTTCAAAACATGATCATGCCTTTCCAACAGTCCCCCAAAGTCTTAGCTCATTCTGGCATTAACCCAAAAGTCCAAGTCCAAAGTCTTATCTGAAACAAGGCAAGTCCCTTCCAACTATGAGCCTGTGAAATCAAAAGCAAGTTAGTTGTTTCCTAGGTACAATTGGGGGTGTAGACATTGGGTAAATATACCAAATGAAAGAAATTGGCCAAAACAAAGGGGCCACAGGCCCCAAGCAAGTCCAAACTCCAATAAGGCAGTCATTAAACCTAAAAGTTCCAAAATGATCCCCTTTGACTCCTTGTTGCACATCTAGGTCATGCTGATGTAAAAGGTGGGCTCTCACAGCCTTGGATAACTTGCCCCTCTGGCTTTGCATGGTACAGTCCCCCTCCCAGCTGCTTTCATGGCTGGTGTTGAATGCCTGTGCCTTTTCCAGGCACATGGTGCAAGCTGTTGGTGGATCTATCATCCTGGGGTCTGGAGGATGGTGGCCCCCTTCTCACCTTTACTAGGGAGTGCTACAGTGGGGACTCTGTGTGGGGGCTCCAACCCTGTATTTCCCTTCCACACTGCCCTAGCAGAGATTCTCCATGAGGGGTCCACCCCTAGAATAGACTTCTGCCTGGATATCCAGACATTTTCATACATCCTCTGAAATCTAGGTGAAGGTTCCCAAACCTTCATTCTTGACATCTGTGCACCTACAGCCTCAACAACCTGTGTAAGCCACCAAGGCTTGGGGCTTGCACCCTCTGAAGCCATGACGTGAGCTGCACTTGGGCCCCTTTTAGCCACAGCTGAAACTGAAGCAGCTGGGACAGAGGGCACTATGTCCTGAGGCTGTACAGAGCGGGAGACCACAAAACCATTTCTCCCTCCTAGGCCTCCAGGCCTATGATGGGAGGGGCTACTGTGAAGGTCTCTGGCATGCCCTGGAGGCATTTTCCCCATTGTCTTGGTGATTAACATTCAGCTCCTCATTACTGATTCAAATTTCTGCAGTGGACTTGAATTTCTCTCCAGAAAATGAGTTTTTCTTTTCCATTGCATTGTCAGGCTACAAATTTTTCAAACTTTTATGCTCTGCTTCCTCTTGAGTGCTTTGCCACTTAGAAATTTTTTCTACCAGATACCCAAAACAATCTCTCTCAAGTTCAAAGTTCCATAGATCTCTAGGGCAGGAGCAAAATGCTGTCTCTTTGCTAGAGTATAGCAAGGATCACCTTTGTTCCAGTTCTCAAGAAGTTCCGCATCTCCACTTGTGACCAAGTCAGCCTGGACTTCATTGCCCACATTACTATCAGCATTTTGGTCAAAGCCATGCAACAAGTCTCTAGGAAGTTCCAAATTTTCCCACATCCTCCTGTCTCTGAGCCCTCTAAGTCTCTAGGAAGTTTCTAACTTTCCTACATTTTCCTGTTGTTTTCTAAGCCCTCCACACTGTTCCATTCTCTGCCTGTTATCCAGTCCCAAAGTTGCTTCCACATTTTTGGATATCTTTATAGCAGCACCCCACTGTGCCAGTACAAGTTTACTGCATTAATTCATTCTCATGCTGCCATGAAGAAATACCTGAGATGGGTAATTTATAATGAAAAGAGGTTTAATTGACTCACAGTGCAGCATGGTTGGGGAGGCCTCAGGAAACTTACAATCATGGTGGAAGGGGAAGCAAACATGTCCTTCTTCACATGGAGGCAGAAAGGAGAAGTGCCAAGCAAAGGGGGAAGAGTCCCTTATAAAACCATCAGATCTCATGAGAACCCATTCACTATCATGAGAACAGCTTAGGGGTAACCACCCCCATGATTCAATTATCTCCCACCTGGTCCCTCCCACCACACATAGGGATTATGGGAACTACAATTCATGATGAGATATGGGTGGGGACATAGCCAAACCATATCAACATCTATCTTGTAAAGTAATGTATTGTAAGGATTATAATAAGATAATACTACATTTAAAGAACTTAACATTGTGCTTGACATTTATAGAGTACCAGTTTATATTTTTAGAAATATTTTTAGTGCCTAAGCTACTCTTAGGTAGAAAGGGGTGTGTTGGGAAGCATTTGTAATTTTTCTACTTCACTATAGAAGTAGAATACGACATTCTAGATGGTCCAACATACATTGATGAGAAGGCTACTCTGTGATGTGACTATGGCCCTAACTCTCTAAGTCTAGTTCTTGGTAGGGTCAGCATTAGGGGGAGGCAAGCGATGTGAGCTACATGCAAGTGCAGTGTTGGATCCTGACTTCACTCACAATTGAGATATTTTGTTTCCCACACATTTTTGCATTAATTTGATTTAAATATTACATTAAAATATTACTTATCTTGGTTACTAAATATTTTGGCACAAGTTTAAATTGTACATCCAAGGTAAATGCCTCCTTGCCTCATCCTAGTCCCAGCCCTGGCCTCCTGTCTCTCCTCCTAGTACATTTAGAATGGTGTAAGCCCCTTTCCACCTTGAGCTGCCTTGCGTCAGCAGATTATGATAGTCCTAGGGGAAACTGCTAACTCATCAGACTGACCACCGGCAGTCACTAGTGAATCCCCATGTGCTATGAAGTTGAGGGCAATTGTAGCTCAAATTATGGTGCATAGTGTGAGCCAGTGTAACTCACACACATTCCTGAACAACCCTGAATTATGTAGCAATGGGAAGGGACTTCAACCCAATCCTATAGGGCATTTATGAGAGATAGGTTGGTTAGTGATCTTCAGTTCCCCAGATCATTTAAGAGTTCATCCAATATCATGCTACAATTCACTACTGCTTATCCTATGGGGAGCTGGACTCTGAATTCTAATGAAAATAATGAACTATCAACTAAATTCCATTCTGAAAGATTAGGTATTGGAAGAATATTGACACAATGCTTACAAAATGCTTTCAATCATTTAGCGTTATCATAACTCTGATTGCCCTCATTTAGTGTTATCATCCCCATTTAGTAAGTTAAAAAAATTGAGGAACAAAGAGATTGATTGATTTATAAAGAATCTCAAGGGAAATTAGAATCAAAGCTATAAAAAAGTATTTACAGCTAGAGGTAATTTTACAGCTGGGTTTTGGAATCCTTTCCCCAGCCCTTGCAATGACATTGCCTGAGGTGCTCTCTGATTTGCATCTTAGAAAGAATAAAACTTATCGCAGTGCATTCAGGCGGCACTACCCAGTCCTGCCTGGGTAGGCAGACTACTGGGTAGGTAGATATCCACCTACTCTTGGTGAAGCCAAAGATGTTCATACTGGTCAGGTTACAGGGTGACCTACTGTCCTGGTTTCAGCACCAAATGTCCTGCATCCCTGGAAAGCCACCCAGTCCCAGGTCAGTAACCCTCATTGCTAACCAGAACTGTCCTCCACATTGAAAATACACATTGTATTTCTTTTCTTGTTGCTTTTCCTGGTTAATATCTTTTTTGGGTGATTCACACAAATTACACTTTTTTAGTTTTATTATAGCATTTGATATTAAGATCCATCATTACCCTTAGTTAATCCTTTGGACTTAAGAGACACAACCTTAGATATACCAAAGACAATCATGGGAAGAGTGTGTAAAGAGCAAACTGTACCCCACTTGTCTGAAAAAAAAACCACAAAATATAATAGAGCAAAAATTTAAAGATACTCTAAACATATATTATGGAATTATAACTATAGAATAACCTGCTTAAAATACAGATTAGATCATGTTAATATTCTAGGAAAATCTCTGAGCTATTTCCCCACTGCTTCTCGCCCATTGAAACATACACTCATTTATTCATCCAGTTCATAAACATTAATTGATCACCTCATATATGCTATGCAGTATACAGTTGCTGAGACTATAAAGACAAGACAGTTCAGGCTTATAGCTCAGCAAGGGAGACTAATGTAAACAAATTAGTGCAATAAAAATTAAGAGGTGCTACACCAAAGACTGTACAGCTGAAGCAAAAAAAAACAAATGGCAGAGGAAAAGTTCAGCTGTATTTCCAGAAATATCTGTCCCAAATTAGTCAATGTGTTCCAGATTTCAAAGATCTTTTCTAGTGTTTTGCCTAGAATGTACTTTCTCCATTTGTGCCGTCTCAAAATTTCACACATCCTTCATAGCCAAGCTTAAAGAGTTTAGGAAGTGTATCTTAACCCCCAATCAAGATTTACTATTCAATTTGTCTAAAATTCCACAATTAGAGTTTATTTTATTATGGCATATTTATTAATGTATTTATGGTCCGTTACCCATTTCAAAAAACAAAGATTGTTTCCACATGCCATGCCTCAAGATAAATTCCAAATGCATTACAGCACTAAATATTTTTAAATCTGTGGAAAATAATAATATTAGGCAATATTTCTCTGATCTTAGAGCAGAGAATAATTTTATAGGCATTACAAGAATGAAAAAAATACAGAAAAATAAAATATCAATTACAACTATGGTTGTATTTAACAAAAATCCAAATCAAATTAGTTTAAACTAAATAGAGAATGTATTATATGGATATTAAGAAGCAAGGACAAGGATGTGGCTGGACCCTAGAAATAACAAGAAGGAGAGACCTGAATCCCATTAAGAATTTTTTTTTTAGATCTCTGCTGCTCTCTGCATCTCCTTCACTCTTATCACTGGATATAGCTCCCTCTATTTCTCTAATCAATATGATGAAAGGCAGTGTGCCGACAGCTGCTGAGCTTTAAGTCTGATGGCTTGGGTACCTGAAGAGAGACAGACGAATTTACTGCTGGTCCTCATACAAAAGTCCAGCAAGAGAAACATTAGCACATGTTGAAACACTCAGCTGTCAACATAGCATCACAAGGCAACTCTTATCTCAATGTGAACAATGGTATAGAAGCATGAGTGGGAAGAAAAAAAAAAAGTTTCCAAAAAGTGGTGGAGTAAATCTCTTCACTATGAGAAGATAGATTGAATTACATAAAACTATAAAAGTGTCATGATCAGAAAAAGAGGTCAAAAGAAGTTACAAGACATTACAAACTAGAAAAAGTATCTGCAACTGTAATTGGAAGATAGTTTCTTTCCTTAATGTATAAGTGCAAAAGAAGATAAATATAAATATTCAAAATGGGCAAGGCAAAGACTTCAGAACTAACAAAGAAGCAATCCAACGAAATACAATAAAATCATTGTGGAAAAACGTTCAGCTACATTAATAATCAATGTAATATGAATTTAAATAGCCATCAATTGCAAAGTTTATTCCTCAGAAGTTGATTTTTTTTATTTACAATACTTGGAAATTTAGAGAAATGAGTACTTTCATACACTCGTGGTAGGCATGTAAGTTGATGCAATATTTCTAGAAGACAATTAGGTGATACGCATCAAGATCCTTAAAAAGGAACATATTCTTCATAATATGTTATAATTTTATATAAAAGAACTAAGGAAATAAAGAGATGTACCAATACCATTTTATTCACAAGAATTTATTCATTGAAACGTTATTTTTATAGCAAAAAATTGGAAATGAATATAATGTCTGGCAATAGAGTTACCTAAATAAACTTTTGTGTTTTTAGGTGGAATATTGTACATCACTAAAATTATATTTGAGTAAATATTAAATAACATGGAAAATGCCATTAAGAAAAAAACACAAAATACAACATTTTATATGCAGTATGATTCCAGGACCTATATATATGTGTGTGTGTGTGTGTGTGTGTGTGTGTGTGTGTGTGTGTATGTATGTATACATATACTTATATACGTATACACACACACATATTTATAAATACACATAGCAAAAAAGGATTGGAAGAAAATACACCCAAATCTTGATATCAGTAACTCTCTAGGTACTAGAATTGTAGATGATTTTTTTCTCCTTTTTTCTTTATTTTCAAAAAAGAAAAATTTCACAAGTTTTCTTTTTATTTTCAGTAACATACTTGAGCTACTTTGTTTTTCATTAGAAAAAAATTACAAAATCTTTAAACTTTTGAAGTTTAAAAATACGTCTAACTTTTGAGTCAATGAGGAAATAATGTGTGCATTTAAAAATATCTGTAAAATAAAAATGTAAATACCCACAATAAAATGTGTGAAATAAGCCAGAGTTACATAGAGCAGTAAACCTACAAACCCAATGCTTTAACAAATTTTTTTAAAGTGTAAATACATTGGTACATTTCAACAGCTAAAATGACAGAAAGTATAGATTGCATGGAAGCAGAGACCCATAAAAGTCACATTGATACTATTTTCTGCTAATCTCTCAAAAAGACAAACAGATTCCTTGGTGTCTATTGTAAGGGAAGGGGTTACTGATTCCTCATACTAGATATTTATCTTGTTATTGTCTGGAAAAATACAGTCATGTCTATATTCTGGAAAAATGCATTCTTAGGCAATTTTGTCATGCAAACATCATAGCTTATTACACATGTAGGCTATATGGTATAGCCTACTGCTCCTAGGCTGCAAACCTGTGCAGTATGCTACTGTGCTGAATACTTTTAGCAACTGTAACACAATGGTATTTATATATCCAAATATAGAAAAGGTACAATAAAAATATGGCATTATAATCCTATAGGATAACCTTCATATATACAGTCTATCATTGACCAAAATAATCGTTATATGATGTGTGACTGTAATATGAAAATGAATATGCTTGATGTTCTACCTCATGTTTTAAGAAGTTTTGAGTTAAAAAAACACTGAAATAACTATATAATAGCTTAAGCATTTAATTCAAGTAGTTAGAAATATATCAAGAAATATTAAATATGAGTAAATAAGGAGAAACTCAAAACAAGAATCAAAACCAAATAAGTGAATTAAAAATCAAAATAGGAAGGCGACAATCCAAGAATGGGTTACTCTTTAAATTTTAAAGCAGATAAAACTGCTGGAAGGAAAGAAGAAAGGGAAGGAGGGTGGTTGGTGGGAGGAGGGAGAGAGGGAGGGAGGGAGAGAAAAGGAAGGAAGGAAGGAAGGAAGGAAGGAAGGAAGGAAGGAAGGAAGGAAGGAGGGAGGGAGGGAGGGAGGGACGGACGGAGGGAGGGAAAGGCAAAAGTTGAAATAAGAAAAATATAACAATAATGGTAGCATAACAATTTAAATTCCAATGATAATTGTTATATAATATGATTTAAATAAGTATATGAAAAATAATTAAAAATAGTCATTGAAATAGATAATAGTCTAAAATAAATAATAATTAAAATTGTGTCATTGAAATAGGTAACAGTCTAAAACAAATTCTTGACATCTACTCAAAAATATCAATAACTAAGGAAAAATGTTTTTCATTTTATCGAAGAACTCTTGACAGAAGCATTCAGAGCTACACAGTCACACTGATTAGTTTTTTTAAGCTGAATGGAATTTCTACACTTTTCCAGGACAGGATAGAAAACTATCCTTTACATTTTATTAAGCTTAGATAACCTAATGACAAAATTGACAAGGCCAATACACAAAATAAGAAAACTTATATACAAATCTAATTTATTAATAAGTGCAAAATGCTACATAAAATATCAACAAATCACATTCAGCAACATATTGAAAGAAAAACTCTCACTGATCAAATACAACTTATCCCAGAATTGCCAGGATGAGTTAATATAAAGAATAGTATTCATATGAAATAACTTATTAGAAGGGCAAATTGAACTCTGAAAAATATTTAATAAAATTCAATGCATATTGAGATATGAGTATAAATAATATTTATTTTAATTTGCATTTATTGTATTATATTAAATTAATAATATAGCATTTATTTCAATCTGCCTTCCAAACCATAAATAATGGTTTAATAGTACAGGCTTTTCTATTTAAATTAAGAACAAAATAAGATGACCCATTCTCATTTTCTTACTCTGAAAATTCTAACCAATGCAATAAGCAAAACAGAAATAATGAATATTTGAAGAGTATTACATTATGAGAAAACTCAAAATAATAAAGAGGAAATTAAAGTATTTCATAATGTGAGAAGGTGAGCCAATGTAAATAGACACACACATAAAATCAAGTTAATAACAAAAAAAATTATAAAAGATCAAACTCAACTGTGAAAAAAACCTGCAAAATACCTAGGAAAAAATATTGTATGATTTGTTTTTGAAAACTATAAAATAAAGCTAATAAATATAAATATCCTGATATAAATATAAATGTGCCCATGTTCTTAGATATGAAGATGGAATTTAAAAAAATATTTCCCCATATATTTATAAGTTTAATGATATTCTCAACAAAATTCCAATGAATAAGCAAATCTTTTCAAGATTACCTGAGGTCAGGAGTTCGAGACCAGCCTGGCCAACATGGTGAAACCCCATCTCTACTAAAAACACAAAAATTAGCCGGGCATGGTGGCGGGCACCTGTAATCCCAGCTACTTGGGATGCTGAGACAGGAGAATTGCTTGAGCCCGGGAGACGGAGGTTTCAGTGAGTTGAGATTGCACCACGGCACTCCAATCTGGGCAACAGAGCTAGACTCTGTCTCAAAAAAAAAAAAAAAAAAAAGAAGAAGAGTAAATGGATCCTATAGAAAGTGTCATTTATTTACCAGCAAGTTTTAGAACCAGTATTAACACAATGTGATGCTACTATACAGATGGATCAATGGAACAGAAGAGTCCAGAAATTAAATTATATGACAATTATTATGTCACAAAGGTGGTATAACAGATCAGTAAGAAATTATAGACATATATGTGTGTAGGTGTATGCATATATATAAAATTATAAACAGCATGTGGTATACAGTTATATATTGCATATATAATTGTACTAGCTTTTCTTCTAATACCACACGTCAAGATATTTCAAATGGATTAAATGAACTAAATTATGAAAACACAAAAATCTTGTTAAAAACCCAATAGCAATTATATTTATCAATTATGTGGGCAGAGGAGAAATTTTGAATTCCAACAGTCCCACATAGGCTAGATTCTGTTACTGTAACAAATAATTCTTCCAAAAAAAATAAAAATTAAAAAATTTTAAAAAGAGGATTAAAATTGAGGCTTAAAAGATGGATTTTTGCTGAAATGGCTGTAGTGAGTCTGTTGCAGGCTCTGCTCCAACGTCCCAGGCTGAAAGAGCAGTCACTGGGCAGAGGGAAACAGAAGAGAGGTGTGGGAATTCTCTCACTAGCAATGAAGTCCTCTGTCCAGGAAGTGACACCAGAGACTTCTGCTCACAAGTCATGGAACAGAGCCAGTCACACAGCCCCAACCAACCCCATGTTAGGTACAATCCACGCATGTATTCCGAAGGGAAAGAACCGGAAATAGTAACAACTACTATGAATGCTTCATGTTTCAGGAAAAAATTAATGTATTTGTAATTATAAATGTAAACATTTCTCTGCCCAAAAATCTAATCAACATTAAAGCTAAATAATAAACTGAGAAAACATTTGCAATAAAAAATACTGACCATTTTATATCATTATGAGTAAGAAAGTAATGATATCTCAGGATATAAAAAAGGCAAAAGACAGGAGGAACAAGTGATTTAAAATTACAGAGGTATAAATAGGTAGCAAATAAGTTTTAAAATTAAACTACTCAGTAATCAAACGGATGCAACTTGAAGCAATAATAAATATTTTCTATAATACATTGACCTAAAATCATACAGATTCTGAGGGAGGTTGCAATTCAGTTGGGCATTTCTACATGGTGGATGGATGCACATATAAATTGCTCAGCCTTCACTTCTGCAGGTCCCTGTAGCATTACATAATAAAAGCCTAAACTGTTTATACCTTATGTTTCGTAATTACAAGACATTTTACTCTCTCCAAGTAAAAACACGAAAAGTGCTTAATGTCAATCATAATAGAATGTATAACAGTGAAGAACTGACAACAACTTACCCAAAAAAGTGGGGTGGATTAAGAAAACTGTGACATATCCAGACAATGAAATATTAAATAGCCATTGAAAAGGTGGATTATGTTCAGGAAGAGGTACCTATGTGAAAATGACAGGAGAAAATAGGATAGAGTCAGGCCAGGCGCGGTGGTTTACGCCTGTAATCCCAGCACTTTGGGAGGCCGAGGCAGCTCAGGAGCTAAGAGACCAGCCTGGCCAACATGGTGAAACCCTGTCTCTACTAAAAATACAAAATTAGCTGGGTGTGGTGGCGAACGCCTGTAGGCCCAACTACTCGGGAGGCTGAGGCAGGAGAATCACTGGAACCCAGGAGGCAGAGGTTGCAGTGAGCTGAGGTAGTGCCATTGCACTCCAGCCTTTGCAATATGAGTGAAACACTGTCTCAAAAGAAAGAAAGAAGGAAACAAACAAAGAGAAAGAGAGAGGGAGGGAGGGAGGGAGGGAGGGAGGGAGGGAGGGAGGGAGGAAGGGAAAGAAAGAAAGAAAGCCGGATAGAGTCATCTTAACTATTTCAGAGAAAATTCAGGTATGTGTAGGAAAAGAATAGAAGGAAATTCACCAAACTGTTAATAGTGATTGTTTCACAGTGTTATGGTTGTGTCTTGTTTTTTCCCCTTTCTTTCAATGTATTACCCAATTTATAGTTGTATGTGTGCTTTTAAAATAAAATTATTTAGAATAAAAAATGTCTCCACACACATCAGACACACCAGAAAGTAAAATGCCTGGAATAGCCCGGGCGCGGTGGCTCACGCCTGTAATCCCAGCACTTCGGGAGGCCGAGGAGGGCGGATCACGAGGTCAGGAGATCAGGACCATCCTGCCTAACATGGTGAAACCCTGTCTCTACTAAAAATACAAAACATTAGCAGGGCGCGGTGGCGGGCACCTGTAGTCCAAGCTACTTTGGAGGCCGAGGCAGGAGAATGGCGTGAACCCGGGAGGCGGAGCTTGCAGTGAGCTGAGATCTCACCACTGCACTCCAGCCTGGGCAACAGAGCGAGACTCCGCCTCAAAAAAAAAAATGCCTTGAATATCCATTGTGGGAGTTCACAGAGTGCAGCACATTTAAAAATACGTGCATTGAGCAGTCAAGTGGACTTTCAGATGTTACTACTTTAAAAATAAATGGTGTGTATTTCCAAAAGTTCTTATTTGAGGCATTCCTAACACAGATCCCTCTGTGATATGATGTTTAACTGTCCTTTATTTTCAATCAACCAGAAGCTTTCTTGGATATCTGTATTAGTCAAGCTTATCTCTCTTCATCTGGGACCTAACTACTTCACAAAGAAATTTTCTCTGAGAAATAACTTTCATCGAACTCATTCATTATTCATGTCAATGCAGACTCTCAGTTCATTTTAAAGTGTTGGATCTTAGAATGAAACTGAGAGCAATCTAGGAAGGTATTAGTAACAGAACTACCTTCTGTATTCTGGGGTAACTTATGAACAATAGTAAATACAGAGTTTCAATCAGACACTTTAAAGGAAAAGTGTCGTGGTAAATGTGTAAATGCTTGCATCTGAGATGCTGTCAGCTTTTTAGATGTTCTACAGCACTGTTGTTGCCTAGTGTGTATCATTTTGTACAATTATTTAAATCAGTAAATGAAAAAGTTATTAAAAGGATGGATTTTTTAAATTTTCAAATGCTGAAACAGAAATATACAGAGATGTTTTAAAAACCAAATGGAAAATATTAAGGAAGAAAAAGAAGAGGCCACGCATGGTGGCTCATGCCTGTAATCCCAGCGCTTTGGGAGGCCGAGGCGGACAGATCATCTGAGGTCAGGAGTTTGAGACCAGCCTGGCCAACATGGCAAAACCCCATCTCCACTAAAAATACAAAAACTAGCCGGGTGTGGTGGCACACGCCTGTAGTACCAGCTACTCAGGAGGCTGAGGCAGGAGAATCGCTTGAACCCGGGAGCCAGAGGTTGCAGCGAGCCGAGACTGCATCACTGCAATGCAGCCTGGGTGACAGAGCAAAACTCCATCTCACAAAAAAAAAAAAAAAAGAAAAGAAAAGAAAGAAAAAAATATAGCAAATGCATTTTAAATATTTACATTAAATGTCATGGACATGCACCTTACCTGCAACATATCTGTGAGATACGATTGATTAAAAGATGCTGTTTTTCATAGACATACAGACCATCTTAATGCTTAGGTATTTTTGTAAATGAAAAGATGAGGTAAGATTTGATAGTATAAATCTGATATGAATTAGATACAAAGTAGTGTCATAATTAGAGGTTTTATTTCTGATCAAGAACCTGATGTCTAACTTTTCATTAAAATTAGCACAAGAACAATATTTAAGACTGCAAATTATTTTAGTCAGTCCCAAAGAGAGTAGATCTACAGATCAAACTTTTCAAAAAGTGTTTCTTAAGACAACAATTCCACTGCATGTCACGGTTACAAGGAAAACTGTCCTATCATCAAATGAATTTGGGGGATACTGAGTTAAACACTCAAATTGTTTTCTTTGCTGCAGGACTTCTGAGAGACAAATGTCATTGTGTAGTGTGAATTTTTAAGAAGGATGAAATGAAGCAGTGCCTCCCAAGCATATTTGACCACTAAACTCTCTATGTATAAGATCTCATGGGCAACATATACGCACACACATCGGTATATACTGCTCTGTGGGAGCTGTGAGCCTCCATTTATTTTGGCTTCAAACATCAGTTCTAATCTTTAACAGCAATATCTTCTTCTCAGCAAGAAATTTCAGGTTGAGAAACAACAGAAATACAGAAGAAGAAAACTAGAAAATTGGGATGCAACACATAATATAGCTTCCCTGGAACCACAGGTTGTGAACTTGTCTTATTCCATTCATTTAATTAATAAGGAGATAAATAGAATCATGAGCTCTTCAGCATGAATATGAGTCATTTAAATGAGATGTTAAAAGCTAAAACTATAACTGCTGTCAAGAGACATTAAAGTGATCACAGAGTTTCATAAGAATAAAAGTTTGGCATGAATTTTTGGCAATATTCCTGGTTCTTGCCTGAAATCTGCTGTTGAACAGGAGATGAGCCATACCTTCATGATGTTAAGGGGCTGGCAGCCTGATGAAAAGTATGCTTTGAAAGTGCTTGGGGACAATGGGCCGTGATTGTTGGGAGAGAGTGAGAAATCACTGCTAAAAAGGCAGTAATGGAAAAAGTCAGGCAGTCTCACTACAGACCTCAATAACCACCCTCCATCTTTCCTACGTATCTCAAAGGCCTCTCTCTTGGCAGAACAAACTACTTTGTGAGGCATAGTGTTAAGGCACAAGAAGGAGAGTAAGTTCAACTGAAGGACCATTTACTGGGGACAACATACTATGACCAAATCATTGCATTTAGCTCTGAAGGAGAAGGCACATTTCAATAAACATCTGTCCTGATCTTCAAGGAACAGGCAGAGCAGGATGTAGGCTTATTTTACACCAAAATAAATTCCTTGAAATATGTAGTAGATTTTATGGTTACCAAAAGAAAGGGAGAGTTCACCTCTGGCTGGAGGAATCAGGAAAGATTCCACATAGGAGGAGACAAAAAGCAGGCTTTTTGCTTTATTGATAGAATAATTGACTACTATACCTACTTTCTTTTTCTGTACTCTACACCAGTAATGCAGTATATCCCAAAAGACTGGAAGCTCTGCTGAGGGCAGGAACCAAGCATCTTTCATCTTTGTATTTTCCACTCCTCCTAGCATAGTCTTAGATATTAATAGATGTCTAATAATGTTTTATGAGTTAAACTGAGTGTTGAATAACACTGGAATAAGAGTAACTTTGGCTTTGGGTAATTTATAGTGCAACTCAAATTTATGAAGGAAAATTACTAATAGTATTTACTAAACTGCCCATAATCCACGGCCTTTCTCTTACTAGCTACCCTCTGAAGTACATCCATAATTCCTTGCTCCATATTTTCTTATCCCTCAAAGGCCATTCCTAGTGAATTAATGCAAATCTCTTTAAGGCATCAAAGAGTGAGTCTGGATGTGGTTATTGTCTCAACGGTGACATCAAACCCCATTCTCCCCCTCTAAAGGATACTAATACCTGAAGACACTTATAGCAGACTGAATTAGAGCCAGTTTCCAGTTGAAGCTGTCCTTGTCCTTAACCACAGCTCTGTTCTTGGCTGGGACTTTCTGAAAGGTAAAAATCCAATCTCTTCTGTCCATTCACTTTCCATCAGGTCAAGAAACACCTGCTTCCCATCCAAATCCATCTAGCATGGGATCTTTACCAAGAATGTTTTGAGCTCCAAAGATAAAACAAAAATACGAAAGCTGAGTGAGGAAGACAGCATTTATCTAAGGGAATCTTAGAATTTAAATCTGTAGCCTTGGAATTAAAGGTGCAGTAAATATAGGCCTATAGTAAATTGCTTATGATGTAATCAACTAGAATTATGGATGTGGCAATAGAGAGGCTATAGAATATTGTATATTTAAGGAGCAGCTATCAGCAAAGGAATAGATCAAATTGCCATCTTGTTTTCTGTTGATAGCTTCTGGAATGGTTATTATTCCACAGGAATGCAAAACAGGAGTCAACACTACAAACGCTTTCCATGTCTTGATTGTCAGCTAATGGTTTTACCTTTCTTCCTGGATGACCTCACAGATTGTCACAACAGGCACACAGAAGTTAGTTAAGGGAGCAAGCGAGCTTTGTTAGAATACATATAGTATCTTGGCCCTGTCACATTCAGAATAGGAAAATATCATAAACATAAAAACTCAATGTGTTGTACAGTACAACTATGTGCCATATTTGCAAAATCATGCTAGAGAGTTAAAAATTGCTATTTGAAGAACTGAATAAAATAACATTTCACAAACAGGAAAGAAATACAGTAATTAAAAGTGACCAATATGAAAACTTTCTGAAGACAATTGAGATGCTGCATTAGTTTCCTGTGTCTATCATCACAAATTACCACCAACAGTGGCTTAAAACGACAGAAGTTTACTCTCTCACAGATCCCCAGAGGCCAGAAGTCTGAAATCTGGGTATTGGCAGGGTCTTATTTTCTCTGAAGGCTCTGGGAGAAATTCATTTATTTGCTTCCTCCAGCTTCTGGTGGCTTCAGTCATTCCTTGGCTTCTGGCTGCATCACTCCAGTCTCTGTCTGTTTTTGTTTGTTTTCTTGTTTGTTTTTTGAGATGGAGTCTCATTCTGTCACCCAGGCTGGAGTGCAGTGGTGCGATCTCGGCTCACTGCAACCTCCGCCTCTCAAGTTCAAGCGATTCTCCTGCCTCAGCTTCCTGAGTGGCTGGGATTACAGGTGCGTGCCACCATGCTTGGCTAATTTTTGTATTTTAATAGAGATGGGATTTTGCCATGTTGACCAGTCTGGTCTCAAACTCCTGACCTCAAGTGACCCATCTGCCTCTTTAAATCTACACTTACTCCTGGGTGATGCCATTCAGTCTCATGGCTTTAAATGCCACCTTTATGGTGGTGACTCCCAAATTTCTATCTCTAGGCCCAACCTCTCTGCCATAAGATCCAGATTGATATATCTAACTTCACAGCTGGCCTCTCCACTTGGACTTTTTTTTAAAAAAAACTTCCATTTTAAGTTCAGGGGTACATGCACAGTTTTGTACATAGGTAAATATGTGTCATGGTGGGTTGCTGTGCAGATAATTTCATCACCCAAGTATTAAGCCTAGTACCCATTAGTTATTTTTCTTGATCCTCTCCCTCCTCCCACCCTTTGTCCTCCAATAGGCCCCAATGTGTGTTGTTCCCCTCTATGTGTCCATGTGTTCCCATCATTTGGCTCCCACTTATACATGAGAACACGTGGTCTTTGGTTTTCTGTTCCTGCATCAGTTTGCTAAGGATGATGGCTTCACTTGGACTTCTAATAGGCACCACAAAAGAATCATGTCCCAAGTCAAGTACCTCCTGCATCGTTCCTCGTCTTGGTCAATGGCAATTTCAAGCCAAAAACCTGATGTTATCCTCAACTCCCTTCCTCTTACTTATGCATCATCAGCAAATCCTGCCGAAGTCCTTCAGATTTTATCTAGAATTCAACCACTTTTTGTCACATCCCAATTCCACTAATTTGTACAAAGCCATCATCATCTCTCACCTGGATTACTGAAATAGACTCTTACGGCAAGAGTGTTATTGCAACATCTCCAAGGGCAGATCTCCCTGTGCTTTGTTCTTGCCCTTCTCCTCCCTTCAGTCTATTCTTAATACAAAAGTCAGCTTGATTCTCTTGAAATATGTCATATCATTTCACTCCTCTGCTCAAAGATGGCCAGTGGTTTCCCATCTCACCCAGAACAAAACCACAGCCCTGTGATGGCCCTTAAGGCCCTCTGTGATCTGCTCCAATCCACCCATCACTTCTCTGAGCTCGTCTTCTACCAGTCCAAGCCCAGCTCACCCGACTTCAGCCTCACTCTTCCTCAAAAATAGCATCAGGCTGCTCCCACCTTAGACATTATATTTCCCCTGGCTGTAACGCTCTTCTCCCAGTATCTTCAGAGTGGTTTTCTCATTATCTTTAGGCTTTTGCTCAAAAGTGCCCTCCCAGTAAGCACTTTTCTCACCTCTCACTCTGACATGTCAATGCCTGTCTTCCTGTTCATGACCAATTCCCCTTCTAAAATAAAAGCTCCAAAAGTCAGATGCGTATCTGTTGCTCACTGGCACATCCCAGTGCCTCACACAGTATCTGTCTAGGCATCTTACAAATAAATGAGGAAATAAATGAACAAATCATTGGATGAGCGAGTTATTCAGTAGAATCATGGACATAATATATATAACCATGAATTGAAGTAGAACAACAACAACAACTAAATATAGGTGGATTTTAATTCTATTGCATTTCTGAAATGGTTATCGTTGGAATATATTTACCATTACAAGGTAAGTTGAGTCAGAACAATATATTCCTTTGAGAGGAATAAGATAGAAAACCATTATTTTCCTGTGTTTTTTTTGTTTGTTTTTTCCATCATTAAATGAGATGGATTCTCTGCCACAATGAAACATTGTCTGAAATTCCTTTTGGGAAGAAGAGGGTAAATTTAATACTTTCACTAATCTCTCAGCACAGGCTTAATCTAGAGACAGATGGAATCAGTAGGCAGCAGTGGAATTGCCTCCCTTTAAGGTTCTTACCCACAACAATGGCTTGATTTCCACCATGTTACACTGAGTTGATTCGGATAGCTCCCTGTTCCATGGAAACAGTGATTGAAAAGCAGGTTAGGAAGTATCCTTGGAACCTAAAAAAAAAGTCAATCAGTGAGACCTAGAGCCAGGCATGGTTTTTTTCATATTAAGATTGCTGAATTCCACCCCTTTGACATTCTGATTCTCTCCATATAATGTGGGATTAAGGGAAAGTTTGGAAGCCATTGCCGTGGGTTTACCTTGGGTGTCTTCACGAATAGCACATTATTGACCTTAGCCTTCTCTAAGTGTTACCCTTTGCCTACAATGATTATGTTGTTGACCCAGCAGTTGTAGAGTTGTGATTCAGAACAATTCTCCTGTAAGTCTAGATGGAATTATGTGGCACAACCCAACATCCTTCATGGCAACCCTTCATTGCACCCATCATCCCCCCTTAAAGGCCACCTGCCAGGTGTACAGGATGTTGCCAGCTGTGGCTTCCATCTGTGTTTAGGTAGTCACAAAACACAACTGCCTACGTCCTCGCTGCACTTCACTGGTTCAAGAGTCTACCCAAAACAGACAGAAATGCTCCTGTGGTGACGGAACTCTGCTGTCTAAACCAAGATTTCAAGTGAATTCCTCTTGGCTTATCTTAAATTACTGCGCTGTAAAGTCAGAATCTTGTTAGAAGAGAATATTACTTGAATATATGTGAGTTCCTTTAAAATTATTTTCAATTTCAAAGCCCTTGGGAGAAAAAAAAGAAGATGTTGGCTGGGCACGGTGGCTCACGCCTGTAATCCCAACACTTTGGGAGGCCAAGGTGGGCAGATTACCTGAGGTCAGGAGTTCAAGACCAGCCTGACCAACATGCCGAAACCCTCTCTGTACTAAAAATACAAAAATTAGCTGGGTGTGGTGGTGCTTGCCTGTAATCCCAGCTACTAGGGAGGCTGAGGCAGGAGAATTTCTTGAACCCGGGAGCTGGAGGTTGCAGTGAGCCGAGATTGCGCCAATGCACTCCAGCCTGGGTGACAGTGCGAGACTCCATCTCAAAAAAAAAAAAAAGATGCTGATAAATGTACTAGTCTATGCTAGGTTTGCTGTAAAAACAAACACAAAAAAACAAACAAACAAAAAAGACCATAGACTGGGTGGCTTAAACAACAGACACTTAATTTCTCTCAGTTCTGGAGGCTGGAAGTCCAAGATGGAGGTGTCGGCAGGTTTGGTTTCTCCAGAGGCCTCTCTCCATGGCTTGCAGATGGCCTCCTTCTTGCTTGGCCCTCACATGGCCTTTCCTCTGTGTGCACAAGTCCCTGGTATATCTGTGTGTCCAGATTTTCCCTTCTTATAAGGCCCAGTCAGAGTGGTTTAAGGCCTACCCTAGCCGCCTCATTGCAACCTAGTCACTGTTTTAAAGACACTATTTCTAAATACAGTCACATTTTGAGGATCCAGAGGTGAGGCCTGCAACATATAAATTTGAGGGAGGATGCAATTCAGTCCATAACAGTGACTTACCAAGAAAGCAAGTCGCTTCTGAGTTTCAAAGCTACTCCAGAATGTAGGCACAGGCATTATTGTCTCATACCCTTTGTTTAGTGACCATATGTGGCACCTTGTCTCAGGTGAGGGAACACAGAGTATGAAGGACAGACCAGTTTAGCATCAGCATTATTTGTACCAACATCTATGCTTCCCAGAAAAGTACAGTGGGAGCAATCAGGACAAAGTCCTCATAGGTAAATCCTAAATACGAACGTGTATTAATAAAAAAAGCATTAATTTTTCAGAATTCTTATCTATTCTGGTGTTTACAAGCAGTATGATTTTACCCTTATCATTTTAAATGGCACAAATATTCACATAAGACAGACTCATTACTCAAAGAAAAAGCCCAACTTCTTTCACTTTCCAACCCTTTGCTTCGACAATGGTGGGTGAGGTGGAGAAGAGGCTGGGGAGGTGGATATTAAGCATGCACCTTGACCGTTGATCAAGCTTCCTAATGATGATCAGACAAAGGATTACTGCCCAACCATTTCCAGTCTATAAAGACTGGCAGGTGATCTGTACTGACTCAAACTGATCTACGACATAGACATGATAAAAAAATAGTTTAACAATACTTCTCATGCTTCAGGTACACACGAGCAATGAAAGAGAACATGGACAACCCAGGCCTGCCGATTTTGAGGTTTCTCACCCTCCTGTGTTCCATCTGTCATGCACTACTTCTCTCAAGAATTATAGCAGAATGAAAAAGCTTGTTCTTCATCCTGAGCTCTCAGTCCTGCCTTCTCCCTTCACCCACTGCCCTGGCTTGGGAAATTTCAAAAATACAAGGGGAGGGGACAACTTTGCCTCTCTTCCTTGAGCCTAAGCTAGATTTTTATTTCAATTTCCTAACCCTTCCATGGTCCACATCATTGTTAGGAGTAGAAGTCAGCTAAGCTCAAATGAGAGACAGAGAGAGGAAGAGGAACAGAGGGATGAAAAAGGTAGGGATTTCTCATCTCAAACCAATGGGCCTCCAAATGAATGAGGCCAGAGGTTCACAACATGAAGACCCCTAAAGCCTTCAGACGTCTCATTGACAGCTCACACTCACAATTATTATACAAAAGAAGTAAAAAGGGAGGAAGGGAGGAATGGAGGAAGGGAGGGAGACAGAGAGAGAGAAAGAAAGGGAGAAGGAAAGAAAGAAGGAAAGAAAGAAAGAGAAAGAAAGAAAGAGACAGAGAGAAAGAAAGAAAGGAAGAAAGAAAAAAGAAAGAAAGAAAGAAAGAGAGAGAGAGAGAAAGAAAGAAAGAAAAGAGAAAGGAAAGGAAAAGAAAGGAAAAAAAGAGAGGGAAAGAGAGAACAAGAAGGAGAGAAGGAAAGACCGAAGGAGGAAATTATGCAAGGGCCCCAACGTGTGTGCCCCTTTATTCTGCTTATTAAAGACTCTACATCTCGTTTTGTTGTATCTGAAGCTATGGGGAGGAGAAGGAGGGAGGAAGTGGCTGATCGTTAAACAGTCTGCCCACATGTGAGGTAATGGTCTGGCTCCTATTAATAACTTTCTCCTGTTTCTGTCAGATCTCACTTTTTTGGTACATCTCCAGCTTTCTATTTACCTCATACCACAGTAGATTTTTCGCATTTATCCGCAACCCTCTCTTGAAGAAAGAGAGTGTGATGGGGTCTTGAGCTAATGACACCATTCATAATGCCTGTTTGATGAAAAAATGAAAAAAAAATTGCTCTGAAAGTGACAAAACAGTTCACCTACACACTACCCAAGCACATAATGAAAACACTTGTAATTCCCTTAAACCCAGGTTCATTTGGCTTTATGTGATAGACAACTACATAGCAAAAGAATAATTTTGAGGCAAGTAGTCAGTTCACCAGTTGGTGCCAACTCCTCTTTTTATTTCCATTATCCAGGTACGATAATAAAAAAAACTTATTTCTAGGGAATTTTTGAGTTTTCAGGGCACTTTGATTACATTTTCTCATTTGCTTTATAGAGCAATTCTCCAAGGGAAGCAAGACAACACTATTAGCTCACATGTATGAGACAAAGAACAACAGAAATAACTTGATGAAATGAAAACATTTACATTTTTTGGACATTCAGACAACTGAGTCAGTCCCAGACAAGACTGTGATTTTGAATAAGCAGGATGTAATGTGTAATCTTCTTGTTCACTTTTTCATTTATAAAAATGGAAAAAAACCCTCCTGCCTTGAATGTTATAAAGTGTAATTAAACATATGTAAAAGAGCTATTTCATAATAATTTTCTTTCTGATACTTAAAAATCCTTCTCAAAGAGGAAGTAGGTAGATCAGGTTTCAAAATTCAGAATTTCTGTTTCCTATTCAGGTATTTGTTTCCTCCAAGCAGCCTACCCTGCACAGATTAATGGTGCTCACATCCATGCCAGTGATTGACTTTTCCCCTAAATACCTGCAGCCTGAACGTCCTAAAGATGCCTTGGTCTCCCCAAGGATGCTGATTCTGAGTAAGACACAGTCTCTCTACATGCGGGCTCTCCCTGTGGGGCTGAGGAGACAGACAAGTAAACAAGTCATTGTTCATAATCACTGTGGAAGCCCTATCGCCAGGCAGCCCTCTGTATGGGTCACCTAGATGGTGGCAGTAAGACGGACTTATGTCCACCTTCTGGTGACCAAGTGTCTTTTGCATCATCTTGTCACCTCACTGTTGAGCATCCACCAACAGTTCTGAGAGAAACTGAAAATCAACTCCAGAGTCTCTCCCTACCATTGTCTGACAAAAGTAAAACACAAAATTCACTTGAACAGCAACATTTTTCCTTACGTTCATTTCAAATAAAGGTCTTAAATGGCTCCTTAGGTAAAGGTTAACATTACCAAATAACTCTGTCATGTAATTTTCCTTCTTTTAATTTCAGTTTTTGTGGGTACATAGTAGGTGTATTGTCATACAATTTTCAACTATGATTTCTCAGAAACCAGGGAAATTATCTATACCTGAATGTCCCATATTATCAGTCTACAAAAGCCCGAAATATTTCCAAAAGGAGCCAAAATAATTCACTATAAACCATCTTAGCTTTCACAACCCAACACTGTAGTTAGTTATTTAATAAAGTCATTTCAGCAGGAACATTACAGATGTGTATTTGTTTATTGCATTTTTTTCAAAGTAGGATCAGGGTAATTTCTTTGAATTACAGTCTGTCCATTGGAGTTCCCTTTCTAACAAAAAATGCACATAAATGACGCGCATGATGCGTATTTGTGATTTTCGTTTCAGACTTTTTCTATATTCTTTTTTTTCCCCCTTTGAATGGAGAGAGAACTGAGAGCACTTGTAAATCAACCTAGCATAGACAAGTTAGGTAAAACCTACAACTGACTTTTGGTAAGGGATCACTCAATCCTGAGAGTAGATAAAAAATAGCAGCCTGGGCCAGGCACGGTGGCTCATGCCTGTAATCCCATCACTTTGGGAGGCTGAGGCAGGCAGATCACGAAGTCAGGAGTTTGAGACCAGCCTGGCCAATATGGTGAATCTCCATATCTACTAAAAATACAAAAATTAGCCAGTCATGGTGGTGCATGCCTGTAATCCCAGCTACTCAGGTAGCTGAGGCAGGAGAATTGCTTGAACCTGGGAGGCGGAGGTTGCAATGAGCCAAGATTGCACCACTGCCCTCCAGCCTGGGCAACAGAGCAAGACTCCATCTCAAAATATATATATATAGATAGATAGATAGATAGATAGATAGATAGATAGATAGATATTGATATAGATATAGATATGTCAGCCTGCAAGTTACAAGTGTTTAGCATTCCATGAGCATCAGTTAACATGTACTTTCAAAAGAAATGAGGAGTATTGGTCAATCAAGGAGTAACTTAAATGGAGATGGGTTAAGAAAGCTTCCACTGTAGGCCCTGTGTCTATTAATAATCCTAGGACGTCTCTCAGAAAACATCTAAGAACTGTACAGTTAACAACACTTACATTGTTTCTGTCAAACATCAATGTCTCAAGCAAAATCAGAGCTCATTCTCTGATGAGGCTTTAAGCACTAACATTTTGTACTGTTACTTGCAGTGAGATCCTCATGTTTAAGACACCAGAGCCTACCTAGAACATGTGCACTTGCTCAGTGAAGGGACATATTTCTTCAGTTACCTGATGCAGGTTTGCTTTGGACTAAACAGTTTCTAAAAACAAAAAGGAAAAGAAAGAAAGAAAAAAAGAAAAGAAAGAAAAAAAACCAGTTCTTTGAATATTCTCATGCACTTTGGAAAGTACTAGAATATGATCTCAGAATTCTGAGCCATGAAGCACAAAAAAGGACATTTTTATCTTGAAAAATCTAACAGTATGTATGTGTCATTTTGATCCCATCAACTCTGCATGATCCCCTTAGAGTCTGGAATGTAGGCTTCTGAATAGAAAGATCTTCATTCTAAAGAAGAATGGTCCTACAAGGATACAGCTCAAATTATGTTTAGATCGAGCATGGTGCAATTCTTGTCCACATCACAGAAAATCGTCCTCTGCCATATTATCAGTTACACTTTTATACCACTAAATGTTTGGAACACATTTGCCATCTGAGAGATGGTATACAGTCCAACACTGGATTTAAAATCTTAAGCATACATATGCAGTTAGTCCTATTTATCTGCATGTGGCACATGCTGATAAACTTCACTTTTAGCCCGGGATTTAGGATCTGCTCTATTACTCTATTTATCATTTGGGGTCTCTTATTTGTATATGTACATTCTTCTTTTTACTGGCCGGGTGTGGTGGCTCATGCTTGTAATCCCAGAACTTTGGGAGGTCGAGGCGGGTGGATCACCTGAGGTCAGGAGTTCGAGACCAGCCTGGCCAACATGGGGAAACCCCATCTCTACTAATAATATAATAATTAGCCGGGCATGGTAGTGCACACATGCAGTCCTAGCTACTCGGGAGGCTGAGGCAGGAGAATCGCTTGAACCCAGAGGCGGAGGTTGCAGTGAGCTGAGATCGTGCCATTGCACTCCAGTCTGGGTGACAGAGCGAGACTCCGTCTCAAAAAAAAAAAAAAAAAAAAAAAAATTACATGTGAACCATGTGACTAACGCTTCTCATGCATCTCTTTTGCTTCTGCAGGAGGGATTTTTGAAACAGTGGAAAATGAGCCTGTTAATGTTGAAGAATTAGCTTTCAAGTTTGCAGTCACCAGCATTAACAGAAACCGAACCCTGATGCCTAACACCACATTAACCTATGACATCCAGAGAATTAACCTTTTTGATAGTTTTGAAGCCTCGCGGAGAGGTAACTATTTTCCCACTTTTAAAAGCTTCTTTGGGTGATATGTCTGCTCTCCAAGTCACCTTCTTTTTGCTACCTGCCCTCTTTTAAAGCGGGCATCTTTGTGCAAATGGGTCGCGGGAAATCTGGGTCTTCGATGTCACTGATCAGTGTAATCTGAACTAACCTAATGGACGTTGCTGAGCACTGTTTTCTGGGCCTTTCTGATGAGCTTACCCTTCAGTGCCCTCCACTCTATGATTAACTAGCTCAGCTGTGAATGGAAAATGTCAAGCTTGATCTGTTTTTCCTTCCTGAAGCTGAGATACCACCATGAAATCGTGCGGTGCAGTCAAATAAAACATTATGGAAGGTCAATCCACTGAGCATGTGGAAATGCCCAGGACACACATAACTCACACCCTGAATTTTAACAGGTTGTAAACTACTGAGTTTACCTAGCATCCTCTCAACTTTTTTTTACTCTTTTCCACAAAATCATAGAAATATGAAGATTAAACCTGTGAGAGCAATGTCTACATCCGATCCTCTTTTTCTTCTGAACTGAAGCCAAGTGCCTAGCCTAAAAAGTAATCTAATTCATATGTTGGCTGCAAGGTTTCTCTCATGGAAAGATTCATTCGGAATTGTGGGGCTTGCTTAGACATCTTCTAGACAATATTAGGACAAGTCTTTGAAGTAAGATCACATAGTTGAGGGTTGGCTTCTAACAGGGACACTATCTAGTCACTAAATAAATGTGTTTATGTGGAAACAAAGGCTACTCATCACCCCAGATTGGGGGGGTTCTTTGCCTCAGAGAGGAATCCTTGCCTACTAAATACACACAAATAAGGAAACACAATGAACACCATGTTTATGCTGATTTCCAGGTTACTAAATGCTGGTTGTTTCCATGTAGAATTAATCTAGTTAGATCATAGGTTGTGTCCACCTGATACAGCCTCCTGCAAGAATTCTAGTGTTCTTTGCAAACAAAATATAAAACTTATTTTCTTAGGAGCACAGATAAAAAATTAACAACATAGCAGGGCGCAGTGGCTCATGCCGGTAATCCCAGCACTTTGGGTGGCCGAGGCAGGTGGATCACGAGGTCAGGAGATCGAGACCATTCTGTCTAACATGGTGAAACCCTGTCTCTACTAAAAATACAAAAAAAAGTAGCCGGGCATGGTGGCAGGTGCCTGTGGTCCCAGCTACCACAGGCTGAGGCAGGAGAATAGTGTGAACCCGGGAAGTAGAGCCTGAAGTAAGCCAAGATTGCACCACTGCACTCCAGCCTGGGTGACAGAGCGAGACTCCGTCTCAAAAACAAAACAAAAAACATTAACAACATAATATTTTTATATCTATGGCCTGACTTAAGTATAAAGATATTTTCTTTTTAAAAATGGGTAGACTTTGAGATATCATATGGGTCAAAATTGTCTATGGACAAATAATAAAACTATATACTTATACAGCATTTTAAAGTTTCCAAGCTATCCTCACATAAATTATCTCTATAATGTAGAGATAGATCTATCACTTTTCTTTCTCTCATCGCTCTCTCTTACACACATACACCTATGCAAACAGACACTAACACTCCTACACATTGTGGAGCAAATACTGTAGAAAGCCAACCACATTTAGCAATGGAACTCTAGCCACATAAAAATCGAAAGCTTTCCTGTGGTCTGAAGTACCTGGCTTACTTGTCAGTTAAACACCCCCAGAGCTTCTTAAAACTGGTAATTTGCTGGCAAACAGAATTCAAAAGGATTGATTTTCTGTCAAATAATATTAGTACCGCAGAGCTAACTATTAACAGGAATCTCAATCCATTGCTTATGCTGGATAGAACAACACTATCCAGCTCCACATGCTGGAGTTCACACACTCCCATACTCTCCTTTTATCTGGCTAAATAATGAAAACCTAACCAGAAAATAAGCTTCTGAAGACAATGACAGTTTACACTTCCAGCACATAATGGACAAAACTGTACATCTTCGTAGTTAATGCAGTAGTTCACTACCAAAGAGCAGAGTAGCAGAAAGTTTTTCTTGTAAACATTTGCTGTTCCTTAGATACCTGCAATATGGCTGTCAAAGTTGTATCAGTTATTCTGTCTGAATTAAGTCAGGTAACTACAGAGCCATATCATTTTTCAAACTATTTTTATTTGTAGAATGATATTAATATTCAATACAATTTTATGTATTAATTTAGCTAATTTGATATTTAATTATCTGATGACCGTTCTAAATTTGCAGAATTAAAATATAAATTTGAAAGTGTGTTTAAGCTCTTATTTAATTCCTACCAACATAAGATTAATAGGCACTATTTTACATGGTTGTAGAGGGCAAACTGCCCCAACCTTTCCGGAAGGGAATTTGGTTAATATGTTTCAAGTGACTTCAAACTATCTATACCCCTTAATTATAACTGGTAACTTAACTTCTGGAAATCTACTCTTAGAAAGTAGCACAAGATTCAGAGAAAAATATAAGAGCTAAGGTAAGTGCTATAATATTATTTATAATAGCCAAAAATTAGGAGCAGCTTAAATGTTTTGGGGGATGTTTGTTTGTTTGCTTTTTGAAACAGAGTCTCGCTCTGTCACCCCAGCTGGAGTTCTGTGGTGCTATCTCAGTTCACTGCAATCTCTGCCTCCCGGGTTCAAGCAATTCTCGTGCCTCAGCCACCCAAGTAGTTGGGACGACAGGTGCACACCAACACACCTGGCTAATTTTTGTATTTTTATTAGAGATGGGGTTTCACCATGATGGCCAGGCAGGTCTCGAACTCCTGACCTCAAGTGATCTGCCTGTCTCAGCCTCCCAAAGTGCTGGGATTACAGGCATGAGCCAAATGTTTAATATTATAGGAATGCTTAAATAAGGGATGACACACCTATGAAATGGTCTATTCTACAGACACTAAAAATATGCTTTAGGAGAATTTGTAAGGACTTGAAAAAAAGACATGCTATAGTGTTAAAGAAAGTAATATGTCAAACTGTATTTATATAATGATTCTAATTTTCCCAAATATTAATAGATATTATTCCAAAATGATAGGATGAATCCCAGAGCCTTTTTATCCCTAATTTTAAATATTCTAAATTCTCTCAGTGAGTGCTTATATTCTTATAATGAGAAAAATACATTTATGTTACAACTAAATTTTTCAGTAGATATTGACTTGATGTATTTAGGCTACCTGTCAGCTGACCCTGGGGTAGAAAGAGGCCTGATGTTGAGCTAAAGCTCCTGTCCAGTGGCCATGACTCTCTTCATTGTCTATGAAATGAGTGGGTTGGACAAAATGTCTTCTGAGATCCCTTTAAGCTATGCTATTTCATTATTTGAAAATTAATTAGACAGCAGCACTGCTTATGAACATTCTTTAGCAGTATTTCATTTACCTGGAACTTCTTTCTGAGTTTTGGAAAGATAGGAGCTAAAGCACTTTGTAGTTACCGAGAGGTTCTACATTAATTTTATAACCACATTAATATTTTCAATGCCACCCTGCTGCATGACAGAACTTAATTCATACAACACTCATTTGGCAAAGGGCTTGTTGGTAACTAGGAGTGCTTTCAGGTAACACCATACCAAGCAAGGGATTTAGACTCCATCTGATTAAAGGTAATAAAGTGAGACCAGCAGGGAGTTGGCCTTGTTGGTATATTGCTAATCAGTTCTAAGTTTACATCTATCAGTACATTAGCAGCTCAAGAAAGTTGGAAGTTGGACCAACCGTATTTCCTCAATATGCAGACAGGGATTGTAAAAGATTTTTCAATAGTTGCATTAAAAAGAGGAATCATGAAAGAAAAAATTAAATTCATAGAACTCTCTTTTTCTCTCCCCCTTTCCCTGCCCTCCCTCCCCATCCTCTCCTTGTCCTTGGGCATCAGCATGTGACCAGCTGGCTCTTGGTGTGGCTGCTCTCTTTGGCCCTTCCCATAGCTCCTCCGTCAGTGCTGTGCAGTCTATTTGCAATGCTCTCGAAGTTCCACACATACAGACCCGCTGGAAACACCCCTCGGTGGACAACAAAGATTTGTTTTACATCAACCTTTACCCAGATTATGCAGCTATCAGCAGGGCGATCCTGGATCTGGTCCTCTATTACAACTGGAAAACAGTGACAGTGGTGTATGAAGACAGCACAGGTATGGGACTCACACAAGACCTCACCCGACCATGTCTGCTCTGAACAAACAGAACGAAAGTATCAAATAGTCATTAAACTCATCAGATGGAGCATAAAAATGCTCTTTTATATAAAGCTAACTGAATATTCTGAAGTAATTTAATAATGCATGTGTATATAATTCACATTTCTTTTTGTTTGTTGATCCTTTCTAACGATCCTTTTATCATCAAATATATGGGAACTTTTTTTTAAAAGAAATATCATCTTATCAGTATATGTTATAATCCAATCACAATATTAAACATGTATTTTCATTTTTCCAGCTCTAATAAGACTATGACCACAATTGAAAATGACCATGGAATATGATTCCAACTTGATAAGTAGCTATGTAAATGTTTAGAAAAGTTTCTAACGTAAGTTAACAAAGAGGAATTCATTTAGAGGTTGTACCAATAGAGTGGATTATGTCATGGGAAAGGGACTATGAATCCCCATTGATGAGTGCTTAATAAAGCTTGCTCCATGTGCTTGTTCAGGGTGCAGGATGGAAATATGCCTGCTTGGAGTCCAGTCCTCATCAGCCACTATCTCTGACCCGCCCCCATTTGAACTTTCTTTTACTGGCACCACCCCCCTCTGCTTTCTGCTTATTGTCCAGAATTTTTCAAAAATTCAGGCCCCTTTTTATTTAAAGTCAGGCAGTGACCCTCCATTGTCCACATAATAAAGTTGAATTTCTTCTAATTCAAAACTCTTCATCATCCAGCCATTTTCATTTTCATTAACTCAGGCACTAGCTTCCCTCACTGCCTGTACTCTCACATGAGTTATGATGAAGAATCTATCATTTCTTCAATATCCCCATGTTCTCCTGACTCCTGTTTTCTGAGGCTGGCACCTCACTTTGGATGATCCTTTGCACGACCTTCACGGTGGTGAACTCCCTCATTCTCCACGACCGCACGCAAATTTCCCTCTTCCTTAAAGCTCTCTGAGACCACCAGAGGGTTCACTAGCACTTTGGAAGCAAAAGCACTGAATCCCAAGTTATATTTCAAATATCTGTTTACATGTCTGTAAGACTGGAAATTTCTAAGCATCCTAATTTTATCTTATTTATGTTTATAATCTGCTACCTGTCGTAAACCTGACATAGAGGAAACAGTTTAGTAATTCCACATGGATAGAATAATACCATTGATTGTCTGAATTTTTTTTCTCCAAGAGTTGAAATGAGTTGCTTTCCTTGATCTACACATTTTGTAATAAGATTATGAAAATTACAAGTGAAAGTTAGTAAAGTGAAACAGTGTCAAACTTTGCAATACGGTTTCGCTTTTCACTGCCCCTTTCGCCAAGCACTAGCAGTTACTATTCCTCAAAGGATGAATATGTGCCTCCTCTTTGATGTTAAACTCTGGTTCCATTTTATATAGTCAGATAAAAGTGACGAGTGTGGTTGGAAATATGCACTTATGTATTTTCTTGTGCCTCATCTCATTTTAGAAAGAATTGAAGATTCTAAGTGAGTGGGTATATATTTTATAAGTATTGTATTCGAAACAGTCCCATCAAGAAGAATAAGCTACAAGCAGCCATATTTTTAGAACTTTACCTGCTTGCTGTGAAGGAATAAATCATTATCTAATCAAATCCACACGCATACTTTAAAGGGCTTTGAAAAAGAATATCATGTTTTAAACATAAGTGTGGTTAGATCTTGCATGTTGCCTACTTTTGCTAAACATGAAATTTTGTGAGCTCATAAAATCAAGCTATAGCTCATTATGTTGTGAACTCTGTAGTATAATCATCTCTCACCATTTCTACAGCAAAGCTGGACCATCTAAAAGGAAAACATACCAATGAATAATATTGAAACTCGTGGATTTAATTTAAGAAAGAGTTCAACTAAAGACGTAGGCATTGTAGATTTCAAATTGTATTTAGACAAAATATAATTAGTAAGTAAATGACAGAAAACTTGATATTCTAACCACTCTCTGATGTCAGGTGAGCCACACATATGTGACATCCATTTTTCAAAGCAAACACCAAACTATCATTTCCATCATCTTCTACAAGAAACTGAAATGTCCTTTTCATCTTTGTCAAGTTCACCTGTGCTCAGTGACTCAATAGATACTTGTTGAAATTTACAATCCAAAATGATTTCGTATGTCGCCCATTGAGAGATGATTCAAGTTAAAATGATTTTTGCCCACAAAGACATTAAAAATGTAAATGAATAATCAATTGAGCCATTAAATTGGAACCCAGAGAATAAACAGGCCAACTGAGATCAATAAAAGCACAAGCCTTGTGACTGTGAGTGGGTTTTATACTGCTTGACTCAGGGTTCTTGCCTTTAGTAATTATCACACCATAAAAAGGAGGAAACTTAGTAAACCTAAAGGAAAAGAAAGGACTTAGGTGTGCTTAGCACCCGCCCCTACACCAGAATTAAGTACCCATTAAAGAGCACTTTATTGGGATTTGTTTAGGAGTTTGTTAAATAGCCTGAAGCCAACACAGATGTCGCGGGACCAAATGGCCCATTACTCCCATTGAAGTCAATGGGAGCAGTGTGCACGTCTCTAAGGACAAAATTCAATTCGCTAAATACTAGCAAGCAGAATTCTGTCCTCTAGAAGATAAAATGTCGAAAGACTCTGGAGAACTCTTAGGAGGAGCAAAGTTTCGTCTCGCCTCGTCTCTCTTCTCTCTCTTTCCTGGATGTCCTTCCCGTTAGTCACCTACTTGTCGCTGATTCCCACATCCAGAGGTGACCCCAGGCAATGAGAAATTGCTGCCCATTGACCTCCCCTCATGATTCATTAGACCCTGGTGGAAACCTGGCTATCACTTCACATACAGCAAAAAGAGCTGAGAAGCTGAGCCTCAACTGCAGTGTGTGGCATATTCAGCAGTTTCTGCCTTCTCAAAGCCAATCTCAGGGAAATGCACCCACAGCGATTCCTGGAGAGCAGGGATCAGCAAACTTTTTCTGTGAAGAGCCAAGTGCTGAGGCTTTATGGCCATGGGGGTCTTGGTCAAAACCACTCCACTCTGACAAAGTAGCAAGCAAGCACACGGACAATATGTAAACGAATGGACCCAGTGTGTTCCAATAAACCTTTATTTGCAAAAATACATGCTGGGCTAGGTTTGGCCTTTTGGCCCTATTTCACCTCTGCTATAGCCTTAAAAGATAAGACAACTGAGCTAAAAACTAAGATTGTAATTTTGTACACATATGAAGTGGGTTCAGCTCACATCCAAAACTCCTTCGTTTTGGTTTCTGGGTTTTCATGCCCTTCTTTCCTCCTCACTGGCCCTCCTGGCTTCCTCATCAATACGTGTCAGTCCTTTGTCTCATTATCTCTGTGGGATTTGCCAGGTGATATTCTGGTTCATTGGATAAACAAATTTTCAAAGAAGTGTTGGGGGAACAGATACCTTTCCTCACCCATCATAACAATCACAACTGACATTCCTATAACAAAAGACAGGTTAACAAGAGAAAATCATAGCAAATTTGTTTAACCAAAGTTTTACATGACTCAGGAGGCTTCAAAAATGAAGACCAAAGACCTAGGGAAAACTGTCTATTTCTATGCTTAGATTCCATGAAGAATGAACAACATGTGGAAATGTGATTGGACAAAAGGGTAGAATCAGTGGTAATAGGCTGAGGGGGAAAGCCCAGCAAGGCCTGTGTGTTCGGATTCTTCTTAGCCTCTCTGTGCAGTGTTCCTTCCTCCTGAGCATGGGTCAGGGCCCCTATGAAATAAGAGTCTTCAAGGGAAAAGAGAATCTTTCTAGATTTTATATCTTGCTTTTGGGGAGAGGAGTTCTAGCTTCTATGCTCCACTTAGGGAAGTGAAATTCTACTTTCTATGACTCACGTCAGTGGATTAAGAGGGGTAGGATACCGGGGGTCAGGAGAAAGTCAGAAAGACCTTGTTTCTGAGAACTTTCCAGTCTTTTTCAGTTCAAAGTAGTCAGCATGCCAAGGTGCCATATTTTGGGGTGTCATGTTCTGAGCCCCAACAGTGTTAATGGCTAATAATGACTTAAAATGCTGTTTCTTACTTTAAACTAATCATAGCACATTTTAGGTTTGGCTCTCTTAAAAGACAACAAAAGCATTGAATATTGCATGCCACAGAGAGTGGGATTTCAAAGTGTTTTCTTATGCTTGGTTAGGCGATTACCTACGCAGTCAGCATAGAGAGCAAATAAGCAAGTGCTAATTCAAATTTCAGTGGCAAAACATTAAAAAAAAACAAAAAAAACTCCTATTCTGCTTAGCTTTTATTTTGTGAATGATTAAGAAAAACCTACTTTATAGTTTTGCCTGTCTCTCTTCTCTACTTTAACTTGTCCTTAACTAAACTGGCCCAAAGTTTATATTCATTTGGTTCAGGTGATATTTTCTGAAATATTGGGGAAAATAGTCAAGACAGCACATATTTGCATACTCTGTACTATGGCTGCCTTTTCCTGAGATCTAAATGGCTTCTGCAATACGTTGTTTGAAAGTTTTATTTTTATATAGTTTTTTAAAAAAGATTGCTTTGTTTAGAAAATGTTAAAATGAAGAAAAGTGTAAGGACATAAACAAAAATATCCAGAAAACCTATCACAGATAGTGTCTTAGTGTATATTATTTTAGATATTAGATAGGCAGGCAGGCAGGCAGACAGACAAGGAGATAAACAGGTAGGTAGATAGATAAATAGATACATACATAATAGATAGATAATAGATCATGATAGGTAGATGATAGATATTAATAGACAGATGATAGGTAGATGATAGACAATAGGTAGATAAATGATGAATGATTAATAGAGGACAGATACATGATAGAAAATAGATCATGATAGGTAGATACTAGGTTGGTGCAAAAGTAATTGCGTTTTTGCAGCCGGGTGTGGTGGCTCACGCCTATAATCCCAGCACTTTGGAAGGCCAAGGCAGGTGGATCACAAGGTCAGGAGATCGAGACCATCCTGGCTAACACGGTGAAACCTCGTCTCTACTAAAAATACAAAAAAAAATTAGCCTGGCGTGGTGGCGGGCGCCTGTAGTCCCAACTACTCGGGAGGCTGAGGCAGGAGAATGGCATGAACCCAGGAGGCGGAGCTTGCAGTGCGCCAAGATCGCACCACTGCACTCCAGCCTGGGCGTCTGAGCAAAGACTCCATCTCAAAAAAAAAAAGTAATTGCGTTTTTGCTATTAAAAGTAGTGGCAAAAACTGCAATTATTTTTGCACCAACCTAATAGCTGATAGGTAAATGATAGATTAGATAGATATATAAATAAGTAGATGATAGATTAGATAGATGATAGGTAGATGATCAATTAGATAGATAGTTGATAAATAGTGAATATAGTTGACAGCTAAATAGATATATGATAAACGGTAGATAGATGATAGATAGATAGATAGATAGATAGATAGATAGATAGATAGATAGAGATGATAGATTCCCTTGTTTCATAGACATTTACTGCCAGACATTATCCTAAGTAATGGGGATAAACCACACACAAAAATATCTGACTTCATGGAATCCACAGTCTGTTTCTCTAATGAACAAAATATATAGTAAATATTTAGTAGATAGACAGTAGAAAATGTTATGAAGGAAAATAAAGCATCAAACAGTATTCGGGAGACCGACAGTAGAGATGAGGTATACAGTTTTATGTAAGGATACCAGGGAAGTGCTCTAGAAAATAACGTTTGAGTAAAAATTTAAAGAGGATAAAAAACAAATCATGTAGATACCTGGGGGAGAGCATTTCAGACATCAGGCAGAGGGAACAGCCAGTGCAAAGGCCCTGACAAAATAACTATTTCCTGGTAGCACTGTGCTGAACCCCATCATTAAGTATTTCATATCATGGAGGCTTTGCATATGTAAATAGCTAAAGGACAATATTTAATAATTTCAACTTTTGGTTTAGATTAAAGGGTACATATGAAGGTCGTTGCATGGGTATATTGCATGATGTTGAGGTTTGGAGTATGAATGATCCTGTCACCCATGCAGTGAGTGAGCACAGGTACCAATAGGTACTTTTTCAGCCCTTGCCTCCCTCCTCTAGTAGTCGCCAGTGTCTGTTCTTCCCATCTTTATGTCCACGTGTACCCAATGTTTAGCTTTCACTTATAAGTAAGATCATGGGTATTTGGTTTTCTGTTCCTGTGTTAATTCACTTAGGATAACGGCCTCCAGCTGCAACCATGTTGCTGCAAAGGACATGAGCTTATTCTTTTTTATAGCTGCATAGTATTCTGTGGTGTGTATGTACCATATTTTCTTTATCCAATCCACCACTGATGGGCATCTAGGTTGATTCCATGCCTTTGCTATTGTGAATAGTGCTGTAATGAACATATGAGTGTGTGGGTTTTTTGGAAGAATGATTTTCTTTTGGATATATACCCAGTAATGGGATTCCTGGGCCAAATGGCAGTCCTGTTTTAGGTTCTTTGAGAAATCTCCAAACTGCTTCCCACAGTGGCTGAACTAATTTAAACTCCCACCAACAGTGTATAAGTGTTCCCTTTTCACCACAGCCTCACCAACATCTGTGTCTTTTGACTTTTTAATAATAGCCATTGTGACTGGTGTGAGATGGTGTCTTGTAGTTTTCATCTGCATTTCTCTGATGATCTGTCATGATGAGCATTTTTTCATATGCTCGTTGGCCACTTGCGTGTCTTCTTTTGAGAAGTGTCTGTTCACGTCTTTTGCCCACTTTTTAATGGGGTTATTTGGTTTTTTTTTGTTTGTTGATGTAAGTTCTTTATAGATTCTGAATATGAGACATTTGTTGGATGCATAGTTTGCACACATTTTCTCCCATTCTGTGGGTTGTCTGTTTACTCTGTTGATAATTTCTCTTGCTGTGCAGAAGCTCTTTAGTTTAATTGGGTCCCACTTGTCAATGTTTGTTTTTGTTGCAATTTCTCTTGAGAACTTAGTCATGACTTCTTTACCAAAAACAATGTACAGACTGGTATTCCTTAGGTTTTCTTCCAAAATTTTTGTAGTTTGAGGTCTTACACTTAAATCTTTAATTCATCTTGAGTTAATGTTTGTATATAGTGAAAGACAGGGGTCCTGTTTTATTCTTCTACATATGGCTAGCAAGTTATCTCAGCATTATTTATTGAGTAGGGAGAAGGATAATACCTTGAATTCTTATTATAGACACCATTAAGCTAAATATTTAGACCAAAAAAAATGTAAGCAAAAGAAAACAGGGTGCTTCAAATAGGAACTTTCCTGTTCTAAAATTTACCTATGGATAGGCCCGCCTCCCAAAATTCACAACGACGCCAGCCCTTACTTCATTATAAATATGTGGATATTGAGAACATTCATGTACAGAATACATGAGTAAGTCTAAAAGAACTAAAATGTTTAGGCTGCAAAAGAAAAACATAAGGACATAGAAGTTAATGGCTACTGAACACTGAGTCTAAAGGGTGATGGAATAGAAGAAGCTTTAGCTAGTCCTCTGGGCTTTCATGGACAAAGTGGGTGAAGGATTGAGGGAAGCAACTTTAGCATCACTGAAAGAATGAACTTTTAATCACCAGATCTCTCAAGAGATGAATTGCATTTCTCTCCAAAATATTTAACACCCTGACCCAGAAGAGTTCAAGCCCAGGCTTGGAAAACCCTGTCATAGGCAGGTCCTGATATAAGGATTCCTGTAGTACCCAAGAGGTTACCCTGGCACCTAAAGTTGCTCCCAACTTTGGATAAATTGCTTTTCTAAAACACAAATTGCCACTGCACTGTCCCATCGTGATGCCACCCTGGTAGATCATCTGTTTCTTCATCTTCACTAATGCTGTCAGAGTCTGTCATTCCACAAATATTTATTGGATATGCCAATAAATATTGGTACCAGGCATTGTTCTAAGCATATGGAATACATTAGTGAATAAAACAGATAGAACCCACTGACTTCAAGGAGCTTAGGTTCTATGGGAATAATAAACCATTTTTTCATTCAATATAAAATGATTATAATTGTTGAACGGTGGTGAGTCTGTGGAAGAAAGAAAAAGTAGAGCAGATTGAAGGGAATCTGGAAGCCAGAAATGTGGTTTGCAGAATTAAAGGTCATGTCACATTGCACAGATGAGGCTTGAGCAAAGGCTGCAAGGAGCTGAGGAAGTGAACCACGTTCTGTGAGAGAGAAGGCGGTTCTAGTCAGACAGAACAGCTAATGTCTCAGGTGAGAGTGTGCCTGGTACCTCAGAGCAACAGCAAGGAGGCCAGGGTGGATGGATCAGAGTAAGAGGGGAGGGGAGATAGAAGAGACGGTCAGAGAGGAGGGCCTTGTAGGTCATGCAAGACTTTGTAAACCATTGGAAGAGCTTGTGCTCTGCCTGGAATGGGAAGCCGTGGAAGAGTTTTGAGCAGAGGGTGGATAAGATCAGAGTAACATTCTGCAGTAGTCTCTACTCATCCTAAGGGGATACATTCCAAGACCTCCAGTGGATGCCTGAAACCACGGATAGTACTGAACCCTATATGTACTATGTTTACTTTTTTCTTTTACTTTATTTTTGAGACGGAGTCTTTCTCTGTCATCCAGGCTGGAGTGCAGTGGTGCGATCTCGGCTCACTGCAACCTCCACCACCTGTGTTCAAGCAATTATTCTGCTTCAGCCTCCCCAGTAGCTGGGATTACAGGCACTCACTACCACGCCCGGCTAATTTTTGTATTTTTGGTAGAGACTGGGTTTCACTATGTCGGTCAGGCTGGTCCCGAACTCCTGACCTCGTGATCCACCTGCCTCGGCCTCCCAAAGTGCTGGGATTACAGGCATGAGCCACCACGCCCAGCCTGCTATGTTTATTTCTATATATACATACCTAAGCACTTCTTCTATATTTGTCTGTATAGCACTTGTATGAATAATACCATGATAAAGTTTAATTTATAAGTTAGGCACAGTAAGAGACTAACAACAACAATGATGAAATGATTCACGTCCCATGTGGACAGAGCAGGATGGTACAAGACTTCATCATGCTATTCAGAAGGGCATGCAATTGAAAACTTATGAATTGTTTATTTCTGGAATTTTCCATGTAATACTTTTACACCACGACTGACCGTGGTTCGCTAAAACCATGGAAAGCAAAACCTCAGATAAGGAGGGCCTACTCTTGAAGAATAGTAGGAGTAAAAGAATCACTGTACACTCTACAGAGGCAAAGGTAGAAATATGGCAACCTGCCAGATGGCTCCTATAGAAACCCAGGGAAGAGATGGAGGCAATACAGTAGAAGAGTAAGATACGCTCAGGTTCTGGAAACATTTTTAATGTAGAGCTGGCATAATATCTGAGAGGATATTTGAATGTGTTCCCCATTTGAAAGTTTTTATTATATATGATCATGTCCTCTTTCCTTTATCTCCATTTGTGTGGTGACATTGGGCTATGTTTGAATGATTGCTCAAACATTGTAGGGTCTTTGAGGGAACTGTACAAAAATCATCATGGATATTCTCAACTGCATGCATTTTATCTATTAGTTTCACTACTACTTTAAGATGTCTTTTTGAGTATCCAGCACAACCTTTGGGTCTGTATGACACTTATTTTGATTTAAGGAACTCAATGACCTAAGAAACTTGGGACACCTCAGGTTGCCTCAAGATATTAACCTGTTTGGAAGATAGCGAGCATATTCCCTCCTATGGCAAACTCCTCTGAAATATCAAAGTTTGGCTCAGTGTTTCAATTAAATCAAATGTCAAGAAAAACACTTTGTATTCCTTAGACACAAGACAAATGCCATATGTTAAGTTTATTTTTAAATGGAGGATAAAAACAGGAAGACCGTGTTCCAGTCTGAGAAAATATTGATGCCATGGTGTTGGTGAGGCAGGTTACGGTTTAATTCATACCTGTAGATCAAAGAATCAAAAATTAACTCAAAATGCTAATAATATCCTGAGGGAGTAGAGGTTAGGAAAGAAAGAAGAGAGAAATAAAAGATTGATCTTTTTGTCCTGAGCCAAAGGATGGAGTTGTCATTACCTGAAACAGGTTATAGGTGGAACTAGTTTGAGGAAATAAGAATGATATCAGAAATTGAGTCATTAATATGTTAAGTTTGAGTTTCAGATATCTATTAGACATCTGAATAAGGGTAAGAACAGGCAGTTAATACCTGAGTCTAGAGTCTAGAAAATGGATCTGGGCTGGAGACACAAATTTGAGTGGCCTCAGCCTATAGATAGGACGGGATGAGTACATCAAGGAAATGAGCACCAGACAGATGCCTCTAGCCCTGAATTTATAACACATCAACCTTGAGAAGTTTATCTTTGTTTACCTTAAGTCATTTTTCTCAACACATCACAGCCATGAGATTTCTAAAATGCAGCCTGCAGTGAAGAGTTAGTTGTTAGTCATCACATCAAATATAGTCTCCGAGCTTTACTGTAAGGATTAATTTGAAATGAGAATAGCATCCCTAACAGTGGCAGTGATTGAAAAAAACAATCAACCCTGGGAGAAAACATACATGAAATGAAAATCGCAATAATAACAATAACTAAATTCTTGAGTGCTGACTATGTGCACTGTCCTAAATAGATGATTAACTCATTTAATGTGCTCAACCAGCCTGTGAGTAAGTGAAATATCTGCTCTTATAGCTGTATTTAAGTAATGACTTAGTTTTTAAAAACTCTATCTGTCATAGTTCCTTCCATTTTCCCATAGAAAACAGAAATAATATACTCTTCTAGAACTAAGAATCTTGACAGAAGCCTGAAGTTTGGACTCAAAGAAAATCAACACTTTGGCATGAGTAGTCAAGCTAAAATGCAAGATGTGCTATACACAGTCAGTGCCAAATAAGTGACTCTTTTCACCTTCTGTCATCACCACTCACCCCACTGTGTCATTATGACCACTTGTGATAGCTAAAACTCTTCTGCTATGTGCTCTCCCACCATTCCACTGAAATAACCCAACGATGGAACATTCTTTACACTCAATATCAAAAAAAATGATAAATTACAGTTTCTTTTTTTCTCTGTACTCACTTTTTTCTACCCTTCATATCTCCCACCTCGGTTCTTTGACCAGAACCTTACTTAAATATTCAGAACTATGCCCAGGAAACCAATATTTAGATATTCCAGGCCAGGCATATTCTTTTTAGCTACTGTTGAAACTTAACGAGAATTCAGCACCAACATATACTGGTGGAGCTGAGTGCAATACACTTTCTTGAATACTTAGACTAGATTCTTCTATAAGCTCCTTTGTAACCAAGGTACACAATTTTTCTTTTGGGAAGACTCCCACTTGCCTTCTCTGTTGCACTTCTGAAAAACGCTATGTATGAAGATCTGCACTTTAAAAGCATTGTGTTTCCCCAGGTAATTCGCTCACATACCCGTTTTCATTTTTTAGTTTTGATTTTTCCTCCGCTCTGGAGGATGCACAGATCCCCTTAAGAATCGTATTAGATTTGGGTACATTAATATACCCACAAGTTTATGAAATGCCATTTTGCATATTTCCAAGTTCAAATAGAGAAGAAATTAACATTTAAAATTTGCAACCTGATCTTTGGGTCCCAGTGGTTTATAACATTCATGCTTATGGCATCAAACTCACTGATGGTTTAACAAACAGGAAATTGGATTAAGACTCAAGAAAACCTAGGTACTTTTCTTTTGAACCGAGACTCATTAAAGATAGCTAAAGCTATCCAGCAATGGATTGGACTGCGGTGTAAGGTAGAGAATTTCTCACACTGAGAGGTGTTCAGCAGTGGCTGTGTAGAGGGGACTCATGCATCAAAAGGAGTTTGACCTGAAGGTCTCTTCCAATTCCTGCTATTTGTGACCCATTTTCAGGGCCGATCCAAACAATTAACCTCACCATGCCTCCCTTTCCTCACTGTAAAATAGCACTGACACCTATTCACCTCAGAGGTATATTCTAAGGTTTATTTCGCTATTTATAAGGCATGGAGCAGACTTCATAAAAAGGGGCAATCTAAATAGCAAAGTTTGTTATTACTTAAAAGGAAGGCATAGGAAATCTTCAATGCTCACTGGAAATAGCAGAGGTTTTTTTTTTTTCCTCCTCCATATGCTCCACCTGTTGCCTGAGTTACCCAATGTGCATGCAAATCAGCATTTTTTTCTGTGTCACATCTGAGTGCACCGAGTAGACAGGCGGCCAAAGCAAGTGTTTAGAATTGGCCATTTGGATATTTTTGAAAGTTGTATCTATATGCAGAGCTTAGCTCAAATTCATGTGAAAAAAAACAGCCTTCTTTCTGTAAAGCGTTTATTCAACCAAAGTTGCATTTCCAATTTCATTCTTGGGGATAGAAGTGGAAGAAGCTTTTATGATATGATTTTATATCTGTATGTTTTGTCTTTTTATTTAGAAAGATTTGAACTTAGAGAAAAGTTGCAGGACATGTACAATAAACTCCTGTACACCCTTCACCTAGATTCATCATTTATTATCATTTGGCCTCATTTGCTGTAATGCTCTATCATTCTCTTAATATAGAAACACCTACAACAATAAAAATTATACTAAGTAGTAGCACTGTTGAACCATTTGAAAGTAAGCTGCAGATATCTTGACCTTTTTCCCCATAAGTACATTAGCATGAATTTCCTAGGAAGGACCTTTCTCGTTATAACCACACTAAGATTATCAAGTACAGGAAACTTAGCAATAACGTAATAATGTTATCTAAACATATAGAAATATATATTTGCTAATATTATTATTGGCAAAATAATAATATATGTTTGCTAGTTGTCCCAGGATCACTCATGGCATTCAGTTGTCAAATCCCTTTCATCTCCTTTGATTCAGACAATTCAGCCTTCTTTTGCCATATATGACATTGACATTTTTAAAGAGTCCAGGTCAGTTTTATTGTTGAATGTCCCTCTATTGGGTTTGTCTGGTTCTCTCTTGCCTACGTTTTATTTTTAAATTCTCTCCATCTCAGTGGGCTAGAAAAAAATTCACGTTATCAGCATTACATGCACCTTCACCATTCACTGCAACTGGGGTTCTGGCAGGGTTGGGTCACTCCATCAGGGCTGGCATCCACACGAGAGAGGATTAGCAAAGCTAGGTGTTGTGCCTAAATCAATGTCCTTTTTCTGAAGCAATTATATGTTTAGCAAACGACTTTTAACTACTCATTACAAAGAAATGACTGATGGATTGCTGCAAAATGCAAATATAAGGGAAAGCTTCCTCTAAATTTTGTCTACTGTGCTTTTTGAATTGTAAATTCTCCATCATTTGCTAATGAAGGCAGAAAGGCTTTTCTTAAGCAAACAATTGCTTCAGGAAGAGAAATAAAAAACTCACTCCCTCCCTGTTCTTTGTTCTTCCCCCAGTTTCCATCCCTAATCTTTAAATCTGCTGATCCTCCCCCTTTCTGAAGCCAGTTTACCTATATACTGGCAAAAGGAGAAAAATAGGAGTTTAACAGTAAGCTTTTTGTAAAAGATAAATTTATTCCAATTAGAAACTAGTCTTTTGGACTGAATTGTTCTCCTATTTCCTCTATTGGTATTAAAATATACCTTCTTTTATGAAACAACTGTAAAAGTTGATGGTCATATTTGGGGGTGTGTGTTTATTAACGGCCTAGTGTGCCAAATAAGGATTTAATATTGTGTGCTGGTCTAGAAATGTTCTTTCTCTGTTACTTATATAGCTATGTATTAATATAGTTAATTAGTCAGTTAATTAGTTTTTCATTCAGCCAGTTGACAAGAAATCCTAAAGTTGGGAGGGGCCACTGATTTGGAGGAAAGAGCCCTAAATTTGGTATCAGAAGGTGGATTTGGCCTTAATCCCGGGTTCTGCCACTTATTAGCTATATAACCTTGAGCAAGTTACTCCAGCCTCCAGCAGTCTTAGCTCATAATCTGTAAAATTAAGTGGTAATTGATGCCTCATCTACCTCAAGAGAGTTGACAGGACAAAATTATCCTACAGGCTGTGAGGACTTTGAAGCAGGTTGTGTTGTCTTGCATCCCCAGGGCTTAGCATGAAGCTTGGCATCTAATGAGCATCCAGCAAATGTTTTCCCATAAAAATAAATGAAAGAAGTGAGAAAATATATGTCAACTTTAAATCCTATAAATATGTAAGTCATCATGATAGAAAGATGTGACATTCTATTCAACACAGAAAAAGAGAGCAGTTCATTGAAGCACACAAAATGCACTTTTTAAATGTTTTCCCAATGTTATTTAGAGACCACATTAAACTGTCCCTTGTGGTCATGGTCATGAAAAAAAAAAATCTATGTGATTGCAAAGCAGGTGGGTGGTAACAGAAAACAGGAGAGAAACTCAGGCAGCCTGGAGTCTCTATTTTTTCCCCATCTCATCAACAAGTCCTAAGCCATATCTGTTCCCTCAGCACCAACAATTTGTATTTATAAGGCAGGATGGTGACGTCAAAAGATTAAGTGTTGGATTCACAAACAGCAATTTTAATCCAGGATTCTTCTTAACTATCTTTGTAAGTTACTTAACTACTCTGGGCCCTGAATTCCTCATTTAAATAATAATAGTAATAATGGTTACATCATAGGATTATTTCAAAGATTAACACATATTACAAATAACAAATATACGAACCCACGTTCTATATTTTGTTTCATTTTTAATGCTCCTCAGTAGTTCATGACGTGGCTGTGGAAGTGAGAAGACAAGCAGGTGATTATAAGTACCTGAGGGACTTCAGTTGACTGATTTGAAAAGGAGCAAGAATCCAGGAAGCCTACTATTCTAGCAATTCAATCTTTGTGTAAAAAGAGAAAAGATTCATGTGTTAGTCCATTTTCACACAGCTATAAGGAACTACCTGAGACTGAGTAATTTATAACGAAAAGAGGTTTAATTGACTCATATTTCCACATGGCTGGGGAGGCCTCAGGAAATTTACAATCATGGCAGAAGGTAAACAGGAAGGAAGAAATGTCATACATGTTGGCAGAAGAGAGAGAGAGAGCAAGGGGGGAAGTGCCACACTTTTTTAAACCATCAGATCTCATGAGAATTCACTCACTACCACAAGAACAGCCTGGGGGATATCCGCCCTCATGATCCAATCACCTCCCACCAAGTTCCCCCCCGACACATGGGGATTACAATTCGGGATAAGATTTGAGTGGGGACACAGAGCCAAGCCATATCAGATAATGAGCACTAAATCTTGATAAGGTTCTACAGCAACCACCCTCCCATTCTACTACTCCTACACATTTAACTCTGAAGTTCAATATCATTATAAATTTATTGTACATCAGAATCAAACCTAACTATGGTGGTAGAGAAACCTTTCCTCATCTGAGCCACACACACACACACACACACACACAAATGTAACTTCTGGTAAAAAAAAAAATAGCTACATAAATAAAACAAGAAAAAGAAAAATGTGACTTTGACAGTAGCTGGAATACATGCTGAATCTTGCACAGAGCATATCACAATTTTCATCTGAATACTCATGAAACTTAATATTCCCTACTGATTACCTAAAGCTGACAAATCCTGAAGGTACAGAACTGCATACTAAAAAAAAAAAACAACAAAAAAAAAAACTCAATTTTTCCGTATGATGGAAGTTCTTGAGTGAGAGCCAAGGTGCAGCGTAGTGAGCACCTGCTAACATTAGGGAACATAAGAGGGAGCCTTTTACACAGCGGCTTTCCTTGTCCTAGTAAAGCATGTCTATTAGGAAACAGTGCAGATCAGTACATCCACACCTGTGGTAAATCAAACATTCTCCATCAAGTTAGTTGGACGTATATGTTTTGTTGCAATAACCAATAGGGAATTTTTTTTTAAATTCTGTTTCTGCTTTTATGATCTTAATTTCTAAAAATTCTATGGTCTTTTTAAAAAATCAAGTAGGATTTTCCAAGTTAACATTCAAATATATTAGCAAGAAAATGTAATGAGCATGAGCCATTTACAAATAGTTTATATGGCATGAACTGAAAGATTATATAAAGCAACCCAATTAATTAGCTGGTTAAGGGTATGTTATATATAAATACTTAATAAAAGGCTTACAGAAGTTTATAGCCTAGACAAATCTCCATATTCTATCGGCTTTGTAAGTGAGCAGGTGTGATCTATTTCATCGAACACTTTTGGAAACTTCAACCAACTTTTTGTTTACCAAGTTTTACAGTTGCAGGCTTGATTTGTTAAAGATGGGAGGTGTTTGCTGAAAGCTGGAAAGGACAATTGCATTCTAAATAAATTTAAAATGCTCCTGGGAAAATTATGCTTCCAAGCCACACACACCCACAAAGGGAAAATGGTATAATCCACCACAGGAAGATGAGTGACAAATGGGAAGTCAGGAGTGTAACCTTTAGGAAGGTGGCCACTGGGTATGTTTTGGAGTTGAAACGAGTTTAACTAAATGGCAATAAACAATACTCTGTCGACAGAACAGTCTCCATTGCATGATTGCATGTCATTTTCTAGGTCTAATTCGTCTACAAGAGCTCATCAAAGCTCCCTCCAGATATAATATTAAAATCAAAATCCGCCAGCTGCCCTCTGGGAATAAAGATGCCAAGCCTTTACTCAAGGAGATGAAGAAAGGCAAGGAGTTCTATGTGATATTTGATTGTTCACATGAAACAGCCGCTGAAATCCTTAAGCAGGTAAGAGGGCTAGGGAGGAGGTGGAGGTGTGGGATAAATGTTATTTTCTATTTTTCAAAAATGCCATCTAGTTTTCACTTAATGCAGCATAATAAAACTGCAGCAGTCCCGTTTATGCTAAAGATTATAATTTTCAGAGCCCTTTTAAACAGGCAAGGGGCTCAGAGAGTTCATGGGGCTTCATTGAAGCCATAATGTGAGTGTTTAGTTGTAAATGTGTGTTTCTATGGGTGGACCGAGTGGTATGTGACTCCTACCAGCTGAAGATGAGAGAAGGACATCATTTTGAGGTGATTAAACATCTCTCTCTCTCTCTCTCTTATGTCTCTTGAAAAGACTGTGCCAGATTTCATTTCCACAATGCCTGACTTGTCCTAAATACATCTTCCTCATGGCAAGACCTTTTTGTCAAACATGCAGGATTGCAAACACAATAAAAAAGGTATACAGGGACAGTTACAGAAAAGATGCCTCTTTCTTCTAATTTGTTCTAGACAATAAACTGCTATGTGTTAGTCTCCACAGATAATGTGGATAGAAATATTTGGTAAATTGTGAAATCCTATATAAATGAAGACATGAGTAATGTTCAAAAAAAAAGAATAATAACAACAGAATAATAATTTCTGAGCACTTGGTCTTAAGTTTAAGAAAGTAAATTCATTGGGAAGCCAAGGCAGGCAGGATCACCTGAGGTTAGGAGTTTGAGACCAGCCTGACCAACATGGAGAAACCCCATCTCTACTAAAAATATGAAATTAGCCGGGCATGGTGGTGCATGCCTGTAATACCAGCTACTCAAGAGGCTGAGGCAGGAGAATCGCTTGAACCCAGGAGGCAGAGGTTGCAGTGAGACGAGATCACACCATTGCACTCCAGCCTGGGCCATAAGAGCAAAACTTCATCTCAAAAAAAAAAAAAAAAAAGTAAATTCAGAATTAGAAACAAAGCGCAGACTGGTGCTTCTCACCCCAGAGTGATTTTGCCCTCTGGAAACTTAGAGCAATGTCTGAAGACATTTTGGGGGGTCATATTTGGAACAGGGCACTCTACTGGCAACTAGTGGGTACTGCTAAACATCTTGTAATACACATCTGGAAAGGCTAGTGAGACGTTTAAAATAGAAGCATTAATAAAAGATCAGATGATTGAATTTGGGAGAAAGAAAAAATATCCAGGTTATATTTATGTGGTCTGCCGGCCATCTCTTTATATTTAAGTCATTATTGTGGCATAGGCAAAGTTTTTATCTAAAATAACACAAGCTGTATTGCACTCCTTTGTTTAAAGGTCTGGGGTTGCTATGTTGTTGATTGGTAAGGGCCAGTAATTTCATAAGTAGATAAACCCCTTCGCAGGAATGCAGAACTGTGGAATTTTGAATCACTAGGAAGAGCTCTCTTCAAATAATCATCTGGCCTGACTCTCTGGTGCTCCATCTCACACTTGCAGAGCACCTCCATGCAGCCATTGAGTTCAGAATTGAGTTTTTACTTGCACTGAACATCAGCAGTCAAAAAAGTTGACCAAATGTTTCTATTATGTGCTGGATGATTAGAGTAAAAAAAAAAAAAAAAATTCTATTTAAAGTTGGAGTTGGGAGGTTAAGGTGGGAGGATCACTTGAGGTCAGGAGTTCGAGACCAGCCTGGCCAACATGGTGAAACCCTGTCTCTACTAAAAATACAAAAAAATTAGCCAGGTGTGGTGGTGGGCACCTGTAATCCCAGCTACATGGGAGGCTGAGGCAGGAGAATCACTTGAACCTGGGAGGTGGAGGTTGCAGCGAGCCAAGATTATGCCACTGTACTCCAGCCTGGGCAACAGAGTGAGACTCTGTCCCCAAAAAATAATAAAATAAAATAAAATAAAGTTGGGAACACAAAGTTGCATTTGAAAGCAATCACAGACATCACCATATCTAATTCTCACACTTTGCAAGATATAAAATGATATTGCCAGAGTCATACATCCAGTGCTTTCTCCACCATGAGATGCTGTCACTCCTGCTAGGCAGAAGAGTATCCATTGCTTAATTCTACGTTATAGTTACATTAACAAATCTTTAGATATTAAAATTTCCTCTCAATAAAGCAAGTAAGCATGTGGCAGTAGTGTCAACAACTGAAGAACTTTAAAGGTAAGTAAATGCAATCAGTAATCCTTTATCATAAGGCTTCATTTAAGAATGTTAATACAGTTCATTAAAGGGTGTAATGAAGTGTGTGGGTCAGAACTGAGAAAAACACCCAGATTTATGTGTAGCCCTCAAAAGGCAAAGAAGCATCCCTTCCCAGGGGCCTGTTGTAACAGAGGCTGAGGACTTCTGTTACATTTAAGAGAATGATTTGCTGATGAGACTTCTCTTTGCTAGATACTCATTTGTCTCACATAACTGGCCACATCTCTCCCAAAGGCAGGTCTGGAATAGGCAAGAACAGTGTATGGTGGCGGCAGGGAAGGGCTGCTAGATTTTCTCTTCTATTTCACTAAATTTGGACTTGAAGTTCCTTTGATAGAAGTAGCTCTTTCCTAGTAGCCTGGGGATTACATCATTCAAAGGACAATTAAAACAAAAACAAAAGCAAAATATCCAAGAATGGCACTCTCAAGAAATGTCTAGCTGGTACAGCGGGGAGTAGGATTAGTTCAGCTTTGTACCAACCACTGACACAGACATTTTTCTCTCTATCCTCTCTCTTATCATGTTTTGGCCTATGTTTGCTTTTCCTAATCATTTTAGTGTTAAGAGTGGCTGTGAGGCTTGGAGGAAGACACTAAAGAGATGGCTTATCCAGTTTTCGTTCTAGACTAATAATCTGCAAATATTTTGGAGATAAGAACCCTTTTTTAAAGGTCCTATCATGAAATTCCTACCGTATTGCATGTAAAAGGGCAATTGCGCTTTTTGGAATAACTACAGAGGACTCAGGTCAGCTTAATGGGGCTTCATTGGAACCTCCAGAGGCTGCTGTGCTTGAAACGGGATATTGGAGACATCAGAACTTTTCTGTTCTGGTCAAAGTAAGGCCCAAGCACTCTATGTGATCCAGCTTAACTTGCTCCATTTGCCCTGGAGAAAAAACTGTAGAAAGAGACTTGTCTGCTAAGAGATTCCCTAGGGAGGCTGAGGACTCAGGAGTTCTGGGTCCTGATTCTGGCTGCCATTCCACTAATCCTTCTACCCAAGGAAAGGAAAGGAAGGAGACTTACCTCTTTTACTGAGGGTCCTAAGAGGTGCCAACAAAGGTGTGTGGCATCCTACATGATCATAGCATCAATCTCAAACAACCCCCTGAGGTGAGTTTCTTATTCTCACTTTCGAGGTGAGGCAACTGACGCTCAGACAGGATAAGTGACCCATATAAGGTCATTCTCTGAGCCTGGCTAGGCTGCCATGTGGTCTCCAGACTGCCTGATCTCAGAGCCTGTGTGCTCACTTTACTCTGAAGGGCCCCCAAGCAGAATGGATGACTATTCTGAAGTAGGCTTTCAGAAATGTCTGGAAAAAACACAGCCATATGCTGCTGGTCTTCTTTAGATAAGATCAGTATTAATAGCTTTTACTTTTCTGGTAGCTGAAATCACTGCCAAGAACATTTCTCTGCCAGGTCAATGTGGTACCCTCTTTATGTGCGTTTTCCATCATTGTCCTGCATTTCCCTGCACCTTTATCATATTTTCTCACCTTTTAATGATTCTTCAGAAAAGAAGAAATCAAAGGCACTTTAAAGATATTTAACATTTATCTAAAAGCAAAAATTGGGGAAAAGTCTATAGTTATTCTTGGGCATGCTAATTACTCCAGCAAAGTAATTATTTCTATTCATATTGAACAAGTACTATATGATGAAAATCTGAGAAGTTATTTCCCCAAAATTCATTTGAAATTTGAATGTCAAGACTTGATTAGGCTACAGAAGATAGGGCTTTCATATGAACTTTCTTCATGAATTTCTACAGTTGGAAAATTTCCATAAACCAGAAGGTCGCATGTGTCCTCTCCCCAACTTACCCACCCACCACCTCGCAGCAGGGTCCTGATGCTTTGAAAAGATGCTGCTCTCTCCTTAACCTGCCTTCAATGTGGAAACCATTGCTCCTCCTCACTCTCATTTCCCCAAGTCCAACTACTCTTTCGCCGACTCTTCGCTGTTTATCCTTCATATACACCCTCATTCATACTGAGTGTGATTTTACTGAGGGAGTGGCTGAAAGGAGGTGAATTTAAAGAATGAAGCAAAGGGCAAGAAAGCTCTACCTATGGAATTCTCAACTTGTACCTAGCAGGATGCTGGGTGCTAAGCAACCATCTCATTTAAGTGACCAAATAACTTTTAATATGATTGGCATTATTCCTCTTTTGCAATTGAAAATTGAAGCCAATTTTATCTACCATATACTGAGCATACACTTAAATAGAAAACACCAAGGCCGCATGACCTGACCTGGCCTCTTTCTCCTCTTGCTGGCCTCCAGTATCCGATGCTCCATTTCAGAGGCATCCTTTCTGGCCACGTGACACAGCCTTTTCTCCCCACATCATAGCCTTTGCACTTGCGGTTGCCAAATCCTGGAACATTCTAAATTCCCAGTCATTCCCACCTAAGTCTTCATGAATATCTCTTAAGAGATAAAAGAGAGGAAGCTCCCTTCTCATTCTCTATATCCCTTCACTCTACTTAGTTTGCTCTATCACCACAATAAAAATCATAGTGAATTAAGACATTTACTCATGTGTTGTCCATATCCTTTACTACACTGTAAGTTCCAAGAGGACAGAAGCCTTCTTTGTCCTTTTCCCCCAAATCCCTAGCACCTACTACATTTGACACACAACGAGTGTTCAGTACAGCTCTGTTGAATGAATAAATGAACCAAACGAATGAATGAGCCAAGAACTGTTCTAGATTCTTTCAGTAAATCATCCCCAAAGTCATATTTTCTTCTACCCCACTGAGTCTGCTATACTCTCATCTCTGCCAAGCACATTTGGGTGAGTTGCTCCTCCGTGCCTGTTACCTGAAAGAAAGGCTTTGTTCAACTATGAAATCCTATACTATTAAGAAACCGTAATGCATTTGAGCCTGTGATTTCACTTCCTGAAAATAAATTTGGCTCTTTGGAGAACTGCCTAGTCACTTTTAAATCTATAGTAGGATTGAGTGAGCAAATCGCTATTTCAGGCACCCATTCCTAATGGTTCTCTGATGAAAAGCAAGATGGCACTGTCTTGCTCCATTCAATGGGAAGCTCCCTGGGGGCTGGGCCAATTTCCTGAGCTGGAGAATGGCCAGCAGGTGAGCATGAACATGCTGTTTCCCACTCAGAAAACCTGCCCTCTCCTTTACATGAACAAATTGAGGGAGATTTTTTCTCCCACAACACTAGTGGCAATGAATATTTAGCTATAATTGAGCCATTAGTCTGCATAAAACATTTAGCACCAAAATAGTTTGTACAGCTATATTGCATTTTCTCCTGTCAACATTTGCATGCTTTTGCTTTTTTCTCCACCCCCAACCCACTTTTTTTTTAAATCTCTTTCAATTAACATAAAAACAAGGCAAAGAAGAAAATGGCTTTTTGTTTGTTTGTTTAATGCCTGGTCTTCCTCTGCTAGAAAGTGCAATGACAATGCTAGTTAATCAAATAATTTTGTGCATTGATTCTCTCCTCATATATGTTGTGCTCAGTGGCTGTAATGATGGCAAACAGAGATGCTTAAATTGGTTTCATCCCTTGTTTAGATAAGACAGAAGCAACCATCAGCTGTGATCTCTCACTATAGAAAACATCAAGTCAAGCATGGCACACTATGCTAAGGGATGGTAAACATGTGCCCACTAAGTCAGATCTATAAGTCAATCATTTTTTTCATCATAAATACATAGAAAAGGCCGAAGACCTCAGGGGCCATTTTATACTGAACACGTACCGTATGCTGGCACTGTGCTAAGCAGCTTAAATGCATCAGTCATTTAATTTTTATGAGAACATTCTGGATAGAAGAAACTGACAGAGCCCAGAGAGATTTTGTAACTTGCCCAAGGTCACAAAGCTAGCAAGTGGCAGGTCTGGGATTTAAAACTTATCTGAGGCTTTGAAAGGAAAAAAAATGTAACCTCTTCTGCTACTGTTGTGTACAACAAGATGTCAACTGATTCTCGTCTTATTGCAACCTGAAACGTATTTTAGTTAAGCCTTGCACTTCTTGAACGAAGGTGTTTCATTTTATTCTCAAACATCTAATCATGTCTAGCTTTACACAATTCCTTAAGAAATGTGAATTGTATCAAATGTCCAATGGCCCAGTAGAGAATGTGGTAGGGATATCATAGAGAAATTTATTTTTTTATTCAATACTTATTTGTTGAGCACTGATTGAAGGTGTTGGAGATACAACAGTGGAAGCAACAACAAGAATAAAAACCCAAATCTCTGCCCGATTAAGGCAAAAAGAGACCTTGAAAATGAATGTAACAAGTGTAAAATTATCCAGTGCTTGCAAATTGGCCTAATACCATCAAGTTACTTTCTTTTTTTAATTAATAAACTTTATTTATTTATTATTTTATTTGAGACAGAGTTTTGCTCTTGTTGCCCAGGCTGGAGTGCAATGGCATGATCTCGGCTCACTGCAACCTCCACCTCCCAGGTTCAAGCGATTCTCCTGCCTCAGCCTCCCAAGCAACTGAGATTACAAGCATGCACCACAACGCCCAGCTAATGTTGTATTTTTAGTAGAGATGGGGTTTCTCTATGTTGGTCAGGCTGGTCTCAAACTCCCGACCTCAGGTGATCCGCCTGCCTTGGCCTCCCAAAGTGCTGGGATTACAGGCGTGAGCCACCAAGCCTGGCTTATTTATTTATTTTTCACTTTTGTTTTCAGTTCAGGGGTACATGTGCAGGTTTTTTATATAGGTATGTTCCTGCCAGTGAGGGACTGTGATTAGAATCTTAGACTGAAAGTTGGGAGACCCATTTGCAAATTCTGCTTTTTCCCTAACAGAAAAAAATAACTACCATTTATCTGGTATTTACTGCATGCATAATATGCTACGTGTTTGACTGGAATGATTTCTTTTTATCCTCTCAAAATAGTCTTTGTCATAGATGAGGAAAATGAGGCTTCAGGTCACACACTCAGTGACAGGTCTGGAATTTCAGATCAGAGTATGATGTTCACATCACCCATGTTGCTCACATCCTGTAAACAGGCAACTTTGAGAAATTCTGTTGATGCCTCTTCAACTCAGTCACCTCATCTGTAAACAAAATTATCAAAGCTTGCTAATATTTCCATCAGCTCTGAGCTTCCATGCATACACGTGACCAAGAATCCTCTTACTAGCGTTTAGATATAAAGAACTTGCTTGTACTTAGTAGGCTTTCAAAGAAATGGGAAATTAATTAAGCAGTTCATTCTTTCTTAAAGTTTCTCCAGTCCTTTGATAGTCTTTGAGCCAGTTAATTGATAAGTTCATTACTTTGGATAAATCCTGACAATGTAATGATGATGAATCTCAATTTATACTAATTTGATGATAATTTGTAGTATGTTATATAATTACTTTGGCGGTACATTCTCATCGTAATTATGTTTCTCTCAGGCTGATATTAAAATCTATTTATATTCCCTGAACACATAGTTAGTTTTAGTTGTACGGAGCGGTTCATAGTTACGAGTATATTATTAAATGTATACAAGAATTAATTGACCTTTGTGGATAACCAACAATTTACTAAAGGTGTGTGCAATTTGCCCATATTCTTAGTGTCCAGGATATCCATTTGAGGATTCTCAAAGGCCTCCAAAAAGTCAGTTTAAGAAAGGACTTAGATTTGCTTCAACCTGAATTGGGAAGCGAGAAAAACCATATATGCATATGCTTCAAAAATGCTCTAATGCTTAATCCCGGTTATATCAACTTTTGACTATAGTAGGAGATAAGAAAAATTTTCCTTGCAGTGGAAGCAGGGGAACTTTAGAAGAAACTGTTAAAAGTATTTGAAGATATGTATGTCAGGGCACATCTTAAGCCTATTGGATCAACAAACTTCAGCTTTATTCAAAATTGTAGGAAGGTGCATGCTCTTGGGTGTGCCTTTTTTGTGGAAAGGGGTTTGTAGTGTCCGTCAGATTTTCTAAAGAAGCCTGCATACTAAAGTGGTTTAAAAATTACTTTGCTAGGTTAACCTTATCTACTTCCTCAATACTTCATAAATGCAAGATCTTATCAAAAGGATCCTTCCTTCCTACTTTTCCCATGACTGTTAGCCAAATCCTCTCTGCTATAAGGGTAATCCTATGAAATGTAACTTTCATCATTTATCCAGCCAAATTATGTGCCAGATTTTTTTTTTTGGCCCGTAGAGTTCTATGTGCCAAAGAATCTTCTAGGGTGAAATGGGAATTACAATATCATTAAAAACTCTAATGTGTTAGACGAGATCATTATTTAGTGAAGGTTCAGGTGATTCATTATTTTCCACTTCTCTAAAAAGGGAATGTATTAGTACATATGTCACATTATTTGAGAAAATTTAAATGTGACAATGTATTAAATATAAGGCATTAAGCTCAGCACCAATATATAAAATATTCCACTTAGAGATTATCATTGTCATTAGTAGCAGTAGTCTTTTGTGTAGGCAAAACTACAGGTGTGATACAATTCTTAGAACTGGCTTCCCAATTCCAACTCTGTATCACGACATCACTCCCTGCTCTACATCATAACAATGATTTCCAAGATTCCTCTCAGCCTAACATACCAAGTCTCCCTGAGATCTCACCTAATGTAATTACATTTCCATGCTAGAATTAACACTTTGCATCCTCTTTGTTCTTCCCCCAACCAACCAGTTTCTCCTGCTCTGTCCCTTTCTTGGTAACTAGAAATTTCATCCAATTACTGCAGCCAGAAACCAAGAAATCCACCTTACTTGCTCTCACCTTTCACATTCATTAGTTAGCAAACAGTGGAGATTCTGCCCTCGGAATATGTTTCAGATTCAATCTCCTTTTCTCTATCTCTCATCATCTTCCTTCTCCACTAATATAATTGATCTCTCTGCCACAAGTTCCTTTCCCCTCCTATTTCCTAACCATCCTCTGCATAGTCTAAAACACTATTCATTCTGAGTAAAACATCTGATTTTATACCTCCATGTTTGAAATTGCTGAGTGCCACCCTCTCCACCCTGGATGTTGCATTAAGAATAAAGGACACATTTCTTAGCAGGCCATGCAGAGCTCTCCACATCTGTCCCCACTGTCATTATAACATGTATTGCAAAAATATCTATTATGTCTAATATACCCTTTTAGCCAAAAAAAATCTGTTACAAATTTTAGAAACTATCCTTTCTTACTCCATTAAGGAGATTAAAGTTCTTTCCAAATGTGACCTAAAGGGATTCAAAATCACAAGAAAAGCTGTATCTAATTAATTCTAATATCTCCAGGGATGTCATAATAGGAGATCAAGGTAGGTCTGAATTCTTACAGAAGAAGAACTGTGAGTTAAGCACCTCCTAGTCCCTGGAACATCATCCAAGGGCCTTTCACAGCTGAGTCCAGCATTTATACAGGAGGCTCCCTCACGGGTAGACAGGAAACTTAACAAACTCTGGCAGGTGGATTGATGCATCCTACTTAAGATAAAGCTTTGACTCCTGTGGTTCTAACTTTGGTCTTAAATAACCATATGCTTTTATTTGGGATCTCAAACTCCAGCAGAATTTTGTGCAAATTATTAATTTTCCTGCCACTTGCACCTCCTATTATCAATTAAGAAATTAATAAAGTCCTAAGATCCCAAGATTGAAATCAAACCTGGGTTCAAATACTATAACTATGCTTTATCTCTAAAATCTATAAATTAGGAATAACACTTCCTCTCCAATTAAATGTCAATAACCTATTACTGTAGTGAACATCGTGTTGTGGCACTCAGCAAGCAGTCGCTGTGAATATTATTGTTGTAGCTTAAAAATATGAGCTTGGTTAATATAAATCAGTGGTTCTCAGCACTGGCTGTACATAAGTATCACCTGGGGAGTTTTTAGTAACTATCAATGCCTGAAACATATCCCAGACAAAATAAATCAGAATATTTAGGAATGAGGCTCAGGCATTGGTATTTTGGAGAAGTTTCTTGGTGGTTCTAATAATATACTAAGAAACACTGATATAAATTATTTTTTAAGCCTGATAGTTTTCAGATAAATTAACAAAGTCAAGTCACCCAAAAAGCTGAAGATCAGGCCCCAGACTCATGAAGACTTTACTGGGCAATAGAGATCTCGTGAGACCAGCAAGATCACCATTTAATGGCTGCACCCCTGTCTCTCCTTCAAAAGGTGACTTTCAAGCAAATTTGAGGTATAGTTTTCATTAACATCATTATCAAAGAAGCTTGTTGCAAAAAGATTACACTGAATCATCTGGGGTAGATAATAATTCAAAATATTCTGTTACCTTCCAGCTTCTAGATTTTGTTCAATAATTTGCTGTTAAAATTTGTTTCCTCCGTATTCTCTCTTACATATCATCTTTCCACCAATTTTCCCTAGATGTTGCAGAGAGGTTATTTTTTAGTTTCATGTAATTGCCCCAAAAGTTCCATTCTCTCCTGTTTACCAGATTGCCTATTTCATTCTGCCATGGGAAAACTTCTTTTCCTGCTCTGTTCTCAACAGTCTGCACTCCTTAAATAGCATAATCTCATCTGTTGTGCACCTGGGTGATGCAATCTGGCTCTTCTAGTAGGATCATCTTCCAAGCTAAACTAAACCCCAATGATTTGCACTCCTTTTATTAATATCTATTAGTATGAGCTTCCTTTCTCCTGCAGACCATACCTCTAAGGAGAGAAGCTTATAAAGGAGTTAACACTGAGAAGAACTTCCAAATAGTACAGTTATTTAATTCATCAACTCTTTGTGGAATATCTTTTGCTTTTCTTTAGTTTAACTTGGAGGTAGGAGAAAAAGGGGCTGGATTTATACATCATATAGCACAGTTTTCAAATCCAAGGAAAAACCCTAGACTTGTGGTTAGCTTATCACCTGTGTACATGCATGTGGTTAACACGTGTAAGTGAATGGAGGGAAACAGAGGAACTTAGCAAGTTGTCAACCTCAAATGAAAAAAGTCAATTTTTCCTCTTGATACATGTTTTTGACGTTACCAAAGCTGGAGTAATGTACCAATCACTGGAGTTAGGGTTACAGCGATTTCATATGCCATAATCACAGAAAGATGAGAAAATGAGATGTATTGGTTTTCTATTGCTGTTTAAGCCAAATTTAGTGGCTTTAACAATATATTTGTTTACAGTTACAGAAATCAGAGATCTAAAATCATGTTGTTAGCAGGTCTGCTTTCCTTTTGGAAACTTCTGGGGAAAATCCAACTTCTTGCCTTTTCTTACTCACAGAGGCCGTCCTCATTCCTTGTCTTGTGGCCCCGCATCACACTCCATCTTTCTCTCTCCTTCTATTTACGCATTCCCATTTACACCTTCTCTGCCTTAAGACCCTGCTGTTTTCATTGTGACTACATTGGGCCTACCTAGATAATTCAGAGAAATCTCCCCATCTCAAAATCTTTCATTTATTCACATCTGTAAAATCCATCTCCAGGTAAAGGAACATATTCCATTGGTTCTGGAATTAGGACGTAGACATCTTTAGAGAACCATTATTTGGTCCCCTCCATAAGTAGATGGATATCTTTCTGTATATCAGGATTTTTCTGGTGTCAAATGCTATTTTCTGTATATTCCACTATTACTTTTGTAGATGTAAGCTATAATCATTCAATGTGGCATGAATGTACTTTCTATAGCAATAAACACTGGTCTAAAGACTGTCTTATATCCATCTTGTTCTACTGATGACCACCATTAAAAATTGCATGGCCAAAGAGGCATCTGGCTCAGAGGATAGTATAGATGCAGCCTAAAATATTACAGTTAGCAAATAAAAAAGAGCTACACACTGAAGCTCAAACTTTCATCTTAAAATTGCTGCTCGGAGACTTGATATCATTCACCTGGTTTTCTGAAGACTCCTGTGCCAAAAATACCTTATTTCTATCTTGAGGTAAAACCATTATTTTAGCCACATTGCATGTTCACACATTTGGAAGTTATTCACTTGAAATTATTGATTACAAACCATGTCTGGTGGTTTAGAATTTATCCTGATATTGAGAAAGGCTATAAAAAGAGAAATACACTTCGGCTTAGTCAGTATAAACTTCCAAGATACCTATTTTTCAATGGAAAAAAAGCAGTAATAAAAAACCATATAAATATTACAAGAACACCTCAAAGTTGCTCAGTAGCACTCCAGGTTCCATTTTGAGTTTCTGTTACCACAATAGTAGCAGCAGACCAATTATGTGTGGCATATGGATTTCCCTTAGTGATGGTTGCTGAGAATTTGTGGAGAGGAATTTTTCATTGCTGTCTCCATAGCTCTGCATTGCCTTCCAGGAAATGATCAGACTGAAATATGGTCCAGGCTTCTTAAGATAACTCCATGTGTGGTTGGAAGATTCTGAGCCAAAGACTTTCCCTGTATTTTGTAGAATGACTCTGTCAACAACCACAGCCATTAGACCCCTATGAGCTACGTCCTGGTCATCTTTACCTAGACTTCATTGAGGACTCACAAGACAAACTAAAATATGGCCTTGGTGCTGCTCAGGCCGTACATGATAACTTCACCCATCAAGATCTAAGAGATCATCATTGCCAAGAACAACTAGGCTAGACTAAGAAGGTCAATACTACTGTGAACAAGGTCATGAGTGTTCTGTGGCAAAAACTCCAGAAAGCAGCTGGACCAATGTGGGATCACTGCTGTCAATGAGCAATGACTGTGTCCCAGGATATATTGATAACAGTTAACAGTAGGGCCTTAGAATTGTCCTTTCAAGAGGCAGCTGGCAGTGAGGGTTTTTTGTTGTTGTTGTTGTTGGGTTTTTTTTGTTTTGTTTTGTTTTGAAACAGAGTTTCACTCTTGTTGCCCAGGCTGGAGTGCAATGGCCTGATCTCGGCTCACCACAATCTCCGCCTACCAGGTTCAAGTGATTCTCCTGCCTCAGCCTCCCGAGTAGCTGGGATTACAGGCACGCACCACCACTGCCGACTAATTTTTTGTATTTTTAGTAGAGACGGGGTTTCTCCTTGTTGGTCAGGCTGATCTTGAACTCCCGACCTCAGGTGATCCGTCCAACTCGGCCTCCCAAAGTGCTGGGATTACAAGCGTGAGCCACCGCGCCTGGCCGGCATTGAGTTTTTATTCTGCCTTCTGATGACCCATTTACTGCAAATAAAATAAAGCAGTAATTATTTTTTAGCTACTGGAACAATGGAATAGTCTTGTGGCATTTCCATGTACAGTAGCATGATACGGAGAAAGCATTTACAATAGGTACAAGACACTCCCCCGCTGCTGATTTAAGGATTATGTTATCTAGATGGAATGGAATTTCATAAGTATGCAGGAGCTTAAGTCTTTTGGTATTGATGTCTTTTGAGTTCTTATAATTAATTCTGTAACAATGTAGATTAGAATTAACTAACAATGGTGATCATTAGAGGTAGGGGGGGAAAACTGTTTTGTTGGAAACTTTTTTTCATTACTCTAACCCAACTCAGCTACATCAGATCTGAAGAATTCCACTCGTTTATATGGGGAAAAATTATTTGACTTGTCCCAATCATGATTATTTGTTTATTTGTAATATCTTTATTCTATAAAGAATTGGAGCTGCCTGGAAAAATATATTTGAAACAAACTAATAAATGTTTTTAAAAGGGAGGGGAATTGGCACAAAGGAGAAAACTAGATAACAAAAACATAAAGCTGGATGACATTAGCACATGAAAAATGTATGCCCTGTGCTCCTGACTAATTGCCAATGGAAGACCCGTAATTTTGACCCTAAACCTCCTAGCAATCAAAACAAAGTTGTAAACAAGATCATTTACATGACTTGCAGTATTCATGTAACAGAAAAATGTATTTATTCAAAAATGAACAGCTTGTTCTGGCACTGATAACAATGCTAGTGATATTAGGGAACTGAGATCTCTGGAGAGTGACATATGTCAGAATCACCTCCACTTCATTGGCTAGAACCAGCACATACCCCCACCCAAGCCCAAGGGACTAGGAAATGCAATCCTAGTATGTACCCTTTGAGTTGGAAAACTGGAAAAACAGTACTAATGACGTCCACACTAGTAATCTTCCAAAATCAATAGATATTCCACACCCTGCCTATTTTAGATACATAATGTTAACAAAAGGGCTGGGTTGTTTTTAACTGTCAATCTAAGTCAATGATATAATGTCAAAAGTTGTTTAACAAGATTAATTCCATTAAGAAATGAGACTTGGCCAGGTGCAGTGGCTCACGCCTGTGATCCCAGCACTTAGGGAGACCAAGACAGGAGGATCACTTGAGGTCAGGAGTTTGAACCAGCGTGGCCAACATGGTAAAACCCCATCTCTACTAAAAATATAAAAATTAGCCAGGCATGGCGGTACGTGCCTGTAATCCCAGCTACTCAGGAGGCTGAGACAAGAGAATCGCTTGAACTCAGGAGGCAGAGGTTGCAGGGAGCCGAGATTGTACCAGTGCGCTATAGCCTGGGGCGACAGAATGAGACTCTTTCAAAAATAAATAAAAATAAAAAAAAGAAATGGGCCTTATTAGAAGAACATATTAGTGGAAGCAATTCGGAGGAATATGCTATCCATATGAACAGTATTGATATCTGCCTTTATTACATTTTAGTGTGTGTGACATGAAGTGTTTTCTGCCAAAAAAAAAAATTAATTGTGACAATTAAGTAAAGCCAGAGATGGTTCCTAGCAATACCGCCCTAATAAAGTATACATACTGCCTAGGTCAGCACCATTTGGTCAGTTCGGCAGACAAGTACTGTATCAAAATTCAAAGTCATTCTCAGGAAAAAGTAAGTTCTGCAAAGAACTATTAGAAAACTCCCTATATCGTGATTACACTTTTTATTTTTAAAACTGACATTTATTTTGATGTGACATTTTCTTAATCCCTTAATGACTTTTAGTTGAAATACCAACATGCAGAGAGAAAATCAAAATGGGAATGCAATCGTTTTATTTACAAAGTATGCGACAATTAGACGACAGGGCTACTGGTCTCAGCTGCTTAAAGACCATCACAAGAACAACTGCTTTAAAAGCACCGCCTTTGGTGCTGTTGACTTTGTTGTTCTTATCAAGATGTTTTTCATTCACCTGGGTGAGTGTCCACAAAGTTGACAGGCCAATGATCAATGACTGGACTCGTTTCTTAATTTCCATTTCTAGTAAATTCAAGGGAAGAACCAGGAGGCACTAATGCAAGCAATTAGCTAGGAAAAGGAACGGGAATTTTTCTACTACAGCAAATAAAATGTGTACCTGGAGGACCCCAGGGTTCTTTTTGCAATAACAGCTGTCCTGTTGGCTGTTTATTCGCTGCATTTTAATATCTCTTTCCTAACGCTGAGAGGCATGTCAAATGAATATTTACCTCCAGGAATTTTAAAATACAATAATAAAAATAATCAGTTAAATGGTTGTTTAAAAAAATGCTTATCTCTTAACAGGGGATCCAAAGCCTCCATAATGAAATTTAAAAAGAAAAATTTTACCCAAGTGAAAAGCTATAAACTCAAATGCCTTTGTGTTCTATTTTCAGTTTCAGAAACAAAATTTTAAACCTTAGCATTCAGCCCTATATCCTCACATGAAACCTGCCCAGTTCCCTTTCAAGAGGTAATCTTGGCTGCAATTACACTATCTAATGACCAAAGTGAAAAATAGGATTTCTGACTGACCCTGGCAGGCCAGCTCTTTATGCTCGAATGATATAAGAGAACAGCTAACAAGACCTCACCATGCATGGCCTTAAATGTTATTGATGGCACTAAAGCAAGTCTACCCTTGAAAAAAAACATCCTTTAGTGTGCCTGGTCTTGTTGTCACCGTAGGAGTGACTTATATCCTGTGGGCTGATGATTCATGGAGTTTCCTGTCATTTGTCTTAAGTTCATGACATTGCAATTTCACTAAATATTCCTCTGGTTTTCGTGTTAGTAGAGACGTTGTTGAGAAGTGTAGGACTGGTGTTCATGCAGTTATGTGCTGTCATCTAATACCCTCTTTATTTCTTATTCCCTTTCACGTAAAATCATTCTAGTTCACATATCTTAGGCACCTTCCAGAACCGCTGATAACTTGCAATGTCTTTCCCCAGACCTTTTCAATCCATCTCTTCAACTGAAGATCTGAAAGTCTTTGTTATTTAATGCAAAGGTACATGTTTTCCATAGAGCAGTGATTTTCAGACACAGCTGTGAAATGCAGAAATCAAGGCTACACTCTCAGAAATCCCAATTCAGGATGTCCCTGTGATGGTGTCTAAGAGTCTTTGATATAAAAACTTCCAGAGGGAATTTTTACTTGCATCCAGAATTGACCAGAGTTGTGCGGAAAACTACCTTGGAAATGTGATTTCTAAGTCTTCTCTCTTCATTTCTTTTTTTTTTTTTTTTTTTTTTTTTTTTTTTTTTTGAGTCTCGCTCTGGCCCCCAGGCTGGAGTGCAGTGGCGCGATCTTGGCTCACTGTAAGCTCCGCCCCCGGGTTCACGCCGTTCTCCTGCCTCAGCCTCCTGAGTAGCTGGGATTACAGGCACCCGCCACCACGCCTGGCTAATTTTGTGTATTTTTAGTAGAGACGGGGTTTCACCGTGTTAACCAGGATGGTCTCTATCTCCTGACCTCATGATCCGCCCGCCTCATCCTCCCAAAGTGCTGGATTACAGGCGTGAGCCACCGCACCCGGCCTTCTCTCTTCATTTCTATGCAAAGACAAAAAAAATAAAAATAAAAAAAGCACCCAAATAGTTATTTTGGTAATCTATCCCAAGGAAAGGAATATCCTTATTCATATTTAGAAAGAATTGTCTCCAAACCATTTGCATCTTCTTCTCAGTTGACACCATTTCCGGGACTCCAAAAGTAAGATCACAGTTCAATGAACGTAGAACCCCTGTCCTTCCTATCCACCTCCTTTTTTCCTTCTTCCACGAAGTAAAAACAATATACACGCTCACAGAATGTCCGGAACTATTACGATCCCAAGTAGTTATTTGAGAACCAGCATGAAGAAACAGTGTGAAATTGGTGTCAGAATAGTCCCTATCCTTTTATCTGTAAATGAATCCTCTCTTCCCCTTCTCATGGAAAAGGGGGAGAGAGAAAGGTTTCAGAGATATACTCATTCATAAACCTTCATTTAAACATATCTACATACCAGTATTGACAATTCAACATTTAATGAGTTCTACTCATAATGAGGGTGGCATTATGCTAAGTCGTAAGTAGGGAGATCAATGAAATACATATTTCTAAGTATGAGATGGCTCAGACACTTAGGCAGTGGGAAAGACAAAACCCTGTGCATTATGGACAACTCCAAATACAAAATTTGTTTAGTACAAACTATTTTTTTTTTTTTGAGACGGAGTTTCCCTCTTGTTGCCCAGGCTGGAGTGCAATGGTACAGTCTGGGCTCACTGCAACCTCCGCCTCCCAGGTTCAAGCGATTCTCCCGCCTCAGCCTCCCGAGTAGCTGGGATTACAGGCATGCGCCATCACGCCCAGCTAATTTTGTATTTTTAGTAGAGACAGGATTTCTCTATGATGGTCAGGCTGGTCTCGAACTCCTGACCTCATGTGATCCACCTGCCTCGGTCTCCCAAAGTGCTGGGATTAAAGGCTTGTGCCACTGCACCTGGCCCAAACTATTTTTAAATTTGATCATCAAACCCATTACTTCGATGTAGGTCAAGCAGTGTGTAATGGAAATAGTGTTGGCTGGAGGTCAGTTGGCTTGCTCCACACCAGCCACTCATTGGCCTCAGGTTTCTGATCTGCTGAGTTTGTGGATTTCCAAAGTCCCTTCCTGTTCTATGTTTCCAAGCATTTGCAGTCACCCTAGAAATTATCCCATTCTTATTATAATTCTGTTCCTGATTCTTTCCCCTTATTTCTCTTTTGCAGATTCTGTTCATGGGCATGATGACCGAGTACTATCACTACTTTTTCACAACCCTGGTAAGTGCATCTGGGAGAAATGTATTCCACATGGTAGGAAACGTCTTCACACAGTTATTTCAGAGTCGGCCTCACCAGTGTCAAAGGCAGGATATTGTCATGGAGACTTGCCTTACTTTCCTAAGAATCCTCTAAATCCAGCAATGCTGAGCAGCAGGCTTTTTTTCTTTCTTTCTTTCTCTTTCTTTCTTTCTTTCCTTCTTTCTTTTTCTTTTAACTAGTATCAATGCATGTGCATTCAGAGAGGGATTAAAATGAAAATTCCATTAAATAGAAACTATTAAAGTAAAAACTATTCATAAAAAACATCATCTACAATTTTTATATACATTAGAAGGTGTATCCAAGTGTGTCTGGCATTCATTGATTTGATGTGGCTTTGCTGCCTGTGTCCAGTAGATAGCTGGGTTAGCCAGGGGTTACCTGTCAGATGTCTGAAAAACCTTCAGAAAGGGGAGTTTTGGAGATGCTCTGCACATTGAACATTTTGCCTCATTAAGAAAAATCATGGTCCTAAGCCTTAGAAATCTAAAAGAAACCATAGGACATCTTAAATTTTGAGAGACTATCTGATCATGGAGAATGATTTAGGGTATTTAACACATCAAAATGATGTGATAATTTTCATTCAGTCAATTTCAGAAATCAGTGACAGCCCCCACCTCCCCACCTACACACTCACACATTCCACTTCCTTACATGAGAAGAAAAACAGAATCAAGCTCGTTTTCTAATCTGTAAGAGTATATTAGCTAAATTTGACCTGGATTCTGGGGGGGTCAGTAACAGTGCCATTTTAGCAAATTCAGCTGACAAGCTAGTGAGTAGGGGAATTCAAAGAATTTAGAATAAGGACCCGAAGTAGTAAATTCTATTTCTGACTCAAATGTCTTTGAGAGTGCAGAGGACATCATGAAATGAATGCTTTGGGACAGTTGTCAAAATCATTACTGCTACTGAGCATAGGGTGGAAGTGGGTACAGGGTAGAAATTCCTGAACTAAGGTTTGCATAGTCTTCCCATAGGGTGGAAGTGGGTACAGGGTAGAAATTCCTGAACTAAGGTTTGCATAGTCTTCCCATTTGCCTCTTACTGTTTCTTGATCATGTCATCCTTGAGAACAGCTGAGGGAAAACTTGAGAACTGCAAAGTGTCTTACTCTGCTTACAAATATGGTTCTTCCCATCACGAAGAACACCTGAGGGTTACTCAAGGTGACATGGCCATCTGCCTCGGAACTTTCTACCTCCTCCAGCTGTGAACACCCTGGAAGAGCTGGTGTGGGAGAAATTTGAGAAGGAATACGAATAATGGAACCTACCAAGGCTAGGAGACCATAGAGGATGAATAAATGTGCACTTTTATTCCTCTTCACCCCTAACACTCATTCTGCATGCACAAGGGGATGTAGCAAATCGGATTTTAGACTTCTGACATTCTTTGTTGCGTGGAAACCCTAAATTGTAGGACAACCTAATTTTGCACATGTTTAATGTATGTCATTTTAGCATGTTAAATCTATGTACTATGAATCTCTAAGAGGGTTCATGTGTATTCTGGCAGTTTCTGTCTTACCTCCTGAGACTGGACTTAACTGTCTTTCTATTCACTGAGTGTGCTACCGGACTCATTTTTGCCTGGGTCCTCTTCTTTAACTTTGCTTCTTTCATCCTTTTCCTCTGATTTTATCTGCATTCTGTCCTGGTTGGCTTTTATATTCTTACCATTCTTGCCCATGAGTATTAATAAAAGTTAAAGAAAAAAATAGTTACTTAGTGTTAAGGAAAAAAATATGCAATGCTTTAAAAGGCAGTATTGTACACTTTTCTGATACTGATCTCGGAGCACAGAGCTGTGCTCTTACAGTTCTACTGCCTCATCCAAATATATCTTGGGAAAGAGAGAGTTCATCAAAAGAATAAATTTGTATGCATCTTCCGCAAATGCAAATTGCGAAGTGTTTCTGAAGCTGCTGCTTTTCAGTACCTGTAATCATCAGGATAATGTCCTGTCTTGCAATGCACTTTCAGAAAGCGGTTGCATTGTTAAGAAACTTTTATGGAAGTATTTTTCCTGTTAAATGTTATCTTGAAAGTTGAGTTTCTTCTGAAATGTGATATATTTTAATGATGTATTTTTAAATCTAGTCTTTTCATATAAGAAAAAAGTTGAAATTATTACATAACCCTGTCTTAAATGTGAATCAATTTAGAAACTTCTGGTTTACACTCAGCCTCATCTGTAATAGAAAACACCAGGATGAGTTCAACTTTTTTTCCTGAAACATTGTCTGCAAGGGAATGGGTTCCCTTATTAAGATGTTCTTGCATCCATGTAACCTTGTGCTCTAGTATGTCCTCTGAAGAGCATCCTTTGGTACCTATTCTGAGCCTATGTTCAGCGAACATTCTTCATGCCCTCGTTGTATGAGATATGAGTTCTTTTCAACAAGCCAGGAGATGATTTTTTTTCGGCCAGGAGTGATTTTCCTGCCAAATGCATATGCAGTTTTCAAATTTCACTTTGTGGCAAGACCTGGAACAGCCTGGGGTGCAAGATTTGGTGGAGAAGAGTGGGTACTGCCAGTGGTTCATTCTTGTTCTGATCACATCACCACTCAGAACCTCAGTTTCTTCATCTGTAAAATAAAAGCATTGAACCAAATGGAAATAAATATTCTTCAAAATACCCCAAAGGCTATGAACTGGGAACAGAATTCTTAGCTTTTTAGAATGTTACATCCTGTGCCCAAGGACATACTAATTATCAGCAGCCAAATTCCTCCTCTTGACTTATCTAAACTCTAACAGTACTGCAAAAATAAAACAGATGAAAATGAAAACTGATTACTGCCCTAGAATTTTTAGGGCAGCATGTTAATGAAAAACAATGGGAAAAATGTTCTTTTATTGAAATAGTGTGGTACGGCTGCCATTTTGTTTTAATCTATAGCAGCTCCCCTTTATCCAATGGGTATATGTTCTGAGACCTCCAATAGATGCCTGAAATCTAGTATGGTGCCAAACCCCATATAGATTATGTTTTTCCTATATATACAAACCTAGGATAAAGATTAATTGATAAATTAGGCACAATACTCTTGCAGACTGGAACCATTATGAAGTATAAGGGTGACTTAACAAAGCACTTCCATACCACGATACTCTACCTCATAACTGAGACAGCTATTAACTGACTGATGAGCAGGTGGCATCTGTAGTATGGAGACTCTGGACAAATAATTCATGTCCCAGGCAGGACAGCATGGGACAGCTCAAGATTTCCTCATGCTACTCAGAGTGGTGTGCAATTTTAAAATTATGAATTGCTTATTTCTGAAGTTTTCCATTTAACATGTTCCAACTGTGGTTGACCGCAGGTAACTGAAACCATGAACCACAAAACCACAGATAAAAGGTATCATTGTATTAGTTGGTGCTACAATCATTAATATTCTTTTGTATAAAAAATGAAAATTCTAATTATTTTCCACTGTTATCCTTTTTGATACTATGCAGGACTTATTTGCTTTGGATCTGGAACTCTATAGGTACAGTGGCGTAAACATGACCGGGTTTCGGCTGCTTAACATTGACAACCCTCACGTGTCATCCATCATTGAGAAGTGGTCCATGGAGAGACTGCAGGCCCCACCCAGGCCCGAGACTGGCCTTTTGGATGGCATGATGACAGTAAGTCATTTTCAAATAAAATCATTTGCAAGAATATTTGAATGCCTTCGGGGTTAAGATCTCACGTATCTTTAAAATATTAGAGAAAAGTGTTACAGTGGGTGCCTTGACTTGCAGTAGAGAAGAAAGAGTTTGCTTTTTAGGTAATTTGAAAGGCTGTGACTGGCTACTAGCAAAAACTGCTACTTTTAGCTTCCTGGATGTACTTGCCCCAGATAAAAAACTTGACAAGAGTAATCACCATTATCAGCCAAACCAGTGCAAGGACAAGTGAAGAGCATTTTATTCTAGGAATGTGGCTGTGGGGAAGGTGGCTGGTGGGGGAAGAGGAGGAACAACCTACCTGTGAGTTTTGCAGAACCGATTTGTGTTCCTCACTTCTGCCACATTTCAGCAAGCAAAGCCAGTGTGGAAAAATGTCGGATTTACAAACAGTCGGTGTATTCAGCTCTTCCTGTCCTGGATGCGTATAGGTTCACCTCTGCAGAACTGACAGTGTTTAACACCAGCCATATGTCGCTCTTGAAGCAGATGCCAGACCTGCCTCCTGACAAGTCAGAGATACTCTGCTGAACAGATACATTGCGAACTGCCTCATCAGAGAGCTTCTCCCTAACATCATTTGTCTCTTGTCAAATGCACCTACCTTCACTATATTTCTCTAATGAAGCTCCCTGGGTGCTGAAGAAAATAGCAGGAAATAATTTTTTAAAATGCTTCCTATATGGGAGCCATCTAAGGGGAAAGATATTGTGGAATGCAGGCAGGTAATAGCATTTTAAAATGGCATAGTATTTTATTATCCATTCCTATCATCGGGAGACGCACTCTCGCTTTTAAGATGCAATTTACCCAACATCTCACAGAGAACTTGGGATTTTTTTCCCCTTTTTCTTATGAGGAACAAATGAAAGTGAAGAACTAAATGAATGAATTAAGTGGTTCTGGATGATTCTATGTTCAGGCTCCCTAACTGTTTTTCAAACCTGAAATAACTTTTAAAATATTCAAAGTGAACTGAGAGATAATGATGGAAAGCATCTTGGTACAAATGAGCCCTGGGATGATTTGAAACATTTCTTTGAATAGGAGCAAGTAGAGAATATCCAGGGAAATATTATATTTCTGAAAGGGAGAGGGAACACCAGAGACAGAGGGAGAAGCACGCTAATAGATCGGTTTTTCTCTTCTTCCTCTTGGGTTTATAATTTCAATGAGTTCAAATATGGTTCGAAATCCTCTGCCCACTTTTCCAATGAAGTTTCAATCACAGGATGAGATCTCAAATCATTTTTACCTGTGTTTGGTATATACCACTAAAAGAGTTACAGTTTGAAGCTATGTTAACACAGACTGTGGACTTATGCCAAACATTAAATATTCATCACAAGTATGGCTTAATTTACAAAGAAAAAAAGTCTGTGTGTTCAATTATACTGAGCTGACAAAACAGTTTGTACATATTGACTGAAATGAGGAAGATCGTTGAACAAAGGAGACAGACCTACGCAATTCATGTGGAATCAGGCCGAGCGTGAGGTGAAGCTGCTATCCCAGGGCAGCAGCTGGTGTCCTGAGCTAACGGTAATCCCCTGGGCAGGAAGTGTGATAAGGTTGAGTCCCAGTGGATGGAAGAGGTCCTGGTCTGCCTGAAGATTTTTACTGTCATCCCAACTAAGAGAGGGGTTTCTAGACTGTGTTCTTACAGTTATTATTATAATTAACTATATAAAGGAAAGTGGGGATTTACCAGAGCAGAAGAGGGTAGCTCACTAAGGTGCTGCAAAAGTGGGTAGAGTAACTATTGAATATATCAGGTCGTGTCAATACTAATTTTTTAAAAAGTGATAGGATGCAGGCCCCAGTATGAGTTGTATCCAACAGTCATGCAGATAATAACTTTGAAATTATGTGAAGCGTAACATTTACCTTTTTTTATCCAAAGAGTCTGCTTTGCACTTGACTGTTTTCTTTCTGTTTCTCCTGGATGTGGCTACTTTGGGAATGTGGAAACTGTGTCATGGGAGGTGAAGGGCATTGAAGGGCACGAAAGGACCTCCGTTTGATCAATAGCTAAGCCAAGAGAGCAAACTTATGACCCCAAACCCAGGCCCAAAGCTAACAAATCTTTGCTGTCAAGTTGCCTCTATTTAAACTCTTTCTTCTCTACGTTAAAGATAAAAAGTCCTTTGGTTTCAGTTTCATTGGGTCCACATCGCAGACCCTGCCCTTCATTCATTCTTGCACATCAAGCACTTGCTGTCCCCCTGCCTTGAAGTCTCACTTATCCAGGCTACAAAATGCCACTTCACCAGACAGAGCCTCCATGAATCACCATCTAGTACAGTAGCCCCCTCCCTGGTTTTTCTCTCTTTCTTCTTACCTGTTTTTGTTTTCTTCATAGCCCTTATGACCTGACGTGTTATATTTTGATTCGTTTGTTCAGTACCTTCCCTACAAGAATAGACACTTCATAAAAGTGTCTTTTATGAAAAAGAGGCTTTGTGATTTTGTGCTTTGCTTTCTCCCCAGCACTAGAAAAGGCCCAGTGCGAAGTACACCGTCAATAAATATGTATTTAATAAAGAAATTAATGTGCTAAATAAATAAGAATTAAGCTTCTACTAAAACTGAAGATGTTAAATGAAAAATATTTAGGCAGCCTTGAAATAGTCCCATAAAAGTGCAGAGAGTTCCTATAAACAAGATATATGTGAATGTGCATGATTAGTAAAATAGAGATTACTTTAAAATAATAGTGTTTTTTTAAAATTAGTCACAGACTGGCCACTCTTAATATTTAAATAATGCTACTACTATAATAGAATTGAATTCTCTGAAATCATATGCTTCATTCCACTATTCTTCAAGGTGAATTTCTCTGTAGCTGTTTATAGTCATATTGGTATGTGGTGCATACATACATGGATGAATATAGGAATTAGAAAAAAGCATAAGGAAAATGCATGTGTTTTGATTTCCCATTCAATTGTCTATTTTTCTCTCTAATATTTCTAACTATTAAGCATTTCCTAGAATTTCATACACTAAAAATCCTCAAAAATATGATTATATCAAAACATTCAAACCTGAAAATAGAGAAATCAGTCATGCCTATATCCAAAAAGTCTTGACACCAGACTTAAGAACAATAGAATTAATTAAAGAAAAAAATTTAGTTTAAAAATTAGGTTAAAATTAAGTTACTAAGAAAATTGTTACTGAGTCAACGGAGTTGAAAAACAGTAAAACTCGTTATTAAAAAATATCTTGAGAAAAAGAAAGAGTGTTTTATCAACTGAAGTGGTAATTGACAGAATTAACAGAAGTTTGGAGTGATTTTTATAAAATCTACTTTGTTCTCTTTTATAATGTTTACATTTTTCTCAGCAATTGGGCTGATTCGACCTTTCAGCTTTTGGATAGACTGGGATAATACAGAATGGTTCATTCTCAAATGGGTCCTTCTCAGTGGACCAAAATTGTGTATGAGTCAACACTGCACAGGAGTCAGGGGAACAACCAAACATTGATCTGACATCTGCCTTTCCAGTTCTTCATATCCACTCACAACATAAACTTACGTCAGAGCCTTATCCTGCTCTCTTGCCTGTAAACATTTCCCTTAATCATGACCCACAGGGAAGACGTCATAGAGTTCCCACTTTGTACATCCACTGCTACTCCAGCGATGAAAGAAAACAGGCAGCTGGATTCAGTACAGAAAGCAAAATCTTCCGAGATAATGAAAGCCTAGGGTTAAGTCCTGGTTATGTCTCCTAACTAAGTGACCTGAACAAGTCATTTAACCTCTCTTAGTTTGTCTGCTCATCCATAAATCTGTACAATAACACCTTACAGTGTTACTCTACAGATTAAATTAGATCACATATGCAAAACCTCTAGTACATAGAATTGAATTTACTTGATGATACCTGATGTTTTGCCCATTTGTAGTCAATAAAAGAACAAGAGGCTGGGCACGGTGGCTCACACCTGTAATCCCAACACTTTGGGAAGCCGAGCCAGGCAGATCACAAGGTCAGGAGTTCGAGACCAGCCTGGCCAACATGGTGAAACTTTGTCTCTACTAAAAATACAAAAATTAGCTGGGCGTGGTGGCAGGCGCCTGTAATCCCAGCTACTCAGGAGGCTGAAGCAGGAGAATCGCTTGAACCAGGGAGGCAGAGGTTGCAGTGAGCCAAGATTGTGCCACTGCACTCTAGCCTGGGCAATAAGAGCAAGACTCCTTCTAAAAAAAAAAAAAGGAAAGAAAGAACAAGAGATATTCTGAAATATCATGGCAGAATCCATGTATTTCCAAGAAACACATTCCTTAGCTTGCACATATAGCCCAAGATGGAATCTTATCTGGGACCTATATGACCCTGTGTGATCAACCCATTTGATCTCTGAATATTAGGTCTCTCTTCAGCACCCCAATCTCCTCCAGCTTTTTCCAACAACAATTATACACCATCCAGGCAGCTAAGTATGGGGACTTTCTAAGGCCATATAGTGTCGTCAGTCCTTGTCTCTAAGATGAGGTGGCATCTGACTGGCTTATGTTCAGAGTCCTCAAGACCATCTTCAGATTTGATGACTTGCTAGCAGGACTCACAGAACTCAGAAAAGCTGTTATACTCACAATGACAGATTTATAGCAACAGACGATAGAGTAAAATCAGCGAAGGAAAAAGTGACAGAGAGTCCACACAGAAAAAGCATGAACTTCCAAGTATCCTCTCCCAATAGAGTTGCATGAACAGCACTTAATCCTCAGCAATGATCTATGACAACTAGAAAGTATTGCCAACCAGGGAAGCTCACCCAAGCCTTGGGGTCCAGGTTTTTTATTGGGATGATGGGTCACATAGGCATGGAGCTCCCATACAGCTGGCCTTAGTTACTTAGTAACCAGCCTTTTGGGAGATCAAATTGATACAGCATGGCCCAGAGACCTAGGCCAGCAAAAATAGGCATTCATCATAAATCATGTTTTTAGCATAAACTATCTGACATTGCCCAGGACCCAAAGAATACAATGACACTCTTATTGGGATATTCCAAGGAGTTAAAAGTTATCTCTCAAGAGCCAGTCAAGGGGCCAATCTTCTCTTTGGAATGTGCAAGGTCTGAGTACCCTAAGCCTAGTGAGTTAATACTTTACTGCAAATTGTAATAACCAAAGCATTGTGTACTGAGGAGAAGTATGCTTTCAATGTGCTTATTTCATGGTTCAGATTGTGGTAAAAAGATTTTCTTAGGGTCATTGAGCAATGTGATTTCATCCAGGCTTTAGATATACATAAAATGTGAACAGAAACACATTTGGAAGAAGAAAATTTGAACACAGGCCAGTTTCTATTACATTACCTATTACCTAAAATGATGACAGTCATTCAGTAAGCAGGCCTCGAGCACAAAACTGAAAGGGGGAGGAAAATCAGTGGTAGTTTATTAGTGCTATAATATAGTTAATGTAAACATTTTCTCCATCTAAGAAAACATTGTATTTCAAGGGGTAGCATATTTTTTCGAACAAATAGTTTTCTTCTTTGGGTTGAAGGGCACAAATTAGACCTATAATTTTGAATCATTTTATTGCCTTTCCCAATATGGAGCCCGCCTTGAGAAAGAATGCCCATCCTTTCTAAACTAAGTTTATGGAAAAGTCAGATTATTAGAATTCCAGTCCTTATACTTCTCTATCAAATTGGTCATTCAGCGAATTAATGAAAACACATACGAATTTTCAAAAAAGTATATCCTATTGATAAGAAACAGTCCAAGTCACTGTAGCATGTGGCTATGGTCATGAGGTGAAATCTGAGTTTGCATCACGAATTAGAATTCTCACTCTTTCCCTTAATGTCTACAAAATTTTAGGCAAGTTATTCTACCTCTCTACAAGCCTCAATTTCCCTGTCTGTATACCTATTTCAAAAGTTTAATTTCAGTAATTAAAAAAGATGACATATGTAAAATGCTTATAGTGCCTGGCACATAGTAAATTATCAGTGAATATTAACCTTTATTGAACTATTATTGTGACTATTAAATCATCAGACCAATAACTTGGTGTAGAAGCAGCACAGCTTTATGGTTAACGGCATATACTCTAGCACCAACTTTGTGGGTTTGAATATTGCCTGTCCCCCCATGAGTTTGGGGATCCCATTTAACATCTTTTTTCTTTATCTGTAAAAGAATAAAGGTTATAGTGAAAATTTAATGTTTGCAAGGGATTTAGAACAGCATGCGACATATCATAAGTGCTCAATAAATGTCAGCTATTGCTGTTGACTGCATTTCCAAAAGTCTCAATCTGCCAGTAGCTTACTTTCCTCCAATTAAACAGAATTAGTACAGCAAAGTGGTAAAGATCATGGGTGCTAGAATCAGGCAGGTGCAGGCTCAAACCCTGGCAATGAAATTGATTACAGAGTAGCCTTATACCGGTCAATTTCCATGAGCCTTAGTTTTCTCATCTACAAAGTGGATAGTGTAAGTCCTGAACTGAAATGATCAAAACATTTTTAAGCATTATAAATTACTGCCACCACCAATCCAACGTCAGTATGTCAATTACATAAGCATGAATGAAATGCTTTTTCTTAAAACTATATCTTAAAACCTTGCAATTCTACAGTTCTCACAAAAATAAATGTCATTTTAAGGAATTGAGTAGTATTAACTTCGTCAGTGAACATGTTTAAACAACTTTTCTGTGTCAGGAACCATGTTAGTCACCAAAGCTAACTTAAATTTGAGCAGTTTCTGCCTTCAAAAAACCAATATTCTTAACAAGATACAGACATAAAGATCCATGACCATGAATAGATGGAAAATACAATGATAAAGATTGAACAGAATAATAATGATTCAAAGTAGAGGTATTCCGTGACCTCAAAGACTGATAAAATTGTGAGATATAGTAACCCCTGTCCTCACTTTCTACCTCCACCAAGACATGAGCAATCAATGCATAGTATATGTTGAATGAATCAACCAATTTTGGAAAACCATATGATAATTTTCATTCTATGACCTAGATTCTAGGTTTAACTCTGAAAATGATTAGCTATGTATATAATCCCTATTACTCTCCAGAAATAATAAGCAGAAGTAGTGACATCTCTGGGATTTCTCACTATGATTGTGTATGTGGTGTGTGTGTGGCTGTGCATGTGTGTGTGTGTGTGTGCATGTGTGTGCCCCTCCACAAATATCCTACCTCGAAGTGAGTTTTCTCACATAATAAATAGCTTTATCTCTTCTGCTTATTTTGAAGACTTGTTGAGAATTTCAAATGAGCTAATGTATTTGAAGTTGCAATGAAACCCTCAAGTGAAATGCAAGGGTATTATAAGATTTTATCCCTAAAGGAAACCACAGGGAAGCATATTTTATAAAATGCTGTATTATGTAAAATTGTGCAAGTGAGAGGAATTTCATGAGGAAGGGAAGAACGAGATGCCCAACCCCCTAAAAGGAATGACCGACTTGTTTCAATCTCTCTCAAGAAAGCACATGCTGGCAAGAGGAGGCATGTTCTGAGCAAGCTGCACTTGTCTGCCCTTCAGAGGGTCTCCCAAAACTTGCCGTTGAGTTTCATTCCATGACTATGAACTTCTTAACTCTGCTAAATGAAAGTGACCAACACCAGTATCCTTATCTGGAAATCACCTGTTAGTGATTGTAGCAGTTTCTTTCTACCAAATATAAACCAGTAAGTAGATAGATAAATAGATATAGACAAATGCTGAGAAACAAATCTGATATTGCAACTTTGAGCTTTAGTAGCTTCTAGCTCAAGGTAGTTGATCTTAACACCATGCTTAACATGGAGGACACTTCGCAAAATATTTGTTCCTTGAATCAAGTCTTTTGTGGCTGATCTGGGTTGCTTTATTTTTTTTTAAAGAACTTGAAACGAAGCAGAGTTATAACTTCAATTTACTCCAAAGTGTGAGGTATTATTTTGGAGAAAAATAGCTATTGGAGAGTGAAAACTACCTAGCTGAAGAGTAAATGGCCTTTGAGATCAGACAGATAAGAGCTATGGAAGCAGGGAGAGTGATTATGCAAGTAAAGGAAGGTAAGCAAAAGTGGAATTTAAGATGCGGTGTGTGTTTTCCTCCACAGACTGAAGCGGCTCTGATGTACGATGCTGTGTACATGGTGGCCATTGCCTCGCACCGGGCATCCCAGCTGACCGTCAGCTCCCTGCAGTGCCATAGACATAAGCCATGGCGCCTCGGACCCAGATTTATGAACCTGATCAAAGAGGCAAGTGATGCTCCCTCACAGCCCAGGGGCCCTTCTGAGCACTGTTGGGCTTGCCCATTTGGTATGGTCCTCCCCACAGGGTTCTGCTGGCATGATGCCCCTAAGAGAGAGGAAGCCATCATCAACCAGTCTGCTCAGATTTCAGTGTCAAAAGTTTGTCCAGAAGGACTAGCAGGAATTTTCCATTGTGATGCTGAGAAGTTCAGTGACGCTACCAGATACCAACACTTACTCTCCTTCATGCCAGCCATGGCCATAGCTCCTGCTGGCTCTCCACACATGTCCATAAGGGCATATGGGTGTTTCTTCCATGTCCCACTGAGTCAAGGGGAGAGTTGATCCATTACTGAAGGGTACCAGAGATAGTTCCAGCATTATCAGTCCACAATCCCAGTGGCCTCCTAAAGCTCAGGCTGTACAGGACTGAGTGGAAGGACCTCTTTAATTATATAGTGACTATTTTGTCATTTATCAGCTAACTGGAAAAGTTTATTCCCATTCAAAACCTACTGAGCACATAAAAGATTTTTGAGAGTATGGGGTATTTGCAGGGATAGATATCTTCACTGATGTCCTGGGATCCTGGACTGTCCTCCACCTTTTCTTTTCTCTGAGGCAGTTTGACTCCTTGTCACAAGGCCCTGTTCTAAGCCCCGTGACTCCTTATCGATATGTACACTGCATGATCATCCATTCCACCACGAACCTCAGGGTGTGTCTGGACTTGATGATAAGAAATAAGGCTCTTTGGAGTAGCTAGGCCTGAGTATGCGCAATGCTCTGAGATGCTATTCTAATATTTCTCTATGGGATACAGACATTTAGTTCTCAAGTGAAGAGTATTTTTTTCCTTTCTGTACTGGAGAAGGATGGAAATATAGTGTAAAGAAGAGGGAGGGCACAGGAGAATACCCAGCTAAGAGTAAGGAAAGACACCTGCTTTGGACTCGTGTCTCTGCTGGTCTCTTCCATGCCTGCACACCCTCTCTCAGTCTGTTCAATGCAACTAAAGGCTGACTCTGATCCATGAGGGTGAGGATAAAGCAGGCGGGATGTATAAGGATTAAGTACCTAGGCTACAAATCTAGGTTGCTTGCAAGCCCAGGATGAGGGTGCAATTTAAGGAAACATTCATTCTTGGGTGAGTATTCTATACTTGCACAAGATTAAGAGGAAATTCTCGCTTAAATTTTGTACCCTGAGCACCTCTCTTACTTTATCCTAGTCCTGGCAGTGACTGCATGGGTTTAAATCTTAGTTCCACTAACACTGATGAGCAATATAACCTGGGCAAGTCTATTGGTCCATTTTCATGCTGCTGATAAAGACATACCTGAGACTGGGTAATTTATAAAGAAAAAGAGGTTTAATGGACTCACAGTTCCACGTGGCTGAGGAGGCCTCACAATCATGGCGGAAAGTGAAAGGCATGTCTACATGGTGGCAGGCAAGAGAAAACTTGTGCAGGGAAAATCCCATTTATAAAACCATCAGATTTCATGAGACTTATTCGCTATCACGAGAACAGCATGGGAAGACTTGCCTCCATGATTCAATTACCTGCTACTGGGTCCCTCCCACAACACATGGGAATTGTGGGAGCTACAATTCGAGATGAGATTTGGGTGGGGACACACCAAAACCATATCAGCAAGTTACTTACACTTCTTGTCTCTCAGTTTTCTTATCTATAAGATGGGTATAGTATCATCTACCCCACAGCATGACTGTAAGGATAAAGAATTAGGCAAATGCTTGTGAAGAATAGTTCAGAAACCTAGTAAGCATCTGAAATACTATTCTCTTGCCATTGGAAGGCACCACTAAGAATAGCCTCATTCAGTTTACTGAAGATGATACCAGGAATTTCAAACTGGCAACAACAACAACAACAACAAAGACATCACAAATAGGCATGAAACAAAATACCTTTTCTGACAGCTACATAACTCTGACACACTGTGCCTAATAGAAAAACATCACACCACCTCCTTTTCCCTGCAGTGATCATGGTTGTGTCCTGAATCGCCATCCTGATTACCTTGATCTTTAACAAGAAAACAGCTGGTTTTCTTTTATCTCCTAGAAGTTCAAGGAGAGGCAGAAGTGACATGAAAGCTTGGGATCAAACACTCAAGAGCCCCCAAGACACCTTATCACTTGTACTTAAGTCGCATAAGAAGGTGAAATTACCAAGCCACATTTAGGCATATTTAAAGAAATAATGAGCTCCAAGATGAGGGACCACACTGAAAATAAGAAGGCATTTTATATTCATTCACTCCAAAGAAGCAAATCTCTCATTTTTAATCTCCACAGTTAGGGGTTACAGGAAGGGAGGGGGGAATGAATCAGAAACCATTGTCAACATTGTGCTCATCCTCTTTTGTCTCCTGAGTCAGGATGTCATATGCTACCTTTGGCAGGGTGTAGGTACCTACAGAGAAGATGGAATGGGGTAACCAGAAGCAATGCCTCAGCCTGCTGGAGGACTGGCACTGAGGAAATTCTGAGACAACCTAAAACATGCAAAAGAGAAAGTGCACGTGTTTTTTCAGATGAGTGCATAACTGAACAAAATTTTGCAAGTATCAGGTTTCATTAGGAAACATGAAATAAGGAACTTGGTCCCCAAATTTCCCCCGCTGCTTCTTTTTTTTTTTTAAGTTATTCTCACTTTGTAAAGAAGTTCCAAAACTAGAGTCAGAAAAAAAAAAATGAAAAGAAGCAAGTCAGCAGATTGAATTTATGGGGTGAAGACCAAATTCATCACAGGAGGTAAACTTCCTGAGCAGAGGTTGTTGCATGTGCGGTAATTTCTGATAACTCCACACACTGTTGGGAATCAGTAAGCTTTTCAGACACATGTTTCCAGCTCACTGCCTTTCAGTGTATGGGGCTGACTAGATAAAGGGGAAGAGTTAAAGAACATATGAAACATGATAGAGTATGTTACTATGTTAGCTCTCCGAGCATTTGCTAAACAAATGCATGCTAGGAGATTATACATTCCCACTCAACAAGCATTACTGGAACTCCACTACATAAGTAATATTAACTTGGCATCTTAAGGGATAACACCCTTGAAAAGTAGAAGAGGTGGCTTCTGCCACCTAGTAATGTAAATTCTACATGGCAGAGGATTGACACGCTTCATTAAAGCTTTTTCTTATACCTCAGGATAAAACATACACTCTTCAGCAGGATATACAGGCTCATGATCTTGTTCCTGATCCCTTTGCCAGCTCTCTCATCTCCTGCTCCATCTGCAGCACCTGCTGAACCTACTGTGGCTCCCTTGAATATGCAATATGCTCCTACCAAATTATTTTAACTCTGATTGCAATGCCGTGCTCCTCTGGGTCATGCTTTACGTCTCAACTCAAGCACTAGCTCCTATCTGCAGGACCCTGACTCACAGATGTAGGCTTTGTACCTCCATTACAACTGTGGGTATGCTATTGTGTTTGTTTCCACGTCTATCTCCAAGCTATGCGTTTTCAGTCTCAATTCCCTAGTTCTTGCACAATGCTGGACATAGAATAAGCACCCAATAAATACATGCCAAACAAGTGAATGAATTGATGAATGAATTAATGAATGAATTAGCAAAGGAACCGAAGAACACACACAATCTATAAGCATGTGCAGTGCTTCAGGACACACTGTGTTCATAAAAATCATATCCAGAAACAATTCAATAAGACAGAGTCAGGAGCTGGACTAGACCTGTCCACCAGGGCCATAGGTTTCGATAGGAGAGTGAGGCAGGGATTTAGGGAAAGACCAACCTATTTAACTCTGGTGCTGGGAACACAGATTCTGAGATTTCATCACACTTTGCTGTCAGTGTGAACTTAGTCAAGTCATTTAGCTTGTTTCTCAGTTCCTCCTTCTATAACATGGGTAATAAAATGCCCACACCATAAGTTTGTAGGGATTACATATTTTATATGTATAGCCTAGCAAAATATTTGTCATGTAGTGATTGTTTAATGAAGGATAGCTACCATCAAATGAAAGGTTCTGTTAAAAAATGAAAAACAGTTTTCCATTTTCAAGAAAAGGAAGTCTATTGGAGTAAGATTGCAGTTAGATTAACACCTTTTCTTGAAATGAACTTACAGAAAAAATGTACATGTATAATTCAGTCCACTGTATCCTCCTTTGAACTAGTTTTACCTGCTTGTTTTCTCATGCATAAATATTTATGTTTCTTTGACATATTTATGTGAGGATTATGTTTTTAATATTCTAACATCACAAAGTAGCCTTTTGTTTCTGTATTGCACTTTACGGGTAATTGTTATTTTGCCACCTCTTTGTACAACTGATATGGTTTGGCTTTGTGTCCCCACTCAAATCTCATCTCGAATTCATATCCTCACGTGTGGAGTGGGGTACCCATAATCTCCAAGTGTTGAAGGAGGGAGGTGATTGGATCATGGGGGCGTTTCCCCCATGCTGTTCTTGTGATAGTGACTGAGTTCTCAAGAGATCTGACGGTTTTAGAAGGGGCTCTTCCCCTTTCGCTTTCTCCTCTCTCTCCTGCTGCCATGTAAGACATACCTACTTCCCCTTCCGCCATGATTGTAAGTTTCCTGAGGCCTCCCCAGCCATGCAGAACTGTGAGTGAGTCAATTAAACCTCTTTCCTTTATTTAAAAAAAAAATGTCTACCATGTAAGGTAGTGGTCAGGAAAAATAAGGCAACACCTAGGAAACATTAAGTATATTGCCAAACATATTATAAGCACTGCATGTTTCTTATTACTGTTATTGGTGTCATCATTATTATTATTGGAGTCATCATTATTATTATTGGAGTCTAGGATAAAGTAGCAGTTGTTTGCAAAATGGAAGACAGTACCTAGTGGTGGAAAACCGAAAGTTCCATGGAGACAGGCATGCAGCATGCAGTAGGCCAACTGCAACGAAGCCAGGAAATGAGGACTTTCAATCATAGACCACACACATGATTGTTCAAGAAAGGTGAAAAGACATTAGGCAAAAATTCACCTCAACCAAGGCTGAGTTTCTTGGTTCGTTTGGGCTGCTGTGACAAAATACCATAAACCAGGTGTCAAATAACAGCAGAAACTTACTAGTCATAGTTCTGCAGGCTGGGAAGTCCACTATCAAGGTGCTAGCAGAATCCGTTGTCTGGTGAAGGCTGGCTTCCTAGTTCATAGACAGCTGTCTTGCACTTTGTCCTCACATGGTGAAAGGGGCAAGGAATCTCTCAAGGGCCTCTTTTATAAGGGCACTAGTGCCATCCATTCACCTCCCAAAGCCCCCACCTCCTATTACCATTGTCTTGAGGGTTAGAATTTCAGCACATGAATTTTAGGGGTAAACAAACATTTGAACTACAGCATGAGCTACCAGAATACCATAGCAAGCTGCTTCTCAGGTCAGTCTGGGAAATGGTAGCTGAATGTAGGGGCCGAGGAAGCCAAGAATTACGCTGTGTCCAGATTAGGTTCCAGCTGGATATAGGACAATCAGTGGAGCAGCTGTGGTAGCAGCAAGCACTGAAGCATCTGGAAAGAAGAAGGTTTCTAATCAGGGGTGCTGGGAAGAACAGTGAACAGAGTACAGAACCGGGAATCAGAGATCTTACGTTACATCAGTTGTCCTTAGTTATTTTCTGGGTCACAGTGCTTCTATTAAAACTGATTTAAACATAAATCCATTGTCCCCCAAAATGCAAACACATTTGTCTATAATCTCAGTGGCCTTAAAGACACCCTGGCTTCCCTAAAACCCACATTCAAGGTGCCTGAATTGAGTTTTAGAGTAGAATTTGGTTGAAAGGGCATTCCAGTATAATGAATGGCAAATGTATAAATGAAGCATAAGGAATCCTGTTGGGCCCAGATGGAGTGATCCTATGTGGAAGCAGTGAAAAATATGTTTAAGTAAATGTGGAAAGACAATTGGAAGTTGTCTGCTAAAATTCAAATTTGACTGATAATTGATATAAAAAAAAAGCCACTGTTTTTGAGGCAGAGACAAAACGAAGTTTCAGATAGTTTATCTTGGTAGCTATGTATAGGTATGATTGAAGCAGGTAAACCAACAAAGATTAATGTGGACAGAATTGCAGATGTCTTGGTTTAGAAGTGATCACCATTCATAAAGAGCTGAAAGGGAAACAGATTTATTCAAGAGAAATATGCAAGTGTTTATTTGAGTACAACCCTAACTTTTCCCCTAAGTTTAAATTCATCCAGTCACCTCCCTTCTGGAAATTTCCACTTGGTGATTCTGCTGCTACCTCCATATCAACAAATTCTCCATCAGGATATATTATTTTTTTGCCTGTTAAATCTATTATTGTTAAAATAGCTCCACTGTCAGATAACGACAATGCAACTGGTATATCAAACAAACACAACTACTGAAACAGCAAAGCCAATTCTATTTTTAATCTCCCCTCCTACTTAAAATTATTCAGTAGAATGATCTGGGCAAATCTCATGACTTTTTTGTTGACTTAAGGTAATGACAGTCCTAGAGCTTCCTTATGTTAAAGCACAGCCTCAACTTCATGATTAGAATATCCAGTCTAAGATATTAATCAAAAGTCCAAGTTGATTTAACATCAAATACCTCCCCTCTCTGAGACTGATCCTTCTGGAAGACTAGTGACATGACGGAGGGGGGATGAATGCCTTCTCCTCTTTCTCCTTTCCCTGTTTACTTCCTCCCAACTCCTGTGGCTGTTGTGCCTTCTACTAGGCTCAAAAATAAACAGGACAGATCTCGCTGGGCTGGGCTGCTCTGTGCTTTCTGGGCTTAGCAGACAGTTTAAGATGGTGTCCCTGGTAGGCCTGGGAGATTTCTGAAGCTAATTCTTTTTCTTGAAGCATTTCCTTTTGACTCTATGAGTTCCTGTTTGACCGTCTCTTCTGAAGTTTCTTTTACTCATTGGGTGATGGATTCCTATTTCAGTGGAAGCTTGCACTGTTTCCTCAGCCTCTTGACATCCAGCAGTACACCTCATGCTCTCTCTGCTGAAGCCTCCTGACCCCTTTAGACAGTCCCATTGACTATAACCCAGGACATTCCCACAAAGTATGCTGGATTTAAATCTGGTGCACAGGAAACACTCACTTATTCCTTTCCTGGAAATTCTGGGGTTGTCTCTAATCCCAATGCAACCAACTTCTCCCTGTCAGCCAAAAAACCAATTGGTCAACTCTGGTTAGCACTCTTTTGTCACTCGGGAGTCACATCACAGTCTGTAGTCCACTTTGCCTTTCTCACATTTATATCAGTCACTGGTCTTCTGCGTCTTCAGCTGCAGTGAACCTATTTCAGACTTCTCTTGAGTGACCCCCTGGAAGCTCTATTCACCAGGAGTGGTGTTAGAAAGTGGCATCCCAAAGACAAGACTGGGCAGTGTGGACACACAGAGAGACAACAGCTGTCCCCAGAGAAGTCTCTTCAGCAATCACCTCTACCACTCTCGTGACCTCTTTTATGTATGCTTGATTTCGTAGTTGGGCCCACAAGATCTAGAACCATCTCTGGAGAACACTTCCTTTATACTTATGTATTGGGAACACTGAGGGTGTCTGTCTCCCACTCTGGTGTCCTGATACCCATTTTACTAGTACCTGAGTGAAAGCATTACAGTACGATGGAGCCTGCCACTCAAACCATAGCTCTACAGGTTATCTAAGACCTCATCCCCTCAGTACACTCATCTGATTAAGTCCTGTCAACTGTCTGTCAGAGATATTTTTTCTCAACCTTCTTTGCCCACTGCCCTCATCATTTTTCACCTGGACTGTTAAAATAGCCTCCAACTAGGCTCTGTATCTTTAATCTCAGCCCTTTTGTAACTATTGTCCACATATAAGCAAAGTGATATACATAAATGTGCAGTAGGTATTCTACCCTTTACGAACACAAACTTGCTCATAGCTTCCTGTGTCCACCATCCAGTTCCATACAGAGTGGAGACAGATGGCTTTTTGTTTTCCTGACTAAACCTGCCTAATAACACCCTTTTTGTCATATACCTTTCAGCCTGCCTGCAAAGCCCTACCTCCCATTTTTCACTTAGACCAACTCTTAGAATTTCTTTTCTCTAGAAAGCCTTTCCTGAACCTCTGCTGGAGGGTGTATCCTGCTTTCAACTCCGTAGCTCTGATATATCTTTATGTTAGCACTTAACATGCTTCACTCAGCACCGTAAGATCTTTCTGTGGGACAGAAAGTCAATTTATCTTTGTGTCCTCAGAGCACCGTGCCTGTACACGGCAGGCATTTTAAAAGATGCTTATTGAACTGAAGCCAGAAAGTTAAATTCTAGCAAATTCTTAACACATTTTGCTAAACTAATACTCAATTTTAAACTATATAAATAGTTCCTAATTGATCTGCTCCAAAATAAATTTACTGCATAAGAATGAAAAATTATTTCTAAATATCAGTGCTTATGGGATGTCACTGAGAGGTATATGAAATATGGGCAGTTTTCTGCCACTGCTTTGCTATGAAAAATGTAATTTATGGTTCTATTTTGATGAAATGGAGATTATACATTTGAATATATAAACCTAATATTTGAATTCAAGCTTTTAAAAATCAAAGAGTAAAAAATAAAATTATTCATTTAGGCACCTACCTGTGCTTAATATTTGTTTGGATTTTTACTTAGTAGGTCACTATGGAGTGGGGTTTTTGTTTGTTTGGTTGGTTGGTTGGCTGATTTTGTATGGGATCTGGGTAAAAAATTACAGTATTGAAAATAAAAAAGTCCCTGGTGAAACGTAAGCTCTGACATATTTTTATCCTACTGTGTCTTCACTGAGTAACACTTCCCATTAATGCATGCCATTTGATCTCGATTGCCAGGACAAGCTGTTTCTTAGTTTAATTAGATGACATTGGGTCTGGCAGCAACCTCAATCAAATTTCTACTCTTCAGAAAAAATTTCCATTTCTATTTCTCATTCTGCACCTCTTGAAAGTTAGCTGCATTCTGACCCCTCATTCTTCAGCATCCCTAGCTAGTCTTCACTGTGTAAAAGAAAGCCATAAATCCCAGCAGCCCCTCACATTTAGGATATTTAGACCTAAGGAAGAGTGGGTTTTTAGGTCCTTCCCTCAATTCCCTGTACAACTCTGGATGGATAAAATAGATTAGTTTCTAAAGGTTCATCGTTTATATTTTTACCAATTACATAGGTTTTGTCTTATATATAAACATCTTAGTTTGTTTGCATTATAATAGCACAGCACCTGAGACTGGCTAATTTATAAAGAACAGAAATTTATTTATTTATTTATTTATTTTTATTTTATTTTATTTTAGAGACAGAGTCTCACTCTGTCACCAAGCTGGAGTGCAGTGGTGCGATCTTGGTTCACTGCAATCTCTGCCTCCCAGTTTCAAGCGATTCTCCTGCCTCAGCCTCCGAGCAGCTGGGACTACAGGCGTGCGCCACCACGCCTGGCTAATTTTTGTATTTTTAATAGAGATGGGGTTTCACCATGTTGGCCAGGATAATCTCCAGCTCTTGACTTCATGATCTGCCCACCTCAGCTCCTAAAGTGCTGAGATTACAGGCGTAAGCCACGTGCCCAGCCAGAAATTTATTTCTTACAGTTCTGGAGGCTGAGAAGTCCCAGATAAAGGTAATAGCATCCAGTCTCTGGCGAGGGCTTTCTTGCTGTGTTTCCACATGGTGGAAAAGCAAAATGGCAAAAAGGGCCTAGCTAATTCCCTCCAGCCCCTTTATAAGATTCCTAACGCCATTCATTAAGGCTCCAGCCTCATGACTTAATCCTTTCCTAAAGGCCCCACCTCTTAATACTGTGGCATTGGAGATTAAGTTTCTACATGAATTTTCAAGGAGACAAAAGCCTTTGAACCACAGCAATAACTAAAGCACTAAGACACCTATTCCTGAAATAGTCAATCAGTGGCTGGGTGAACAGTCTCCAACAAGAAATGTTGCAAGGGAGTGTTGGCCTCAGATGAAGGTTTCTGCCAAACTCTTCTTAGTTTATATGATTCTAAATAACATTGATATTTATAAAATAGCATCAGGGACTCATGTCAATTATTCTTGTTTTCCCATTCAACTACTAATGTCCTGGTTCTACCCCACATTGATTAAAGAATTTGCTTTTATACAGTCTGTGATATATGTGTGTATGTATGTGTACACAGGTGCACACATGTTTAATTTACTTAGATGAATATCATTTTACACATATATATATACATATTTATGGAGGGAAGTGAGGATATACATGTTTTGTGAGACCGTGTGTGTGTGTGTGTGTGTGTGTATTTGTGTCTGTATCTATTTCTTTAACAGTGTGCTTTCGCAATTATCTCAAGGTTTGAATTATATCTAAGTTGGTACATATTATTTATCCAGTTCATTCATTTTTCACTAAAATCTAGTATTCTATAATTAATCCATTCCAAAAGTATTTACTGAATACCTAGTATGTGGCAGACACTCTTTTAGACACCAAGAATGCAATCAGGAGCAAAGAAAAGTCCTCACTCTCATGAAACTTATACTCTAGTCAGGGAAATCAGACAAGGATCATTGAAAAAACAAAGCTCAGAAGAGGGAAGGGCATACCATACAATGCCCTTAAGAGGGAAATGGGCATTGCTATATTATAAAACTTCTCACAGATAACATGGAACTTGAATAAATCTCTGAAAGAAAATAGGGAGCAAAGCATGCAAATATTAAGAAGATGAAAGATCCAAGTAGAGGGAACAACTTATGCATTGAATACACATCAGTGTACTTGTCCAATCCCTTCTGCATGGATATTTTGGCTGCCTCTTTTTTTTTTCCTGCACATTCACACAATGCTTCATTACTTAATTACTTAAATTGAACATTTAAGTAATAGGCTCTCATGCACAAATCCAAGATTTGCTCTAGAGAAGCACTGTTGCATTGTCCAATAAAAAGATAATGTGAGTTGCATATATATTAGAGTTTTTAGTAGCCACATTGAAAGTAAAAGACAGGTGGAATTAATTTTAATAACTTATTTTATTTAACCCAGTATATCCAAAATATTAGCATTTCATAATGTCATCAATATTCAAATTATTAATGAGCAATTGTACTTTTTTTCATAAGTCTTTTTAATCCACTGTGTCTTTTACACTTATGGTACATCTCAGTTCTGACTAGCCACATTTCAAGTGCTCAACAGCCACCTCCAGCTACCATAATGAACAGCTGTCTTAGCTTGGGCTGCTATAACAAAATCCTTTAGACTGGGTGGCTTAAACAAAAGGCATTTATTTCTCATAGTTCTGGAGGCTAAAAAGTCCATGATCAAAGTGCCATCATGGTCAAGTTCCAGTGAGGGCCCTCTTCTTGGCTTGTAGATGGTTATCTTTCCATTGTATTCTCACATAATAAAGAGAAGCAGCACTGCTGTATGTCTCTTCTTACAAGGACACTCATCCCACCATGGGGACTCTACCTCATGACCTCATCTAAGCCTAATTTTCATCTAAAGACCTCACCTGCTAGTACCATCACATTGGGGGTTATGGCTTCAACATATAAATGTGGGGGTACACAATTATTCAATCTGTAACAACAACCCAGCTTGAGACCATACACCTAGAAGTAGGACTGCTGCTTGTATGCATTTTTAGCTTTACCAGCATAATAGTTTCCTATTGCTGCATAAAAACTTACCACGAACTGGCTAGGTGCAGTAGCTCAGGCCTGTAATCCCAGCGCTTTGGGAGACTGAGGTGGTCAGATCACTTGAGTTCAGGAGTTCTAGACCAGCCTGAGCAACATGGTGAAACCCCCTCTCTACAAAAAATAAAAAAACAAACAAAAAAAATTAGCTGGGCATAGTAGTGCATGCCTGTGGTCCTAGCTACTCAAGAGGGTGGGAGGATCACTTGAACCCGGGAGGCAGAGGTTGCAAACAGCCATGATCTCGCCACTGCACTCCAGCCTAGGTGACAGAGAGAGAACAAGAGAGCCTGTCTCAAAAACAAAAACAAAAAACAAAACAAAACAAAACAAAAACACACACACACACACAAACTAGGGATGTTAAAACAACAATCATTTATTATCTCAGTTTCTGTAGATGAGAAGTCTGGACAAATTTGCTGTGTTCTCTGCTCAGGGTCCACGAAGCTGAGAAGGGTGTTGGCTGGGGCTGCTGCAGTCTCATTCTAGGTTCAAGGTCCTCTTCCAAGCTCACGTAGTTGTTGGAAGAATTCACTTTTTGCAGACATTATTGGCAGCTTGTTCCCTTAAGACCAGAAGAGAGCAAATCTCTGTTTTCTAAATCCCTTTTTATTAAAGAACTATTTTGATTAGGTCAGCCCTCCCCTGCAGGATAATCGTACTTTTTATTAAGTCAAAGTCAATTGATTACAGATACCTAATTGCATCGCAAAACATTCCTTTCCCTTTGCCATAATCAATAGAATGACACCCACCATATTCTCAGGTCCCACTCACACTCAAGGGGAGGGAATTACAAAGGGCATAGGTCACAGAGGTTCATCTCAGAATTCTGCCTACCACAACTATATAGTGTCAAATTTCTCCATACTATATTTTTCTGTTGCTTCATGGAGATCCCTGGCTTTATGTTCCCTCCATTTTATTTATCTATCTACCTCCTATTGGCTTCTCTTTCTTTTCAAAACCGTCTAGAATACTACCTTTTCAGGAATACCCTTAATTCCTTTTCACCTCATTTTCTGCTACACCCACATAAGAAAAGTCTAATGCTGTGTCAGTACTATAGTGTGCCTTCTCTTTCCCGATGCCCAGGCAAGGATGTATCTCAAAAAATCATCCATCCTTGCAGTTCCACCTCATGGCAAATCCACGGTGTCCAACAGTAGCTAGGCTCCTAGGGCCACCTCTCAATCCTTTTACTTGTGTCTACTCATCTCTTCCATTCCCCTCGGCAATTTATTATTTCACTGGGCCACAATTCAAACTTTACTACCTTCATTCTCAACTTACTGCCAACTTATGTGAGAAAATTGGCCAGGCGCGGTGGCTCACGCCTGTAATCCCAGCACTTTGGGAGGCCGAGGCAGGCAGATCACAAGGTCAGGAGATCGAGACCATCCTGGCTAACACGGTGAAACCCTGTCTCTACTGAAAACACAAAAAATTAGCCGGGCGTGGTGGCGGGCGCCTCTAGTCCCAGCTACTCCGGATGCTGAGGCAGGAGAATCGCTTGAACCTGGGAGGCGGAGTTTGCAGTGAGCTGAGATCCGCCACTGCACTCCAGCCTGGGTGACAGAGCAAGACTCTGTCTCAAAAAAAAAAAGAAAGAAAGAAAATTGAACTTAGTAGGTGTGAACACCTTCAATTTCCAACAACCCATTTAGCAAACTTTTTTCATGCCCATTCTCTTTCTCCAAAATCACAGGATGAGACATTGTGCCTTTTCCTCAGTGTCTACTTGTGCTGCTGTCCATCTTTTTTCCTCTGCTAAGAATGCCCTTTCTGCCACTCCCTCTTCTTCTATGTTGGACTAAACCCAACAGCTCAGCTCAGGCATCACATTTTCCAGAAAGCTTTTGCAAATAGCACACACACACACACACACACACACACACACACACACACATTTCTCCTTTCCTCATTTATCCAAAACTACACTGTGTATATCTTCACCATTGCATTTTTATCATTGTACTATAAATACATTTCTATGTGTCTACCTCTCCAGTACGCATTGCATTTCTTGGAAACAAGAACTGTTAAATTCATTTTATTCACTTAGTACCTAGCTCTCTTCCTGCATATAGTAGGGGCTCAATAAATCTTGGTGACTAAATAAATAAATATTTCTTTAAATATAATATCTCACTCAACCAGACTAACTAGAGCAAGACATGAATTCAACCCATGTGGAATCCATTGTTCATCTTCATAGATAAACCATCCATAAATAACATATTGTTTACCTATAATGATAGGCATCTGGGCAACAAAGACAATTATATGATTAATATGATCAAAGTAATTTGAGTAATTTGAGACTGACTAATCTGATTTTTGGGTTTTATTGACCACATTATCTAGCTAATTAGACAAGAGCCCCATTCCCACCCACTTCACCTATATGAATGTCTCAGGTTTGTGATCCTGCCCATTTAGTTGATTTGCATGTACAGAAGCCAATTTATTCCATTTCAGAAAACAAGCCACCACATGAACCAGAGCCAAACAAAACTAGCTTTTTGTAAAAGAAAACCCAGGTGTGTATTCTAAGATAAATCCTTAGGAAATAAAAACCAGTTTACCCAGAGTACATGGCATAGACATAGTTAAAGTCAGCAGATTTAGAGTTGGAAATCAAATATTGGCAAGAAAAGCTATTATATTTTTAAATTATGCAGTGATCCATGCAAGCTGTTATTGCAAGATAATGGGTTATAAACAGCACACATAATAGTTAAAATAATTATATATTGAACAGATGAACATATGATAAATGCATCATTTCAGTTCCTGAAATAGCTGACATCCTAGGAAGTTGTGTGGTCTAAAGGTTATGTTTATCATTTCTTCCTTTGCTTAATGTTTATTTTCATCACCATTATTGTGTATACTTCAGATTTGTTTTTAAATAACTTTTCTGAGAACTGACTTAAAATTGTGGGTGACCTGACATGGATTACATTGCTTAGATGAAGGGTGAATTTCAGATATTTGTCATTGTACAGTACTCTGTGGACCTGAGAAAGACAGTAATTGTACAGTTATTCCATCAGGGCTATGTTTATACAATAGATACTGAGTGAGCCTTCTTTAATTAAAAACAAATGAAATAATGCCATGATGAATTGCATCTAAGTCTTCTATTCAAAAGTCAGGACTAAGTATAAACAAATTTTTGAAATCCATAAAATGCCTTCTCTGTTCTCTTTTCCTTTTGCTATATTCCCCAAGGGTACCTTGGCCTCTTGATCTTACTCTCAGAAATTCTATACTAAAGTGTTAACAAAAGGAAAGTTTGTTAACCAAATGAATGATTACCTTAATTAATGAGTTATTAATTCATGTTTAAAGGTGTCACTCCTCTCCTGCACATTCACAGGCCAATAGGGAATTCCTAAACTTGGAAAGCCTTCAAAATTCAAAGAAAAATCTCATAAGAGTTGAACTGAGGTGTAAGAACTGATTTGGGAATGCACAGGAATTGAGTCTGACTGCCCCTTCAGTTCCACCACCAAAGAGGTGAAATCATGTGACCTGCTCAAGGCCATGTGTACCAACCCAAATCTTCCATGGAGAGAAAAAGGGACAATGGGGTGATGGTGTGGGGCACGGGAATCTCTTTCTCCCACATTGTAATCCTGTCACCTTTCCTCAGTGTCATTGCCAGCAGAAAGCAGATCCTGATTCCCTAGGTCTTGGTACCTTCCCTCTACTTTTCTCTCATGACTTAAATGTGTGTAACTTTTGGAAGTGCTGCTTTATTCAATTATGCCTTCCACAAATATTTTGGATATCTACCAAATGCTAGTAATGGAATTCAAACGTAAGTAAAATACTTTCCACCATCAAAAAGTTAACAACTAATTGGGAAAGAGAGTGCTAACATGAATAACTGACATAATACATAGTTATTATATATAAGTACATAATAAATGTTTGCAATACAAATAGTTAAGATAATAGCTAGCATAGTTACTGTAATACAAGAACCTGATAAACTATGCTACAGAGGTAACAAGTAGTCCTCTACAGGAACCCAGAGGGTTTATTTAAACCATATTTTCCTGTCTTAAAATATTTTCATCACATAACTCAAATTTTTTACCCTTTGAATTTGTGTAGTAAGTGTTGGAATAGGCCCTCTTACAACTGCAAAACTCCTGAAATGTGATTTGATCACCATTTCAACATGCAACATTTGTTTTCAAATACTGCATTGCTAATGGAACCCATTCTTCAGGCATCCAGGGCAAAAAGGAAGACTCCTTGCCAGAGGTTCATATTGAAAATATGCTGGGTGATTCATTTAGTATAACTGATTGTTCTTCACAATTTCCAGGCTAGAAATAGTGTGCTCATCAACACATACAAAAACCAATGGTGCTAAACATTGACATCCACCAGTAAAATTATGACTGGAGTGCATGAATCAATTAGCAAAAACTAGAGAGAGAATTGTCAAACAGTGCCCTATTAATACAAGTTCTATTTGAAATACAAATAAAAGGAGAAGTGATGCTGGAAGCCCAGCATCAAGGTGTCACCAAGTTTGGTTTTTTCTGAGACCTCTCTCCCTGACTTGAGATGGCCACCTTCTTGCTGTGTCCTCCCCTGGTGTTTTCTTCATGTGTTCATCTCTGGCAATGTTTCTTCTTATAAAGACACCGTTCACCCTGGATGTTACGATTTGAATGTGTCCCCCAGAGTTCATGTGTTGGAAACTTAATCCCCAATGCAACAGCGTTAAGTGGTGGGACCTTCAGCAGGTGATTAAAGCATGGGACTCTGCCCTCATGAATGGATTACTGCTGTTATCCATACCTGATAAAAGAATGAGTTTGGTCCCCCGTCTCTCATGTGCATGCATTCTCTGATGCTCTTTTGCCCTTCCACGTTCCACCATGAGATGACTTAGCAAAAAGGCCCTCACCAGATGCTGGCACCTTAATGTTAGACCTCCCAGCCTCCAAGCCTGTGATAAACAAATTTCTTTTTAAAAATAAATTAGTCTGTGGTATTTTGTTACAGCAATACAAATGGACTAAGATATTGGATTAGGGCCCTATTTTTATGACCTCATTTAACCCTAATTACCTCTATAAAGGCCCTGTCTCCAAATATAGTCACATTCTAAGCTGCTGGGGGTTAGGGCTTCAACATACAAATTTGGGGGGACACAACTTTGCCCATAACTTTACTCATATTCACTCTTCAGGGGTACAACCATTTAATTAAAGGACAAATAGTCATGCATAACATTCACTAGGATGACTCTGAAACATTCACTTTGCAATCAATATTGAGCAAGATATACTATGTGCTGGAAGTGCTGGCAGGAATTGTACTAATAAGACAAGAGAGACATGGTCCCTAACTTTGAGGAAGCAGAGTTCAACATGAAGAGAGACATGAAAGCAAATATGTGCATTACATATTTGCATACATTTGGTCACATTATAACAGATATGGGGGAGTGCTTGTCAGGGACAATAGAGTTCTTCCACCTCAGTACTTAAGTTACTTTAAAACCTTCTCAGAGGACATGAGGGTTGGCCTCAGCTTTGGAGGATGAATTGGAGAGTGGCAGGCAGCATGGTGGGGAAGAACACTCCACTCTTGGGAACTGGTTGGCGGCTGAATGAAGTATGGTAAGAGGTTAAATGGTATCAGCAGAGGCCAGATAATCAAGGGCCTTCTATGCTCTACTAAGGATCCAGAACAATTCTGTGGGCCAGAGATTCTCACAATTAAGTGTGCACCAAATCACCTGACAAAACCTCTGAAAATGAATTACTTCTCACATTCACTTCCCAGAAACTTAGATGATCTTATGCAAGTTTGAGAAAGATTGCATTTTAGGCATTAAGATAAAGTTAATTATGTTGCCCGTCCTCTACCCCTGTATAATTCAATATAACCAATGGCGTGAGGTATATATTACGATGTGCTTTATATTGCATTATTCACAAGTAAAGCTTCATAACAATCCACAGTACGGAAGATATTAATAGACACATCAATTAACTTAAGGCAAAATAAACATGGCCTCGTGCCCTCCACATGTCAGACTACATAAGGATCTAACAGAGCAACACAGACCTGCTATGAGCTCACCCTGAGGAACAGGAGGTAGTGAGAAGGGAAGAAGAAAGGCCTGGATCAAACTGTTCTTTCTCCCTAATTTCCAGAACAGCAGGAGAGTCAGAGACGTGAGCTGGAGAGTGGATGGGTCTTGCAGAGAAGGAGGGCAAGCCCTCTCCACTAACCTCACACCATTCCTTCTTGGTCCTCCGTAAGCCAAAGCACAGGTTTAGCCCCCAGCCTGGGCTTTAGTCATCTACATTATTAAAATTACAAACTAGTGATTTAAACTTCAAGCTAATTACAACTTGAAAATAATACTTGAATACTGACTTCCTCTATGTGCAGCTTAAGAAGAATCACTCAGAGAAACAGAGGAAAACATTCATTGTTGGCTTTTACTTAAATAGATGATTCTAAGGTTTGCCTTGGAAATTCAGGTTTTGACAAAAGTTATAACTTGAGCTGACCTTTTGGTTATAAATGTTAGAGATTTTCTACTCATTTCTTTTTTTTATTGATTCCATATTAAATACAGCTTTAAAATTTAAGTGGCATGATTAATAAGAGTAAAGGCAATGCCTTTAAAAAATGACTTCTAAAAAATGCCTTTTTCCTCCCTTCTAAATATCTTATACCATTTTTAAATATTCTGCAATGGAAAACAGGCTGGTACTAACATCTAATTACCTAAATCTAGATTCACTCAAGTAGTCTAGTCATGATTTATAACCCAAAAAAGGTTCTAATCAAGGAATGACAGCATTTGTGTTTAAAATTCTTCAGAATAAGAAAGGGAAAAATAAACATTTTTCTGCATCAATACATGTCATGAGTGTAGTCACTGCCAAATATTTTAGAGGACAATTTCAATAATTGCAAGGGATTTAATTTTAAAGGAATAATGAAGATCTTAAGTGTGACAAACTGTTCACTTAATTTTGAACCTCTACTAAGTTTGCTCTGTTCAATGCATTACACATTTTCTTTTCATTACACTATTTTTAGAAATAAAATCATAGCATCATTATACACAAAAAACACGTTCAGCCAAAGATGGCAATTATCCACATTATGTCAACAAGATTTGCCAACAAAACATTTCAAAAATAAAGACAATAAATGAAATTCTCTCTATGAAAGATTACTTTGGCATTAGACAATTATTCTGCAAGTGTTTAGTTGGAGAATCCACACTTTATACTTAGTGAATAGCATGTTGACTCTTATATAGGGTCAAACACCTACTACATTATACCAGTGCTTTCTATTCATTCTATTTTATTTATTTCAGTATGAACTTTTGAAATTAATTATAGCTTATGAAAAACTCAAGCTAAACAATATTCATTTTGAGAGTTATTGAGGTTATTCATGAAATAAGGGTATTTTTAAGCTGGATTTATACATTGAGCAATTAAAGATAAAAACGAAGAAGTAAAGGAAGATAAAATAAACACAAATAACAAAGTCTTTGGAATGAGACAACCTAAGTTAAGCTTGGGTTTCTCATTAACTTATGGTGTCATCTTGGCCTGAAATTCAGCTTCCTATTGATTTTTTTTTTTAAGGAGATTTTTCAAAAGCCTGTCTTGCAGGGTTTGGGTCATAACTAACTGATATGGTTTGGCTGTGTCCCCACCCAAATCTCGAATTATAGTTTCCATAATTCCCATGTGTCATGGGAAGGACCCTGTGAGAGGTAATTGAATCATGAGGGTGGGTCTTTCCCATGCTGTTCTTGTGATAGTGAATAAGTCTCATGAGATCTCATGGTTTTATAGAGGGATTCCCCTGCACATGCTCTCGCTCTTGCCTGCTGCCATATAAGATGTTCCTTTGCTCTTTCTTCATTTTCTGCCATGATTGTGAGGCTTCCCCAGCCATGTGGAACTGCGAGACCATTAAACCTCTTTACTTTATAAATTACCCAATCTCAGGTATGTTTTTATTAGCAGGATGAGAACAGACTGATACAATAACTGAGATGATATATAGTCTGATAGGCAGTCAATTTGTTACCTTCCATCATCCTCCTTCTTATGATCTTATAGTAAGTTTCCACATTGTCTTGAAGATATTATAATTATTACCATGAATAGACAAAGAAACAGCAAATTTGCCAGTTGGGAATAAAATTTTAGTAAATTATGGATTCACATATCATAAGATATAGTAGAGGTCAGTTTCCCTAGAGGGACAGCCTAAGATGGGGAATCTTGTGCAAGTGACCTATTGAGGAAGCGCTCTCAGGAGAAATGAGTAATGGAGTAAGGAAGGTTGGATAAGACAGAGGAAGAAACTAGGAGAAATCAAATATTAGCCATATCCCACAGGGGACCTTTAGAACATAAATTTTCATCCAAATGTGCATGGTCCCCCTAGGAGGCTAGCATACCCCAGTAGTACTCATTCATTGGCTATTGGTCATCACCCTTCTGGGAATTTGGGACAGGATCTCCCTGGCATCTCAGAACCAGCAGGCTCTTGTAGACCAGGGATAACCAACACTGCCTGTAGCTAGGGCATGAATGTACCAAGCTGGTGGAGGAGAATTTGACAGGACACCAATAGTGACTACTATAGGTAGGAGAAGAAACACTGATTTCAACCATGTAGATTTTATTCTAAAGCATGTCTTCCAACGTAGAGTACTCCCAACTTAAACAAGACCAGAATAGCAATTCAGCTTTTCAAAACAAAATACAAGAACAACTACTTTTTAAAAAGGTTTACTATAGGATTCTTTGAGCAAGAAAATATTCTTAGAGGCCGGGCGTGGTGGCTCAAGCCTGTAATCCCAGCACTTTGGGAGGCTGAGACGGGTGGATCACCTGAGGTCAGGAGTTTGAGACCAGCCTGACAAATATGATGAAACCCCTTCTCTACTAAAAATACAAAAATTAGCCAGGTGTGGTGGCATGCACCTGTAATCCCAGCTACTCAGGAGGCTGAGACAGGAGAATCACTTGAACCTGGGAGGCAGTGGTTGTAGTGAGCTAAGATCGTGCCATTGCACTCCAGCCTGGGCAACAAGAGCGAAACTCCAACTCAAAAAAAAAAAAGAAAAAAGAAGTTATTCTTAGAACACCTCACATATGATTTTATTTATAAATAATTGATTTGCCTACAAATTTAAGGAATTAGAGAATCCATGTGACCTTCTCCAGTAGTGCTATGATCCTGGGAACCTACCAAGTGTAAAGTGGATGTTGTATCTATACTGTGGGGCACTATATTTTACTGATTCTGAAATTAGTACACCCTGACTGATACTTTGAGGCTACTTACTGGGAAAAAAGACCATTTCATACCAGTCTTGTCCTAGAAGTAGGGTAATAAATGATTCTGGTTTTCACCTGGGACTGAGAGTATCTCCCCTGGACATGGGACCTTCCATTTTAAAATCTAGATAATACTGGGCAAATCAGAACTAGATGATCACACTATGTGGAATTTATAGCAAGAGGGTTCACTATTACTACAAAGTAAGAAATTAGCAAATTTGGATCTTTAGCTTGGGACTATATAGATGCATAATTTGCCCATCTGCATTTTGAATTGAGAATGAAACAAAGAGTTTTAGGTTTTAGATCGTCTTCCCCACACACACACACACACACCCCTCAGGCCCAATGAATATTTATATCAATTTTCTAGTTACATAGCAGGATTTCTGTCAGGTGCCACATTTGAGTGTTCTTAGGAAGAAACTGAAAATTCCTACCAGTTCCTATGTGTCATCCCTGACTTCTCTCAACAGGTGTATGAGCAAAGATTTATGATTCAGAAATGATTTTTTAATGTACTGTTATTACTTTCTGTTTCTGACAATTGAGAAACTAGAATTTTGTCTTCTCTTAATTTGAAGGCTGGCTTTCTTCTTTTTAAAATTTAGGAAGGCACATTGTTGGCTAAATTAATTCACAATTGGGTTTAGTCAGTGTCCTCCAAAGCTTATGGTTATGTAGTGCCAAGAAAGAATACTCCAAATTTTAAATTATTTTCCTAGAGCAATATAAGATATATATTTTTTTTCCAAATTCTGTATATGTAGAATTATATAAATAATATATACAGAGAGCATATATAGAATATAGAATTAATTACATATATGATATATATCACACATTGCTCTAGGAAATAATATATATAACTACATATGATATATATTTTATGACTATAATATATTATTACTATATATATATATCTATATATATATAGATATATATATCTATATATATATGACTTTCATACCATTTATGTAACTTAGACTAGAGAAGAAGGTAAAACACATCCTGGTTTTCACTTAACTTCAGTGTCTTTCCCCAAAACATCACCTCACAGCTTTTTTTTTTTCCTTTGGTCCAAGGCAAATTGCTGGTATCTCAGCCTCAGAGAAAATCACAAGTGAGATTTAACTTCAGAAAAGTCCAGCTTATCCTAAAGAGAATGAAAATAGGTGACGATCTCTCTGGAAGCAAGTCTAACGAAGTGCTTTGCCCTCAAAGGGTACAGCATGTCCTCTATTTCAATGAAGTTTAAAGAAAGGCCATGGTGGAAACAAGCCATTTCTTTCAACAAATTGCTTGATTGGCTGCCAATTCTGATTTTATTCTTGCCTTGTAACCTTTCACATGAGATGCCCTCATCCCAGTAAAACTGCTGTAAACCTTGCATGAAATCACCTAGTGATTTGCTGCAAGAAAAAGTCCACTCAGGCAAGAAATACCTGTTACGTCTCAGTTAATATCCAACATTTGAAAACTGCAGAGCTGATACTTGCTTTTACCTGCTGGCCAATTCAAGATGGTCTGGGTCCCTGTCAACATTTAAGCTAGTATGCATGCAGTTACACATCCTAAATTACTTGGCGAATAACTTCTTAACATCATAGGCTTTATACTAGCCTTATACACGCACATCTTTATAAGGAGCCAAGCTTTGCAGATGACACAGCATCTCTAAGGATAGAGGTTGAATCCAATCACTGCACTTAATGGAAATCTCTCAGGAGTAAAGAGAACCGTGACTATCTTTGGTCATCCTTTGATGCTTAGATATGAATAATATTTAGCTCTCATCCTCACAACATTCCTGCACTGTAGATTTTTATATTCCTGCTTGACAAATGGCAAAATAGACCTCAGTTGGTTTGATCAACTTGTCCCTGGTAAAGGTGCAGGTAGATTTGAATCTGGGGCTGTGGGAAACCAAAATCCATGCTGCTTCTGTTGCTGCTTCTGTTCTACCATCATGCCTCCATTAAAGAAATATGTTCAGTGTGTTTAACTGAGAAATTCACCAAGTGGTACAGTATGATCATTGAATATGAGTTTTTCCTTTTCTTAGGTCCTAATTTTATTTTACTTTTCAATTTTTTATTTCCATAAGTTTTAGGGGAACAGGTGGTATTTGGTTACATAAGTAAGTTATTTAGTGGTGATTTGTGAGATTTTGGTCACCCATCACTCAAATAGTATACACGGAACCCAATTTGTAGTATTTTACCGCTCACCCCCTTCCCACTCTTTTCCCCCTGAGTCACCAAAGTCCGTTGAATCATTATTTTTTTTTCTTTTTTGAGACAGTCTCACTGTCATTCAGGCTGGAGTGCAGTGGCACAATCTCGGCTCACTGCAGCCCCTGCCTCTTGGGTTCAAGCAATTCTCCTGCCTCAGCCTCCTGAGTAGCTGGGCCTACAGGTGCACGCTGCCAGACCCGGCTAATTTTTCTATTTTTAGCAGAGACGAGGTTTCACTATGTTGGCCAGGATGGTCTTGATCTCCTGACCTCGTGATCTGCCCGCTTTGGCCTCCCAAAGTGCTGGGACTACAGGCGTGAGGCATCGTGCCCAACCCATTGTATCATTCTTTTTTTTTTTTTTTTTTTTGACGGAGTCTCGCTCTGTTGCCCAGGCTGGAGTGCAGTGGCACAATCTCGGCTCACTGCAAGCTCCGCCTCCTGGGTTCACGCTTTTCTCCTGCCTCAGCCTCCCGAGTAGCTGGGACTACAAGCGCCCACCACCACACCTGGCTAATTTTTGTATTTTTAGTAGAGACGGGGTTTCACCTTGTTAGCCAGGATTGTCTTGATCTCCTGACCTCGTGATCTGCCCACCTCGGCCTCCCAAAGTGCTGGGATTACAGTCGTGAGCCACCGCACCCGGCCCCTTGTATCATTCTTATGGCTTTGCATATTCAGAGCTTAGCTCCCATTTATGAGTGAGAACATACATTGTTTGGTTTTCTATTCCTAAGTTACTTCACTTTAGAATAATGAGTCTCCAGTCTCATCCAGGTTGCTGTGAACGCCATTAATTCATTCCTTTTTATGGCTGAGTAGTATTCCATTGTGCATATATATATCACACTTTCTTTATTCACTCGTTGATTGATGGGCATTTGAGTTCCTTCCATATTTTTGCAATTGTGAATTTGTGCTGCTATAAACATGCATGTGCAGGTATCTTTTTTGTTTCATGACTTATTTTCCTCTGGGTAGATATACAGTAGTCGGCTTGCTGGATCAAGTGGTAGTTCTGCTTTTAGTTCTTTAAGGAATCGCCACGCTGTTTTCCATAGTGGTTGTACTAGTTTACGTTCCCACCAGCAGTGTAGAAGTGTTCCCTTTACATTGCATCCACACCACCATCTACTTTTTTAAATTTTTTTTATTATGGCCATTCTTGCGGGAGTAAGGTGGTATCGCATTGTGGTTTGGATTTGCATTCATGAAGCCCGAATGCCCTGCCCTCAGTGAATCAAAAGTTAATCAGGAGAAGCAGACAAGTAAGCAATCGATTTCATGCAGCCATGTGTACATTAATAGGGATAATTGCAGGAAACTATGGGAACCCTAGGAAGAATGCTAACCCTGTCTCTGAAGTTTAGGTAAGGCTTCTTGGAGGAAGAAATATCAAAGATGAAAGGTGAAGGACAATTAGAGATTATCAAGGTGACACTAAGGGACACTAGGTCATCCTAAGCCTTTCAGTCAGGGTCAATGTGATAAACTGGAACTGAGAGATTAATGAGAATAAGTAGTATCACATGTCAAATGCCACAGAACAATGGAAAGGATATGCAAATGCAAATGAGCATGGAGCAATAAAGAATAAACAGACTTTAAATAAACATATTCTAAATCAAATAAGCCATTGCAAATCCTCAACACTGGTCTATACAATAGCAGCCCAGAAGGCCCTTCAGCATGCCGTTTGGCCTGAAATGCATTAAGGATGCAGAGGAAAATATTTGAATCTGATGTCACACTCCAGGCCTCTGTCAATGTGACATTTTTAAAATACTAAGCAAAATATTGATGGCAGATATAAAATGGTCTCTATTCCCTATGCTAATGAATTGACCATTAAATGGAAATAAGCAGCCTGTTTTAATGTTTAGATGCAAGCGCTTCTGAAAACACTCCTGTCTTGGCACTGGGCCCGGGTACCTGGGGGATGTATGGCGGTTGGGTGGAAGTCCTGTTAGAGGTGACAGCATCAGCACATAACATGCATCTTTTAAGAGCATCACTTTATTAACTTTTTGATTGTTGAGCTCCCACTACACACGGTTTCCAAAATCATTTATATTCAGTACTGATTGCTCAAACTTGCACACGGGAACAATCCATGGCAAGAACTTAAATGGCAACAAGATTGGTGTAAAAAATGTGACACAAGACAAAGAGACTGACTTTCTGCAGCAGCGTTATTGAAGGATGAGGCTTAACACCGTAAAAGAACTAAATTCACTTGCTGCATTCTCTGCACCAAAAGGCAGCAACTCTTCGATTGCTCCCAGGATGTGTGTTTCCTTCTCTGGAAGGTGTTTTATGTTTCTTTTTAATGCCTTGGTAATGACACTATTAAAAATTAAATTGGAAATGTATTTTGATTAATATACTTTCAAGGGAGTTTGCTAATTAGAGATCTGCAAAGCCCATCTTTTATCACTGGTTTTTACTTATTATAAAATGTTTTATACAATGATGGCTGATAGCAAATTTTGCTCCACACCAAGAGAGAGAATGAAACTAAGCTGGATCTAAATGAGAACAAGCCCAACCTATTCTAATTAACATGATTCCATTGAACTGTAATGTTATTGAAACAACTGACTTTTACCATTTCAACTTAATTATTCTACAATAGGCAGAATGTATGTTGCTTCATGCTTAAAGCAATTTTGAAAGCGACATCTTTGAAGTATGGCATCAAGCAGTTTTTTTTCTCACTCACAGTTTGTGAATATTGTTTTAAAACATCATTAAGTCAAATAACCATAGTCTAATTAAGTCTTTTGTAGTTTTGAGGCGGTTTCATGAAATGCCACGGGATTTATTTGACTCTTTTCCTCACTTGACTGAAAGTTCTTGAGAGGCTGAGTGAATTGAAGCCCCAGAATCCTCAGCCTGAGGAAATAAATGCTGAAAAGTATTTGAGTTGAAGTAGTATTGCTTAATGTGATGATAGAAACACGAAACTGAAGGGCTTGCTCAGCAATTCTGCTAAAATATCACGATATTACTTAGGCAAGCCCTATTCCTGTCTTTGTGCTCAGATGGGCACAGCTGCAAAAGGATTAGTTAAGAAGTTGTAAGTAAATGAGCACTTGGAATTTAAATGATAAAAGCCTGTCAAAGAATGATAAAGGACCCCTAGAGCTGAAAGAAAAAGTACATTACTATTTTTTTTAAATCTAAACGTATTTGCTTGATGGACAAGAGAGTACCGTATCCCTCAAGAGATGGGTTCAGTCAGTCTCCTGTGTCTGAAAATAGTTGAGCTAGCAGAAGAGGCCAAAAAGGAGACTTTGTTCCATGTTAGAAGAGTCTCTAAGCACTACAGTCTAACTGATTCACTAGAGAACAGGACATACTTCTTTGGCCATTTTTCTGATTTAACTTTCGAAAGTGCAGTGTTAGCTTTCAAAGAGGTCCAGGATGGGTTCCCAAGGCTGTTGGGTGCTGGATTCAGCCCTTGTTGGGAATTGGGGCAAATTTCCAGGCCAAATAGAGGAAAGAATAGAACAGGTGTACTGTTAGTGATTGCTTTGCTCAAAATCTTTAGGTTATAGAAGACTTGGGAGCCCTGTGGGGTAAACTGATTTTCCCAGAGTCACTGAAGTCTTGTTACTTGCAGGAAATCCAAAGTTACGGGAGACTGAGGTTGGGCAAAATGAGGTTATATTGTGAGCCAGGTGAAACCGCAAAAGCCTTTGACGTTGGAAAATTTGACAGAGAAGGGCTCATGTTTCAAAATAATTTCTGATTAAAGTATATCATTTTTGCATCTTCTGAAATTATAGCAGTATTACATATATCTTGGAAGATCTTCGGAATTCAGCTTAATTAGCTATATTAAGTATCATCTATTCCTGTTAGTTGTAAAAGGAATAGTGGGGCCAGGCGCCGTGGCTCATGCCTGTAATCCCAGCACTTTGGGAGGCCAAAGCAGGTGGATCACCTGAGGTCAGGAGTTCAAGACCAGCCTGGCCAACATGGTAAAACCCTGTCTCTACAAAAATACAAAAATTAGCCAGGCATGATGGCAGGTGCCTGTAATCCCAGCTACTTGGGAGGCTGAGGAAGGAGAATCACTTGAACCTGGGAGGCAGAAGTTACAGTGAGCAGAGATTGTGCCATTGCACTCCAGCCTGAGAGAGAGCAAGACTCTGTATCAAAAAAAGAAAGAAAGAAAGAAAAAAAGGAATAGTGGGCCATGAAGGCAAATGGTGAATGCACACTACACCTGCTCTTAAGGAAGCCATCATCATCTGGAGGAAAATGCACACAACAAACTGTAATACAAGACTGCTATGATGTGGGTTATAATATGATATATTAATAAATAAAATACTAGTAAACCCCAAAGAAAAAAACTATGCATTCCATCCAAAAGGGTTCGGAACAGCTTCGGAGAGGAGGTGACATTTGAATTGACCTTGATAGATTCTATCGCTCATTCAACAAGAACTTAGTTAGGATGTACTAGTTCTGCGAACCGTCCTTATTTGTTGGGATATATTAGTGTACACAAGAGATACCCATCCCTGCCTTTGTGATGCTCGCTTTCTATCAAGTAAGGTTTCTAAAAATTTACTGGGGGAGAGAATTTTTAGGGAGAGAGAGTACTGGGAACAAATTCGTGAATTATTATGTGCACAAAGTCTGGGGAAGCATCTACATAGTTGGAACACAAAGTTTATGTGTAGTAGCTATTGGGGCAGAACATGGCAGTAGATGGAGGTGGAAAGCACAGCAGGGAAAAGTCATAAATAGTATATTAGAAAGGTGGGGGCTGGGCGCGGTGGCTCATGCCTGTAATCCCAACACTTTGGGAGGCCGAGGCAGGCAGATCACCTGAGGTCGAGAGTTTGAGACCAGCCTGACCAACATGGAGAAACCCCATCTCTACTAAAAATACAAAATTAGCTGGATGTAGTGTTGCATGCCCGTAACCCCAGCTACTTGGGAGGCTGAGACCAGAGAATCGCTTGAACCCGGGAGGCAGAGGTTGCGGTGAGCTGAGATGGTGCCATTGCACTCCAGCCTGGGCAACAAGGGCGAAACTCCGTCCCAAAAAAAAAAAAAAAAAAAAAAAAAAAAGAGGGATTTTATTCTCCAGGCAATTAAAAATTTTGTTCCAGGAAAGTGCTCTTATGAAGAATCTGAAACACAAAGCAAGTTATAACTACTGTTTATTGTTGCCATGCTGAAACACTGGAAAATGCACAGAGATCAGCGTAAATGCCTCCAGGACTGACGGGATGCAGGAGGTCCTGGGCCATGGGTACAGCCCTGGTACTTACAGGCCTCCTTCAGATCCATATTAATGTATGAGCTTTGGATTGCTATGGTTGTGCCAGGGAATCTATCACCAGGCTAGTGCTCCATTTAGGAAACGATGGGGGAAAAAAACTTGGTTTGAGGCCATGCTAGGGGTTGTTATCTAAATCCCCAGAGAATGACCTATGAGGATATGGTGACCCCAAGAATAATTATAACAACTAGGATCTTTGGGGGCAAACCTATTTTTTTCAGGGCAAGCAGTCTTTGAAAAGACTCAGCAGATCTCCCTTGCCTACAATATATTAAAAACCATTTTCCCATAGCAATCTGTATTTTGCCTGAAAATCCTCTAGATTATAGGGTTATGGGATCCAATAAGTACATGCCCAACCATATGATGAGAGCATTTCAACATTCCAATAACTATACTGAAATAAACAAATATGCAGTTTGTCAGACCTTGTTTATCATCAATGACTAACTCAATGTTTTCATCTTCTCCTAAAAACTACATTGGCCATACTAGCCACAGCTCACTTTCCCAATTTTATAAGACTTTTATTAGTGTTACTATTTACCTATTAATTTCCTGTATATGGGTGGTGGATGGATAGATAGATAGATAAATACCTTAATCATCAGAGTAAACTTCTTCAGAACTGTAATCAGACCCCAAGCTTAATAACTGGCTTGAAGTTGTCTGGTGGGATTGGTCAGCAAACATGAGTATCAGACAAAGATCTATGGAGCTGACAAGCTTTGAGCCCTTTTCCAGTGATTCTTATGGTGTAGTGTGAGGATCTTCTTTTTTAAAGCTAACTAAAGTACTTATTTAAAAACAGTGTTCCAATGATTTTGTGCTCATTTAAAATGTAAAAACCACTGCACTATATTATTGATGACATAGGAGGGCAGTTGGTTTTTCACTGACAAGCAGCATAAAAGAAATTCCTGAGATAGGGCAGGGTTCATTGCAAACTGCTCTATGAGTAATCACGTATCTGTAAGGGAGTTGAGGAGATCTTAAGTAGGTCAAGATCATAAGGGAACTGGATTTTTGTTAGGCTTCCACTCGGACAGTCCTGTGTTAGATGCTTTGAAGCACTATCTCTTTTCATTTTCACAACGACTAGATAAAGACTATTAATTTTTGCAAATGAAGCTTGAGGAAGTTAAGCAACTTGCAAAGAGGCACCCAGCTACTCAAAGATAGAGCCAAGATTCAAGCCCCAGTCATTTGATTCCAAAGTCATTCTCCAAATATGTCATGCTCAGACTTTAAAACTTGATAGCAATTAAAATGCTATTTAAGTAGCATTTTAAATTACTATTGTTATGCTGAAAGTGTCTTGTTTACAATGTCAGGTTTATGACTAAAATTTGTTTGTAAACAATATGTGAAAATCAATGCATAGCCTATTAGCGGTATTTTTAAAATTGTAAATGCAATGTGATTCTTTTTGGTGAGGCCAATAGAAACATATTAATTTACTGTTTATATTAAATTATCCTGTTTTATCTCAATCTTTCTGTTTTCCATACAGCTTTTCAAATCACAAAGTAATTCTATCATGGATTGCCGTGTGATGTGTTTTATAAAAGCCAAGCATCATTGATATCTCAGAATACTAGAAAAGGAGATATTTTGAGTTGGTGAGAAATGAATGCACTGACAATGTACTGAAGGGAAGAGAATGTAGGGCATATTCAAGAAGTTTCAATGTGGGGAGAGTTGTGTGACTAGAGGTAAAGGACTTTAAAACATGCTTTACTGTCTCACAGTTAAATCTGAAGTCAGCAAAAGTCACCCACACTTATGGTAATGTGGTAACTCTATGAGCAGAAACACACAAGTAATCCAAAACAGAAATCCTAGAAGGTAAAACCGTCCTGGGACCCATTTAATCCAGTGGTCAACAAACAGAATGGGACAGGCAATGAAGGTCTGTGAAAGGCATTGCTAGCAAGAAGATTAGAGGTGTTTCAACAAACTAGCCAAAGGTCAAGGGTTCATTTTCTAGAAATCCCTTTTACTCTAAACCCTGATGGCAAATAGAACGCTATGTGTCAATTCCAGTTGGCCTGAGACCCCTTGCAAAGAGGACTGCACAAAAAACGCTGAAGGCTTATTTTGTTTCTACTCCTGCAGACAGCCCATTCTAGCCTTGTGACATTGACTTGCAGGAGAAGCTGCTCCATGCTAGGTGAACCAGAGAAACTGAGAAATAGGATCCTGGAAGCCAGAGCAGAGGCTCTTTGTCTTTGTAAATGGAACCCAGCAGATCCAAGAGGGATCCACTTGGGCAACTCACACTTCAAACATGCCACTAAATGAGTGAGAAATCAGGATTTTAGTGATGATAGAAAATTTTTAAATTATTTCTCCTTTTATTTTGGGCTTGAGAATGTTTTCTCCTTATGACCCATATAAAGTCTAGAGTTAGGATGTAAAATGGAGAAATAAGCCCACATGCTTTCATTTCTTTCACATCATCTCATTGATGGAAATGCAGTTTGGTGAAGAAAAAGAACATGAGATAGACTGGTTCTGAACCCCTCTGGGTACATCTTACTAACTTTAGGATCTCTTTCCTCTCAATAAACTGGGGACCATCCTACTTACCTTATCTAGATGCTGTAAGGACCAAATGTGATTACATTTATGCCACTTTGCATTTGTCAGTATATAATTTTATAAAGTTATCAACACGACTCTCATGCAAACATAATGTAAGCATGTGCCAAAAATACACTTAACTCCTTAATGAAGGAACCATCTGGATGGTAAATCTAGTTCAAAAAAGAATCACAGAAAGAGTGGTTATATAGTCCAACAGGAGAAGCTAATGGAAATGAATATCTGAGTTAAAGACAAAATTGATTATTGTTCAACAAGCAATAAAACCATAACCTTTGAGGTCATCTTCTGTACTAGACTTGCATCAGTTAGGTCTCTGTTGAACAAAAAATATCTAAGTCCACATGTAATTTCATAGTCTTGACCTTAGACAATAGAAAATAGTAAAACAAACAAAAGTACAATCCTCTAGAGGATTAAATCATCCTTGGGTGGACCTGTTAGGCAATGATCCCATGTGACTTTGAAACGAAATACAGTCGTTGTTCTTTTGTTTTATTTCCAAGTTTTAGATAATTTTCTCAGCAGTTCCCTATTGTGTCATAAATAATTTCCAAAGATTATTCATATTACCAAAAGTCTGATGTCATTGTGCTTAGACCTGATTAATTTACATGGGGGCAGTGCAAGATGTTCATTGACCATGGAAGCCTCTGGATATGGGTAGCAAATTCAGAGCTGCTGTTTCAAGCAGCTACTAAGGACAGAAAATTAACTTCTGTAAGAAAATTTCAAAAGAAATCTCTCATTGCATTTTCAGAATCCTTTCTCCAGAATTTTTTTTTTCTCTTACTGGCTTTTTTATTCCAAGGTGTTTGAGTTTCCTATTGCTTTTTAGGTGAATTACCACAAGCATTGTCGTTCAAAGCAACACAAATTAATTCTCCTACTGCTTTGGCAGTCAGAACTCTAACACAAGTCTCATTGGGCTAAAGTCAAGATGTTGGTAAGGCCGATTCTTTCTGGATGCTGTAGAGGGAAATCAGTTCCCTTGCCTTTCACAAGGTCCAGGGATTCCTGTAATCCTTGGCTTATGGACCCTTTCCTCCATCCTCAAAGCCAGCAATCTTTCAATTGAAAGTAGCATCTTTCAATTTTTCAGTCTCTTTCTCTCTGTCTTCTATTTCTGTCATCACATCATCTTCTGTCTCTCTGACCCTTCCTGGGTCCCTTTTATAAGGACCCTGTGGTTACATTAGGCCCACCCAGATAATCCGGGATGATCTCCCCACTTTAAGATCCTTAACTTGATCCCATCTGTGTAGCTTCTGTTGCTACCTTCTAGGTTCCAGTGATTAGAACATGGACAATGGGGAAAAGCATGACATTTATTCACCCTACCACACAAAGGTAAGAAACTCCATTCAAGAAATGCATCTGCACAATATTCCTATAGCACCTAGACATTTTGGTGAATTTCTCTGAGTGCCCAACATCTGATAGATTTCCTGGTCTACTAGAAAATTGTCTTCCTTTTTACCTGTAAGTTTATGATCGTATAAATCATAGAACAAATAACAGACCAGTTTCCAGAGAGGGCTTTCTGAATCCTGGTTCCACATTTGAAGTACAGCACTTTTTCCTTAATGGTGGGTTTGCTACACCTGATTAAATAAGATCTGTATTATTTGTAATAAACCAGATACATTCCTGGCATATTAGTCAGGATTCTCCAGAGAAACAAAACCAATAGGAGAGAGAGAGACAGAGAAAGAGAGAGGGAATATGATTTATTTTGAGGAATTGGCTCATTCAATTATGGTGACAGAGAAGTCCCATGACCTGCCATTTGCAAACTGGAGACCCAGAAAAGCAGATGGTGTAATTCAGTCTGAGTCCGAAGATCTAAGAACCAGGGGAGCTGATGGTATAACTCCCAGTATGAGGGTAGTAGAAGATGAGATGAGATGGCCTAGTTCAACAATAAAGCAGAAAAAAAGAAGCAACTTCCTCTTTCCTTCACCTTTCATTCTTCTTAGACCCTCAACAGATTGGACTGGATGATGCCCAACCACAGCGGAGAGAGCAATCTTCTTTATTGGGCCCCCCAATTCAAATGCTCATCTCATCTGGAAACACTCTCACAGACACACCCAGAAACAACGTTTAATGTGGGCCCATCACCCAGTCAAATTGACACATAATGTGAACCATCACACCTGGTGTGACCTTATTTACACAGCCAATTTATTCAACTATAGCCTGGTTATAAAAAGGACAAATTTGTATTGATTTTATACAAATAACCACATTGCCATAAAAGCTAGTAAGTTGTCTGTGAATTCTGAGTGGTCAGGGAGAATAAGGTGCCATATAAAGAATGTGTCATTTATAGGTTACCAAAGAGAGAGTTAAAGAGATCAGGAAGAGAATGAATCTTTTTATTCTTTTAATAAGATATGTAAAGCTATATCTTATTAAAAGATAATATATTATTATCTTATTATTTAATAATACCTTTTTATCTTATTTATTATTATTTAATAATATCTTATTAAAAGACCATATCTTATTAAAAGAATAAAAGAAATGACCCAGGTATCCCAAGATATCTTATAATAAGATATTAAAGCCATATAACCACAATTAGATTCCCCTCAGCAGTTCACTTAATCCTACTTGTCTTATAACTAGTGGATGTTGGATCAACACCTGGTTTTCAAAGGTCTTCTGCTCCTGGACTATTAAAAAGAGTCCTGAAAATCCTGATTCCATCCTCTAGTACAGTTAGTCATCTAAGTGACACCTTAATATCCAAAGTCTATACCAATGACTGTTTGAAGTGCCAATAGGTTAAGAGTATTTTTTGGCACCATGTTTCCATGAGGCTCTGATACTGCCATTCTCTGACAAAGGCTATTTCCAGACTGTAGTTTATAGCAAAACCTTCAGAAAAACATGAGAGTAAAGCAGAAACCACGTGTTGATGATGGGAATGAAAGTGTCTGAGACGATGACATAGAAGGTAAGTGATAATTTATCTTCTTGTTAAGAGCAGGCTAAATATTCCATTTTAAAAGAGAGAAAATAAAACTATAGTGTTACATTAATGCAGTATTTGGCAGAAAAAAAGATTCACAAAACTTAAAATATCTATCTTATTAATGAACCAATTAAAGCTGGGTAAACTTCGCCAAAATTTTAACACATTTCCTTGTTTTTATTCAGACTCATTACGTGCATATATTATACTCCGAGGTAAATAAAATTCTGTTTCCTCCAACCTTCTATACTCCACACACACTCATGCTTTGCCATTCACTATACTGTTTCATACTTTGGAACATATTTTCTTTTCACTTTGTAAACAAAAATATACCCCATTACCTTATACACATGAGCTTGCATAAAACAACCCCCTAGAGACACATACATTCTTTGAACATCATCTTCAAAGTGGCAAAACCAAAATGCTCATTAACATGACTCTAAGTTACAGTTTCTCTGTAACATATAGAAATAATAAGACGTATATAGACATTTATAGGTATAAGCAGACATACACACACTAATGGTAATCATCATGCCAATATTATCTCTTAATGAGAAGCAACCCAGATATCCCAAGATTATCCACCAGTTAACTTCTTGATTTTACATTAGCTCACGATCTGAAACGTAATAGAAACATGGAAATTCCATGTCAACTGATACCTTATAAAGTGTAAAAACTGTTTATATAAAAATTTTGCCAAAATTCTAACTCAACATAATTACATATAATTTTAAATCTTCATTTTAAACATTATGTGTCAATGCTATCTTGTCTCATTGGTAAACCAGTATAAGAAGTTTTAAGGAGTTCAGATTAACTAGCCTCTTTTCAGGAAACCAAAAACAAATCTGTAAAACAAAAAAGTACATCAGAACTCTATAATTCAGAGTGATAATATTAAGGGAGAGATATGTAATGCTATTTAAGCTAATTTTTAAAAAAATCAATTAAATGTGGTCAAATATGCACTTTGGTTACATGAACTTGCATTTTTACATACAAGCAATTTCTGTGAACTTTTTCAAGGGTAGCAATACAATGTATTTAAACTTCAGTTTCTCTGCAACATGAGAATCCTGAGAATATTGATATAAGTAATCAAATCTATAAATAATAAAAACAGAAAATCCTTATTTCACAAGGTTTTATTCATACACAATGAGGTGAAAAGGCTTTTTTTTTTTTTTAATTTCCAGAGATAGGCAGCTATTGAGGGTTGCAGTTTTGGTTCTATAACCTTAGCCATGTCTTGAAAGGAAACATAGAACACAATAACTCAGGAGGACAGAAAGGTTGGTTGTCATTTCCAGTGAACCTGAGACATAATCTTGCTCAGACAAAAGAAAAGTGCTAAGAAACCAGGTTTTCAGTCATCTCTCACCCTGCAAAGAGTTAGATTACCTGCATCTAGCTGATAGATCACCATATGATGAGAACGAAGTGCCAGGTTCACAATTATTCCTGCCACCAAAGGAAAACTTAACAGCCACATGCAGATCAGATACACAAGACACTAGTATCCCCGTGACTGTGTTCATGAGACTTGCCTAGCAGTCAAATACCCACTACTTCATATACTCAGCTATGACCCAAACGAGGAGACACAAAATGCTCTTCTCAGTAGGCAGTGAAAGTGGCACAGTGGTCTGAGACCAAATACAGGTGCCTGCACCCAGTTGTGGAGGAGAAATGACTGAAGCTGTGAGTTAGGTAAGGCACTTCTCGACTGACGGACTTGGCCAAAACTCAGAATCAAAACACATAATCACAAGACAAGACAAGACAAGACAAGAAACAACAGAGACAGAGAGTCAGCAGAAGTAAAGTTTGTTGCTACTTAGGGTTTGCTCTAGGACTGGAGTGTTGTGTTTTGGGTTTTTTTGTTTTTTTTGTTTTGTTTTGTTTTGTTTTGTTTTGTTTTTAAAAAAAGATGTTTCTGAGCTTAAATGGCCCATAACATTGGCTCTGGCAGGTGAGTGTACTTGGGCACCATCGTAGGACCATTTCCAATTTTAAGCCAGTTATATATGTGACTCTAGCACAAACATAAGAAAGCAAGTATTGAAGATGTGTCTAACTGAGGGAACCAGCAGGATGATAAAGCTTGCTGTAAAAAGACGGAGAGGCACGGTGGTTCTAGAGGCCACCAGGGAAGTCAAAGCATCAGGATAAATAGCTGATGCATGTGGGGCTTAACACCTAGCTGATGGGTGGATATGTGTGGCAAACCACCACACGTTTACCTGTGTAAAAAACCGGCATATCCTGCGCATGCACCCCAGAACTTAAAATAAAATAAAATAAAATAAAAAGCTGGCCAATGTCCGATAGGTCAATACAATTATAATTTTTCAGGTTATCTTTTCTATTAGATGGAAATCATTTACATCTCTGCCACATACAAATCCTATAAATTAACATGTAATTTCACAGAATCTGCATCTTAAACAACAGTAAATTTAAAAATAAAGAGACACCTCTTTAGAGAATCAAATCACCCTTGGATGAGGCTATTGTACTATGGCCACCATGACAAAGAAGGTCACACAATCTTTTTTTTTTTTTTTTGCTTCATTTTCAAGTTTTTATAAGTTTTATTAAAAAATAGAATAGTCACTTAAAAACAATTTTTTTCTTCACCTTGATCTAGCAAGGAAAGTTAACCTTGAGTTTGCCATGAGCCTTCCATACACAATGTTCTCAGAAGAAAACATAGTTTCCAATATATAAGTGAAGAATAAGAAGTCTCTCTCAATAGGAAACAATTTATTCAGTATGGCAAAGGACAATGGCTATGTCAAGGAAAATTCTAGGAAGGGAGGATTTACATTCTTTTACATATTTAAATTCCTTTTCAACAGATGCTGGCGAGGTTGCCGAGAAAAAGGGATGCTTTCACACTGTTGGTGGGAGTGTAAATTAGTTCATCCATTGTGGAAAACACTATGGCAATTCCTCAAAGACCTAAACACAGAAATACCTTTTGACCCAGCAATCCCATCACTGGGCATATACCCAAAGGATTATAAATCATTCTATTATAAAGATACATGCACACTTATGTTCATTGCAGCATGATTCACAATAGCAAAGACATGGAACCAACCCAATTGCCCATCAATGATAGACTGAAAAAAGAAAATGTGGTATATATACACCATGGAATACTACGCAGCCATAAAAAGGAACAAGATCATGTCCTTTGCAGGGACATGGATGGAGTTGGAAGCTGTTATCCTCAGCAAACTCATGCAGGAACAGAAACCCAAACACCGCATGTGCTCACTTATAAGTGGGAGTTGAATGATGAGAATACATGGACACATGGAGGGGAACAAAACACACTAGGGCCTGTCAGAGATGCGGACAGGGGAGGGAGAGCATCAGGAAGAACAGCTAATGGATGCTGGGCTTAATACTTAGGCGATGGGATGATCTGTGAAGCAAAACACCATGGCACACGTTTACCTGTGTAACAAACCTGCATATCCGCACATGTACCCCTGATCTTAACACAAAAGTTGAAGAAAAAAAAATTCCCTTTCAGAAAAAATAAATAAGTAAAAGAAATCATTTTAACTAATGACATTAAGAGTTGATTATCATAAGAGCCCAGAGTTAGGTGCTAGCCCCTTACTTCCCTAATAATAAAATATGTGCATTTAATTTGGACAATAAATATCTTGAGAAAGAATATACAAATAAGATATTCATGAAACCTTTTATTTTTCTTCTTTTACCTCTTGATTCCTGTCTCTTGATTATCAGATAATGTGTCCAATAAGAGGAATGAGGAAAACTCACAATATTTGATTTAGTTGCTATTAAGCAGTGGTAGACATGAAGATCTGATGCAGGGTAGAAAATAAAGCTCTTTCCTAAAATAGGGACAATAGTTTAAGTATTGTTTTCTGTTTTAAGTATACTATAATTGTCCCCTCTGCAAATGCTTCTACATAAGGCAAGCACATGGTAATTATGGATAATATAATTATATATCATTATCTAAATTGTATATGCTTCAGCCCTGTCCCAGAAAAATGGATTCCTCATGGATCCTATTTATCACATCCAGGAATTAGTCATTGCATATTCACCCTAATCAATAGTGTATTGATGATTAATAAATGCTTATCAACAATGAGTTTGCAGAAAAACAAAGAACATATACAGAAATGCAGCTAATCTAGGGGATGAGAGGCAGGAAGACATGGGTAATTGTGCCAGTAAGGGAAATTTGACGTTGAAGGTCAAAGATATTTCCTTTCAGTGAAGAACCACACAGGGAGTCTATGTAGATATTTGAGGCAGAGAAGGAAGCATTGTTAAAACATGAAAAGGGAACTTTTTTGCCACTTGGATGAGCAGGAGAAAAAGCGAGAAGTGGGAATTACTCTGCAGCCGTGATTGGAACACTAAGTTCAAGAATAAAATCAATGCAAGAGAATCCAAACAAACGGACACAATAGTCACACTTAGGGAATGAAATTGGATTTCTGATCTGGGTTTTAAGACCCCGCTATAAGCCATATGCTCCCCTAAGAGATAAATGCTACCAATTCTGTACATTTTCAGAGACCCCTGTAAATTCTGGACAATGTACCAAATTGACTCACAACATGAACCCCATAAAGGAAAAGTTGCCTCTAGAAAAAACCTTTCTGAAAATCCTATAGAATTTAATGAAGATAACTACATCCTTTCAAACAGGTCAGGAGGACAGTTGGAACAGTACCTTGTTTAGAGGCATGAAGAAGGGGCCTGAAAACTGACTTAATTCAAACCCCTAACACAGTGGAGATTTCCACTCAACCAAAGCATTACACAAATTGTTCTCAGCTCTCAGACAGATATTGTAAGCCTAACACAGCAGCTTATTTCATGGCTCTCGTTTAACCCATCAATCCACAAAGCCAGCCTTTGGCTTGCAAAATAAGAAAGAATGACCAGAGTACAAAAACTAGAATTGAGGTGTGACGGGGAGAAAAAGGAGAATGCAATGCCAAGAGGTGTACCTAAATAGACACAAGAGGACACCTCCTACTTGTATTCATTGCTGATAGTTTTTGTCCCATTGCAGAGACATGATTACCTGGATCTCAGCCGGTGTGGCAATAGGTGTTACTACTGACCATAAAGATATGCCATTCAATTTTAAAGCTAGTGCCAGTGTTTGGTATTATGGTCTCCCTTGGCAATAAACTCTAGAGACTAGGTACTAGGATCTGAAGAAGTATTTCTTTTTATGTGTTACAGTACTTGGGCAACATCTAGTTTGCCATCGAGACAGCTTAGAGGAAAAAGTTGGAGCCTTTTCTTGTCCACATATCATTCCCTACCATTGATTTAACTTCCAGCACTATCAGTGGTAAAGTATCCTTTTGTCATAATATCCACTCTATCTGAATGGTAGCCAGAAAATATGCTTTGGCCAATTATACTGGTTCCTTACATTTAAGCTGATTTCTTAACATACTCTTTATGAAATTCTGTCTATCCTGCTGTGGAACTATTTTCATTAATATTTAAAGGTGTGCCAGTTGGTGGGACAGGGAAATGGAGGAATTGTGCTATCCCTGTGTTCATATTTGGGCATATGAATATGACTGTATACATTTTGTTCTATGAGAACTACCCACTAACCAACACACTGCTTACAATATTGACCTTCTCCAAGTCATTCTCCTCAATTATAAAAGAGATATCAAATGATCTCCCTATAATGCACATCTGACCATGGCAACACATGTTTAAAACACCCCCATGATTCCCCAAAAGTCTACTGAGCAATGTCTAAGCAAACTAGCATGCTTCATAACGCCTTTATAAACAGACTACTTGCCTTCCTAGGCTCATTTCGCATCATTTCTTACTTTGCATTAGTGTCTCATGGCAAACTTATAATTTATTCTTTATTTCATGTTTTTACCCAGCACATGAATCTTTGCTTGGTGGACTTATCCTTTGTGAGCTCAGGCATTCTTGCCTTCAGGAATCTTTTGCTGACTCTTTCCCTGCAGTTGGGATAAGTGCTTCTTCTCCATACTTCTCTCCTCAATATTCTATGCAAATCTTTATCCTCAAACCTAAAGTGCTTTATGGAAATCCGTTAATGTGTTTGTTCCTACTAAACTGTAAACTTCTAGGGGCTGTATTCTCAGCATACTTCCCTGCACAGAGAAGATATTCAATAAATGGATATTTTCCAAATGAATTAATAGTGAAAACATAATTGAACCAAATTCTGTAGTCTTTTCTCCCCAGCCAGATAGTAATATGTTTTACATTGAAATTTGAGTATAACAACTGTGTTTTATGTTTTATATAGCCCAGCTTCCAGATCATAGGTGCTTCATGAATCACTTTCATTAAACCCCTCTATGGTATCTTGCCTATGATTGTAGAATTCCAGAGCTAAAGCTCGTTTTATGCAAAATCTTCACTTACTGTGCATTTCTCTGTGGCCTAAAAAAGGGACAAAATGACTCAACCAAGGCCGCAAAACTTGATAGTGGCTTAAAGACTAAATTTGGTTTCTTGACTCCCAATCAAAGATATTTCGCTATTTTTAGATGGAATTATGAGTTGAGAAATTATGGGTTAAAAGAGAGAAACGAGTGACAGAAGACAGAAAAGTAAAAACACAAATTAATAAAATTTTGTTTTGGAACAAATTAGAGCGAGAAAAAAATTAAAGTGCCTAAGGGCTATGCCATTTTGTTAAATACTAAAGAGAACACAATTTAGTAAGATAATTAGGTTTGACTGACAAGCTTCCAATCCAATTGAGGATATAAGGATTTCCAAACTGAAAGTGTAAAGGTAAGTGGTAATAAGTACAAAATCACATGTGAAAACACAAGCAATACTGGTCAGAGGGGTGTATAAGCTGGGAGGCCTGTGCCTCAAAGAGGAGAATAGTGACTGTGGACCAAAATAGCACAATAAGCCAATCTTGAAGGCTGGATAGGAGATGGAGAGGCTGAGTGGAGGCTGCAGGCTGGGATGAATAGCACAGAGGCTGGAGAGCCCAGGCCTGTTCCAGCTGGGGCTGTGCATAGGGGAGCGGTGGTAGGAAATTCTGGAGACGTAGCTTAGGCAAAATTTTCAAAGACCTCTGTATTATCCAGAATTCTCCAGAGAAACAGAACAATAGGATATATATACAAAGAGGTTTACTATGAGAAATTGGCACACCAACATGGAGGCTGAGAAGTCCCACATTCTACCATCTGCAAACTAGAGACCCTGGAAAGCTGGCTGGTGTAAGTCTAGTCTGAGTCTAAAGGCCTGAGAACGAAGAGCATCGATGATGTAATCTCCTGTTCTCAAGAACAGGTGAAGGCCGCTGTTTCAGCTGTCAGTCAGGCAGAGAGTAAATGCTCTCTTCCTCTGCCTTTTTGTTCTTTTCAGGCTCTACATGAATTGAATGGTACCCACTCACGTGGAGAGGGCTGTCTGCCTTGCTCAGTCCACCATTTCAAATGCTAATCTTTTTTGGAAACACCCTCACAGACACACCCAGAAATAATGTTTGACTAGATATTTGGGCATCGTGTGGCCTAGGCAAGTTGACACACAAAATTAACCATCACAACCTCCAACGTAAAGTCAAGGTTTAGACTAATTTGTAGGTAGAATGAATCCATTATGTACTTTATGTGCTGGTGAAAATTGCATAAATACGAAAATTTACTTGGGGACCGTGAATCTGGTCGTGATTTGTAAAATGAAATACAGCACAGCCAAGTAAAGGCTAAACGTGAGATAGTAATAGCCAAACTCTAGAATTATGAAAGTGGGAAAAGTGAGAGACAGTTATAAAAACAATAAATGTTAAAAATTAAAACGCCTCAAGTTCAGTAGCTTGCCTGAAGTTACACTGCAGATATTCAGCCCTAGAGGTATGGAAAATTCACTGCATTGCTCTGCCTCTTGGCCAAATGGGTAAATACATTCAACATATATACGTGGCGCAAATAACTGCAAATACAGTGTAATTCTTCAGAATCTTCCCATTTTATGCATGTCTAATGAATTTGGTAAAGTCAAGAGGGAGAAAAACAGCTAAGTGGATACAAAGATCTGAGTTTTCCTTTATCCCTATTTGTAAGTGAAACTCAAATCAACAAGGTTGCCAAAAATCACCTAATGATTGAAGCTGAAGACTCTCCCAAGGGCCACCGCTTTTTATTTAATAAAACCACCAGAGATACCCAATGTGAGTTCTGTGAAAGGCAGACTATTGTGAATTTTTTGTTATTTGAAATGATGTTGATATGTAGGGTAGGAAGAAGACCGGCACCCTCAAAAGTTACCCATGTCCTCATCCCTGGAACCTGTAAATGTTAATTTATATAGCAAAAAGGCCTTTGCATAGGTGATTAAGGATTTTTGAGATGGGGAAATTATCCAGGTGAGTTCTATTTAGATTGTATTTACAATCACAAGTGTCTTTATAAGACAGAAGCAGAAGGAGTTTTTTTGTTTTTGTTTTTGTTTTAGACGGAGTCTTGCTCTGTCGCCAGGCTGGAGTGCAATGGCATAATCTCGGCTCACTGCAACCTCTGCCTCTGGGGTTCAAGCGATTCTCCTGACTCAGCCTCCCGAGTAGCTGGGATTACAAGCATGCGCCACCACGCCTGGCTAATATTTTGTATTTTTAGTAGAGATGGGGTTTCACCGTGTTAGCCAGGATGGTCTCGATCTCCGCCCACCTCGGCATCCCGAAGTGCTGGGATTACAGGCGCAAGCCACTGCGCCCGACCCTTTTTGTTTGTTTGTTTGTTTGTTTGTGACAGAGTCTTGCTCTGTTGCCCAGGCTCCTGGAGCGCAGTGGAAGGATCTCGGCTCACCACAACCTCCACCTTGCAGAGGGAGCTTTTATGCAGACAGCAGGGGAGGAGGAAATGTGACCACTGAGGCAGAGATTGGAGTGATGCAACCACAAGAGAAGGAGAAATGCCAGAAGCCACCAGAAGCAGAAGGAGGCAAAGAATAGGGTCTTCCCTCGAGCCTCCAGAGAGAGCACGGTCCCGCTGACACATTAATTCCACCCAGTTAACACTGATTTTGGATTTCAGGCCTCCATAACCTTGAGAAAATAAATTTCTGTTGTTTTGAGCACCCACGTTTGTGATTACTTGCTACAGCAGCCACGGGAAATTATAATGCCCAAATGGTGCAAACACGCTAAGTCATAAACAGCCTAAAAACTGCAATACATCATTGGACTATATTAGTCTATATTCTTTTCACAGAGAAAGAAAAAGCAGGGACTCACTTCCACTCAGCCATATCTCAAAGGGAATTTGGATTGACCTTGGAAAACAGAATATTGTGATTTCTCAGATTTTGTGTATTCCGTGTGCAGACTGTTTTACGGCAATTCTTTCCATACTGTCCATTTAGGTAGCCACGATGACAGGTTTGACTGGGTTAGGATGTTAGAATTGACAGAATAAATGAGTGCTAATAAAAAGACGATGTGTTCTGCTATCTTGTCGCTGAACCAATGCAATGGTTTATAACAGCATGATGAAAACAAATAATTGGATACTGTGATGAATTTGAGGTATTATAATTTTGATGGTCTCAGGAATTATGATAAATGTTTAACAATAACAGCCACATTTCTTCTTGTCCACAGGCCCGGTGGGATGGCTTGACTGGGCATATCACCTTTAATAAAACCAATGGCTTGAGGAAGGATTTTGATCTGGACATTATTAGTCTCAAAGAGGAAGGAACTGAAAAGGTAACCTCCTTAACAATAAATAAATAAAATAACAAATGAACATTGTTCAGGCATTTTTACTAAATTGCAAAGACAAGTAGGTGAATGATGAAGTGATTCTCTAAGCATGTTCTTTTACATCCAGTTTTTTATCTCTCTTTCTTTTTTCTGCAGATAGAAGTTGATGTGCTAGATTCTTAAATTTCATGTCTTAGTAATAGCAGTACTAACTAGTGTTTCTATTGTGCTTCATTTACATAGCAAGTGTGATTATATTATTACATATATAACCCTAGAGTTGGGTGTCATTAGGCCCATGTCTTAAAGCTTTTAACAAATTGAGTTTAGACTTGGAAAAGCAGAAGCTATCAATGGTTTATCGATGGAATGGCATCCAAGGGTTACCCAGAAATTAATTTTAATTGCACATTTTATTCCATTTTGAGATTGGTGACAGACAGAATAAAGTAGGATAGAAGAGACTTACTGGAGCAAATTAACTTTGCATTCTTAATTTTAGGACAAATGCCAAAAAACTGTATTTTAATGTTGGGTTCTCATTTTAGGATTATTTTAGTTGTAATTCTGAATCTCTCCATGTTTAAAGTTCTACTTTAGTTATTATTTAGAGTAATTCCAATGTAAACTATTTGGTTAAATAATAATGATAAAAGAATTTGGCTCCTCAATATATTTTACTATGCCAATTTTAATATTCATGACTATACGTCAGAATTAACACTTACAGTTTGAAGATTTTGCACTGACAATCTTATAGAAAAACAATTGAAACCCCCAAAGCAATCACCTCAACAGAAAACTCTATAATCTGACATTTTTTTTCCCACTATAGTGAATAAGACAGTGTGCTTAATGTAAGAGTGGCTTTGGGAACAATCGATTGCTTGATTAATTAGATTAGTTGGGTTGATTTTTTAAAATGAGGTAAGGTTTTCATTTCCGTTTTCTTGCTTTTGTTAACCAGGACACATTTTTTTTGCAGGTGCTAACTACCCCTCCCCCTCAAAAAAACATTAATGGAAACAAAGATCATTTAGGCTGAATGTATTAGAAGGTGACCACCAGTGTGAAATATTTGAGGAAAATAATTTGTTTGCAGTTTTGAGAGTACACATTATACATGCAGGTTACTCACTTCAAAAATGTCTCTCCCATCTTCTGGCTTCCTCTTCACTCTGATTTGCCCCTCTGTTGGTCTGACATGCCCTGATAGAGCACAGGGCATCCAGCCAGTCTCCACGATGGTGCATGGGATGTTGGCTGGAGGGAACAAAAGAAAAAAAATACTTGTTATGATCTAAAAGCCTATAATTTTTTTAAGAAAATGTCTGCTTCTCGAAGCATGAGTCTTTCCCCAACTCTGTTCTCCTCTTATGTATAGCACTGAAGGGGGAAGAAAAGCTGTTAAGGAAACATCTTTTTGGCTAGGTGAATGATGAAATAGATGGAGCTATTGTTATGCTTTCACAGCTATCTATACACCGTAATATTATGCACATTGCATTGGTGTTTTTCCATCAAAGGCAAAATCAAATTAGATGAAAGTGTTTTGTGTTGGTTTCTTATCTCTTCATTGTTTGCAATAACTTTTCTTTCTTCAGGTGTCTTGGGCTCAATTCCTGAGAAGGCTGATTGGGCCTTAAGGCAATGAGGGAAGCCAACACATCTCTCTCAGGAGCCGAGGGAGGAAATGCCCAATCTTTTTATGTCAGCCTCTCTTGGAGTCAATAGGGAAAATTATTAGAAAAATCCCATTCTCACTTTCACTCAAATTTCTACTGCCCAGAAACCCATAATCAAAGAACAAGTCATCAAGCATACTTCTTCTTTATATGTGTGTGTCTGTGTGTGTGTGTGTTTGTGTGTGTGTGTGTGTATTGATTGATTTGCTGGTTGGTTGGTTAATTGATTGATTTTAGTTACCAATGCCTTAAAAGGGTCTTCTTAAGGAACAATGAAGACCCTTAATACTGCAGCATACCTGTATACATTGAAAAGCACTTTAAGGCATTTCTTGGTGTGTGAAAGGAAAAGTAAAAATTGAGTCTTACCACCAGGTAACTTCTGTGAGACCCAAGTCTTGATTCGTCTCTTTGCTGTACCTATTGTCAGGCTTTATATTGAATTAAGATGCAAATTCCAAACAATGGGTGGGAACTGTAACACTCTAAGCACTCACACACCATGATTCCTTCTGGGTTTCACGCTCCATTTTAATTAAGTGCTGTTTTTATTTTATTTTTCTCTCTGAAAACCAAGGCTGCTGGCGAAGTGTCTAAACACTTGTATAAAGTGTGGAAGAAGGTTTGTACTCTGACAACAACTGCAGGAAACCTGGGGGTGGGATGGGGAATGTCATTGGAAAGGCCTGTGCCCTTCCAATGTTACCAGACCTGTAGCTCTCCAATTGCAGTTTAGAAGGGAAGTTCCATGTAAAGAGAGAGGAGTGATTGAATATGTTATCTCTCTCAACAACATCACCTGTGAATTGAAAACAGGTTTGCAGTGGATTAAATAATTATGGATTAAATATTTCCCCCAAGATTATTTTTGTTTCTCCCAGGCAGGATCAGTCCTTGTTAGGATTGAAAGCAGGCAACTGTAACAGAAGGAGACACTGACCTATTTATATTCCTTCTCAAATCACTAAATATTTTCCTTAAGGGGGATAAAAATCACAATAGATTTGATCCATGAGACTAGTCAGATAGGCTACAGCCTCAGAAGGCTAGGACACCTCCTGTAATGTCACCACCACAAAATATGAACCATTTTCAGAAATTTCCTTTTCTCATGAGCTATCTTTTGTTTTGTGTGATATCTTCATCAGAGTATACTGTCTTGCAATTTGTTTTAGAGCCACAGTTCTAAAGAGGACACAAACGTTAGGGACCTTGGAAAGGAAATGAGATTATCTTGTGAATTATAACACCCACTATTTTATAGTTTATTATACAGTGCCATGTTGCCAATGAATGTGCATAGATTTATGTAAGCAAATATGAGACATTAAAAACATTTGGATCAGAGAAATGTCCCCGTGGTAAGCAAACATTTTCTTTCATCTCTTCTCTCTCTTTCTCTTCCTCCTCTCCTTCCTTCCCTCTCTGTCTCTCTCTCTCTAAAACTACTTGGTAAAAAAAATCTATGGACTGATGAATGGACCTTAAATTGCTTCAGGTTGTTCAACTTGAACAGTTTTGTCAGGTTCACTTTCATCTTTCAAATTATCAGCTATGTCACAGAAAGTGTACACAAGTTTCTCCCTGTAGCCAAAAACCTTGTCCCCCTCTTAGTAGTACTCAGTGATGAATTCAAAAATTTTTTCTTTTTAAGTTTTCAAAGCATAGGTTTAAAAGCCTTGTTTTAATCTTCAGTGAACAAGGCTACTAAGTGCATGTAGAAGGCGATCTGGTTTCCTCACTAAAATTTTACTGGTAAATAGATGAACCTAACCGGCACCCAGAAAAAGAAAAAAAAAAAAAAAAACCTATTACACTAATCCATCTTGAGACTCTGGGCACTTTGAATTAATCTAATACAAATGTCCCAGGGAATGGAATCCAAGCTTTGAAATTATATAAAGGGGAGGGGGGATGTCCTCTATTTGTCACTAAACTGCAAGAGCCACACACACTCCCGAGGGTTGTAACTTTCTGATCTTGATCCTCCATGCCTTCATGCCTCTTCCCTCCTGGTAGCCCATCATGTTCCACATTGTAAGTTGTATATACTGTGGTGTGCTGTTTTGTGTTATAACTCCGTCAAAAATTCACGGTAACCTGAGTTCTAGCACAGGCGACCCACTCAGACCCAACAAACACATTGCACTTTTTCCAGAAGTCTCCAACTTAAACAAAAATTCACCTTCATCATATTGAAATCCCAAAAGCTTTCCTCGTACTCTGACTTATTTTAGAATAGTATTATTCACCCAAAATTCTTTCCAAAAGAGGAAGGTAGCAATCTTTACAACATCCCTCACTAAAATATTTGTTATATAAGGTTCGTAATACAGGAAACACATATACCTTTATCTTTGCCCTAGATACCTGATTATTTCCCTCAGCCACTTTAGATGTTGAGTTTACATGAATCACTGTCTAGGTTTAGAAGATAGATACTAGTGGCTCTCTGAATACCCTTTTTATTGCATCGCTTTTTAAAAAAAGTTTGCTTAATGTCATTTGGGCACTCATTTTCAAATGCTTTTCTCAGTTGTCCTAGATAACACATGGCTGCTCCCTTGTGCCAGCTTACAAAGTGAAAGAAATCAGGGCCAGGTAATTTAGATATTGAGTGCTCCTCCCCACAAGTAACTGATCCACCCTCCACTACTTCTCACTGGTAAATGACTACTGTCTGCTTTCACTGTGAAGCTTGAAAACTGAGGTTCCGCTCCCTGGAGGCACTCCTCCTAGTTCGTAGAACAGTACTGAAATGTCAAATGTCCAGGCATCTTCTTAACTGTACCTCTGTCTCCAGCACACATGAATCATGAGATCTGACTTCTTTAAAGGGAGACATTCATTTCCTGAGAACATATTCATTTACTTCAAGTAACAGATAAAGCCACATGACTACTTGGGTTTAAAAGACACAGGTACACACATGCGTGCACATACACACACACACACACACACATACACAGTTCTGTTTTGCTGATTACAGGTTTGGAAACAGAAGACTGAGGTCACTCAGCATATATATACTGTACATTTCCCAGGAATAGCCTGACCTTTACTATATTTTGATACTCTTCTAGTCTACATTTAAAGGACCTTCTGTAGGTCCCTCTGTAGAGACAATAGGGGAAAAAATGGTCACCCTTTTCTCATTTTAAGAAGGAAAGTTTAAACTGAATAGGACTTGGGACTTAGTTGATTGGATTGGCAGCAGCAATGATCTCTTAGCTTCTGCACTTTTAGTGCAGATAGCAAAGGAAAGAAAAACCAGACATCAAGCTGTGGGGTGTATTTGTCTACAAGTTCAAGTTTTATTTTACAAGAGAGTGATATTGCTAGGCTATTGAACACTGTCAGTTTCAAATATTACGGTAGTTCCTCCAACACTCACATACTTGACATTAATAGAAATAAGATTTAAAGAGACCACATCCTATCACTTAATCAAGTGGCTAAAAACAGTTATTTTCTCCACCCTTCAATACTTACTTAATTAAAAATTAGATTCCCTTCTCCTCAGTGTCTAAGTGAAGGTTTAATTAGAAGTACAGTCAGGGCCCAATTTACACACACTCTTCATGGAGCTAGGAGTCAATTGTTCACAACCTAAAGCACAGCCTTGGATGAAAATCAATAGACAGGTATATTTAGCCAGAGTTACATTTCCTAGAAGCAAGGGTCCCTGCCTCAGAAGAAGGGATGGAGATTGAGAAGAAAAAGAAGAAAATGCTGTCCACTTTTCCTGAGTCTAAAGCCAGATTAAGAAACCTAAAGATTCTTCAACCATTAGACGTATAATGTGCATTCTAGGTGATATTTATCACACTAGATCCTGGAAACGTTGGATGGTTATTAAGAGTACAGCTTACAACCCAATAGACACTTCTTTTCAGGCAGGACCACAATATTTTCAAATGCAAAAACTATCCCATTCCCCCATTTACCTATACCTGTCTCTTTATTTCTCCAGTCAACTAACCCTCATTAAGTATAGGAAATAAAACTGAAATTAAAATAGTTCACACTGATGTGTGAACGTGTAATAGTCCTTGAAACTTTTTCAAAGCATTGATGTCTCTAAAAGGGATATTTGTCAAGCTAAATGAATTTCCAGCTGCTAAATATAGGCAATAAATCAGAGTCAAGAAATAGAAAAGCAAAGGAGGATGGAGCCTAACACTCCTGTCTGTCTTCCCATTAGAGGAACATATTTAGGGACCAAGCATAGCTCCACCCTGTCCATCTCAGAGCGGGTCCAAGTGTTCATGTTCCTAAACTGCCACTTGTCATAGCTCTTTTACCTTATCAGAATCTGAATTTTTAAAAAAATGAGTCCAGATTCCTTCATGACAGGGTAAGGTTGAAGAAATGACTGAGGCAGCCATTTCAATGTCCTTTCTTGTTACTATGTGTGCAGGTCTTAACAACATGCACCAACACTTCCACATACATCATCTGATTATTTGATCTTCTCATTATTCCTGTGAAATACTTTATAGGTAAAGAATCAACTGAAGCTCAGAAAGTTTAGAATCTCATTCAAGGACACACAGCAACAAGGTCTTCCTGGCTCTAAAACATACTTGCAAGCCACCATGTGAGGCTGGCAGTAAATGCCTACAGAAAGATAGGCATTTACAAAATAGCTCAAAATCCCCAAGGCTCCTCTTCTGGGTTCCCACAGAGGCTGAATGAATCAATACACTTCTACACCACCTCACAACCCAGGAGTGACTTGGCCACTGGAGAAAATTGTGGATCATTATTTTTAAAAAGAGTAATGGGCTTTACTGAATGCCAGTTGCCATGGTTGGTTTTGTGACAGTAAAATCAGTGACCAGTAAAAGTGAGCATCCTCACTGAAGGAGTTCACGATCAAGTGGACAGACAAGACAGGTAAACAGATAAATAATAACAGAAGACGCTAGCTGCTGTGACAGAGATATGAACAGAGTCCTGCTAGGGCTCACAAGCACTCTTTGCCCAGCTTTGGCTCCTCAAAGAAGATAGGCCCTGAATTTAGTCTACTTCTCATGCACATGACATGTTTTCTTTCATTTATCTTTCTCTTTTTAAAGAAAAAATTACTTTATTTTTTCAGTGTCTCGCTCTGTCACCCAGGCTGAAGTGCAGTGGTGCAATCACGGCTCACTGCAATCTTGACTTCCTGAACCCAAGCCATCCTCCCATCTCAACCTCCTGAGTAGCTGAGACTGCAGGCGTGCACCATCATGCCTGGCTAATTTTTTTTAATTTTTTGTATAGATCGGGTCTCACTCTGTTGCCCAGGCTGGCCTTGAACACCTGGTCTCAAGAGATCCTCCCACCTTGGCCTTCCAAAGCACTGGGATTACAGGCATGAGTCTCGGCACCCCACTATCTTTCCCTTTTAGATGCTGGGTCTCTCCACCATTCACCCTGCCCCTTCACCCCATTATTCATAAATTTTAAATAAACTAGTGATACTACTTTGGCAGCCTAAGGTTTCTATCAGTAGAATGTAAGCTCCACAAGGGAAGAAACTCTTGTATATTTTATTCATTGTTATGTCCTCAGATGCCTAGAGCAGTGCCTGGCACATAAATAGATGCTCAGCAAATATATATATAGGAAGAAAAATCTGATATTCATTTAAGAATTCTTATATATTTTTTCATTTATAAAAGAAAATGAGTTTACTAAATGAAAAAGAAAAAGACCTCCACCTACCCTGCCCCCAATAGCACAGATATATCCTATTTTGTCTACACATTCATTCCTCTGTTGTTTCATTTCCCCACGTTTAGTAGCTTCCACTGTGATGCCCCAGTGTCCCAAACTGTGAGCTTTTGTGCCCATTCCTGGTAGAGAAGGGGCCTCTCTTTGGTGTAAATGCCACACTGACAGCCAGCAGCCTCTGATGTACTGTGTTCTGTGTAGATTGGGATTTGGAATTCCAACAGTGGGCTTAACATGACGGACAGCAACAAAGACAAGTCCAGCAATATCACTGATTCATTGGCCAACAGAACACTCATTGTCACCACCATTCTGGTAAGTTGACTTCATGGAATTGAGGGTGTCTTATCCAGGCTCCTGCCTTAGACTTCGAAGCATTCCTCAACTGTCTTTTTCATGCCAACGCTTCTGTCTGCAAATGTCTATTTTTAACTAGGACACTAAAAGCCTGTGTTTGTACATACTTACAGGAAGATTGAATTAGACGCTTCCAACGTTGTTCTGAAGATCTCCCACCTCTAATCCATTGCCAGTCCTGCTCAGCCCCACTCTCTGTCCCCTCCCAGCTGGTCTCCCTTGCTCTCTGGCTGCTAGTTGGTTTCAACCATGTGGAGACCCTAGCAAGAGACTAGGGAAGTGGGGGAAGAGGTGGGGGAAGAGAGGCAAGAGAAGCTCTTCTGTTCCCTCCCAACTGCTACTAGTAGTTTTTTCAGAACCTCTGACTTTCTACAACCATAGCTTCTGCCCATCAGTGGCACTGTTTTTAGGGTCCAGCTGCACTGAGCTTCAGGAGTATTCTTTCCTCCCTCCTGCCTCAGCCCTGGGTGGTGCAGGTTTCCTGAAGAGGCTGTTGCCTGTGTGTCTATGACTTGCCACCAAATCAGACCCCCACCTCCCTTGGCTCCCTTTGCTCTGCTCACACTTCTGTACACAGCTCCTTTACTAACTGTTCTTGAAAGTCCTGCCTCCTATTAGTGCCCTGGTCATGCCCCATCCAGCCACTGTACAGCTACCGGTTGCTTATTTTCCGCTTTTTCCTTTCTCCAGGGAGTTGGGCAGGAGTAGCCTTCCCTGAAATCCTTGCTTGCAGACATCCTGCCTTACACCAGTCCATAATGTCAAATCAATTTATTGTTGATATTATTAACTTGTGAGAATTGTTCATCCAAAGGAAAAACTGGTTTGCTCTTCTGGTTACTACTTTCTCTATGACTGTCTTATGAAAACACAGGGTTCTCTACTGTGTTTGAATGACCCCATTATCAGTTTGAGGATAAACCTAAATATAAAGAATATGTCTGTAGTATAGCAACTATTATATTTTATAAAACCAAATGAGGATTCATTTAGTCAAATGAGAATTAACAAGGTTATAGATGCATGGTAGTAGGGAAGTGTCCATTATTTATAGGAGAGGGGACTGATGATGCACGTATATAAGCAGAGAATGACCAGATGTGAGATTTGAGGTGATTTCAAAAAAGAAAATGGGAAAGATGATAAAAGAAGAAATAGAAATGGCCTTTGGAATAGGCTACCCTGAAGGAAACCAATCAAAATATATAAATCATAAGTGAATAGTGAAATTCAGATGAAATTTAGATAAAGAAATGAGAATAGTCATAGATAGGAAATGCAAAGAATGAAAGGAAATAGTTGGTGATGTAGATTTCTCTGTCATGAGGTTCTTAGATAAAAGCCAGGTCCGGGCTTGGTGGCTCACACCGGTAGTCCCAGCACTTTGTGAGGTGTGAGGGTGGATCACGAGGTCAGGAGATCGAGACCATCCTGGACCAACATGGTGAAACCCCGTCTCTACTAAAAAAAAATACAAAAAAATAGTCAGGCGTGGTGGCAGGCGCCTGTAGTCCCAGCTGCTCAAGAAGCTGAGAAAGGAGAAAGGCTTGAACCCGGGAGGTGGAGCTTGCAGTGAGCTGAGATCTCCCCACTGCACTCCAGGCTGGGTGACAGAGTGAGATTCCGTCAGAAAAAAAAAAAAAAAGCCAGAAGGGTCATACAAAAAAAAGCTTAGGTATTGGCACAGCAGGTGGCCAGGCATGTGGGCCCCCATTTCCCTTTGCGCCTTCCTTCTTCTCAGACCCAACATTTAACAGTGACTGTGTATCCATCACACCATTCCCGCACAGCCCCACCCTCCACAGCGGAAGGAAAAGCTCCCATCGAAAGACGCAGAAGGGAAAGAAACAATAATATAGGAAGTGTTTTGTATTTATAGAGGACATAGGCAGGCAGATGAGTGAATGACTTCAGTACTCTCAGCTCTTCAAAATCATTATCAAACATTTCACATCTTCAAGCTGCTGATAGGGTAAACTCTTCCTTTCATTATAACAGGGTTTTCATATTTGGTTTGTTTCATTTAGGAAGAACCCTATGTTATGTACAGGAAATCTGATAAGCCTCTATATGGAAATGACAGATTTGAAGGATATTGCCTAGACCTGTTGAAAGAATTGTCAAACATCCTGGGTTTCATTTATGATGTTAAACTAGTTCCCGATGGCAAATATGGGGCCCAGAATGACAAAGGGGAGTGGAACGGGATGGTTAAAGAACTCATAGATCACGTAAGTAACAATATTTCTAACATATCTGAAAATATGCATAAGAGAAAGTAAGAGAGGAAAAAATGATGTCAGAAGAAATGTTTCCTTTTTTTGAATCGTAACAATTTTTTTAAGAAGCAAAGTAAAACAGCCTGGAAATGGAGTTTGCTTACTTAGAAGGGCAAGTAAAGATAAAAATTAATGATAAAAATATATGGTGCATTAGTTTGTTTTTACACTGCTATAAAGAACTTCCTGAGACTGGGAAATTTATAAAGGAGAGATTTAATTGACACAGTTCCTCATGGCTGGAGAGGCCTCAGGAAACTTACAATCATGGCAGAAGACACTTCATCACAGGGTGGCAGGTGAGAGAATGCGTGAAAGCAGGGGAGATGCTAGACACTTATAAAATCATCAGCTCTCATGAGACTCACTCATAATCACCAGATCCCAATACCCCATGATCCAGTTACTTCCACCTGGTCCCACCCTTGACACATGGGGATTATTACAATTCAAGGTGAGATTTAGGTGGGGACACAGAACCAAACCATATTATATGGATCCTTCTTTCATACTGAACATAAACTTGAGTGATTCTTAAATTAAGAATTTTACACTTTGGGAGTCTGAGGCAGGCGGATCACAAGGTCAGGAGATCGAGACCATCCTGGTTAACACAGTGAAACCCCGCCTCTACTAAAAATACAAAAAATTAGCCAGGCGTGGTGGTGGGCGCCTGTAGTCCCAGCTACTCGGTAGGCTGAGGCAGGAGAATGGCATGAACCTGGGAGGTGGATCTTGCAGTGAGCCGAGATTGCACCACTGCACTCTAGCCTGGGCGACAGAGTGAGACTCCGCCTCACAAAAAAAAAAAAAAAAAAAAAAAAAAGAATTTTAAAGTTTTCAGCTCAGAGCAAAATCTCATCATGTCAATTAATAGTACAACCAAGTTGCTCATTCCTTCTTTTTCTCACATGCCCTTTTTAAAGGCATCTTCCTGCATTTTTGTCTTTAGTTCCAGAATGATGGATATATATTTGTGTATGTATATGTGTGTTTTATACTTTCTGGTTTCTCTTTGCTGATACTGTTTCATAAACATAACTGTATAAATTGGCTTTTTTTTATTAGAACCAACCATCACAGGAGCTTCATGAATGAGAAGCATTTAGAGTTGAGAATAAGAATCAGGAGTACCCAGGAAAAGTCTAGACATTTGCAAAGAAACTAGACTAAGCTGACAATTTTGGACTTGCTTTTGCAGAGGGCTGACCTGGCAGTGGCTCCTCTTACCATCACCTACGTGCGGGAGAAAGTCATTGACTTCTCCAAACCCTTCATGACCCTAGGCATCAGCATTCTCTACCGGAAGCCCAATGGTACCAATCCAGGCGTTTTCTCCTTCCTCAACCCCCTGTCTCCAGATATTTGGATGTATGTGCTCTTAGCCTGCTTGGGAGTCAGCTGTGTACTCTTTGTGATTGCAAGGTAAGTTTGAGAATCACTGAATTCACAAGAGGTGTAGGTCAGTCTCAGATTTCTGTATGTCCCAGAGGCAGACAAAAATTAGGAACTTTAAAGTGTACTTTTAGTTTTGCCTAGTGTTCTATTCTTGGAAGGTTTCCATATAAAAGCCGTTCTGTAAATGAATGTTTTCTAATTATTTATAAAGTTACTTTTAAAAGAGAGGAAGATAATTTTTAATATTAGTTTAACTTTATCCCTATTTCAAGCAACATAAAATGGTTATTTAGCCATTTTCCTTGATTTATAACAAAAGTAATGGCTCAAATGATGTGTAAAATGTTTCCATAGGAATTGTAAAATGGTCTCAAGATATTTGACCCCTAGAATATTTGGATAAGCAAAACATAAAAAAGTCAGCAAAGAATTATCATAGCAAATAAAAAACAGTGGAGTAAAAAGATTGTGAAACCCTTAGGAATGAAGAAAAATACTTTAAAAGTTCTATTAAATTTATTTTTAAAGGCATGAGAAAGTTAAAGAGAATTCTAGAAATAATGCTGAAAGGAAAGATTGCTTACATACAGAGCCTGGAGGCATGAAACCTTTGTGCTATCATTAAGATGATTCAATTGAGGTTTTACTTTTCGAGATTTAACTCTGTATTTAACCATTTTGCTCTACACAGTTCCTTAAAGGATTTTTATACCTTTCAATAGATCATATATTCTGAATACTTTTGATGCTAAATTTGAAACAGTTATTTTATCTTTCTGTTGGCTTAAACATTTGCTGTCCCTAGATAAACCATGTAAAAAATAATTGCTTTTGTATGTCCCTACTTGTTTTCAATCTTTTTCACCTTTCAACAAAACTCAGTGAACTTTTTCCCTAATCAATTTTTGTTTTCCCTCCAGGAATTTCTAAGAGAAATATTTCTTCATGCTAGCTCTTTGTCATTGTCCACTGTCTGGTTTTGATTAATGCCAGGTAACTCTTTCCCTGGTGTAATTATAAAGAAAGCTTGGGAAAATAACACAGGCTGGAAAGGTTTTAAAGATCCACAAGGCAGACATACTCAAACTGAATCAACATGTGCTCTCACATGTGGGTATTTATACATTCAATATGAAATGAATGTTTTGATGTTCTCTAGGCCTTATAAACTGTACCCTTACCAAAGCTCAGATTTTATACTTTTACTGACCAAAGCTCTCTTTAAATATGCCTTACTTCAGAAAATAAAATATTGACAGTATGTATATAGTGATATTATCCTTTGTATTTTAATACTCTAAATCAGTGGTTCTCAACCAGGAGGGATTTTGTCCCCCAGGGAACATTTGGAAATGTCTACAAACATTTTTTTAGTTGTCATGGCCGGTAGTAGGGAGTGCTATTGGTATCAAGTGGACGGAGTCCAGGGATGCTGCCAAACATCTTATGGTGTACAGGACAGGTACCCCCCAAAAGAATTATTCACTCCAAAATGTCAATAGCACCAAGGTTGAGAAACCATGCTCGAAACAATTAAAGAAGATATTGCTTTGGGTATAAAATTTTTAAAAATAAATTGTTTACCTTTGGAGGTATTTTTCATTAGTGACTCCTCAGTGAAGTTAATATTGCCTCGGAATGGTCATTTAATAAATGACTATCCTAAGGTGAAGCACCTTCTAATAAGTAATCTTGTGTTTACTTGTTGCATACCTCTGCCCGGAGGCCCACACCTGTTGGGTGATACTAGGACTGATGGAGCAATTCATGCAGCCCAGGGCAACAGTAGTTTCCATATTTCGCAGGGCAAAAGTGAGTTTCCATATTTTGCAGTCTGAGGCTCTGTCTAGGCAGTGATGTTGATGAGTAGAACAGGCAAGGTGAGGTTGATGAGCAAATACATTGTTTATTACATGACTTGACCAAAGCCAGTAGGAGAAGAAACGCCAGCAGCATCCAAAAGTTCTCACAAGCACACAGGCTGAAAGTACCCTTTACACTTAACTCCAACTGTGCGCTTAAATCTCCTTATGTATGTCATCAGAGTATGTCAGAATGGCACGCCATTCAATAGTTTTCCCCTCTTTGTCTATTCTTCCATAAGCTCTTGGTGACCCAGACCTCCATATTTTTGGACTTCATTCAGTTTATTTCTATTAAGATAACAGTACCCCCACTACCACCATCAATGCAATCCATTCAGTAGTTCTACTCACCGAGAGTATCATTTATAAGCCAGTCCTCCCTTATTTAGCTTATTCTTCTTGTCTCCTCTTCCACTGCCTTCTTGCCCTTGTCTTGGTTCACACGTGGAGGTGTTATACATCCAGTGCAAACTTGGAAACAGTATAGTGACGAAATACAGAAAATAACTCCCTCCAGGGCACAAGTGTACTGTCATGAAGATTCTACTTTCAACTACATTTACCTTCTCTACACCTTAGAATCCATCCCTGCTTCTGCTTCATAAAGCCACTAAATATATATTTAGACTTGATTCCCAAAAACAAAATTCTGGTTGAGTAGATGTACCAAGTCACCTTTACTTCCTACCATCATAGTTTGAGACCATGAACTCCGTCACTCTGTACCCTCAGTTACCACCTTAGTGGTTTGCATTCCAAGTTAGGGAAGTGGACATGAAAAACAGTAAATTTCATAATTATCTATAGCTCTAGAGAGACTTTGGAATTTATGTTGTGAATTGTATTCTCTTATGTTCTTTTAAAGGGGAAAAATAAAGCCCCATCACTGCATTTAAGCAAATGCCTTCACTAGATAGATGCCTAAAAATTATTTGTTGAACTGAATTAAATTTATAAAGATGTAGACATCGGTGGGACAAACTAAGGAAAACAATATTTAATTACTATGACTTTTAATTAAGTGTGTATGTCAGGGTTTTTGTTTTGTGGTTGACAATGTTTCCACTTTTTGAAAAATATTTAACTTCAATAAATTATGTCCATCATAAACAATTTAAATAGATCAAATATCCAGATAGAATGTCTGCTTACATTTTATCATTTATGTTCGTCTTCTTAAAAATGGACATTTTTAAAGTTGGCATTTGGCAAAAAAAAATCTAGAAAACCCTTGAAAGTAAATTCTATGGTTACAATACAAACCCCACCATTATATTACAAGTTCAATAGAGCATTCTCCCTTGAAAGATGAATGGATTTTTCTCTCCTCAATGCAGCCTACTGTGCATTCTCAGCCACAAAAATTAGTCCCTTAATTAGAAAACTTCAGTGTGAGCTTGTTTTATATCTTCAAGTGTAAGCCAGGCAGAAACAAACATAAACCCAAAGTGAACTTTCACATTTCAACATAAGGCTACTCTTCTATATGCAAGTTTTGTCACAGGTTTTAAGCATGTTTCTTCCCTTCTCTATCATATTAGTAAAGATGAGTATTGATTTCTTGAGAGTCATTTGGGGATAGCAGTTTCGGATTATCTTTGGTGTAGGTCATATATTAATCTTTTCACCAGACTTCCTAATACTGACACTGCTGTCACACTGGCTATCTTTAAGCAGGTGTTAGGAATTCTAAGCTGAAATGTCTACATCCAGGCAACAGGTAGGTCTATTGCCTTATAAAAAGCCAGTGTCTTACAGCACAGCATCATGTCACTGTTTAATATTCACCAGACCACATGCTCCACAAATCACTCAGAATCCCAGAGAGAAAGACCTAAAATATCTCTGCAGAGCAGGCAGAATCACATTGCTGTTTAGACAGTTTTTCTTTTTGCCACACAAAAATTAGATTAATTGCTCTCTTATAAGTGCAAAGTATGAAACAAGACCAAGTTAAAAGCAGCATTCCAAAGAGGGAAGTGATGAGCTCATCGATGGGAGCATATCTGGGAGAGAAATGTCAGAATATTGAAGGGGGCTGGTGGTTGCCAAGTCTTACGGTCTGTTTGAAAAAATAAAACCCCTTCTCTTGAATACATTAGGCTCTTAATTTATTTCAATTAATATTTTTAAATTATTGTACAAGTGACAATGATAGTGTTTAAGTAACGGGATCTTTACTCTGCATGCTGTTTCCATTAATAGGTTCATTAATATTGGTATTCATTTCTTCAGCTCAGCAAACTACTATGGCTATAAGAGTGTGCAAATTCAAAACTTAATTATATTGTTGAAACATTAATTAAAATGTGTTGGCATGGCATTGTCAATTAAAGCTATATTCATCAGCTTCATAGGAACCTGCATGGTGTACCCTGCAGCTGTGGAGAAGCTGCAGTAATGAGTCGGATTCCATTATGCTGGCATAAACTACGAGACTGTTATCCCAGTCCCCCTAAGACTCAATGAGGAGGCACTGAACACTTTCCGGAAGGTGTCTGGAGGTTTAGAAAATGGTTTTTCATGAGGAGGAATTGTCTGCTCATTTCCTTGTGCTGGATTCACAGCATGCCCTGCTTTTCATATAGATAATGTATTCACCTCAAGCCCGGTTCTCCCCAGTGTGTCAGCAACCCGCCATTGTTTACTGCTGAAACTGTATGGCTGGAGAGCATTCTCTGTGTTCTCATGGGCTTTATGGTGTTTTTAACATTACTCTAACACTCCTGCTTGCATTGAAAAGACCCAATGGCAAATGGCTAATCTTCCAGTGCTAAAAATTACTGCATTTTAAATTATTTGCAGATCACTTCGTTGAGCTTCTGCTAATGTCTTTTTGGAAAAATAAGTACCACTTGGCAAGATAGTCCTCAAAAGTAACCACAGAGCAGAGACCTCCTTTGGGCTACATAGGTCAGACAGATGCTTAAAAAAATAGAGAAAGAACAAAAAATATATTTGGTTCCACAGATTTTTATTTTAAGTACACCCTCAGAGATATCTGGATTCCCTCCTCTTCACAAATAAGGAAATTGAGGCAATAGAGGTTGAGTGAATTTTTCAAAGTCGACTTCCCACACTACTATACTAGTTGTTTTTCCAGAAACGTTTACTGCCCATAGCGCACCACCTTGCAGGTAGACCTATAATAATGCTATAGAAAACATACCACTTACCGAACCAGGGTTGCTGATTAAGTGACCACAGGCCATGGTTCTGAAAACAAATTTAAAACAAATCAAAAGGAAATTATGAATTTGAAATTCTGCAGTGAGGCATGCTATGTAGTTAATACTAATGTGTACCACTAGGCCTGGACCAGTATAATTCCAAATGTATGCCTTGTCTCTTCCTTTAGGATCATGATTTTTCCCCGTGGACTATTCGAAAAACATCTAATACACTCCAAATTCAGCTCTACATTTTGTTCACTAATTTGTTCAGCCTTGCAATCCCTTTCATGCATTACAAAATCGCTAGACCACCACTTAGACTCCTTCTAACCATCTGTCCATACAAACCCCTTGAAGGCAAGTCACCCCTCTTTTTTGTGTCTCCCACAGGACCTAACGACACAATATCTTGACATTGTAGTTACTATGCAACAAGTGTGTGTCACATTCGTCGCTACTTGGTGGGGTAAATACTTGGGATGAGTGAACCTTTCTTTACAGTTCATCTAGTTGTTCAGTAATATGGAAATGAATGAAAACTCAGAAGAATTCAGTAGACATAGAGCTGAGGAGTACAATTCCAGCTGACCAATTTGCCTATAAATAAGAAGTCTGGTAAATATTAACGTCTCAAGGCTCTTTGCACTTTGCCCACCAAAGCTGTAAGTTTATGACTATGGCCTTTACTCTTTTGGTTTGAAGCTTTTGTGATTAATTGTTGGGTTTTCTGCATTGCTCAGCAGGTTTTGGTTTTGCTGGTGTCCTGTGTGTTTCTCTGATATTTACAGACTGTTTCTGTTAACTACCACAGGTTTACACCCTACGAGTGGTATAACCCCCACCCATGCAACCCTGACTCAGACGTGGTGGAAAACAATTTTACTTTACTAAATAGTTTCTGGTTTGGAGTTGGAGCTCTCATGCAGCAAGGTACACCGGTTGCCTATCTTTGTCACACGCATCCCACAGTGTGCTGACAGGCTTTCATGCTGGTAAACTCCACCATGAAGCTAGAGGGTAGGATGAAACACCATCTCAGGAACTTAAGAAAATAGCAACGGACTTTCTAGCCGGTTTTGAAGATGAAGCAAAACCAATGACCTATATGGAACTCCCTTGCTATATATCTAAAATAGCACTTCTATCAAGCAATAAATACAAATTTTCCTGTGGGTAGCAAAAGATAAGGTACCTTAGAAATCGTTTACAAATTTGCATAGATGGAGATGTTGGTCTTCTCCTTCTCAGCCATAACTCCACGAGTCAGCAGTTTAAAGGAGCGGGATCTAAATCCTTTGGAGATTAAATTCACTGAGATTCTTCCAATTGCCAACCTTACCTAGGACTTCCACCTAATTACTACTCTGGCAAACCCTACTGAGATTCATTTCAGCCTCCCAGTAACTTTTCACAATCTCCCTCAATTGGTAACCATAGCAACAATAAACTGTAGGAGTTGGGGAAATAAAATTTGGCCATAGAAATGTAATATATTTTATACATTTCCTATGAATTCGGGGATTCTGCTTTTGTAGTGGGGGAAGGGGGAGCTATTTTAACCTTTGGAAGAACTCCATTTCTTTTGTGATTTTTTTTTTCAGCTTCAATGTCAGGCATATGGTATAGAAAATTTTTCCAGGATTAAATGCACTAATATAAGAAAATCATAAGTCACAGAAACTGTTGTGTTCGGAATATATGTTCATTTGACAATAAGCTGCAAAATACATTGGCAAAGGAAAATTCCACTGGGATATACATTAAACATGTTTGCTACTTGGGGGTGAACCCTAAGGTTTCTCATTAGGGAATTGCTATAACACTTGAAATATTTATCTTTTGGATCTTCAAATTAGAGAGAGAGAGACTGTGGAAATACCAAATTATAATACTGAAATAGTAAATAGTTGAAGAAAGTGGGAAAATCCTAGTTACGCAATTAAGTATGGTTTGTGTGGGCACTGCTAAATAAGTATAGATGCCATCTGATTTACTAGAAGTAATTTGCATAAATTTAGAGCATAGCACAGAGGTATAAATCCTGCAGGAAACCCCATATACTACTTTACCCATGTATTTAATTTTTAGGATATTTATCTTGTGAGCAATTACTTTCAGAGTGAAGGAGACCCCTGCTCCTTCCCTATAGCTTGTCTTCTCTGACATTAGAAAATATATACATATATATATATATGTATGTGTATATATATATGTATATATATGTGTGTATATGTGTATATATGTATATATACACACATATATATACACACACATATACATATATATACACATATATATATACATATATACATATATACACATATATACATATATACACATATATATACATATATATACATATATATACACACATATATATATATATATACACACACACATATATATACTTTTAGGTTTCACAGAGCATGCATGCAGCTGGCCTGTGCAGGTATATGACTGTGACTGCCTTCTGTCATTGAGTGCACCCACCCCCGGAATTTATCTTTCATCTTTTACCTGTTTGGAGTTTACCATCATCCACAGCACACTGTGGGATGCAGTGTCTGTTAGTTACCACTACCTTGGGTACATGACAGTCAGCCCCAACCAGACTCTGCTTGTCATTCAAGAAGTTTACAAACATTTGTCAGGTGCAACAAATCTTTCCAGATACAAACTTGAGGTACTTGTGACTGTTAGTGCATCTGTCTCTAGCACGTGGCGTTGAACCAGGTAGTTATCCTCTGTTGCTCTCTCTTGTTAGCAGAAGCTTGTCACTGTACTCAATTGGAAAACATTTTGTTGAATTTTTTTTAAATGTGATGATCAGACTTTCTCTTTTCTACAGAGCGTGAGCAAAGTCTGGATCAGGATTGGCTGTCATGTCTGCCGTAAAAGGCACTAAAGAGACTTCAGCAAGTATTGTCTCTCATCCCAAATATTTTCTAGTAATGTTTTACTCAACTTTTAATGTTTGTATAATTTCATCCTCTAGAGTACTAAACTTACACAAATCATCTCTACTTGAAAGAAGCCATTTCTAAATAATTCTAACTAACATGGAGAATTACAAAATTCACAAAAATTAGATAAAAATAGAAAACATGAAGAAACATTGAGAAGTCTAATTGATGCCATCTAACAAGGGTTTAAAATGTAATCTCAATACGTTTCTATTAACATTTTTATTAAGTTTCTAAGGTAACTTTATCCAAAAGTTTAAATATGCATTCTAAAGTGTGAAAGATGTGAATTAGTATTATTACATGTCAACAGCCTGTTGTTCACCTGTCTGTCCACTCTTAATGCCATATAATACATAATTATACAAATATACAAATAAGTGAAAACCTTATGTTTTCATATGCAACCAAATAATGAAAGAATAAATTTACAGCAGAAAATCTGCACCCATAAGCTAAGAAAAATATATCTATTAATTGTTATTTATTTCCTATGGCTATTTTATGAAATAAATGGTATTTTAATGATAACCAACTAAAGAGCTAAAATAATATTACATTGCCACAAGACTGCTAGATCAATTAAGTACAAAGATATGAAACAACCTTGGGCATTAAACACACACACACCCACAGGCATATAAATCCCATTAAACCACAATATTAAAACAACAGCAGCAAACCATTCCACTAAATCCTTGGAGGCAATTTAATGGAAAACTATTATAAGTCTGTGTAATATTACCCACTCAAATTCAAACAAACGACAGAAGGAAACACAAATCGCTGTCAAACCATTTCCCTCATTAAAAGGGAATAAAACACAAAGATACGTAATAGCATTAGGAGAATATATCCGTTAATTCAAAGCCCAGAAACTCTGGCGACCTTGATCTGATTATCACTGGCCTTGAGCTGGCTGTGATTTCCTGAGCCGTATTTGCATCTGTTTATAGATTAAACCTTAGCACAAATTCATTTATTGGTAGACTGGTGAACTCCAATTTTCCTTTCCATCTTAAGCCATTATTAACGACAGAGCTTCAACACACCCTATCAGTATAGTAAAGGGATCCTATAGACCAGACAGCTGACCTACTGTACTTCACTCTTCGGGATTTTTAATTTAGGGTGTTTTTCTTTCACTTTTTATCTGGTCAGATAAACTCTGTCATGCCTTCAGGTTCATGGAGGATATGCTAAGTACAGAACCAATGGCAAATTTCAGGCAGATGAACAAGCCAAAATCCACTTGTGAATCAGTACAACTGGAGTGAACTCTAATTGTACTTCTCATTTATTCTAATTCTGCTGCTGAGTTTGAGCAAAATTGAACTAGACCGTTTTCAAGATGTTTGTCTTTTATGACAGTAAACTTAGCTCATAAACCCTTTCTTTTAGAGAGGAAGGTTTCCTTGGAAAACACATTAAGTGCCTCTATTTTATCATTTAAACATAATTTCAAATCATCTGAATGACATCTAAAATGTATATTCTTACCAGGAAAGTCTTCTTTCACCTAAGGAACAGCCTGTCTTTGAAGTGTAGTTAAGAAACAGCATTTTATTGAAGTACAAAATTATGCGTTGCAGAGAATGTGTTTTTTTAGCCAAATAAAAATCTACAGTAGAAAAAAGAATTGTAGCTTTTAAGGTAACATAAGACAATAAAAACTAATTCATCCACTGTCAAGTATGGCTGCATCTTATTTTATTTGTAAAATCCCAATGTTTTATTAAAGTATATGTGATAAATGGCATGTTAATATTTTACAAGTAGCTCTCATTCTTTAACCTTAAATAAAAATGTTAGCATTTCAAATATTTTCATAGTTATACAAAGACGCAGAATATTTTACTTCACACTATAAGATGCATTTAGACAGTAATAAAAGGCAAAAAGTCTTGGGGTTGACTTTTCAATTCTAAGCAACTAAACTAACTAAATTTTAGACATGGAATGCCTCCAGGTTAAAACTGTTTTAATACCATCAGCTACTGATAAATTATAGTTAAAGCAATAGTAGTGATTAATGATTTGAAAATAATCCTTAAGATTTTGCTCCATTTTCTATAAAATGCATTTATTTCATCTACCTACAAGACGGTAAGTCTTTTACAGGTTGATCTTCCTAGAATAGTGTCGAACTGTACATCTTCCCTTTCCTTCTGACTGTGTTTAACACCCTTACTCTGATGATACCATCACAGGATCAGAGCTGATGCCCAAAGCTCTATCGACCAGAATAGTTGGAGGGATATGGTGGTTTTTCACCCTAATCATCATTTCATCCTACACGGCCAATCTGGCTGCCTTCTTGACAGTAGAGAGAATGGAATCCCCCATAGATTCGGCAGATGATCTGGCAAAGCAAACCAAGATAGAATATGGGGCGGTTAGAGATGGATCAACAATGACCTTCTTCAAGGTAAGAAGCTGACAAAGTGTTCTCAGTGATTATCTGATACTTGTGGTAGAGTATAAAAGAATCTGTCGAAAAAAAAAAGAAAAAGAAAAAAGAAAAAAAGATGTTGGGTAATTTTTTTAATGAAATAAAATTTATAATTACATAATCCCATTATAAGGAATCCTTGAAGCCCCAGTCAGCATAAAGCAGTTTCTTTGGTCCCCAACTAGGTGTCATTTACTCCACCCCAATTTAGTGTACTCAGATCCATAGATCAATATCTTCAATATCCTCTCTTGCCTTTACACCAGAAAAAAAAAATCTGAATACAATCTAACCACTCATTAATTAATCACTCATTTATAGAACCCATAAAATAAAGGTTCCTTAATCAAGAATTCTGGTAACCAGAATACTTGAATATCATTATTTTGTTCTTTCGGTCCTGTACTTGATGAGATAGAAACAGATGACAAGAAAACGTGTTGATATTGGAATTTAGTTAGAGAATTAAGAACAAAAAAATCCCAGGAGACTCTGGTCTAATACTGAGTCCGCATTGATGAAGGACAGTGTTCCCAGCCATGCCTGAAGCTTTTCAAAATGTCTTCGGAGGCACCGCAGGAGAATTAAGTTGGATGAGTTTAGTTTTAGTGTCAAGGGCATTTCATTGTTGAGGTCTTTTTAATTACTTACCCATAGTAATGAAACTGATTTCTGCCTCGCTTTTGGAGGAAGCCTTAGTACTTTTATTATCAAATCTCAAATACTCTAATTCCAGTGAAAAATAGATTTTAATAGATCCAATAGGTGTAAAGATCATGAAGTTCAACTCTTCACTCTACTTATGAAAAGAACAAAACCTTCAGAAGCTAAATTACCTGCTCCAAGTCAAATACCTAGTCTATAACAGAGAAGGGGCTAAAGTTTTTTTTGGGAAAAAAAAAAGTATTAATGGTGGTAAATGTGCATGTGAATAAAAGGAAAACAACAGTTGTAAACAAAATAATCTCTAAAAACACCCTTGTCAAAGATTCATATTCAGATTACCAAAAATGGAGTTGTCACCTCAGCATTGAGTGGACTGTTTGGGGTTTTTTGTTTGTTTGTTTCTTTTGGGGGGCAGCTGTTTTTTTGTTTTGTTTTTTGTTTTGAGATGGAGTCTCGCTCTGTCGCCCAGGCTGGAGTCCAGTGGCGCGATCTTGGCTCGCTGCAACCTCCACCCTCCGGGTTCAAATGATTCTCCTGCCTCAGCCTCCCAAGTAGCTGGGACGACAGGTGCCTGCCACCACACCTGGCTAATTTTTGTATTTTTAGTAGAGACAGGGTTTCACCATATTGGCCAGGCTGGTCTTGAACTCCTGACCTTGTGATCTGCCTGCCTCAGCCTCCCAAAGTCCTGGAATTGCAAGCGTGAGCCACTACGCTCAGCCAGGGGTATTTTTTTTTAAATAATCTTTTCCTTTCTATTATTTCCATTGAGTTCAAAATGAACTCTTTTTCTTCTTTCATTCTTATTTCCTTTTTAAACATTGTTTATAGATTTAGGAGGTATAAGTTGCATTTTGTTAGATGGATATAGGGCTTTTAGGGTTTCCATCACCCAAATAACATACGTTGTACCAATTAAGTAATTTCTCATCTGTCAGCCCTGCCACCCTCCCACCCTTCTGAGTCTCCAATGTCTATTATTTTTTGAGTGGACTGTTTGACTTGTGAAAAATACCAGCTTAGAAACAAAAACTAAGGTTAGGAAAAAAAAGTACACATTTCTTTGTATAACACTATTGGTTCACAAAAATAGGAATTAACTATACAATAAGTTATAATGTTTAATAACAATAATAAATAAAAAGGTATTGTTTTAAAAGTTAACTATATCTAGAGTTTTATCAAGAAGCAAAGTAATGGAAAAAGTAGGACTTACTTTTCTTCTGTGTTAAAAAAGATTTTTAAACACTTTTTATTTTAAGAAGTGTATCATTTATTTAGGCCGGGCGCGGTGGCTCACGCTTGTAATCCCAGCACTTTGGGAGGCCGAGGCGGGCGGATCACGAGGTCAGGAGATCGAGACCATCCTGGCTAACACGGTGAAACCCCGTCTCTACTAAAAAAAAAAATACAAAAATATTAGCCGGGCGTGATGGCGGGCGCCTGTAGTCCCAGCTACTCGGGAGGCTGAGGCAGGAGAATGGCGTGAACCCGGGAGGCGGAGCTTGCAGTGAGCCGAGATTGCGCCACTGCACTCCCGCCTGGGCCACAGAGCGAGACTCCGTCTCAAAAAAAAAAAAAAAAAAAAAAGAAGTGTATCATTTATTTAATGTATGTGTAAAGCATGGTGATTGTTTCTTCTTTGGACAGTGATGTTCTAAAGACAAATGACATTACGGCTTTGCAAGCTGCAGAAAGTATTTTCCTAAAATCAATAGTGTGAAGAGACACAAGATACCCCAAGCTAGTGATTCATCATGGTCCTTGTCAGAAACAAGGAAGGTCACTTGCAAGGCTCACAGGACAGAGGGGCACTGGCAAGATAGAATTTGGTATATCTGAAAAAATATCTGAAATGATTTATCTCATTCAGCAATATCAAAGAGTTTTAAAGTACTGGGAAATGGGCTAGCAGAAGGCAGAGAAGATTCTACTTCCTTCAAGATGTTCAGCACAAATGTAAGGGAAAGAGGCTGTGCCGTTCTTTGAAAAAGCAATAGACCTGACTTTGCCACTGTACACAGGATCTATGCACAGGCTGTGGATCCCTTATCTGAAATGTTTCAGACCAGATGTTTTTAGAATTTTGGATATTTTCAGGTTTTAGAATGTTTGCACATACATAATGAGAAAACCTGGGGATGGGACCCAAGTCTAAACAAAATTTATTTATTCATCATATATACCTTATGCATATAGCCTAAAGGTAAGTTTATACAGTATTTTAAATAATTTCGTACATGAAAAAAGTTTTGACTGCAACCCATGCCATGAGGTCAAGTGTGGAACTTTCCACATGGGACAACATGTCAGTGCTCAAAAAGTTTCAGATTTGGGATTTTTCAGAATAGAGATGCTCAACCCAGATTTACAAAGTGTCCTTTAAATGACAAAGTGTCACTTTTTTTTTTTTTTTTTTTCCAGACGGAGTCTTGCTCTGTCGCCCAGGCTGGGTGGAGTGCAGTGGCGCAGTCTTGGCTCACTGCAACCTCCTCCTCCCGGGTTCAAGCGATTCTCCTGCCTCAGCCCCCCGAGTAGCTGGGATTACAGGTGCATGCTACCATGCCTGGCTAATTTTTTTATTTTAATAGAGTTGGGGTTTCACCATGTTGGCCAGGCTGGTCTCAAACTCCTGACCTCAAGTGATCCACCTGTCTCGGCCTCCCAAAGTGCTGGAATTACAGGCGTGAGCCACTGCGCCCGGCCCCTTAAGTTCACTTTGATCTTTTCTGTCTCAAACTCCTGACCTCAAGTGATCCACCTGTCTCGGCCTCCCAAAGTGCTGGAATTACAGGTGTGAGCCACTGCGCCCAGCCCCTTAAGCTCACTTTGATCTTTTCTTTCTCATGCCCCTCTTTAAGTATAAAAAGAGCGGGTTCTCCTTTTTCCTGGCAGGACCCTGAATGACTACATTACGACATGTTTGGATAATGCACTTCCACTGAACAGGTACATGCTATGTTCACAACTGCTGCTCCCTGAGCATTTTCTGAGAAGGCTCCTGCTTTCTCCCTGGTCCTGAAAATGAGGCATCAATGCAAGCATTCTCTCAGGTCACCAGGAAAATGATGAAACAATAAGCACCTCAGAGAGGAAGAATGTGATGATAGTACAAACAGCATCAATAAAAATAGCAGTACGCCCTGTGCACTAGCCCTTACCTGTGTTACCTCATTTTATCTTTAAAAAAGACCAGTTGAGCACCAGGCGCTGTGGCTCACACCTGCAATCCCAGCACTTTGGGAGGCCGAGGCTGGTGGATCACCTGAGGTCAGGAGTTCAAGACCAGCCTGACCAACATGGAGAAACCCCGTCCCTACTAAAAATACAAAAATATTAGCCCGGCGTGGTGGCACATGCCTGTAATCCCAGCTACTCGGGAGGCTGAGGCAGGGGAATTGCTTGAACCAGGGAGGCTGAGGTTGCAGTGAGCCGAGATCGCACCATTGCATTCCAGCCTGGGCAACAAGAGCAAAACTCCGTCTCAAAAAAGAAGAAGAAAAAAAAAAGACCAATTGAGCTAAATACCAATATTATCCCTATTAATGAGGAAAATGAGGCACAGACAGGCTAGATAATTTACCCCAAAGTTACAAAGCTAGCAATGGAAGAGCCAAGATTCAGCAAAATTCAGAGAGTTCTAGAAAGTCAGTTCCATGAGAGTAGAAACTCGGTCTTCTTTGTATGACATTAAGTCACCAGAATCTAAAAGAGTGCCCAGCCGTATAGTAGGCATTCAGAAAACTATGTTTTCAATAAGTGAAAAAGTAAACTCTGGGAGAGGTGGATTTCTATCAGAGAGAGGGAGGGAGAGTGAATGAAGGAGCAAAGGAAGGAAGCCGAGAGGGAAAGAGGGAGGGAGAGAGGTGGATGGATACATAGGGACCCACACAAGAAGAGACACTGTTGCCAAGTTCCTCATTTTACAAGCTAGCTTGTGGCCCAGCAACCCAGTTTACCGAGAAGAAATGTATTTGCAGAAGGAGAACAAGGACTAAATCCGATTTAGTTTTCCCCTCGAGGATGGTAAGCTGTCAGAAAGCGTCAGAGGGATGTACACTCAGGTTCTTAAGCTGGATTATTCCACAAGGGAAAGAAAAGTTTCGGCTTTTTTGCTCTCGGGGTAGTTCCGCCCTAAATCACTGAGTGACAGCAGGTACAGTCACAAGGACTCAGTCCTGACCTGGCTCCACATGAACATGTTTCACCTCTGCTGTGCCATCAGGGTCTCCCTCCTCCAGCCCTTTCTCTGTCAGTTAAAGACAATAACCTCTCTTGAGCTGTAGAATGAATAAGGAAACTACCTTTGCCTAATCTAACCTGGAGCATCCTGATCAGTTTTTGGAGCACAAGTCATTTGCTAAGATGGGTCCTGTCTCCACTCAATCACAAGGAAACTTCTAATGAGAAACGTTTTCTCATCACAAACAGTGTAATTTCAAGTGTTTTTCTTCTCAGAAAAGCAGTATTCCTCTGGCAGTACCCAAATGATAAAAACTGGTCTTTTTACTTTCAAGTTGATTTAAAATCATTTTATAGCCAAAGAATGGCCAGTTGCAGGGAGGAAAGGGATTCAGACATTTTCAAGATCCATGATCAAACAAAATACTCGAATGCCTCACATTTGGTCGCTAGGCCACAAGCAAGGGATGTGCTTAGTGAAGTTTGTCCTTGAAATGTGTGCCCAGAAGTTGCTCGCTAAAATTTCATTCAAAATCCGTTGACTTTTTCTCCTAGACTTGGCTATTCTTGCAGACAGCATGACACTCTACATTTTAGATCTGATGTATTTGGTTCTCAACAAGAAGAAAACCAAAATTTAGTTTTTTAAAATAGCTCAGGTGAGATTCCACTATCTACCACCTGAGCTCATATAAGGCTGAGGGAACTAAGTGGAATTTTTTTTTTCTTTTTTTTTTAATGGAGTCTTGCTCTGTCGCCCAGGCTGTAGTACAATGGCGTGATCTTGGCTCACTGCAACCTCTGCCTCCTGAGTTCAAGCAATTCTCTGCCTCAGCCTCCTGAGTAGCTGGGATAACAGGCACCCGCCACCATGCCCAGTTAATATTTTGTGTGTGTGTGTTTTTAGTAGAGACAGGGTGTTTCACCATCTCAGCCAGGCTGGTCTTGAACTGACCTCGTGATCCACCCGCCTCAGCCTCCCAAAGCGCTGGTATTACTGGCATGAGCCACTGCGCCCAGTGGAAATTTTTTAAACAAATGCTAGCTCAAGCTAAGACGTGACTGAGACGGGGAGGCAGTGGCAGTTTTCCTTCAGGGTCATTCATATATGGAGCAACATTGCTCATCAAGGACTGTATTTACACAAGAGAATAGGATTAAATCATAAATTCAATTCCACATATTCTTGTGAAACTTTAATGGACATCCTGAGATTCTACCTCACTTTGTCCATCAAAAAAAAAAAAAGCAACTCTAAGTTTCGATCACTCAGCTAATGATGCTTATTAAGGCTTATGTTGTCACAAGATCATCAACACTCTGGAACTTACAGTTCAATCACTATGGGAAATACAATAGCCTATTTGGTCAAAGGGTCTCAGGCACCCCAAGACCAATTAGCTGGCCAAGGTTAAAGGGAGGCAGAACATTTATCAAGTGTTCAGGTACTGTTGGAGATGTTTTGGGAAATTCTTCTCTGAATATGAGGCGATCGGCATCAAATTAATTAATGGCCTATGTTTATGGGTCAGTGTATTAATAATTCAGAACTTCAACAGACTCTATTTAAGAGAATTTTTTTTTTTTTTTGAGATGGAGTCTCACCCTGTCGCCCATGCTGGAGTGCAATGGTGCGATCTTGGCTCACTGTGACCTCCGCCTCCCAGGTTCAAATGATTCTCCTGCCTCAGCCTCCTGAGTAGCTGGGATTACAGGCGCCTGCCACCACGCCCAGCTATATTTTTTTATTTTTAGTAGAGACAGGGTTTCACCATGTTGAACAGGCTTGTCTTGAACTCCTGACCTTGTAATCCACCGGCTTCGGCCTCCAAAAGTACTGGGATTACAGGCGTGAGCCACCATGCCCAGACTATTTAAGAGAATTTTTAATAAAATCCCTCTCATTTCTGCTTGACATAATACTAATTAATAATCCAGATTTAACTCTATTGGTTTCTCTGTTCTCTGCTGATGAAATTATTTGGTCCTTTCAATTGTTTCTCAAGTCTGAACAGTACAGGATTTCCTTCGCTCCCAACTCCCTGGGACCACCACCAGCATCTTAGGAGATGCAAAGATCAGTCAGTTCATAGCCAAGCTCTATGGACACAACTTGCATTCAGCTTTCCTAGGGGCTACATGACCTATTTCCATCTTTTATATCCAAGACAACTGACAAGATGACAACAATGACAGCCAATTCCAACTTTTCCTTTCAGAAATAGTATGCTAAGATTCTGGTTTTCTCTCCCACAGGAAGTCAGAAATGTACAACGGCTCTGTTCTTCTTGTTGGAATTCTATTAATTACCTTATGAAACAATAAGATAGTCCAAACTGTGGTCTCACAGTGATAGTGTAGAAAGTCACATTTTTTTTCCCCAGATGAAGAAAGAATAGTCATGATAATGTCTAAGAACCGTATGCAGCCTAAAAGAATGGATTTCCCAATGATCCTTGTGAACCATCATCCAAGGAGGATAATGCTTTTAGCCCATGGATCAGAGAATGGGAATACCAGCTAGTCTTCTTCTCAAGAAATATGACCAACATCTTATGCTGGGATATAAAGTAAAACCTACAGGAAAGTGTTTTTGTTGGAGATCTGGACCCAGAGAGCCTGGGTTCTACTACATATAAGTTATGTAGACCTTGGCAAGTAACTTAAACTCTCTGTACCTTGATTTCCCAGTCTATAAATTGAGGATGACTTCTAACTCAAAATTATTTTGAGGATTTAATGACTTAGTAGAGGTAATATGTTTATACTACCACTTAGTACACTGTAAGCAATAAAAACATTAGATATTATTGTAACTATCACTTATAACATCATCACCATAATTATTCAACCCTTACCTCTAGCTATTAGTCCTATTTTTTCAGTCTCTCTAGATTTATAAATATTTTGGTTTGGTCTCTGTTCAGCTTCCTTACTGTCAGTCATCTCTGCAGTGTCTGCCTTCTGCTAAAGGACAGAAAAGTCCAGAAGAAGTGTCAGTGCCCAAGATCTCAAAGATTTTTGGAGGCCTGGCCAGACAGCAACCCTAGGCCTTGGAGGCCCTTCTTGAGCACATACATTGCATATGCCGAAGCACTTACCAGATGGTAGGTAGGCAAAAGATGGTAAGGCTGCCCTTAGAATGCAGACAAGAAACAGAGTGAGGCAATTCAGTTTAATTCAGTTTAATTCAGCTCAATTGATATTTTTGCAGGGTCCTCAATATGGTCAGTACTGAGGTTAGCACTTAAGAGGGAAAAAGGTATAAAATCATGAGCAAGACATGAAGATCTGAATAGCAATACAGAGACAAGAGGTATGAATACCTGTTAAATACAACACAACATGTGGTTGCATTGTGCAGACAGGAAGTAGTGGCAGAATTTCTTGTGAGCCAAATTAGCTATGAAGTATTCATGTAAGAAATACTTCTCAGTAGAAGCTTGCCTTGTAACAAATCACTATCCTCCCAGACTCAAGCCAGAGGATTACACAGATTAAATTGTGATTCAGTCTAAAATGACTTGGATAAAATAGGTTTTAAAACATCATAAAAGACTTGTCATTTCTGGCTTTCATGGTCTAGGGACTTTGGACCAGCTGTGGGAACAAGGGATTCTCTAACCTTTATCATCTCTTTCCAGGGAGTGGTTAGGTGCTGTCACCAACCCAAAAGACATTTCAGAGAAGTTACTGGGCACTGCACCAGTGGAAATGAAGCAATGAGCCATTGTAGGGAGACAGATTTCAGACAGTTATAACCATTTCAGGAAGCAGAAGATGAAAGCCATTTCTCAAATACTCTGCATAGGAAGGCACTCTTCACATAAGAGTTCCTAGCTTATGTTGGAAAAATCCAGCTAATTTTACCATCAGTGTCAGAAATGTTAGGTCTCTGTAGGTTAAAAGTGTATTTGTTTGGGAAGAAATCTATGAGGTCAATTCAACCTTTTTCAAAGGCTGGAAGATTGCCTGTAATAGACCAATCTTTAACTCTAGACAGGAGAAAAACATGAAAAATATTTTAGCAAATCTGTTTAAATCCCGCTGAGGGAATTTTCTAAAGGGAATCCATAAATTTTTTAAATGTTGGAGAGTCTGCAAATGTCATAACTTTTCATCAAATCAAGATAAAGACATAATCAACTGCAGTGTTCATATTATACACATTTGGAAGGCAGAGGTCCTAACTATACTATAAATATTTTCTTCTGATCATCTTCCTTCAAAGCGATTTTTGTAAATTAAATCATATTTTCAAAATAGCATGAGAATTTATTATTTAATGAAATAATATATTAATCATGTCTAAAAGAAATGGTTGTTTTTAAGGCAACTATTCACCTCTGATGTACCTATTTCGCAAGTATGAAGTTCTACATAGCCAATGTCTATGTCTTTGGTTAATTTTTAAGGGTTGTCTTAAATCAGGATTTGCCTAAAGTAAAATTAAATTGGAGATCTTAAAATATAATTGTTTGTGATATTTCATTTGTTCTATATGCATATATTTACATTTATAAGATCACTTTTGATAAGATAAAAAGATCAAATATCAATAACTTATTTCTAATGTATATTTCAGTGTGTAGAGTAAAAACATACATAAACACAGATCGATATATAAAATCATCAGCCATATTAGTGTGAAGTAGAATTGCATGATTACTGATTCTACTGAAAAATGAGATTATACATCCTAACTGTGAAAGTCTTATAAAAACTGGTGGAAGAAATAATGTGATAAATAATAGTTATCTCAATAAAAAAGAAACATTAGAGGGATATTTTATAAAATGGAGTCCATCAGGCTTAAGACCACACTACACCCTAGAATTTGCACATATTTTATTTACATTGTGTGATGGAAATCCTGTAACTAAAAACAGTGAAACTATATGAAAAGCAAAATACTGTTAAAGGAAAGGAAACAATATAAACAAGTCACATTTTTTCCAGGTTCTAACTGTTGCACTTCCTAAAACACTGTCTAAATTCTTGTCTAAACAAGTGTAAGCTATTAAAAGTCAGGTAAATAGTTTCTGTACATTATATGATGAGTACAACAGCTCTGGCTATAATAGAAAGATCCCACAGCTACTTGTTTCGATTATTTCTTTAGAAAATTTGTTAATTCTGTGGAAACATTAGCTGTGGAAACATTAGCCAAGCCTTGAGTTTGCTGCTCTGTGTATTAAGAGATAGTTCATTCCCTGTTGTTTAAGAACACAGACCCTGGAACCAGATTACTGGGATCAAATCCTGGTTTCCTCATTTCTTCATGTGCTGTTCTATTTCCTCATCTATAAAAGAGAAATAATAATGGTACGTCTTTCATATGATTACCGTGAAGATTCGATTAATCAATATATGCAAAGTTCTTAAAATAGTGCTTGCTACACAGTAAATAAACACTGCATATGTTGGTTGCTGTTACTATTTTCAATAAGTAATTTTTAATGCCTGCAAACATTATAAACTATTTCCCAGTGAGTGTTTAACTTGAATGTATTATAGGGGGAAAAAAGAAATAAATAATGTTCATCAAACATTGATGCAGTAACACTCCCTTATAACAGATTTGAGATGAAAAATGCTATTCTTTGCCAACAATGTTTCATCAGCATGAGGATAGCCACATAATCAGATTTAAACAGATAAAATGCATTTATCTAAACAGATGCCTCTCAGGATTAAAAAGAAAAAATCCTGGGTGATTTCAGATTTAATAAATGAGGCTTTTTCAGTTTTAGCAACTTTTGCTAAGAAGCTCAGAAGACATTCCAAATATTCTAATTAACTTTTGACATATCTAGTGAAATAAGAGGCAACCACTATTTCTGTTTTTGGAACATATATTATTTAGAGTGATTTAGGAGACTGGTTGACATTATATGTGATTTAGAAGTACAAAAACACCCAGGCTGTCATTTTAACACTTTGCCTGGTCTTTTAATATGTATGATAATTTTTCATGAAGTATAATCCTATTTTTAAGAATTACTAAGATTTGAGACTCAACCATGAAAAAAAGTCTGCTGAAAGGAATACATGTAATTTACTCCCAACATTCTACTTTTTTATCTAACAAAAAATAAACATTACTGAGCGTGGCATGCAGCGGACAGAACTCTGCAGTAAAGAAGAAAGAGCCCTCAATTCTGTGCTGTCTCTTCCACTAACCCTCTGCCACCTTCTGTGTGTCATTTGCTGTCCCTGACCTCAGGACCTGCATATGTGATAGGAAGGGGTTGGTCTAGAGAGTAGAACGTGGTGGTTGAAGCATCTCCTTATGTGAAACTCGTCTAAGCATGACATACTCCTTGCAGTTGCCTAGTGATAGAAAACTCACTATACCGGCTGGGCATGGTGGCTCATGCCTATAATCCCAGCACTTTGGGAGGCCGAGGCAGGTGGATCACATGAGGTCAGCAGTTCGAGACCAGCCTGGCCAACATGGTGAAACCCTGTCTTTACTAAAAATACAAAAAATTAGCTGGGCATGGTAGCAGGTGCCTGTAATCCCAGCTACTCAGGAGGCTGAGGCCGGAGAATCATTTGAACCCACGAGTCAGAGGTTGTAGTGAGCCGAGATCGTGCCATTGCACTCTAACCTGGGGAACAAGAGTGAAACAACGTCTCAAAAAATAAAAAAGAAAGCTCACTACACCTTTAAGGTGCTGAAGCTGTCTGCAGATATTTCTACCTATTAAAAAAAGTTATTCCTTAGCCACATTTTGGGTCTTCCTGCAAACTCTAATTTCCCTAGCATCCCAAGTAGCCTAGAACTCTAACTGTGAAACACAATAAAGCCCCACAACAGCAAACTTTTTAAACGACGAAAGAGAGCTCTAAATAACAGCAAAATGCTGCTCTTCTTGCTCCCATTATGTTTACTATTACTGTGCTCTAGTGAGAATAGCAAGGGGTCAAAGGAATTTATAACACTTCCTATACCTTCAACTTACCAAGTCCCCTACCAAGTAACAGTTTTCTGTCAGAGAGAAAGTTCTGCCCTCCCTGCTCAAAGGTGTCCATGCCAACTAGACTTCCCCTGTAGCTCCCTGGGAGAGGTCAGGCCTAGAACAACCTTCTACTCCAAGAAGGAAGATGTGGATGTTGTTGAATTTAAATCCATTATCTCTGTTCCATAGAGCCATGCTACTCAAAGTGTAGTGTGAAGAGTGTGCTGGCTCAGGAAACATTTTGTTACTAAGCTGTGACAAGGAGAAGAATACTGAGAGTAAGCGTTTAGAAATGTTGCAGCTGTTGAATACTGAGGTTGCACTAAACTCATGACCTCTCTTACCCGTGGATTAGACCACCTGCATACTGTTGAATACTCACAGAGTGAGTCACAGGTGGTATGACCTACATATTCGTCCCATGCAGGAGGACCAAAGCTAGGTCTGCCATAGATTGAAAATAATGAAGTCCTTCACTTCAGATAGTTTAGGTTTAGAGTTGAATCGTGTCATCCTTTCCCATATCCTTCAATTCCCCAGATGAAATGAAGGACTCCCCACACTTTCTCCATTTACCGTGGATGAACTAAACATTGACTTTGTTTTTGACTTCCATAAACCACAAATTCAGTTTTCTAACAATTTACAACACTCGTTTTAATAAAATATAAATGTGGTGCGGCCGGGCGCGGTGGCTCACGCCTGTAATCCCAGCACTTTGGGAGGCCGAGGCGGGCGGATCACGAGGTCAGGAGATCGAGACCATCCCGGCTAAAACGGTGAAACCCCGTCTCTACTAAAAATACAAAAAATTAGCCGGGTGTAGTGGCGGGCGCCTGTAGTCCCAGCTACTTGGGAGGCTGAGGCAGGAGAATGGCGTGAACCCGGGAGGCGGAGCTTGCAGTGAGCCGAGATTGCGCCACTGCACTCCAGCCTGGGCGACAGAGCGAGACTCCGTCTCAAAAAAAATAAATAAATAAATAAATGTGGTGAAAAAATTTAATGTTTCATAAAATTTTTCTATGTGAAGGTTGATTCCTATTTCATATTAATATGTAACTAACTAGCAACCCACCTCAGGGAATAATGAGTCCATGAATAAAAGCTATATTTTCACATGTAGATCAAATGAGATTAAAATCATTCTCAAAAGCATTTTGGCAATATAGACATCCACCTCCCCCAAATCAGCATGGTACAGTGGAAAGAGCATTGAATTAGATATTAGGTGTGCTGGAGTCCAGAATTAGCTCTGGTATTAACTTGCTTTGTGACTTTTTGAAGTCTCAAAGCCTTCCGTACTAAAACTTCCTCCTCTGTGACAGTAGCAGTTTGTATGAGCCGATCTCTAAAGTCTCTGACAACTTTAAATTTTATACTTCAAAGAAAATTATTTTCCCTTAAGGTAGTTTCCTGATGGAAGAATAATTTTCGCAGCTGTGCATTTACTGCCACAAGATAGACTGACCTTTCTGCGCTTGTATGAGTAGCTCTTTTACTATAAGTTTAGCATTATCAGACTTTGCAAGGCTGAAATCACACAACAAATGAAGCAGTAAACCTGACCCCCAAAACACGCCTTTGTTATGGGGACATGAGCTGCAGCTTGCAGATATCTCCGGGGCTGTGGCATAACTCACAGGGGCCCAATATGACACAATGGGTTCCACAAAATACCAATATCTATAAGGTACTGTTTATTGAATTGTTATTTGTCTCACAAGACCTTTCTCAGGGGGATTTTCAATGCCTAACAATCTGAAATAAAGCCATCTGTCCTCCCCTAACTCATAAACCCTACAGTATTAACCCAGGTCCTAAATAGAGGTTGGAATTGAGTGGCCCCCAGGAACACCTGGGCATGAATAACCGTGATAGAGTTGACTCCGCAGGTATTCCATTTTTTGCTTATGGCCCAAAACCATGTTTTAAGCTTTCCTGAACTACGGAGATGGTGCATCCTGTGCCTGCCAAGGGATTTGTCTAATGTGTGCGAGCACTATATATAACTGTGATAACTGGGGTTAGCTTAAAAATACCAATAATTCCCATAATGTTTTTCATCTCTGAAATAAGTGGAGAATGCTGATGCAAATGAAGAAAAATTAAAAAAAAAAATTGGAACTGTATGGAAATTACAGAGTAAAATGCAAAATGTCTAATCATAGATCACTATTCAAAAGAATGGAAAATTCATATTTAAGTAATATGAAAATTTAGGCAGTATACTTTAGCAAAAAAAGATAATGAAGCAGTGGTACATATGTATATGTGCATATATTACATAACATATATAATTTATTACTGAATCTATCAAAAAGCTGAAGAATATGAGAAAAGACAAATATATTAATAGAACACTTTGAAATGAGATATTCAGTCCCCATTATCTAAAATATGATTACAATTAAAATTATACACATAAAAAGGCATATAAATACAGTATGAAGATTTTTCTTCTTTTTTTTTTTGAGACAGAGTCTCGCTGTTTTTGCCCAAGCTGAAGTGCAATGGCACGATCTTGGCTCACTGCAACCTCCACCTCCCGGGTTCAAGCGATTCTCCTGCCTCAGCCTCCTGAGTAGCTGGGATTACAGGCACATGCCACGACACCTGGCTAATTGTATTTTTTCAGTAGAGACAGGGTTTCACCATGTTGGTCAAGCTGGTCTCGAACTCCTAACCTTTATGTGATCTGCCCACCTCGGCCTCCCAAAGTGCTGGGATTACAGGTGTGAGCCACCAGGCCTGGCTGAAGATTTTTCTTATCTAAATTTTAATTTGAAAAGAGCATTTACATTCTGGGTTTTCTAGAAAAGAGAAGAGTGAATGACAGTTCTCTCACAAATAAAGCAGAGGAAGTCAGTGGTTTACTCCAGGGCTCTCCCCAGCAGAAGAATGCTAGATCAAGGATTGAAACTTATACACCTGGAAACAGCAAAACAATACCTGCTGGAGTTGAGTGATTGAAAGGAAAATGCATGAAATGAACAGAGTCCTGGAGTGAGCTAGTCACCCCTTAGCCCAGTGGGCCACAATGGCTTATAGATCAAGGTCTCCATGTAATAGCTGCCTCCGTGCAAATGCTGTCCAATAGTGAGTGAACTGGGCTCTTCTCAGCTACAAAAGTGAAGCCTTGAGATCATCAATCTTGACTCCCCCACCTGTGGAGAAAGTATCCTCCCTATCATTATTTGAACCATTGGGACTTTGAATACCTTTAGGTCGTATTTTTCCAGCCCTCTTCTGCTGGTGAGTGTGTTTTCTTTCCCTCCAGAAATCAAAAATCTCCACCTATGAGAAGATGTGGGCTTTCATGAGCAGCAGGCAGCAGACCGCCCTGGTAAGAAACAGTGATGAGGGGATCCAGAGAGTGCTCACCACAGACTACGCGCTGCTGATGGAGTCCACCAGCATTGAGTATGTGACGCAGAGAAACTGCAACCTCACTCAGATCGGGGGCCTCATTGACTCCAAAGGTTACGGAGTGGGAACACCTATTGGTAAGACGGGTAGACATGAACCAAGACTGAGATACAGAATGTCAGTTACCAGTATAGAAGGCAATGGGCTCAGAGTTCTTTATTCCAAATTCTGAGAAGGCCTACAATGCCATTAGTGAACTAATAATGTAAACATCCATATAGATCAGAGACATAGTCTGAATTACAGATTCCCAGATATTTAACTTAATATACTTTTAACCAGTGTGTCTTTCAAGTTTTACCAACACATGTTTAAGAATATATAGATTTTATTATTTCACCCCAAATATCTTAAAGAGAATATATTTCTAATTAATCCTCTTCACATTGTTTCCTTCAATACCCATATATGCCTATATAATGTATCTGCCTTAAATTAGAATAGAAGAAAGTTGATTCTGCATATGGACAGCAAAAGTGAGAGGGCTAGTGTTCCATAATGATAGATGAAAAAGCAAGGCTATATCAGTCAAAAGAAAAAGGATAAAGATTAAATTATAAGTCTGATGTGCTCAGGCAATGTTACATTCAATCAATGCCAACTATGTAAAATCTTCAAATTCCTTAGTTCCATGCTATTGCTCTCCTAGGAATATTATTGCCTAGGTATATAGACCCATATAGCAATGCATTCTTGTACGTCTATAGGAGACATGAATAGAATTTAAGGGGTAATTAGTGATTTCCTTTCCATAGAAAACTCCCTCTCTATTTTTTCCCTCTCTATAGAAAACTGTATCATGGCCAGGCGCGATGGCTCACGCCTGTAATCCCAGCACTTTGGCAGACCAAGGCAGGCAGATCACGAGGTCAGGAGATCGAGACTATCCTGGCCAACATGGTGAAACCCCGTCTCTACTAAAAATACAAAAATTAGCTGGCTGTGGTGCCATGTGCCTATAGTCCCAGCTACTCAGGAGGCTGAGGCAGGAGAATCATTTGAACCCGGGAGGTGGAGGTTGCAGTGAGCTGAGATGGTGCCACTGTACTCCAGCCTGGGCAACAGAGCGAGACTCCATCTCAAAAAAAGAAAGAAGGAAGGAAGGAGAGAAAGAAAGAAAGAGAGAAAGAAAGAAAGAAAGAAAGAAAGAAAGAAAGAAAGAAAGAAAGAAAGAAAGAAAGGAAGGAAGGAAGGAAGGAAGGAAAGAAAGAAAGAAAGGGAGAGAGAGAAAGGAAAGGAAGGAAAGAAAGGGAGAAAGAAAAAGAAAGAAAGAAAGAAAGAAAGAAAGAAAGAAAGAAAGGAAGGAAGGAAGGAAGGAAGGAAGGAAGGAAGGAAGAAAGAAAAAGAAAGAAAGAAAGAAAGAAAGAAAGAAAGAAAGAAAGAAAGAAAGAAAGAAAGAAAGAAAGAAAGAAAGAAAGAAAACTGTATCATATAAGGTCCTGGTATAGTGGGAACCTGCTCTTCCCAAGTGAGCCCTTGGTAATTTGTTAGTAAGCATTCCAAAGGAGAAGAATCAGGGACTGTCTAGACTACTGGGCAAGTCCAGAAATCATAGCTAACAGTCAAGCCATATCGTTAAGGACCCCAGGTAGGTTTGATTTGCTTGTTGGTATTAGTATTTTTGTCATTTGAAAGGGATGATCCAATATGACTCTCCACATCATGCAGGGATCACAAACTAAAATGCTTACAGAGGCCAAGCAGATACCATAAGTGAGCAAAGCATGCTTGTGCCAGGAGGTAGTAGGGAACGGTGGCAATTATGGAAAATTACAGACCACATGACATACCTAAAAGAGACAGCTGCCTTTCAAGTCAGAGAGTTGTAGACATGTAGGAATTTGAGAACAAGATTGTGGAATATTCCATTTTCTAAGAAAATAAAAAAAATCCAGATTTTAGGTGAATTGTCCTAATGTTTTTATTTAGCAACAAATTCATTAAAAAAGAAAAAGCTGCATTTTATATATTCAACTTTTAATTAATATGAATATAACTAATCAGATAAAGTTCAACTATCTTCCATATTTACCATGAATACACAGCCAATGTGACTTCCTGCTAACTACCTGGTGTTAGAAATATGTGCTATGGAGAAATTAACTTTATTATTATTGTTATCATTTATGTCCTCCAAATAACTTTCCTGCAGAATGATTGGGCTAGAAGATTTACAGCTACCTTCTTGCTTCTTTATTTCCAATAACTTCTACTGATGAAAATACTAATATCGCTAGTGAAGTGTATATTTTGCCCCAAGTGGTAAGCTCTCCTATAATTTAGTCAACATGTTTTCCAAGAGGCTCAGGGAATCATTTGGCACTGGCTAACAGGATATTATACCTCTTTTTGACTTTCAAAACAATGTCCTATTGCCCCAAGCAAGCTTCACCACCTCATTTTAGATAATAAAAGTGGGAGAAGTTAGATGCTATTTTTTATATCTCATCACTGCTGATTTTAGTTAAACGGGCCATAGATCAGATGAGAACACCAAGAGTAGGTACCTTTGCCTGAATTTTTGCAGAATCAAGACCCTCGTAGAGGAGTAACTATAGTTCCTTAATAGAACCATCTCTAGACTAAATTATAAAGTCAAAAACTGTGCTTTTATCATTCTATCTCCCACCTCATAACCCTACCCCACCACATTTCAACACCCCTTTTTGGCACCAAAATTCCTGTCTGTTAACAATGATTTAAAATAACAATGTGTATCATCTCTCCTAAGAACGTTTGAACTTTAACATGAGACTTTTAATTGACATTCCTTCTACAGCATGGAATATAACTTGAAAGCTAAAATTTCTGATAGTACAGTGAGTGACGCAGGGCTGGAGGTAGGAGGGAACAATGCATTTCTTCCTACCACTTTCCTAAATGAATGCAGCACTTTGAAAATCGCTACCTGCTTTCCTGCGAATGAAGCTGACCTAGTGTTGAGTACCATTAATATTAAATATACATATAATACAAAAAAATATATATATAAATATACATATAATACAGAGAGATCCAAAGGTACCCATTCAGTCTCCTTTTGGCCAACCTCACCCAAGTTCCAAAGTTGAAAAGCCTTCCCCACTTCCTAGATGAAAAGAAATACACTCCAGGAATTTTTCACAGTTGTTGTAAACCTGTCATGCTTTTAAACCAAAAACAATGAAGGAATAATTGGAACAGATGGCAGACCTCATGGAGAATACATCCATTGAGAATACAGCTGTTGGAAAAATTTGTGAGATGTTTCTTTTATGATGAATTGACTCTTTACAAAAGATTAGTTGCTATTCAGGAAGATATGTGTGTGTGTGTGTGTGTGTGAAATATATATATGAAATATATATATATATATTTCAAGTGACATAATAACTTCCAATGTCATTTACTTCATTTAAGCAACAACAACAAAAACTTAAGTTAAAATATATTCAGATATTAAAAATTATCTGTACACTTCTAGTCTTGCCCTGACTAACTCCCTTATGGCTGCAAGCTCTGTCCCATAATCAAAGATTGGCAGAGTCACAACACAAAATTGAAGACTTTGCTTCTTAGAGACACTCAGGACAACAGCTCTGGAAATGTACCTCCTGAGAGATTTAAAGTAAAACTCTGAGAGAATAAGAGCATTTAAGGTTTGAACAGCTTACCAGGAGGCTGAAAATTATCTTTCTCAGAGACCAACTTTAAACAGAGATCAGATTTTCATCTGTCTGAAATGTTTTAGGTATTGCGCAGCCTGGAGGCAGAAGGAAAGCATCAGTCAACATTTACTGAGCACCCACTGTGTATGCTCCTAGGATTATTACTGCAACAACTAACATAAGAATCATTCTTACACTCTTCAAAGCACTTTCATGTACATTAAAGCAAAGTGCTCTTGGTTCACTTAATTGCTCACCTGCTATGGGTATATCAATGGTGCTAATTTTTACACTAGCCATTATTCTGAGGATATTTAAGCAAACAGCCAATATCTTTTAATTTTGTTTTCAATATCCATTTTTTTCACCAAAAATTCATACTCTTGATAAGCCATAATTTCACTCCAAAGCATTTTGCTCTTCTTTTAAACTTGCTTTTGAATGCTGACGATTATTTCAGGAAGTCTTACAAGGAAAACTGATAACAAATGACACAAATGTTAACCTTCTGTTTTTCTAACTTAACCATGCCATAGGACATAAGGCTTATGTAGGGGTGGGAGTAATGGTTGGGAACACTGTCGTGAAAACAACACTGAAAAGTAAGAAGTCAGGAAACTTGAGTTTGATTCTTGGCTGTGCCAGCAACTATCAGTTTCACTCATACTTTCAGTTCCTAAATTTCTTCCATTCTAAAATGGAATGTGTACTGAACTGTAAGTGGACTGGACTGTATCATTCCTAAGATTTCTTCTAGTCCTAAGATGCCTCATTTATCAATGTGCTTCCACCAAGAAAAACTTTAACATTTGCAAATAGAGAAAACCAGGGTGTACTACTTTTCTACTGAGTAGAAGAAATGCTAACAAGAGTTCTTCACATTCAAGGACAGATTAATTGAAAGAATCTTACTTTGCCTCTTCCTTTGCATTGATTAACCAAAATCCAGTATTGAGAAGCTATGTCTACAGGTAGATGTTGGCACTTTCCAACCCTTACATAATTAAAAGTTCAGTGGCATTACTAGGAGATAGAGAATAAATAATATTAATAAAGTCCTTGCAAATTTTCCAAACCTACCTGAATTTTGTAGGATATTTGAATTATTCAAAACCTACTCTTAAGTTTATCTTAATAGGTGCATTAATCAGTATGTACTAACCAACATCTGCAAATTTTCAGTGGCTTACACATTCAATGTTAATTTCTTGATCTTGCCACAGTCCAGTGCGGATTGAAAGAGAGGCTCTGCTTTCTTTCAATCCTTCTATTCAAAGTTCCTTCTATTCAAGTTCCTTCTATTTTGTGGTTCCATCATTCCTAGTGACTTGAAATCCTTTCCTTCTTGCTATATATTTGGAAAAAGAGAGAGAGCCAAAGATCATGTTGGGAAGACATCATCTTAGTTCCTATTGGCTAGAAACCAGTCACATAACCACACTGAACTGTAAGGGAGGTGGGAAATGTCTAGTTACTCCCCCTCAGAAGAAGAAATGGCACTGCTGGTCATCCAGCCAAGCCCAGTCACAATATGAGACAACAAAGAGCCTAGAAAAAAGTAAGGTCTAAATAACTGCTAACTTAAAAAATGTAACCACAATATCGATAAATTTGGAAAGTAGAAATGGAGACTTCATTTCTTCATAATTAAAGGGTGACAATCTGCAAGGTGGTCATCCCGTAGGCTGGAAAACATGTGTCCAACCAAGATCAAAGACAGGCACTTTGAAAAAAGAGGGGTTGGGGCAAGAGCTTTATGCCGAATGGGTTGGCTAAACATACATATTAAACTGGTTACAGGCGGAGCTATGAATATTTATGAAGATGATCCTGACACATGCATATTGAACAAAAATGCATGTAACATACAATCCTTGTCCACTTCGGGGTAGAGACTTAACATTTAATGGTTTTATAATTAGGTTCTATACGTCAAAATGTCTTGCAGGACACAATGGCATGCAAGGGTACACTCTCTTTAATCCAACCAGAACCAGTCTAAGGTCGGTGGTCTTCTTCTCTGGAGAAAGTTACTGAAATCAGGATCTTGTTTAATGAAAGGTATATCTGGTGGAACAGGGGCTGGAAGTCAGTGTCTAAGAGTTGGATGAGCTGTAGTTGTTTTAATATTGCTTATCTTGAGGCCAGTGCTTGTTTACCTCCTTGAGAAAAAGAAAAGCCTTGTAGCAGTTGGAGCATAGTTTATTTTTTAAGTCCAAGGCTGTGTGACTTAACCCTTGTCTGGCATGGCCTTCAGTTCTGTTTATAATTTGATATCTTATTGCCACAAATAGACTGCTCTGTCTGACCTCCCATTCCGGTATGGCTGCAAACTAAGTTCTTAAGCTTTTTCTGGGGTCCCTTTGGTTACAAAAGAGGGTCGTTCAGTCAATGGGGGCTTAGAATTTTATTTTTAGCTTACACAGTGAAATCTCTTGACATGTGAAAAGACTCATAATGATCTCACCAGAAACAAAGACATGTCATAGAATTCCTAGCTTTGCTTCTCCTTATTTAAAAGGAGCAAACAATCGGGGCCAAAGTTAATCTCAACATGTCAGCTATCTTCTTTCCAATTATATAGTGCCTTCAAAATATAGGAGTGAACTTTCCTGTCCTTTGCAAGTCAATTTGTGGATTGGGGTCTCACAACAGCCGTAACATAGTTATGACAAAGATGATAATTAAGAATACTTCTGGATGTCTTCTTCAACATTTTGGTGACCAATATCCAGATGGTTTTACTTCCAGGTTCTCCTTACCGGGATAAAATTACTATTGCTATTCTTCAACTCCAAGAAGAAGGGAAGCTGCATATGATGAAAGAGAAGTGGTGGCGTGGGAATGGCTGCCCCGAGGAAGACAACAAAGAAGCCAGTGCCCTGGGAGTGGAAAATATTGGAGGCATCTTCATTGTTCTGGCTGCCGGACTGGTCCTTTCTGTATTTGTAGCTATTGGAGAATTCATATACAAATCACGGAAGAATAATGATATTGAACAGGTGAGTCATCTCTTTCTAGGACTGGTTAGTTTATAGTTTGCATTATCTGTCTTAAGTTTGGGGGTTTTTAAGGATGTTTGCTCTTTTTCAGTCTATTGAATTAGATGCCCAGAAGAGCCATTTTTGAGTTAGAGCAGAGAGCTATTGAATCCCTGCCAGGTGCTGTGGGCACTGCAGGTCCATCATTTATTAACGACAAGGAAGGGGCTTATACACTAAATCCAATTAGCATTATTTGGAAAGACAGTGCAGAAATTCCAAACTCAGTTAATTTTTGAACTGTTGTTTGCTCGTAAGATAGAAACCCTAGATGGAAAAAGGCAAAAATAAATCCAAAATTGGAAAAGATATAAAAAGATATTTAACAGAAATGTTACCAGCCCTTAAGTATAGATTCTGAGCACATGTACTAATGCAAAACAATTTATATAAATATGTAAAAGTCATACTACGAAATTGAACACTTCTATCAAAGTAAGATTTGTAAAAGGATATATCACCTCAAATTTTTTTTTGCCAGGAATGTCATAAACAATACAAAATGAAAATGCAATGTATATGAGACTTTATTTTTCTAAATTGTGTTTGGGATTATAGGACAACTTTAGTAGTTGACCATTTTTGCCTACTACTTTTATTTCTGAAGGAAATCACACCATTTTTGAAGGAAATCAACTTACACTCTTTTGAAAAGGCTGATTGTGATTTAAGATAATTCCTTCATAACCATGCTAGAATAAACAAAATATAAAGTTTATGGTCATCATAGTGAATCAGGCTCTGCTTTGAATTTTTAAATATTGTTAGAATTTTAAGACTATGACTATTAATGACAGAGCCAGTTTAATGCTCTCCTGTCATCTTGAAATTCTAAATAATTTTTGAACAAAGTGTCCCATATTTTCATTTCGCACTGGACCCTGCAAATTATGTGGCTGGTTCTGATTAATAATCTGATAATAGATCCACTTTCTTTAAGTGGAAGCCCTCCTTAAGGGCCCAAAACTGGGGATGATTCATTATAACCTGGTTTCACATGAAAATCTTCCCCAGAATTACAAGGCAACTATGACAACAATGAACACCCCTTTCCAAAGCTCTTGTTATAAGAAGCTGTTTCTTTAATTCAAAGGGAGAATGAACTGATCTGCTTTAACTTTCAATTTGCTCTTGAGGTGTCTTGTTTTATGCAACTAATTTGGAAAATAAAAGCTTGTATATATGATGCTTTAATGTGCTTTTCATAGTTGCCAGCTTCATGTGATGTAAATTTTCATTTAAACATTCATTCTTGCTTCTGATTTATTCATTTTTCTATATTTTTTTCTCATTTCTTTTGCATGCAAGGCTTTTTGTTTCTTTTATGGACTGCAATGTAAGCAAACCCATCCAACCAACTCCACTTCTGGAACTACTTTATCTACGGATTTAGAATGTGGTAAATTAATTCGAGAGGAGAGAGGGATTCGAAAACAGTCCTCAGTTCATACTGTGTAATCAGTTTAAAAAAAAAAAAAAAGATGTGCCCAGTAGAAAATGTTTTTGCTAATTGGTGTTGTTGATATTTGTATTTGCTAAGCATAAATAGCCACAATTCTCTATTCCTTTAGGATAGCAAAACTCATGTATTCTAGACATTGAAATGAATACACTGGAAAGATACTTGCACTGTATGTTGAAGCAGGGGCATATTAGGGGTATAAAGACTTCTAGAAATGTGTATTTACAGGAATCTTCTCTGTCCCACTCATCATCTTAGTTCTATCTTCATGCATTAAAAATAAGTAACTCTTCCTTCATGAAAAAGGAGATTCAGACTTTCAACAGGGCAAAGCATGGAAACACGATGCTAATTCTATGGACTTCTTTTCATCTTTGTGAACTTTGTTCCCTCCTCTTTTCTTCTCCCTGTCTCATATATTGTGTAGATCTGCGTATTTTCAAACTACCCAAAACCCTTACCTTTTCAACAGTACACACATAACTCCATAACAATGTTAATTTTTAATTGAAACTGATTCCACGATTTAAAATGTATTATTTACACAAAGACTCAAAAGTGTCTTAGCATTTAAAGATTTAAAAACCGTGATCCACAGAAAGAAAACTAAACTTGAAACCTCTGGTGTCACAGAAGAGCACTAGCTATGTTGAACATCACTCATGGAAACAGAACACAGTCAAGAATAATTCCTGGGCAGAAATTCATTAACCTCAAACTCTCAAATAACATTTACTTGTAGAATTTAACAGTCTTCTGTAGGTTCTGAGTCTCTAAGGAATGGTGATATTTTTCAAGCTATATAGTACTTCTTTGAAGATCCCAGCAAAGTCCTAAGCTATGTACTAATTCATTTCTATTTACCACTCACTTTGCATTGATGAACATCTTTCTACGAGATGTTATTTCACTTCCTTCCCACTTACCCTAGATAGAGGGGTTGTTCTTGGAACAATCTTTTCTGAACATCACCATTTTCACAGTTATTTCTTTGGATCCATCATTATTATTAATTCATTTAAAGTATTCTGGGGAAACGGGCAAGAAGGAAAAAATAAAGGAAAGAATGTCCATACACATTAGTTACAGATCTCTGTAGATTCATTTTCCATCTGCATTCAAAGTGCTGTAAATAATTTCCATGCTAACTCAACCAGGTGACATAAAAAACCTCTTGCACATTTAATTTGTTGTGACAGAGAATATCTGATGATTCCTCACTAGTGAATAAGAGAGTTGAAGGTGTGTTTCATCTTTTCTAAATATGGGATCAGTTGGTCTTTATTCTTTTCTTAATGGGATTATCTTTTGACATATCAAGAAATCCCCTAAAGCACTTCCTTGAAGTAGAGATATGCCATCTGTGCAATCATACAGCATTTTACCTTCTCTTTGCTTAGCTTTAAATGGCTCCCAGTTTTGGAAGCCACAGGCTTCTCCAATCAACTGTATATTTCTCCAGTAAAGCATATTCAGGAAAGTTGACTAGTTGATTCTTATCCTGATTGTTTCTCAGCTTTGCTTCCTTCTTTAAAGAAATGTACTCAGAAGAAAATATCATAAATTACACTAACATTGTTTTATTATTATTAAACTAGAAGCAACATACTATTTGTCCCAGGTCAGAGTTCACATTTTCATAATCAATAGAATCAGATGTTGGGATGAATATGACATTATTCTTAGTTTCATATTTCATGGATTCAGTATATAGAAACCACAAATTTCCTAAGTTTACTCTCCCAAAGACAATTTAATAAACCAAAAATGCTACCAAAAGAGTTCAAGTGTGATTGATGAAGTATTGACAATCAAAATTAACAATAACTGACAAAACTTAACTTTCTGCAGAGACTATTACTTAAAAGTGTAATTCAGAGATTTGGATAAAGAAATGATCTCTTTCAAAAGTTAATATTTCTATACTACTTTAGACTGTATACTACCTAATTCTGACATTTATGTATTATTTTATAGTTTTCAAAATGTTTTCACATACATTACATTTGATCCTTTCAACAATTTAAATTCAGCTTTACTAACAGAGAAGTAGATATCCATCATCGACCTGTAGTTATAGATTTTAGAAGCAGAAGAAAATTTTCTAAAACAGCCAAACTTAGATTCAGGTTCTAGCAGAGCCACATGCTGAATGACTGCAGGCAAGTTACCAAACTTCTCAGTCTCAATTTCTTAATATGTAGCAGTGGGACAAAATTTCTGGAACACAAAGTTTTGTAGGGGTGTTTTTCAAAATGTGTTCAATTGGCAAATGTTTCTCAAATAGAATTTTCATAGTTAAATAACCCATAGAGCGTCACTCTAAATGTTCCTTTACTACATGCTATCTCAGTGTGCGTCACAAGTTTTTGCGCATTGAGAATTTTCAACAAAGTAGAAAAGTATTCAGCACTTCTGAAGCCTATTAGATTGCAGATTTTTTTCCCCACAGCATCTTGACAGACCAGTGTTCCACAGATCATCCTCAAGGGAACACAGGTATGATCATGTGAATCTCATCCCATAATAGTGTACAAGACATCTTGCATTGTGCTTGGCACATAGTAGCCACTCAATAAATAATTATGTATTCTTTAGAGTAAATTTCTAAGCCTCAATTTTCTTACTTGTAAAATGAAGGTAATATTATGGACTTTATACATTTACTATGATAATTAAATAAAATCATGGCATAGAAAATGAAATAATTAATAAAAGTCCTGTTAATATATATCCGTTAACAACTGTTGGTACCTTCTGGAGAAACTAAGTATTGTTCTCTGGTCACATGGGCAGTAACTAAAATTTATCAAGCATCTTAAAATGGAATCTGGTTTAGAAAATTGGTTTTCTAATTTAGAGGCTCAAGCTCTATCTCTAAGAGCAGTTTTTCTTGTACAAGCATTACAAATCAATGGCAGAGGTCACTGCACTCGAAAGAAGGACCCAAACTGGTAATATGTGAAGATCTATAGTAGAAGCTCTGGACCTCGTCTCTAGAAATTCTAATTTAATTAGTTGGGGCATGACAATGGTAATTTTTTCAGATGCCCAGTTGATTTTAATGTGCTGGAAACGCTGAGAACCACTAAGCTAAAGCACAAACTTATGTACATAATTAGAACTCAATAAATCATTGCTGTTGATTGCTTGATTGATTGCAGAGGTAGAGCCACTAATCCTATGCAGTATGTACAACACATGTTTGGCATTCAATCTGACAGACCCTTTCCACTTAGAATTCAGGAAAAACCTGCACAGCTTTGAGGTGGAAATTTTATGATATTCAATTGATATCATGATTAGTTTTAAAACTATAGAGCTAGATCAACTCAGAATTATCAAGTAGACAGTTTATTGCTCTCTCTGTACCCTTCCTTCCTGGAGAAATCTCAAGTACTTACTTTCTTCACACTTTTTTTTTTTTTTTTTTTTTTTTTTTTGAGATGGAGTCTTTCTCTGTCGCCCAGGCTGGAGTGCAGTCACGCCATCTTGGCTCACTGCAACCTCTGCCTCCTGGGTTCAAGCAATTCTCTTGCCTCAGCCTCCTGAGTAGCTGGGATTGCAGGCGTGCACCATCACGCCTGGCTAATTTTTGTATTTTTAGTAGAGACAGGAGTTTCGCCATGTTGGCCAAGCTGGTCTCAAACTCCTGACCTCAGGTGATCCACCCGCCTCGGCCCCCCAAAGTGCTGAGATTACAGCCATAAGCCTCCGCGCCCAGCCCACACTCTTCTCTTTCTCCCTTTATACTGATTCTCAACCAGTTCTTGCCATCATGTCAATGGATGCTAAGACCACAGTGACCCGACCAGGAACCACTGCATTTCAAGCGAACTGTAGAACAAAAGACTTGAATATGAAAGGAAAACAATTTTTTTTTCAAGCTTTATGTTTACATTATTAGTTCTCCTACTTTGGTGTAAATCAGAACCACCTGGGGAAATTATCCAAACTGCTGTTTACAGGCTCTACCTCTCGACCTTTCTCCTCAGTAGGAAGAGTCCAGGAATCTGCATTTACAATGAAGCCTGAAAGTGAATGACTAAAACTAGTTGTATACATTAGTTTTCATAAAAATTAGCTTGAACGTAGCAGTTTTTTCCCAAATTAAGTCACATACATGATTCCTTCTTAAAAGGATCTCCAATACAAGGGTGTTTTTATTTTTATTTTTTTAAATAGCTTTTCTTACATTTTTTTCCCCAACAATCCTAACGGTAGTTGCATTATTTAAAAGTAGATAGTAAACATGAGTTTTTATTAAAACTAGCTTGAATATAGTGGTTTTACTAGTTTTATTTCAGATTAGCTGTTGAGCATGAGTTTTTGTTAAATAATAACAGATTGTCTGTGGATTATACTTTGAAAAATACTGTTTAAGCTTAGCAGAGAGCAGGGAGGCATTAAAAGATTGAACAAGTGGCTGGTAGTGGTGGCTCACACCTGTAAGCCCAGGAGTTCAAGACCAGCCTGGGCAACATGGTGGGACCTCATCTCTATAAATCAATAAACAAACAAACAAAGACTGAACAAATGCATCAACAGCAATGAAACATAGTGTTGTCCAATTTGTTTCCTAATAAGTTTGCTTCTAACCTAATGAAATAAGGGAAAAAAATTAAGCTTTATATTTTACTTTGTTTTAAACTAAAATTATAAATTGAATTATTTTAGAGAGTTTTTCAAGCAAAATTGGAGCTATTTAAGGAATACATGGTGGGTAGGAATCTTGCCGTTGGGAAAATCAGCTGGATCATATGATTATAAACCTATCCAAGGAAAATTATTTCCAAATACCTCACTGCATTTGACTGATATTATATTATGTTCTGTATGAGCCATCTGTGGCAATGCAGTACTACAATGAATCCCAATTAGTTTCCAAGCACATGACCCTTATACCACAAGGTCTATTTCCTAGTAAGCAATTTAGAGAGTCTGAACAGCCTTTAACAGCAAAAGGAAAGCAAAGCAGTCTTACTTATTAGACTATTTTCTGAACATCTAACAGTGCCAAATGGTATTATTAATTAACTCTTGTAGATAATAAAAAAAAATTCTGCTTGATGCTGCAGTTTTAACTTGCCTTTAGGAAACATCTCATTATGCTTCTCACAGTTATGGAATTTTATGTCCATATGCACAAGCATTTTAAAATCATTTTTGCTTTTTCTAAGAAAATCATTTTTGCTTTTTCTAAGAAAATCAAATTTTCTAAGAATTTCTAATTGCAAAGATATGAACATCCTTGTGATAGAAAGTCAACATTACAAATGCAGTGTGTGAATTTGAAACCCTGCAGAATTTGAACTTTGTTGTTGTCAGCCCAAATACGGCTAATGGCCCAAAGTACACAACAATGTGTGTCCATGTTGCAATGCATACATCCAGATAAGACACAAAAATGAGTAAGACCTGGATGATGGAATAAAGTTACTGTATTTCCCCCTAGCAACTAAAATATTTTAATTTAACTTGACCAGAATTGTCTTTCTCCCCAGTTTTTCAACTGGAGGGTTTAGACTTAAAATATTCAAATATTCTGATTTTTCAACCTAAGACATGAAAGCAGTCCTGATCAGTTTACCAGCCACAAAAACCAAGAAATTACTGTCATTTGATAACCCACTCAACCTTGGTATTTATCTTTCCTCGGTGTTCCTTGGCATATTATCAGATGCTTCCAAGAGTCTTCAGTTCTATTTCTCTGGAGTCGGATCAACTTATTTAGCAAGTGATTTGCAAAAGTCTCTTTAATTAGGTTATTTTTGTAATCGTGCAAAGAGGTTTTCCTTTGCCTGAAAACTCAAACATTCATTAATTATTAGAAAAGCCAGGAAGCAATTAACATCAATTTAGAAATAACGTTTCTAATATACAAGTTGATGTTGTCTTATCAACCAAACGAACTCTGAACGATGGGCATGGCCCAATAGACAGGTGACTTGGGAATCACATGCCAAGAACTCAGGTTTCCACACTGCTGCTAAAGGGCTGTGTGTCTTTGGGCAAGTCATTTTACTTCCCTCAACCTCAGTTTCTTCATCTGTGGAATGAGGAGGTTGCATTTGAAGTTCTCTGCCAACCACAATATTGTTTGACTCTAGTAGAAAATGGGAAGGAAATAAAAACAAAAAACATAGAAGCAGTGATAAAAAGAGATTTTTGTTTCTACATTTCTTTATATGGTTATGTGTCTCTCTTGGACACATGAAATTCTTATTGCCATCAGAATGACTGTGTCCTGCCAGTACTTCAAGGCAGAAAGGCCTCCCCTGGATATAGAGAAAATGGCCCCACTAGCCATCATGACATCAAGAAGCAAGAAGGTTCCCATCTAATGAATCATAAGCAAATCATTACAGACAGAGTGAATTTTACAGAAGTAGAATTGTTCTTGACCTTAATGAGCCTACAGACCAGGTAAAACAAGACAAAAAAGAGATACGTACCTAGGAAGCTATTTGAAGCTGTAGAAATGAATACACATTCACAATTCACAAAAGAGGATGATAAATGAGACTGGACCTCATAGGAAGACTCTCTCTATTCTGTAAGTGTAACTTAGTGTTTCTTCTAAAGACAGACAAGGAGAAATAAAGAGGACAGAGTGCATTTATTTTCTATTGTTTTTATCCCTACCCTTCTTCCTACCATCAAGTATGGGAGTTTTTATATGAACTGTTCTCAAACTAAAAATGAGTTAAACTTTTAGCTTTTGAGATGTTAAGTAGTCCTTGCAGATTTGTAGCACAGAGAAAAATCTTGGAAACCATGGTTTTTAATTGCAAGATCCAGATGTTTCATTGAATATGTAAGTTGTTATAATTCAAAAAAGTTTATCTATAATTGGCCAGAGCCAAAACCCAAAAGGCTAAGGTTGGAGAAACAGAGATAATGATATTTTACTACCTGATTTACCTACCCCAGACCAGATTCTGACCATTAGGAAAGAGAAAATTGGAGGAAAGTCACAAAGGTTAGATACTACCTTAATCTCTGTGAGGAGGCTATTCCTAAACCACTTACCATCTCTGAGCCAAGTTCACACTTGGGAGGATGAAGAAGAATAGAAACCACAGAAAAATTAAAAGGGAATCCTGGACAGAAAATGCCATTTTTACTTCACAGGGTGAAGGGCCAGGAGGTGATAAGACTTGTAGAGACATTTTGTATGCCACTGTCTCCGGAATGGCAGAATAACAGCGTGTAGGCAGTGAAGCTATGGAATGTTTCATACATAGTGTCTTCCTCAATCTCAGAGAATGCAGGGAAAACAGCCAAAAATCCATGGCTCTTCTCACCCAAGAGGCATGTGTGGAAGGGCTGAGAGAACCAGTGGACTGGAAGACTTGAGGTTAGAGCGGGAAAGACACAGGGTGTGTGGATGTGACACTGGGACCATGGTCATCTCAGAGGGCACAGCAGAGACAGAAATCAGTGTTCATGACCTAGTAGGATGTCACATCCCCATGGAAGACAAAAGGACAGAGGGTGGCCTTGGACTAGCTGATCCTGGGCCCTCTAGACACTTCTCCTTATCCCAGCTGACCCTTGGAAAGAAGAGAAGAGAGAAGGGATGTGGAGAGAGGCTTGCATTAACTAAAACATTAACCAAAAGAAAGCATTTTAAACCAAAAGTGAATTAATTACCTTGAGTTGATAAGACACACTAGCAGATGGGGAACCTCTAAGCTAAGGTGAGTTCTATTTTTTTAAATAGTATCACATAATTTGTTTGCAAATCCAAGTTTGTAGCTTGAGAAAAATGCATTCCCACTACCATAGGCATAAACTGGTACCCCGAAAACTATGCATGTAGTGCATACGTGCACTGTGGACAACTAACACCCTACACATCACGGTCAGTTTAGCTTAAAGGTAGGGCCCTGAAAGCTATGCGTGTAGTGCATACGTGCACTGTGGACAACTAACACCCTACACATCACGATCAGTTTAGCTTAAAGGTAGTGCCATTCCCTGTAGAGAAAGGGCATGCAAAGAATTTCTTGGAAGTTTATTTTATGGCCCTAATTCAGCCTCTGAAATGCAATAAAACAAAAACAAAAAACAAAAAAATCAAGCGTTTTCCATGAGGTGAGGGAAAGCCAATCCATGCAGAATCCTCTCAGGCCTTCAGTGCAGGAAGCCAGAGGGAAGCTAGAGGGCCAAGGCACAAAGCCACACTGGCCTCTGACAGTGACTCTGAAGAGGAGAAAGGCACTGTGTGGTTTGGATTGAAGGACAAACCCACATTTCTGCCACTTTTAAGCAAGAAGAGCTGCTTACTTCCAGGTATACAAGGCCCACTGGAAGCTTATCCTCACTGCAGGAATATCTCTCTGTTCTCTGCTCATAGCACTGGACTGGGCCATGTTTCATGCTCCCTTTTATACCATCAGCTATTCATGTGTCCTTTCTAGGGCAGGAAAATGTTTTAGCTGCTCTGGAGCACCCTTGGGAGGCCATGGGAGTCTCAGAGGACAGTTTCAGGCTGGCCTGATGGCATACCCCACTGACACTTCTCTGCTCCATTAACTGCCTCTTCTGAATGCCTGAGACAGAGACTGGGCTATGGTTTCCCTGTGTTCTCAGGTCCCCACACCTATCAGGCTGCATGGGAGTTTGCCCCCAGAGAAGGCAGAGGAGGTGCCCCTCCTCAGATCTCCCTTGGCATCTAGGCTTTGGTCAAGATTCTCACATCACCTGATTGAACTTTTCTCCTTGAGAGCAGCTACGAGACAACCCTTTCTTTACACTCCATCCTCAGTCCTATAGGCTGAGTCCTGAAGCCTCTAAGCTTGATATTTAATGTCAAACTTTTACAATTCAAAGTACCTGCCTTTTCCTTGTTTCAAACACCTGACTGTTGTAATTAATAGCTTCAAAGACTGCAGCGTCTTCTACAGATCCACAAAAGTCCATTTAAAAAGCTCAAAGCTCCAAATTTGAGTCTTTTTTCTTTCTATATCATCCCTACCCTGAAGATAATGCATATAAAAGCACTTGCTGTAACTTGAAAAGTGAGAAAAAGGACTGGGATTCAGAAGAACTGGAAAAAAGCACACAGAGTAATATCAAAATATTACAGGGCCTCAATGTTAACTCCACTTTTCAAAGTTTTCCATGACATTATCCCTAACGTTAGCGGAGGATGAACTTACACATCCCCTACTTGTCAGGAATGTGCACTGGGTAGCCCTGCGTGGCCACCCCATGTGCAAAATTTTTTAAGGATCATTTTTTAAAATTAAGAATCCCTATGGATTGTGCATGCCATTTAAAAATAGACTATTTTTCTGTTGAGAGAATAAGGTTTCTAAATGAAATCTTTAAATAAAGATGAACAACAGGAGGAAGACACTTGTGTATCTGATGTCATGGAGTAACCCTGTGACCCTCATAGGTATATTTTTATGGTTTAAAGAGCTCATTTAGGAGAACAAGGAATTCTAGGGCATGCGTTCATGCAAACAGAGAAACTTAAATCTAGGATCTGAGATGGTAAGGATGTTGGCATCAGGTCCCAGGTGTGGGAACAAAAATTAAATAGAGCAGAAGAGACAACATGGAGGTAATGAAAACATGACATTAGCAAACACGGGAAAAAGGAGTTCATGAAGTCTACATGCTGTAGCCAAAGGAAAGGAAGACAGGGGCTTTCGAGAGTCATTTCCCATGGGGAGCCAGTTTAAAGCTTTAAAGTTGCAAGAAAACGGGCCAGGCAAGACGTGGCTGCTGGGTCACAGGTGGAGATTAGTATGGGCGACCACACTTGTACATTTTATTTCAGTGGCTAGACTTCCTTCACCCCAACATTCTTTACACGGACCCAGGAGATGAGAATCAGCTTTCTCATTAGCTCTCAGGCACAAATCAACATAACCACTATTCTAAAAGCTAATATGGTGATCAACACTCAACCTCTAGGATTCACTTTTTTTAAATTCCAAGGATGGGTGCATAAAAGATGGCCCATGGGTTGTGAATGCGCTCAGAAAATGGATCAAACCACAGGAAATGCTGCCCAAATCCTCAGTTCTGGAATGCAAAAACTTCCCACAAGGGTAGTACACATAAAACTACTCCAAAAATCTCCTTCCACCTGCCTTCACATAATTAGTGAGAGATGATTAAAGCCTGACCTCTGCTCTTAGATCATTAATTCTCTTGGAAGGGAGTGAAATCTGTGGACAGATAGGTGACCAGACTGTACAAGTCTCTATGTTGCAAATCCCTAAATACAATTCTTCTGTTCCTATTCCTTAAAAACTTTCCTGACTGTATCCTCAAACCATCCTAGGTTTGCTCCTACACTAGAGCTTAGAGTTAAAAAATGTTAAGGAAGTGAAGTTTTTGTCTTTCTTTAAAAAATATAATCATTGAGACACTGGCTCCACAGAACTACAGCAGGAATTTGACCAAGACAAAAAAAAATAGTAATAATAATCCCATTATTTTTCAGGAAACTATTTCTTTAATAGTCTACATTTTACTGAAATTGTCTTTATAAAAATACTCCAAATCATAGCTTGCTTTCAACTTATGGTAGGTCTATACATAAAATGCAAGGTTTTACATCTATACAATGACAATAATATCCTCTTTCTTCCTTTTTCCTACATCCTTTTTCTTCCATGTGTAATGTGAAAATTTATCAGACTGTGTCACAGAGCACTTCAAGTGCCTTTGAATAAGGAGCCTATTAAAGGGAGAAACCTATACAAAATGTAAGATTTGTATTGTATTATTGGCTAGGCCAGAGCTTCTGAAAAATAATTCCTCAGAAAAATCCTCAAGGGTATAAGCATCCAAAGCAGTTCTCTGAAATGTTTACCTATACCTACCAATGAATGAAAGATGTGAATGTATAAATGCTAAATCTACAATGAGAAATCAATCTGACATTCACAATCTGATGTCAAGTTTGCAACCAGTATGAAAGTCAATTCCATATAGTCTAGTTTTTTGAATACTGCAAACTCAAATCCAATTCTTGCCCAGAGCTTTATCTATAACTTAAAAAAATTGTTATTTTCCCCTGAATCATTCTTCGTGAGGCAGAGTATTTTAGGTACAAAACAAATAGAACTTTATTAGTCCCTCCCACCCCATCCAGGGCAACATTTGCAACGGAAGGATAAAGGTGTAAAGAGAAGATATAATTTATATTCAGGCTCACACAAGCTTCAAGAAATCAAACATTTGAGGTTAATTCAAAGGAGGTGCCATGAAGCCAGCAATTAAAAAAGAAACAAACCAAAAGGGAAGGTAAAAGAAAGCAAAGAAGACAGAATATGAAAGAAAAGGGGGTCCTTAGGGACACACCACAAGCATGGAGGGATCAGAGTAGAGAAATAACTTTCTGCAAAACTGAAATAAACAAGCAAATCTCTCTCCTTCTAAAGCCAAGAGTTTTAGTTGAAGTTTCTATTTCAATCTCTACTAGACTAACTTGTGTTTCTCCATTTCCTTTCCTCTAAAGGAAAGGTCACACACACACACACACACACACTCTACATTATTTTTGGATAATGTCAGAAACAGCATAAATGGCAAGAACATACTTTATTACTATAAATTCATTTGTAAATGAATTTTTCTATCAGACATTATTATAAAGGTTCATTTATTAATAGATGGTTCATAAGCACAGAGATGGAATTTTTAAATTGCCGGGGACTGTGGTGAGCTTTTATTTCCTTCTGATGTTGGAGTGCCTATGTATAAAGCACAATACAAGTTGTCATAATGCCTACAACTACATAGACACAGAAACATGGACTGGGCAAAAGAAGTGGTAATAGGCATTGAAAATTTATGTTTTAACACCTATGGGAACTATTTTAACTAAAACACTAGTATAAGCAACTCAAAGGAATTGCTGCACAGATGTGCATCAGATGGCTCAAATTAAAGAACCATCAACCTTTTCATTGTATCTCTCCCACAAAAAAAAAAAAAAAAAAAAAGACCGTGAGTGCAATGAATGGCATAGAGTTAAAATATATACTATGGTATATAAAACTTTATTTTAAAGAAAGAGCATACTTAAAATATGCCACCCATTGGACTGTTTTGCATATAACAGTACATTGAATTATCATAATAGTTCTATGAAAATGATTCTACTATTGTCTCACTTTATACATAAGGAAACTGAGTCCAAGAGAAAATAAATACCTTGCCCGGTGTAACCTGGCTACTAGGAAGTATAGCTGAAATTAAAACTCATTCTGATACCAGGCACCAATTCTAAACTGTAATTAAAAGTCACTTGTAGGCCGGACACGGTGGCTTACGCCTGTAATCCCAGCACTTTGCAAGGCCAAGGGGGGTGGATCATGAGGTCAGGAGATCAAGACCATCCCGGCCAACGTGGTGAAACCACATCTCTACTAAAAATACAAAAATTAGCCGCGTGTGGTGGCGCGCACCTGTAGTCCCAGCTACTCGGGAGGCTGAGGCAGGAGAATCGCTTGAACACAGGAGACAGAAGTTGCAGTGAGCCAAGTTGGCACCACTGCACTCCAGCCTGGTGACAGAGTGAGACTCTGTCAAAAAAAAAAAAAAAAAATCAAGTGCAAGTGTAGATTTATTAGAAATGTGAACTCCATCACATTTTTAATCCAGGCCCCAGATCCAGGCTACTGGAGGACTTTCCAGTATGCAAAGTACCAGAAAATACTACCTGAGTATCCCGCCTCCTTTTGCAGTACGTCTTGAGTAAGGCAGCTAGCTGAATGCCATTATGTTTGATACTTTCTCATGAAAGTAGGATTTAGGAATTTAAACCAACATACTTTAAAATAATGTTTCTATGGCTCTGTGAATATGAAAAACCCAAGCCTACAAACAGAAGTTTTAGAAAGCTACAGTCATTTTGGTCCCAGTTCAGAAGCTCAATCTTTATATGTATCCTTAATTCTGAGATCATAAAAGGCAAATTAATTAATGAATATGAGCCCCTCCCAAGCCACTCTGGGCTGAAAGATGACCTTCACAATTTCATTTCCTGTGGATCCAAGAATGTGTGGTTTACTCAAGCTCATGGCTGGGAGAGGCCTTAAAGGTCACCTTTCCTTGTGACTACAGCAAAAACTTGGAGGCAGAAAGGTCAGCCCCAATATCTTGCCATTTTCTTTTCAACAGTCAGAGACAAAGTGAGAATCAAAAAGAAATCATTGTTTGCAACCAAAGACCAAGAAAGCCGCCCACTGATAAAACTATGTTTATATTTGCTCTCACACAAGCAGCAAGAAATAAATACTTGGAGTTAGTCAAGAGTAAAGATGTTTGTTGTACTTTAAGGCAGTCTAAAATCTGGGGGAGGAGTTCCTTTTTTGAAAAAATAAACTTAGTTGAAACAGATTGTCAGGTAATATCTATGACCACTCTTCTACCCAAAATAGGGAAAAGAGGTTTCAATGAGACCTTCCTCTGTGTGTGTCAAGTCACAGTCAGAGATTCATTTGGGCGATTTCAATGTAAAATGAAGTGACATGCCTAAAATCAAATGCTTGAGAGTTCAAGTAAAGCAGAAAGATTGGAATTTCTTAACATAATGGTTTTTGGGAAAATTCACAAAAAGCTATCTATAGTGATAAAAAATATTTTTAAAAGGTAATGTGTAGATGATTTCTCATGAAAGCTCTTGGTTTGGGCAGTCCAGATATACTGAGTTCAAATGCAAGCTCTTTTTCTTGGGTAAGTTACTTAATGTCTCCAATAGTAAATTTCCCCATCTATATAAAGGGTATAATATGTAATAAAGTTTGCAAACTTCTTGACACTCTTTTCTTTCCTCCTTTCGTTCCTTCCATTTTAATGCCAAAAATATTTCTTCCATTGAAATAAATTTCTGAGCAAAGTTTGCAAAACTCTGATACAATACTATATATCACAATTACACTATAAAATATTAATTTGCTCTTAGTAGCAACACACAAGCTTTATATGGTGTAATGTTAACAAATTATTATATTTCATTCATGATATACAGACATGATGTTTTGACTTACAATTTTTTGACTTTGCAGTGGAACGGAAGTGATACACAGACTAGACAAACCATACTTTAAGTGCCCATACAACCATTCTGTGTTTTACTTTCAGCACGGTATTCAATAAACAAATTATATGACAGAGTCAACACTGTATTATAAAATGGGCTGGATAGATAATTTTGCCCAACTGTAGGCTAGTGTAAGTGTTCCATGTGTGTATAAGGTAAGCTAGGCTAAACTGTAAGTTAGGTGTATTAAATGCAATTTCTCCTTAATATCTTCAGCATACATTGTGTGTATTGAGACACAACCCCATAGTAAGTGAGAAGCATCTGTACTTGCTATAACATTTTTTAAGTATAGTTCATAAAAAACTTTCTGACGTTTTTCTTTGTGTGGCATGACACCCCTCCCAATTCACTGAAGCCACAACTTACTGTTTGAAAGAAAATTAGCACACATGACATGAGTTTTTATGTTTCTGTATTACAGGAAAATGGAAGTGAAATTCAAATCCTATAAACACTTATGCTTAAAAGAGATAAAAAGTTTTATTCAAAGAACCAGTTTTTTAAGAGACATACATCTGATAGGCCAATAGTTTACACCTAGAACCTAAATTCTAGGCCTGGTTTTGAAATCAAGTAGAAAAAATTTAAAAATAGAAAAATTAAAACTACTACTTCTCTAAACTACATCAAGTTATTTTTGGAACAAAACGAACATTTTCAAATACACATGTTGCATGCTGATACACAAGAAACACACTAGATGTTTAGTACTTTGCAAACATAGAACACAAATTTCTTCCCGTAAGGCAGTTACAACTTAGACACATTACCTGGTGGCACACTGTCATTTGACTTTCAACCATATCCATTTTGTGTGCTAAGGTTAAAAAAGTATGCTTGCACTTCTATAACCTTTACCAAAGGCTATGGTTTTTAGAGGATTTTTTTTTTATTGTGATAAAAACACTTGAGATCTAACCGCTTAAAAATGTCTAAGTGTTCAAGACGATATTAACTATAGGCACAATGTTGTACAGAAGATCTCCAGAACTTATTTATCTTGCATAATTGAAACCTTATATCCCCTTGAGCAGCAACTGCCCCCATTTCCCTTCCTCCCAGCCTTTGGCAACTACCATTCTCCTCTCTGTTTTCATGACTTTGACTATTTTAGATGTTTCATATAAGTGGAATCATGCTGCCTTTGTCCTCCTGTGCTGGCTCATATCACTAGAGGATGTTTTAAGAGTGACCTCATCAAAAAGAAAACTACTTTTTAGAAATTTCTCTAACCAGGACATTATAGAAATTTCTCTGAGCAGGAATTTTTCACTCAAAGGTCTTATCTTGGCTAGAAAAATGACAGCAAATTATGTTTTATTGGTCCATTTATGTACTATGCATGTGAACAGATATAGCATAATTGCAATGCAGATTATATATATTGTCTGTATATGTAGAACATTTTTTAATCATAATTCCGTTTTCCATTTTCTTTTGTATTATGCCATCGTTTTTGCTGTGAAGTTCAGTACCACATTATTTTTCATTTCGACCACAGCTGCATCATTGCTGCTGCCAGAATCTCTGTTTTTTGGAGAAAATGTACAATTTAAAATTGTTTTTTTTTCTTTTTTTTTTATCAGAAAGGAAAGTCATCAAGAATTAGATTTTATTTTAGGAACAAAGTAAGGTTTCATGGGAGAAAAAAACAAAGCCTTGGTGTAGAGAAGGTTTGTTCATTTTCTATAGCATTACTGAAGTGTCCGTATGCCTTGATAATCCTATCAATGTTTGGATCATCTCAGTGGGGGAAATGACTTAATTTAACTCTATTTTGGTGTCTCAGCAAAGGTAAGTTATCTATTTTGAGAGCCCTGAGTTTGCTTTAACTGGGTAGTTTTATACTACTGCATTTGTGAATGAAATCCCAAAGTTTGCCCAGCTAACTTGCCATCTCAGTTTCCCCGATTAGAAAAGGTGGGTGGCCAGCGGGTGGAGGAGGAGGTGATGGGAACTGGCCAATTGTGACAGAGCTGCCTTCAAGCCAATATCTTGTGTTCATAAATACCTAGGCAAGAGGCAGGTCAACGGCACATGCGATAGGCTTAATTAAGCTGATGGTCTGTATCTCATGTTCCCTAGTGTCTCTCTTTCAACGCTATCATGGAAGAACTGGGAATCTCACTGAAGAATCAGAAAAAAATAAAGAAAAAGTCAAGAACTAAGGGGAAATCTTCCTTCACAAGTATCCTTACTTGTCATCAGAGACGAACTCAGAGAAAAGAGACTGTGGCGTGATCCAAGGAAACGCCTGTAGGAAGAAAAAGGATGCATTCCCTACAGATTTTTGGAGAAAGGATTTCTGAGGAGTGTGTGATGTGTTTCCATATATCTATATCCATAACTCTGATTATGAATACAGATATAAGAAATACAAAAGTTTAAAAAGCTCACATAGATATGACTTGGGAAGTGACACCAGTTCTTTTAAAATAAATTTGTATGCTCAATTATTTTGCATTTTTTCTTTTTCCCCAATAAATTGTTGTGTGTGCTTTCTAAATAATAATAAAACAACAGGGTTTTTTTCCAGAACAAGTTGAGCTTGGTTTGTTCCCCATTACTTGCTCCCATTGGCAAAGGTGTGTTTGCTGTATGTCGTCAGTTGTGCAGTTTGCTATTTTGAAAATTCTTCTTATTGGTTTAGACAAACATAGTCATTTTGGGCTGAGTTTTAAAAATTACTTTTAGTTTATACCAAGTTACCTAGTTACTATGTGAACCAATTTATCTTTGTGTTCTAAAGTCTAATTTTATAAATAGTTTAAATGATACTCAGAACATTAGTGAAGTGCGCTGGAAAAGGATACCAGAAAGCAAAAATACATTCAAAAAGTAAAGGTGTTCGCCACATTCTAGGCACCATTCTAGGTTCTGGGGGTCCCATACTGAAGAAAACAGATATGGTCCCTGTATTAGTTCATTTTCATGCTGCTGACAGACATACCCAAGACTGGGTAATTTATAAAGAAAAAGAGGTTTAATGGACTCACTGTTCCATATGGCTGGGGAGGCTTCACAATCATGGCAGAAGGTGAAAGGCACATCTTACATGGTGGCAGGCAAGAGAGAATGAGAGCCAAGCAAAACAGGAAACCCCTTATAAAACCATCAGATCTCATGAGAATTATTCACTACCACAAGAATAGTATGGAGGAAACCGCCGCCATGATTCAATTATCTCCCGCCAAATTCCTCCTACAACACGTGGGAATTATGGGAGCTAAAATTCAAGATGAGATTTAGGTGGGGACACAGCCAAACCATATCAGTCCCTGTTCTCACATAATTAATTATAAAACAAAGATGAAAAACAGTATATTACTCAAAGCAGGATTAGAACTTCCTCAGAGGAAGTCCAAAACTGAAGGAGCCCTCAGAAGTATTTAACCTGGGGCTGGGTCAAGAAGGGCTTCCTGGAGAAGGGAATAGCTAACTGAAGATTTGCAGGTTCACTCAGATATTATCAGGTGAAAGGAGCCAGGCTGAGGACGCGGCATATTAGAAGGCATGGAAATAAGAGAGAATAGGGCTATTATGTTAGAGGAAAAATGAGTTTGGTGTAGCTAAAATATAAAATGCAAGTAAGTCCAATAGGCCTGATAGGTAGCAGTCACTCTGGCTGAGGGTAGAGGAAGAATTGAAGGAAAGAAGACCAGAAGGGAGACTAGAGGGAGGTCACCCAAAATATTCTTTCAGTAACTGCACCAGACCAAAAGCAGAGAGACCACCAGATGAAGGAGGTAATTTTGAAGCACAATCCGAACAGCCATGGATTCAGAAAGTGGTCTCAAAGGAAAATTCCAGGATTCAGGGAGGTGGGAGGAGAGCTTAACTGGAAAATTGAGGTGGCATTCATTGTGTTGGGAAATAATGGAAAGAAATAGGTATTAGTCAGTATTTCATACAACTGGTTGGTTTCTTCAGGATTATTCTACATCTCTAGGAAACTTAATCTAGTCCTTCAAAGTACAAAAATATTTTCAGACATGAAAGGGAAAAATAATGATCTTAAAAATGGCAATAACAATAACAGATATTGGACAAAGGTTTTGCTTGATTGTAATCAATATTCAGATTTCATATCAATCAGAATTTTTATTGACAACAAATAGAAGAAAATCGTTCATTAAAATGCATTAGAAGACTTAAATTAAACATTTATAAATTGGAGTATGATGAATCTGACCAGCTAAAGATGGTCTAGAATGATAACATATCAGAAGGAGGAAATACAAAGTTTATTCACTTCACTAAAAATTATATCCAAGGCATTCTATTTTACATTTTCTAATATTTTTCTCCCATTTTTAAATTTTTCTCTTATTTTAGAAAATATTACTCTATCTTTTCACATACTATTACAGAAATTTGTGAGAAAAGAAGTACATCAACCTCTAATATCTAAAATATATAGTATATCAATCTGGTTTATGGATATTTTAAGATCCACCAGCCTCTTTCGTCTTCACTTATACATAACTAAATTTTCATTCAATACATATAACACTTGCTATAAATAACTTCATTAAAAATATATTGAAAAACTGTAGAACAGGACTTTTTTAATGTCAACTATTAAATGTAATGCATAATCACCTTCCTTTCTCCCTGATATTTTCATTCTGAAAGTACATTTGACACATACAAATGTACCTACGTTTCTGTGTGCATCTTTGTGTTTTAGGGTGAAGAAGAGAGTAAGCTAATGAGTTCAGAGGAGAGAAGAAAGTGTAGAGTATCTGGAACCCAGTCCAGAAAAATTCCTGGTAACAACCATTAACCTTGGAGATTTTCATCCCTTTCACTAAAGAACAGTGACTCATACAGAGTTATGTAGAAATCAATGGCGAAGTTAATTAAAAACTAGATTTAACATTTCTTCCTTCAGCAATTTCTTAGTGCTAAAAGAAAAAGATTGCCCAGGTGAGATATTCAGGGAAACAAATGGAGGTCAGCTGTTTTGAAAGATGATGTTCACAGTTAAGATTTATTCTCCTTTCAGATTTCGAATCTGGGCTTCATCTTTATTGTAGGAGAAAAGGCAAGACCCCACAGAGTTGGAGATATAGTGCAGGGCTCAAAGTTTTTTATTCTTAGCCTAAAAGAAGCTGCAGGAAGACAGAAATAAGGAGAAAGTAGCTTAAAGAAAACTAGATGAAGATAAAATAGAACTAACTAGCTTTTTCCCCCTCTATCTCAGCAGCTATGGCTTTAATTTAACCCTTTGCCTTCAACAAAAGGACTACATGGGTTCTTAGTCAAGAATCTGCTGAAATTGTTGTTTCAAAGAAGGAATAATGTAAAGGGTAACAGCATCAGCTCAGGGAAAGGTAGCTCTGGGAGCTATCCTTGTAGTGGGATTTTTAAAGAAACATAAAATCTACCTTTTCTAAAATGTATGGCCCACCAGATGTTCCCCAACATCAGAGAGGCCATGGTTGAGTAAAAATTGGAGCATTGACTGAAGGAAGCCCAAGTGACAATCTGCTTAGTTGATGCCTCCAGCCTAGAAGAATGAGAAGAGAACAAGCATTAACTGGTCAAGGATGTCCAAAGGAAAAAGTGACAAATGTATGCAGGGCTAGAGCAAGCAAGGTAATGGAATGTCCGGAGAAAGCTCCTATGGATGTGTGGAAGAAGTAATGAAGGGAGAGGCTGGGACCTCAAAGGTACACTAAGTTCTCAGTTTTGTTCAGGTCTAGTTCTGTATAGGAAGGGGAACTTTTTCTGGTTAGACTGTATTTTTAAAATAATGACAGTGTGGAAGAAAGAAACAGAGGGAAATAGGAACAGTAAATCCACCAGAGTGGAGACAGACCTCCTGTGTTTACAAGTAATAACTCAAAGTCCCATAAGCCTTGGGAGTGAAATGACCAGCATTAAACCATCCTGACATGTGAACATCTAGAAATCCAGAAACAAGCAGGCTGGCTTTGTAGGTGAGTGCACTCTTAGTCATGTCACAGGTGCACTGGAGAGACTTGTGTTTAAGATTTACCCACAAAATATCCAATTAGAGAAGCTTCTTCCATTTTAGAGAGACTGCTTGGTAAATGGAGACTTCAAAATGGATTTGTGTGCAGGTATTGTCTGATGTGTTTGTTTGTTTGTTTACAGTTGTATCCTTCTTCCTTCTTTTCCCTCCCCATTTCCCATCCATTTTTCTTTTTTGGGAGAGTAACCAGACATTCTAGTTTGCCCAGAACATTAGGCATTAAGCCTGAAATCAAGGTCTATAGGTTAAACACTATTTTCTCTCACAAAAGTGTCCTGATTTGGACAATAAATCATAAGACATTTTACTCATTAGTCCCTAGCTTTCTCTTCTTGGCAGCCACAGAGTTCTACTAATAAAGTTGAAACCTTCACTGATGAAAAAATAGGGGTCCAATCCAAAGGAGCCAACAGAAGGCAAGGGACCTCCACCCTGCATCACAGTAATCAGGATGACCCCGAGGAGTCAGACCAACCTTGACATTTCATCTGGACTTTATGAGAAATATATACATATATAAAAATGTATATGTATCTTCTATATACAAAAAGAGAAAATACATTGCCTTAGTCTCATTTGGGATACACTCTCAGTAAATTATCAAGCTCACATCATCAGGTAACATTAACAACTGTAATTTCAGCTATCATTTAACAAGGATGTACTAAATCCAAGTGCTTTGCGTGTCCTTCACATTTGCTCATGTAATGCTCATAGAAACCCTAAGGTAAATATTATATTTTTAAAAACTGAGGTTCCGAGAGGTTAGATAGCTTGTCCAAGATCACTTAACTATAAAGTGGCGAATGGTACAACACTACCCCCTGCCCCGCCACAGCATCAAAACCAGACCCCACTCCCTACTAACCCTTAGAGACCAAGTAGCATTGACCAAACCTATGGAGACCCTGGGCATACATGATCTCGAGTGTCCTCTCAGCCTCAGTGTATGAGGCTGGCACTCTGCATTATCATCTGCATTACACAAAAAGAAACTGCAAGAGAAGACATTAGTAGCTAACCCAAGGACAGACTGCCTGTTGGTTAAAGAACAAGATTCTGACTTCAATCTGTCAGAGTCCAGAGCACGGGTTCTTAACTAAGGCATGTTACAATATTTTTTTTGTTTTAATGCAAATTTTGACTCAATTTTAAAAGAACTATCCATAGGGTAATTAGTTGCCTACCACCATCACTTAGTAAAATAGATGGAGAGATAGCCATCAGTGTTTCCTCGATACAATATTTAAGCATACCAGTGCATTGCCAAGGTGCTTAAGTAGGAAAATGTCATTTCTAACCTTAATATTTAATAAAATAAAGTGCCCACCACTTAGTCTTCGGAATAGTTGTGCTATTGATTTATTACTTCTCATTCCTAAAGTGAGCCATTCAAGTCATATGGATGTCATGATGTGATAATTCCAGTGAGTGTCTCAAACTTTACTGTTTCCAACGGTCTCATAGGAGACTATTATATTGTAAACTTCCAGCTGATTATAAACTTCTAGAAGGGTTAATCCAAATATTCCTTTTAAATTCCAATCACTCTATATAAATTGTTCATCCTCTTGCATACAGTACACAATAAATGCAGACTTACTGAATAAAGAATGGACAACCCCTTAAGCAAGTGCCACACAGACACCTGCCACAGATTTTGAACAAAATATAGTCCCTGCCTTTGATAATATTAGAATTAAATAGGTAACGTTTCAAATCTGATGCTTTGTTGAGACACTTGATTTTTATAGACCATGATTGTGGATGTCATTGAGTTTTCCTCAGATTTGCATCTCCATCTGCCCACAGGAAATACATACTGGTAAATTCTCCAGTCAGAGACCAGGAAAGTCTAGCAATTTCTGGAAAAGAAAGCACACACACACAAAACATAAAGATTTTCAGGTAACCAACATTAGAGAGAATTTGGAATGCATTCATAATGTCTTCAGTACTTGTGGATTTCTCATTAAGCTACTTTCAGAACATCTCTGAAGAGGCAGCTGTTTGTGTTGTCTTCATGATGAATTCTGTATCTAGAGCAGCAAATTAAAATGAGATCATTTTTAATAAAGCCATGCCAAGATTTAAAAGTAATTTGGTGGCATTAAGCATAATAAACCAAATTACAGTGATAAAAGAAACATTTTCATTAAAGTTCTAAAAAAATGACACTCAAAACTCCAATGTAGGGATAAGAACTGAGTCTTCATTGTCTCAAGGGAACCAAAATAACAAATGACAGCTAGAATGTTGAGCTAATCATAACAAATATATAATTCATTTTGACCTTTTCATAACATCCCAACAAATATAGTGATTCATAAGCATGCATGTTGCAAATGAAATTAATTGCAAGGGTATTTTTCACTGAAATGTTTAATGATCTCATCATACAGATTTCCTGGATGATTTCCTTCTAACTTCCTTCTGAGAATTAGAGGCCATGCAACAGGTTAATTTTATCGAACCAGAACAATCCATTATCTCCATGTGTACCTGGCTCATGTTTTCCCATTTTTGTGGAAGTTTCATCTTTCCTCCCCTCCCTTCCCACCTCCATCTCTCCAGATCCAAACTTGACTTAAAGACCCAACATCAAATGCCACTGACTGTATGAAACTTTCCCTGATTTTTTCCCATGTCTCTTCAGTGATCTTTATCTGACTTTAGATGGTTTGATATTAAAGTTATTTGGTTTATGTTGGCAACTGGTATAAGCCTCTTGTTTCACATCTAAATCAGCCTTTCCACCACCACTCCCAGTGACTGGTTCACACGATGCAAGATGTTATACCTGCACAAGTGTGTCCAACCAAGGCCATTAAATTACCTCCCAAATATAAACCTTCAACCCTCTCCTCTCCCATTCTGAAATTTTCCTGAAGAGAACTTGGATTTATATTTTCCCTCACTATCTCCCTCTTTATATTTTTCAAATCTGATTTTTCTCCCAAAATACGTAACAAACTTTGCAAGTTCCCAGACACTCACAAACAAATCAGATCTTCCAAGCAAGGATCCATGTCTGAGGAGATTCTGTTAAGGTGGAAGTGTCTGTATTTGCCTTGGATATCTCAGAAGTCATTCGTGAAATAAAAGATAGAAGTCTCACTCATACCTTAAAATCATATAACATGTTAGCACAGTACCTATGCACTCACAAAATGCATTTACTCAAAAATTCAGGACTAATAAACTAAAAAAGAAGAAGAAGAAGAAAGGAAGAAAGGAAGGAGGAATGGAGAGAAGGGAAGAAGAGTGGGTTCCTAGGATGAGTTAAGGAGCAGCTAGCTCCACATTTATAAGAGTGATAGACTGGCATGTAGACATGGGTGGATCTGTTGCCACTGAGAAGGAAAAAGGAGGGGCTTATGCTGTAACCTGAAGGAAATAGATTGGGACTGTGTTGGATCCTCCTGACAGTAGTGATAAAATGTTAACATCAGTTATCAAAGGTTACTAATGCTGCCTCCTTGAAAGGATTACAGGGGTTCTTATTTGTCTAAGATGGTTAAAATATTGTGCCTCTTTAAGATAAAAAGATGAGCTGTAAGAACTACCAAGCACCTAGCCAGTTTTATTGCAAGGTAGCTTCGAGTATCCCACTTTCTAAACAATGCACAAAACACACAGCCAGGTTCATCTTTCAGGTCTACATCACTGCAACCATGCTCCTGCTGCCCTTTCCTACTCCCCAGCCCACAAAAGCAGAGATTTACCAAGGGCCAAGCATGAGAGTCCTTCCACATTATCCACCTATCGGAGAGTGGTGGCTTTTCCCTATGGAGGAGGGAAGGATGTACTCCCAACCACCATCACTAATCACATTCAGGGAGCTCCAAGCAAATTTGTCTAAGAGAATATGAGGTGTTCAAGCAGGAAAGATGAGCATTTTACTCCCCCATCAGATGCTCCTGCAGCAAACTAGCTGAGATGACCCCATACCCATGATTCTTCAGCATGGGGACACATGGGGACAGTTTTGCTATGTGCACAGAATGAACAGCTTAATCAGAGGAAAGAGCTGGGGCTCGTCATGAATATCTTCTTTCAAACTACCATTTTTACAAGTGCATTATTCTTCACTTCAGATCTTCCAAATGACACATTATTACCCTTAATCACAGGATCAAGAGAAGCGACAGTGGCATTTTCCACCTCACATGTATTGAGAATGAGATTGTGGCCCTGTGACAACAGGTTTTCCATTCCTGAGCTGCGCTCTAAAAATCTTCAATCCAAATCACATTGCTTTTATGGTTAAAAATTATTTATGCAGCTATGAATCATGAAAAGGTGGTAATTTCGCTAAGCCAAGGATAAATAGATTCTTTCTTTTACTGAGAGTATAACTAGAACACTGAAGAGTTTTAGTGAGAACAGGGGAAATCTATTTATGATCAAAATAGTATTAAAGCTCTGTTTTTCCATGGGTAAGATTTGGTGTCAACTCTATAGCTGACTGTCTAAAAGAGTTCCAAGGTCATCAGCTCAGCTTACTTTGGTGGTTCTCTGAGACTTTTAAAGGAACTGGACAGGAGATAGATACTTCAGAAGCTGGCTGGAGCACTGCAGAATGTTTGTTGGTCTTCAGGTGAGATTTTTGACTTTATTTCTCCCCATGAGATTCTTTAAGGTTGGCTAGACCACTTCAATCTTTCTTTCAAGAGTCAAAAGTAATTCTGGAATCTGGGTTTTATTCTTTCATTAACTCATTTTTTTAACTTTAGGCAAATCATACGATTTTCTCACCTGAACATCATGGCAAGAACCCACTGTCACAGTCAATGGGGCAATGGAGGCAGTGTTATGAAGACCTATTCCCTGAGTGGAGGGTAGGTCCAAGGGTAGCAACAATGGGGATCTGTCACTAGCCCTAAGCACAAAGGAGCAAGAGGAAGGGACAAATACTAGAATCTTCAGGCTCCCTTAAAAAAAAGGGCCACCCAACAGGAGCTATGGCCTGAAGTAGAGAAATTCATTCATTGGAAACATGAGGTCCTGATGAGATGAAGCTCATGGAACCATGAATTTTACTTGATATGGTTTGGCTCTGTGTCCTCACCCAAATCTCATGTTGAATTATAATCCCCAGTGTAGGGGGAGGAACCTGGGGGAGGTAACTGGATCATGGGGACAGATTTCTCTCTTGCTGTTCTCATGATAGTGAGTGAATTCTCACAAGACATGGTTGTTTAAAAGTGTGTAAGGGTGGGTGCAGTGGCTCACACCTGTAACCCCAGCATTTTGGGAAGCCAAGGTGGGTGGATCACCTAAGGTCAGGAGTTTGAGACCAGCCTGGCCAACATGGCAAAACCCTGCCTCTACTAAAAATGCAAAAATTAGCCAGATGTGGTGGCGTGCACCTGTAGTCTCAGCTACTTAGGGGGCTGAGACACAAGAATTGCTTGAACCTGGGAGGCAGAGGCTGCAGTGAGCCAAGATTCTGCCACTCCACTCCAGCCTGGGCAACAGAGCAAGACTCCATCTCAAAAAAATAGTGTGTAGCACTTACCCCTTTACTCTCTCTCTCCCACCCTACCATGTGAAGAAGGTGCTTGCTTCCCCTTCACCCTTCCACCATGATTGCAAGTTTCCTGAGGCTTCCCCAACCATGTGTTCTATACAAATTCTGGAACTGTGAGTCAATTAGACCTCTTTTCTTCATGGGTTACAAAGTCTTGTGTGGTTACTTGCAGCAGTGTGAGAACGAGCTAATATAGAAAATTGGTACCAGAGAAGTAGGGCATTGCTAAAAGATATCTGAATATATGGAAGCAACTTGGGAACTGGGTAATGGGTAATGGGCAGAGAATGGGTAATGGGTAATGGGCAGAGAATGCAACAGTTTGCAGGGGTCAGAAGAAGACAGGAAGATGAGGGAAAGTTTGGAACTTTCCTAGAGATTTGTTGGATGGTTTTGAACAAAATGCTGATAGTGATATGGACAATGAAGTACAGGCTGAGGAGGTCTCAGAGGAAGATGAGGAACTTATTGGGAGCTGGAGTAAAAGTCACTCTTGCTATGCTTTAGCAAAGAGACTTGGCATTGTGCCCCTGCTCTGGGGATCTGTTAAACTTTGAGCTTGACAGAGATGATTTAGGGTATCCGGCAGAAGAAATTTCTAAGCAGCAGTGTTTAAGATGTGGCCTGGCTGTCTCTAGAAGCCTATGCTCATCTGCATAAACAAAGAAAATTTATATTTAAAAGGGAAGCAGAGCATAAAATTTTGGAAAATTAGCAGCCCAGCCGTGTGGCAGACAATAAAAACTCATTTTGTAGGAAAGAACTCAAGCTGGCTGCAGAAATTTGCATAAGTGAAAAGGAGCTGAATGTTAATAGCCAAGAAAATGGGGGAAATGCTTCCAGGACATTTCAGAGACCTTTGCAGTAGCCCCTCCTATCACAGGCCTGGAGGCCTATAAGGGAAAAATAATTCTGTGGGCCAGGCCCAGGACACCCCTGCTCTATGCAGCCTCAGGACATGGTGTCCTTCATCCTAGCTACTCCAGTTCCAGCCATGGCTAAAAGGGGCCAAAGTACACCTCAGGCTGTGTACTTCAGAGGGTGCAAGCCCCAAGTCTTGGCAACTTCCACATGGTGTTGGGCCTGCAGGTGCACAAAAGGCAAGAGCTGAAGTTTGAGAGCCTCCGACTAGATTTCAGAGAATGTATGGAAATGCTTGGATGTCCAGGCAGAAGTCTGCACAGTGGTGTAGCCCTCATGGAGAACTTCTACTAGGGTAGTGTAGAGGGAAAATATGGGTTTGGATCCTTCACACAGAGTCTCCACTGGGGCACTGCCTAGTGGAGCTGTGACAAGGGGGCCACTGTCCTCCAGACCCCAGAATGGTAGATTCATCAACAGCTTTCACTGTGTGCCTGGAAAAGCCACGGGTACTCAACACCAGCCTGTAAAAGCAGGCATAGGGGCTGTACCCTGCAGAACCACAGGGGCGGAGCTGCCTAAGGCCTTGGGAGCCCAACCCTTTCACCAGTGTGTCCTGGGTGTCAGACGTGGAGTCAAAGGAGATTATTTTAGAGCTTTAAGATTTAATGACTGCCCTGCTGGCTTTGGGAATTGCATGGGGCCTGTAGCCTCTTTGTTTTAGCTAATTTCTCCCTTTTGGAAAGGGAGCATTTACCCAGTACATGTACCCCCATTTTATGTTGAAATTAACTAAATTGTTTTTTATTTTACATCCTCATAGGCAGAAGGAACTTCCCTTGTCTCAGATGACATTTTGGACTTGTACTTTGGAGTTAATGCTGGAATGAGTTAAGACTTTGGGAGACTGTTGGAAAGGCATAATTGGCTTTGAAATGTGAGAAAGACATGAGATTGGGAGGGACCAGGGGTAAAATGATATGATTTGGCTCTGTGTCCCCACCCAAATCTCATGTTGATTTGTAATCCCCAGTGTTGAGGGAGGGGCCTGGTGGGAGGTGATTGGATCATGGGGGTGGATTTCCCCCTTGCTTCTCATGATAGTGACTTCCCATGAGATCTGGTTGTTTAAAAGTATGTACAATTTCCCCCTTCACTCCCTCTCTCCTGCTTTGCCATGTGAAAAAGGTACTTGCTTCCCCTTTGCCCTTCTGCCATGATTGTATGTTTCCTGAGGGCACTCCAGCCATGCTTCCTGTACAGGCTGCTGTACTGTGAGTCAATTAAACCTCTTTTGTTTATAAATTACCCAGTATCAGGTAGTTCTTTATAGCAGTGTGAAAATGAACTAACACATCACTCTTTTCCAAGTCTCTGACCTCTGGTCATGCCCCATATTGGCTTAATCCAACCAGAACCCATATTTGGCTCACTGGTCAAGGAAGTCCAGTGATTCTGACTCTAAATGTCAACCACCTAGAACAAATTGGAAAATTGATATGGAGGTGCAAACAAAGAACTAAAATTCTTCTTTTATAATAGGATTTATGTGGATCCATAAGTAATAAATACTATTCAAAGCTACAATGTCATCAAAGTGAAATTCAATATGTCTTCTGATATCTACTTTAATACATGTGGAGTCTCTGATGTTATAGTTTGCTTCTGGGAGAGAGAAGAGGAGTAAAATAAAATCAACAGGGGGAATTCTAGAAGGGGAAGGAGAAGAAACTAAGTTCAAGGTTCAGAATTTGAAATTAAATAGAACTGGGATGAGTCTCTGCTCAGCAGCTTACTACACATGTGAGCTTGAATAAGTTTCTTTACTTCTCTCTGGACCTCAGTTTTCTCATATCATCAGTGAGACTATCAAGGGTACATATGTCATGCCTGACAAAATATTACTTTTTTATTATTACTATTATTACTATTAAGTCAGAAGTCAATACAAAGAGAAAGCAACACCTCCAGGGACTCTCTAGCTTGTTTCAAAATAAAATCATAGCGAAACAATGGGCACCCATGAGGTTCCCTTATGTTGCTCACAATTAAAATACAATATTCAGTGGTCAAAGGACCTGCACACTAAAGAATCATATAAAATGATGTTTCTCCAAGCTCTCATAGGGATGCCTCATGTTCAATGTCATCTTTAAATTGCAACACACCTTTTTGGAGGACATCAAAGCCAAATAAGCTGTGACCTACTTCCAAAGAGCAGGAAGGTTTTGTCCTAAGCTTATAGTATCCTGAAAGCCCCAAAATATACCAATATGTGGAGTGTATCTGGTCCTATCAACAAGTCTCCATCCAGGGTCCTGCCATGAAATACATGACACACTAAGGAATTAATAAAGAGGGTTTATTAAAATAACTATTGACAGAAGTAAAGGCAAGATTTAGGCAAACCAGTAAGGGCTGGCACTAACATCAAAATGATAACATTAACAACATGGCATTAACAACAAAAATGATAACTTTCTGAGGTAATGCATTTGTTAATTAGCTAAACTTAGCCATTCCACAATGTATATGTTTCAAAACATAGATTTCATATATGATAAATACACTTTGTATGTTAATTAAAAAATATTTAAAAATAAAAATAGATGATGTGGTCGAATCACATCATCTTATGGTATTTAACATCCATAAGCCAGAAGGGGCAGCTAGAATGAATGATGTTTCCATAAAATACCCACCAAATAGAAGTTGTGGCTATCAGTAGAAGAACACAGCCTCTGTTGACACCACTTTAAGATGGGAAGGGGGAGTGGTATGGAACATTATGCAATTAGACTTCCCACTGGACAAACCCAACTAGAAGCCACAGGGCCAGAGAACGTCAGTGAGTGGAACATTCTGAGAGGTCAGGTTTCTTCCAATATACAAAAAGCAAGGCAAGAAAATACACAAAATGAATTGCAGGGATTATAAAGAATCACTACCACAAGCTCTGTGATATCACATAAAAACTAAGACCACATGCAAAATTATTCATAAGAAGATGTAAGCCACATTCAGACCCAGAGGATTATTGCCCATTCTTGAGAGAACACCAATGAATAAAAATGCCCAACATGTTTTAATAGAACTTGTTGAATCACTTGGCCAAAAAGCAGAAAGGATGTCATAATGTTCTGCCTCTTTAGCAGATATTTCAAAATATTCTGGGCTGGGCTTCAATGCTATTCCAGAGTCCAAGCTCACACCAGGTCTTACAGCTGATCCATGTCTCTTTTATTCCCTACTAAAGTAATTAAGAGATATATGACTTGAAGCTGAGCCCAAACTCTCTTCAGCCAGTTGGCACCATAACTGGAAGAACTACTCATTGTTTATATTGTACAATAGACACAAGAGTAATACCCATGGCTTTTGTGGGACTTCAACAAATAGTCCCTCCCTGAAAACGCTGACAATAGAGGGTCCATTGGTGTGGCTAGTATTGGTCTCTGGCTTTTTTTTCTATTCAGCCCACCTGGTATCTGAATACAGTTTTTCTGGAAAAGCATCTTATTGTTGCAGCTACCCGAACTAAAATGTTGGTAAGCCTGTCTTTTCATGTCAGTAATTTAAGTGACTTTTTTCCCTCTTCTTACTTCTCTGAATTTTTCAAAATGTTCATTATTTAAAAATGAAAAAATAATTTTTATTAAAAACTGAGTCTTAATGTTTCAAAAACTTGCAAAAGCAGTTTATGTAAGTGCCTAGAAACTTTATATGGAGAGAGATGGAGGATAAAACAGAAGATTGAAATTAATTATGGCCCTCTTTTTGTAGGCCTAATTTTCAGTGGTTCTGCATTCAGTGGCAAGAACACTTGCATTATCTTTGAGGGTCGTAATATATCATGAACAAACTGGGTGTATCTCAGGAATGCAAGGAGTTTTCAAGTGCAAAGTGGGCCAGTATAATAGCACATTTGCAGACTTAAGAAAAAAAGATGTATTGTTATCTCAAGGAAAATAAAAGTACTGAATAAAGTCCTATTTCTATTCTAATATTTTGAAAGTCTCTGATGTGAGGAAAATCAAAAGAAACTCCCCTTAACATAATAAAGATTAAATACTAAAATCTAAAGACACCAAACATTATGCATATAAGAATTTTAATTGTATTTTCTATAGGAAGGAGAACAAAACAAGGATATTCATTAATAGAGCTACTATTTAGTCTAGCACTAGAGAGAAGGAATTATTATAAAAAAGAGAGCATTTATAAGGATTATGGAGATAAAATGTTATTATTTCTATGTGTTGTGATCATCTACCCAGACAAATCAACAGTCTCAATAGACTATTGAAACTAATGAGAGTTTATCATGGTTGCCAGATATGCAGCCAACCCAACTACAAAAATCAATAGCATTGCTCTACACCAACAATAACTACTTGGAATATGTAATATAAACAGGATCTTATTAATAATAACAATAAAAACTATAAACTGTCTTAAAACTAAGTTAACCAAAAACTCACAAGAACATAATCAATCCCATTTTAAAATGCTAATAAAGGACAAGGTGAGTTGACTAGGTAAAGACAAAGTCCAAGCTCCGGGGTGAAACGACTATATTATAACGATGTATTGGTCTCCAAATTAATCTACAAATCGAACAGCAACCGAGTCAAAATTATAGTGGTATTTCTTTAACAAACTGGATCAACATACTCCAATACCTACATAAAAGAATAAAAGCCCACATGTAGCTAAACCAGCTGTCTTAGTCCTTTTAGTGTTGCTGTAACAGAATACCCGAGACTGGGTAATTTATTTAAAAAAAAAAAAAAAAAAAAAAAAAAAAAGGGTTATTTGGCTCATGATTCTGGTGGCTGGAAGTCCCAAGAGCATGGCACTGGCATCTAGTATCAGCTTCTGGTGAAGGCCTTGTACTGAATGAGTCAAGTGGAAAGGTGAGCAGGCATGTGCAAAGACACCAAACACAAGGAGCAGCCTTGCTTTATAACAATCCGTTCTTGGGGAACTAATCCATTCCTGCAAGAACAAGAACTCATTCACTCCTGAGAGATGACAGTAGTCTATTCATGAGGGTTCCACCCCCATTACTCAAATACCTCACACTGGGCCTGGCTTCCCAACACTGCTGCATTGAGGATTAAGCCTCAATGTGAATTTTGGTGGGAACAACCATATTCAAACCATAGCACCAATCTTTCAAAAGAAGAGGAAAGAGGAAACCTAATGTACCTGATATTGACATATCTCAGAGGCACAGAAAGGTAAATCAGAATAGTATTGGCAAAAAAAAAAAAAAAAAAGACAAATTAAACATAGGGCAAAATAGAGCTCAGAGACAGATGCACAAATATGTGGGAAGTTAATATATGAAAAGGCTAGAACCATAAATTAGTGAATACAGGGCAGATGGTTCAATAGATGATGCAGTCATAAATGTTCTAACCACAAAAATGATAACTTTCTGAGGTAACGCATATCTTAATTATCTAAACTTAGGCATTCCACAATGTATATATGTTTCAAAACATAGATTTTGTATATGATAAATACTGCTTTATATGTTAATTTTTTAAAAATATTTAAAAACAAAAATAGATGATGTGGTCAAAAATGATTTTTTATGTGGAGAAAATAAAATTGACTCCCTACTCAACAACACTCCGAGAACAGACTCCCGCCTGAGCCCAAGAGTTTGAGGCCAGTCTGGGCAATACAATGAGATCCTGTAAACAAACAAACAGGGCTGGGCATGGTGGCTCACACCTGTAATCCCAACACTTTGGGAGGCCGAGGAGGGCGGATCACGAGGTCAGGAGTTCAAGACCAGCCTGGCCAACATAGTGAAACCTCGTCTCTACTAAAAATACAAAAAAAAAAAAAAAAATTAGCTGGGTGTGGTGGTGGGTGCCTGTAGTCCCAGCTACTGTGGAGGCTGAGGCAGGAGAATTGCTTGAACCTGGGAGGCAGAGGTTGCAGTGACCCAAGATCATGCCACAGCACTCCAGTCTGGGCAACACAGCGAGACTCTGCCTAAAAAAAAAATTTAAAAAAAAGATGAAGTAGACTCTCAGTGTCAAAGGTGTGACCCATAGGGCCGGAAGAAGTTTTTAATAAGCATTTAGAATGAGCATAAATACATCAATTCAATTTCAGCAATATTCTTCAACTCAAGGAAAGGACAAGAACCACAATGAAAAAGTGAGCAAAGAATATTGCTAGACAATTTATAGAAGTGAAAATCCAAGGGTTTATAAGAGCATATGAAAAGATGTTCAAAATCAATAGCCACTGGAAAAAATGTAAATTACAACAGCAATGATATATTTCTTTACACACCTTAGTCTTCCAAAAAAAGAAAGCTGAAGCATGAAGTGTAGACAAAGATGTGAGGATAGAGGCATCCTCATACATTGGTGGTAAGTACAGATGGTATTGCCAATCCAGAGTACAACTAGCACCGCTTAGTCTAAATTAGTCTGTGCATGTCCTACGGTGCAGCAATTCCACTCCTGGGTGTAGAAACTAAAGACATGGTCACACAGATCCACAGAGTGTACAAAACGGGATGTTCCCTGCAGCATTATTTTTGATGGAGGGAACTAGAGGCAATCTGGCTATGAATTTCTGACACAGGACATACATATGGAAGAAACTGCTGGCTCCTCACCAAGCTTTTTTCCTCTTCCTCCAGAATATGCACAAAAAGCATATTTCTTAGCATCGCCTTGAGATTAGCTATAAATCCATGACTACATTCCAAAAAAACAAAAGAATGTTTGGCTGGAATGCAGTAGACTAATTTACAGGCTTTGCCAAAAAGAACCCTCTCCAGTGCAAATGTCCCTGCTCTTTCCTCCTGCCCAATGGCTTGAATGGAGATAAGCCCTGGAGCAGCCTTGGGATGCACGTGATGAAACTGCAGTACCACAAGATGGAAAGAGCCTGGGTCCCTAAATTATAGGGTGGAGGGGACCTCTATGTTCTGAACTATTAATTTTGTTTCAACTTTATTAACTGATTAGATGGTTTGATAAGCCCCTGAAATTCGAAAGGTTTAGCAATTGTGTATTAAGTCATACCTTAACTAATATAAGAGATACAATATGGTGGATAAACACCATGAAGTATTGTGAAGAAATTAAAGGTAATAACTTGTGTATATATATATATATATATATATATATATATATATATATATATATATATATATATTTTATTTTATATATATATAAAATCACGGTTAGATCTTAAATATGTAGTGCTTAGTGGAAAAAAGTGAGGAACAATACTATGTATCTTAATTTTAAAATACATGCATACCACCCTGTTCTTTCCTGTTTCTCCTTCATGCAATTTGGAAAGCAAATGTGAAGACTAGGGTTTGGGCTGCTCTCTTGGACTTTGAGAATGGAAACCAAGACTAGAGACAGCAGCGTACATCCTGACGAGGAGTTCCTAATGACATGATGGAATCATCAGGCCACATTTGAAATTATGTTATATGAAAAAAATAACTATCTTGTTTGTTAATTTACCTTCACGTAAAACCATACACATTTTTCAGGAAGGCACACAAGAAAAGGTTACACATTAAACATGGTATAACGTTGGCCTACAGAGGGAGAAAGAAGAGAAGAATGATGGCAGGTTTGGGATAAAAGGAAATCAAAAAGTGTGTGATTGAATGACTGAATAGATTTAGAAAGTGGCATGCGTAGCCCAATAGTGATAGTGTAATATGAAGTGAGGACTATGATCAATTGCATACCCAGTTCCTAAAAGAACGAAAGGGGCTAAAGAAATGCACAAACGACGTTGATAACAACAACCATCACTCTAACTTTTCATCTCTAATTCAGGCGTAGGTCTCAAAAAAAGAATTTGATGCATTTACCATTGCCCCGCAATTGATTCTTCTCAAATGCTGCTCAACCCCACAGAATTTAGGTCAACGTAAAGGAATTTGTATAAGGTCCCAGTAGGAAGGCCACTCAGGAGCTAAGGTGGAGCAAGAATCAAAGAGCCAGAAGGAGATCACTTCTGCTGCCTGAAGAAATTCCCCTTAAACTATTACAAAGAAAATGCTAACCAGCCCACAATCACACCTTGAAATGGGCTGACGTATCAATTCCAAACTGCTGACAAGAAGCATGGCAGTTCTTTGCCAAGGAGCCTAAGACTTTTGTCTTGTGAATGAAAATAGGTACCGGGGCACCGCTGAACTAATGTATGCAGTTGTGTGAATTAATCCTGCACTCCATACTGCAGAAGAAAACAAAACAAATCAGAGACGCCAGAGCATACACATTCTCACACACCTAGTCCCAAGCAGCACTAAATTACCTAAAAGTGTCTCAATTAAGGAGAATTACCACCACCTTTAAAACTGCAATCATAGCTATTATGTATCATCGGGCTGAAATCAGTTCCCTGGGAGATGTCCTGATTAAGCGAATTTCCCAATTAAGCTCATCCCTGTTGAGTGGAGCATACAATTCTGATTAGATTTCTAATTTATATGGGAGGCTTTATATTATGTAGAAAGGGAAAAGAGGAGTTGAGGAAAATCCTCAACCTCCAAAATGTCTCCCTGTCTGTGCAATTTTTCCCTCCAGCAATAAACCTCCCATCTCTGAGGAATGAAAGTAGTTACTAGCCAAAGTCCTTCTAAATCTCTTAAATAAAATACGAATTGTCCCTTGTAGAGCCACATGTGTCCTTCAAGAACTGTCAGAAACATCACAATTGTCCTCTTGTGGGATAACCCCTTTCACACATCAGCAGCAGACAGAGGAACACAGAGGAAAAGCATGGCTCAGTGTCCAGAATGGGACATGTGCAGTCTTTCATACCCTTTAAAAAACCTTTTGCAGTGTACCTTGCAGCAAACTCAAATGAGGAAATAAATGCATGAGAACTGAATGGATAGATGAATAAATGACTAGCATCACTGACCATCAGGGCCAGATATAAAGTTAAAGCATATCACCATTACACTCACTGATAACACAAAGCCACAAAATCAGGAGAAATATTGGTCTCAAAACTTCCCTGAGGCTGGGTGTGGTGGCGTATTCCTGTAATCCCGGCACTTTGGGAGGCTAAGGCAGGTAAATTACTAGGGTCCAGGAGTTTGAGACCAGCCTGGGCAACATGGTGAAACCCCATCTCTACAAAAAAATATATAAAAATTAGCCAGGCATAGTGACACACATCTGTAGTCCCAGCTACTTGGGGGTATGGATTGAGGCCCAGAGGTCAAGGCTGTAGTGAGCCATGATCACGCCACTGCACTCCAGAATGGCCAGAATAGGCAACAGAGTAAGACCCTGTCTCCAAACAAACAAACAAAAAAACTTCACCAAAAACCTGAAATTTTAAAACATACTTGACTTTATTATTGGCCAAATTACTTGAACACAGCATCAAATGAAATTACAAACCTCATAAATGCTCCCTCAAAATAGTGTTTTACAGAACTTGCTGGACAGGCTTAAATATGGTCCTATGAGGAGATAGCAACTACTATGGCATTGAAACTGGCACCTAATCTTTTCAAGCTTTACTTCCCTCATCTGCAAAATGTATTATTGGACTTAAGTCAGTTCCCAGGGAAATGTTCAGAACAAATAATTTCAGAGGTGATGTCCAACCATCACATCCTGTAGGTCAGAAGAAACCAACTATAGAGGGAAAAGCAAAGTCTTCGGAGTTGGAATTCTCACTCTCCCATTTACTAGTTACAGGACATGAGCAAGTCACTTGAACCCTCCAAGGTTTACTTTCCTTCTCTAAAATCCAACTCTTAGGGCTGGGATCACTTTTTTTGAAGGAACACACACAAAGAGCAAGGCCCATTTCAGAGGCTCCCCAAATCTGTTTGTTCATCTCTAAGATGAGAGTAATTACAACTATTCCATAGAGTTTTGCGAAGATTTAGCTCAGTAACATAAGTAGAACCTCCTTTTGACTGTACTATATTCAACAGGGTAGAAGCAGAAACTAACTCTATTCTTTCTTACCACTAAATGGAAAAGTGCTAATCACTCCCCATTTTCCATCATTGCATGATAACTTAGGGCAGGTCTCAGAGTTGTTCAGGGGATTTCTGGGTATTTGAACAATTCGTTTTTGCATCCAGTCCAATCTAAAGTGACATTTGTCTCTTATCCAATTAGAACTTTTCCCCTTCCCCAGCTTGGGTTGCAAATTCTGCACTGCAACAGTCCTTTCCCTTGACTCTACTTTGCTCTTCCTCTCCTTCCCCATCACTATGTTATTTCTGGAGACCTCAAATAAGATGCAGAAGGGAGAGGCAGCAGCAGACAGCTAAGGGAACAAAGGTCTATCTTGACAGGTGCTGCTTTTATCAGGTGTGGGTGCTCACTTGTGAGCAGATGCCCAAAGGCTGACTTTTTCTAGCAGGAAATTTTAATGAATTCTTCAGAGTTCCCTCTGTAGGAAGCTCCTGTACTCTGCTGTGCTCTGATTTGGGAGATACCTTCTCTGGCTGACTGCTTTTGACTCCTTTATAGGCCCTACTTCAAGGCACATCCAGGAAGGTTTGTCACCTGGGGTTGCCTCTACTTGGAAGAAGCTTCTCCTGGCCCAGCTACCATCCAATGCATCTGTAGTGGATGCTGCAATGTGTCACCCACACCCTCCTTTCAAGACTGAATGATTTATTTCCCCAGATGGTGGGACTACTGCTGGCACTCACCTCTCAGGAATTCATCAATAACCACCTTGAGTGAGGACAGATTCCTTGCCTTAGGTCACCATGGGCGGCCTGCCTCCAATGACCAGCCAAAGTGAGTACAAAAGACCAGCTCCTTTGCCCCAACTTGGGACAACTCTGAAGGGCCATTTCAGCTTCAGAGCTCCTGATGGCATCAGTTGAGGACTTCACTTGGACTGTATCACAGCTACTTTGTCTCTCTGGCCAATTCTCCCTTCTTCTCTTCCCTTCTACAAGAGTTGATCCCAAGAATGCTTCCTAATAAACTGCCCACTACTCTTCATTTTATAGTGCGCTTCCCAAAGAACCTGACCTACAACAAGACCCACTTAAACAGTGGGAAAATGTGGCATCTTTTCTCCACTATACATATCTGTGTAGCCCCAACAAGCCTCTGACCTTTAGACTTCTCCAGAATGATTTAGAGGTCAATGTCTATGTCTCCAAAACTCTGGCAGATACAAGCAATTCTTTCCCAACAACTAACTAGCCAATATCTGTCTGGAAATACCATGGAGCAGGTCCACAAGTTTTTATAGTTCAAAGCATGTGTGTGGTGGACTTGTGGGGAGATATATATTCTCCCTTCACTGCTAGATATCCCAAATCTCTACAAATGGCCTCTTTCTTAGCCTTGACCACCAGGAAATAAAGCTTGAAGTAGAGGGTGTATGTGCTATAAAGGTATCCAAGCTTAAGGAATGGGAGTGAAGAGTGAGGGAGAAGGAGAAGAAAGCAAGTAAGAAAGGAGTAGGAGATGTGTGACTGACCTGGACGTCACTAAATGTGACTGATTGCACACCTTGTTGGGATTGTGGCTGAAAGCTGTAATAAACACTGCATCCACATCTCGGGATTATTTTTTTGTTAGCCAAGAAAAAGAGAAGAATTTATCTATTGGTTTCCTCCCCTCAATGGCTAAAGTTCTCTTCTACGAAACAATAACTTCCCTACACTTCCAATTTGAAATGTGTGAGCACCAAGCAGGGGCCCTGAGGTTGGATTTAATGTTAGAATTCTTTGCCATCTGGAAAGGATAAGAAGCAGGTTTATTTTTAAATTCAATAAGCCTGAATCTTTTATTTGTCTTCTGAATTTTGATTGAAAATAAACATCACTTATAACTAATTTATCACTATCTTTATCTTACCATATACAGCTAAAATAAATAAGTTGATTTATATTCTTCCCATGTGAAAAATACACTCATGTCCTTTTAAGACCTCTAAGATATTCTCAGAAGTCTCACCTATTATGGCATTCAGCTCAAGCTCAAGGTTCAAGATCCCATCATTTTAGTCATGTCCAGGGGTAAGTGAGTCTCCTGGGGTGTATTTCCTCAGAAGCGGCACATTGAGTACGGTTTCTCTCAGTATGAATATCTGTGAACTAAAGAGACAAATTCTCAACTCCTTCATCCCATATTCCACATACAATGGTGATATATGCATAGGATATTCCAACAGACACATTCAAAAGAAGGAAAATGGGATATGCACAACAAACACTGATCCATAGCAATTTTGAAATCTAGCTGGGCTTACATTGCCAATTTACTGGTTAGAATTCAGTTTATTGCCTTGAAATGATTCTCATTGCTCTTTGTTGTGCCTTTTTTGTTCTTGGTTCTCACTTCTGGTTCACCCATCCTTTCCCATAAGAAAGTATTGGCATTTCCAATTGAGGAGATTCCTTAGTCTGCTTTCTGTTCACAATAATTGGGGAGTGTCAAGCCCTTTCTATATTTTGTACTGTTTCTGCCACTTTTAGTCCAAGCTGCCGATGTTTCTACCATTGAAACGCTCTTTAAGTTCTGTGGGTAGCCTACGATTGTGTTATCACTCATACCATTAGACAAAAGCCACAAACATAAATCTCCTCAAGATGAGCCCCTTTAGACCTCAGGTTACCTGTAGGACTTTGTGGGAAATACCCTTAAGATTTTTTGTAAGCTCTGTTTTTGATTAGAGAAGATCTAATAGGCACTGCCTTAAGACCTTAGAAGCCTTTTGTATGTCTGAGAGATTCTCTGATGCATTATGTTAGAAGGGATTTAAAGTCCCACCCTGGAAATAATCTTTGGTCTGAAGCTGTGTCTTAATTTTAGAATCATTTGCCTTCTGGAGAAGACAAAAACCAATTTTATTTTCAAATCTGTAAGCCCCACCTCTTTCATTTATCCTCCAATTTTTTGCAATTGGTAGCTCCACCCTGTCCTCCTAATGCACATGCAGACCCTTAGACTCCATACTGCTTCATTCCCCTTATTGTGCATGTGTCAGGGGACAGAATTTTCCAATTGTCCAATTGTAGCCCATTTCTTTTTATCCTCAATTTATTATACACAGCCAAAAGAAACAAGTTGGTGCTTTTAATATTCCACCTGAAAATCTACTTGGCCAAATCTTCCAGCTCATTGGATTCATTAGGCAAAAGTGTTTCCAAACTTTTCACCACTATGTAACAAGGGTCTCCTTTCCTCCAGCTTCCAGCAACACTTTTGTCAATGTCCTTTAATCCATTACTGAAAGTCTCTTTGAGGGCCATCAAACTTCTGCTGTTAGCCTCTTCACACATGCTATTATAGCATCCCACTCATGGTACCAAAACCTATTCTGGTTATCTATTGCTGAGTAACAATAATTACACCAAAACAATGGCCAAAAATAATAATAATCATCTATTTTGTTTACAAATCTGGGAATTGACTGGACTCAGCTAGGCAATTCTCACTCAGGATCTATCACGTGGTTTAAATCAGACAGTGGCTGGGGCTGACCTCATCTTGAAACCTTCTTCACACATGCCTAACACCAGTACTGGGAAGACTCAAACAGCTGGGATAGGAGCATCTGGGCATCCCTCATGAGAAAGGACTCTCTATCTCTCTCTCTCTCTATTTTTCTCTCTCTCATCTCTTTATTTCTCTCTCTCTCTCTCTCTCTCTCTCTGTGGTGTGTGTGTGTGTGTGTGTGTGTGTGTGTGTGTAATCCCAAAACCCATTTTCATGTTCAATACTCTGCTACAGTGACTCACAGAATTCACCAGAGCTGTTGTATGTACAGTTATGGTATTTGACAGCAAAAAGATACAGATTAAAATCAGCAATGGAAAAAGGTGGTTAGGGAAGAGTCTAGGAGACACCAAGGGAAAGTTTCCAGTTGCCTTCTCCCAGTGGAGTCATTGAGATAGCACGTAATTTTTCCAGGAATGATATATGGCAATATTCACAAAGTATTGCCAACAAGGGAAGCTCACTCAAACTTTGGTGGCCAAGGTTTGACCAAGTGTTTTCACTGAGGATTACACTGGCATGGCTGACCACCCCCATGCTTGACCTCAGCTCTTCAGCCCCTCCAGAGGTCAAGCTGATACCACAGCCCAAAGTCTGCTACCATTATTCACATTATTATTAACTATCTGGCATGGCCCAAAGTTTCAGGTAAATAAAAACACTCCAGGGGCTGAACAAGGGCCAAACCTTCTTCGAAATGTGAAGAGTTTGAACAATTACCCCTGCGGAGTTAATTCTTTCCACGTTACCTAAGAATGGCCAGACTACAAATATGGTGGCAGAAGACTCCCAGAACTAGAGTCACAGGAGAAACCATAGCAGCCATGTGGCATCATCTAGCCAAGGCCTAGAAGTCAGTCAGGCAGCATAACTCTGCTTCATTCTATTCATCAAGCCGATCACAAAGGCTGCCCATGTTCCGGGGATTGGTTCATAGACTCCACTTCATGATGGCAGAACTATCAAAGCATTTATGGATAGATTTTTTAAACCACCACAGATGGTGGCCAGTACTCACCCACAAAGTAACAGGAAAAGTTCTTTGTGTCTTTCCTATTAATAAGAATTATTTTTCTTTTTGCCTCAACCTAAAGAGAAAGCACCTTCAAGTAAAAAGAAATAAACACAGAGAATTCTTTAATCAAGGCAAAAATATAAAGTCTAGGCTCAAACATAAAGACTTCTCTTGGCCTTAAGGAGAAGCTTTTTTGAGCAACTTAGAGGCTGCTGCCTGCTGTGAAGGAGGTGACCACGGGACCCCAGAGCCCCCCACGAGGGCCAGAAGTCATGCTGGTCCCTTTCACCAGATTTGCCTGGAGGAACTGCATCTGTTCTTAAAACCTACTCGCTAGACTCCCTTTCTTCTTTTTTTCTGTTTTTTTTTTCCTCCTACTTCAAACCCCATATCTACAAGTTTGTATGAACACCCTTCTTAAATCCTCTTAAAGAAACAATATCTATGTAGCAAACCTGATAGATGTCTTTGAAAAATATACCTCTTTCTACATGGCACAGGCAGTGACATTTACAACCTTGTTATTTTCTCTCATGAAAAAAAAATTTTTTTTTAATTGAGACAGAGTCTCACTCTGTCACCCAGGCTGAAGTGCAGTGCCACGATCTTGGCTCACTGCAACCTCCGTCTCCTGGGTTCAAGGGATTCTCCTGCCTCAGCCTCTCATGTAGCTGGGACTACAGGCACATGCCACCATGCCCAGCCAATTTTTGTATTTTCAGTAGAGATGGGGTTTCACCATGTGGGCCAGGCTGGTCTCGAACTCCTGACCTCAGGTGATCTGCTCCCCTCAGCCTCCCAAAGTGCTGGGATTACAGGCGTGAGCCACTGCACCTGGCTTCCTCTCATGAGAAATTGATTTTTAACTTATTGCTTTCAACACTTTTTCATTTAGCCTGCCACATTAATAGCAGACTTTTAGAAATCAAATCTTCTTTTATAAATGAACCCAAATCTCTCCGAAGGCAGAAAAATTCTTGGTCTCAGAAAAAAAAAAAAAAAAAAAAAAAAAACATGGAATTGCCAATCCACTGAGCCTGTTGCCTAGCTCCAGCGTGGGTTCCAACCTCTTTCCATAAGGGGGAATTTCTGCAGGTGGTCTGTGATTCAAAGAATAAAAGCTCAACTGTTCAGGGAAACATCCTGCTCATTCACATCCAGCTCCTGACTGGAGAGCAGTAGCACAACTGTGCCAAGGAAAAACCAGTCTACAGAAATGCGTATCCAAGTCACAAAGCCAGAACGTGGTGAATCATTAGGAATCCCTTGCAGATGTCTCTCTTGCAAGGCATTTCCAAATGCAGCCACCTAACAATGAAAGGCACGACAATCTTGGCCTGAAATCCTGCTGAAATCCAGATCATCATCTTGGAGAAGAGCATTAGCCATGGTCATCATGGTTTAGAAAGTCCTCCTAGGTAGTTACTTTGCATTCCTGGGAACCTGGTCAAACTTTCTTTCAAAGTGAACAGGTGCAGAGTATGTAAAAGGGAGACTATAGAGCCAAGGGAGTTATTTTTCTAGGTTTCCGATAAATGTGGCCTTATTTGCAGCACAAAGAACACTGTCGATGGTTAAAACACAAAATGATTTTGAAGTTTAATTTAAATTTCACCCTCCTGGCTATTTGTGTTTGTATTTCACTTCACTTGAACAATAAAGTAGCTTGGATGGTTTGGGGCATGCGGTTAAGCCTTTTAATTTCCTGGCCCTCATGCACTGCTGCTCACATGGCAGGGTGGCTGCCCTTAGCACAGAAGCAGAATTTTTAAATTGTTCATTGATATCTTTGGCCTAACATCAATACAATGTTTTGTGCACACGTCCTGTTGTCATATCCATCCAAACCAAACTTTGATGACGTCTAGGTCCCTCGATACTGTAGCAACTGCTCTTACATCCTGTTAACCACCCCGTGACAACCTGTAGGCAGGAATTCCTCAAAGATATGGCCCACATCTTAAACAGAATGAAAGGGAGCACTGGAGAAATTCTAAATCCTTCCACACTTCTGAATAAATTATTTCTTTGCTGATGATAGAACTCAGCATCTCAGGAAAATATTTTCCAAACAGTAGAAAAGTTATTTGAAGTGTTCTGAGACTCCGTTTCCTTTTCCTTTTCAGTGGGCTGGGAGTCTTTTATCAACAAGAGTAGCTTCTTTGGAAGTAGATCTTTGTAATCAGGAGGCAACTGTGCCATTAATTTACCAGGGTATGAATCAGCCTAAGCATGTCCACCTTTTCTTTGCCATTTGATTGTGTGTTCTTTCATACTGTGATTCATCTCCAGACCAAGCTTCTTTGTTCTCCCTTATTTTCAAATTAGCACAGCTTAGAGCCAGGATGATGGAAGATTCAGTGCTGAGAGAAAGAAGACCCATTTCCCAAGAGTAGTATCTTCAAATGCAGACATTCACACAGTTGCTTTTTATCATTATTTGGGTCAAAAGTGCATGACATATGGAAAAACAACAGAGGACATACTATCTCTATGTTTTTTAGATGGCACCCAATTTCATCATGTAATTTTGGAGAAGAATTTATAGGTAAAAAACACTTATGGAGCTCTGGCCACCATTCTGATATAAGTGCACTACAGCAGCAAAGATTAATAAGTATTCGCTCTCACTCTTCAAGGAATTTACATTCTGGCAGGGAAAATGGAGAAGGCAGAAATATACACAAATAATAGAGTTGGGTGAAAATAAAGGGAGGAGCAAGAGGGAGGAGTCTGGGAGCAGGTGGATGTTAAAGAGTCTAACCAGGATCTGGAGGCTGACAGCAAACTAGATGGAAGAGGAGCTATTTTAAAACTGAATCTCAGCAGTTTATTTTAGAGTCATTGATGGATTTGAAGATAGAAGATGAGACAGGATCAGGGGCAAGACATTAAATACACCTGGCCCTCCCAACAGGATAATGTCATGCCAGCCTACCTCACTTTGCCCTCAAGCCATCATCCAGGAACAGGTTACAAAATTTGAAGATTACCAGGTCAGAGAGCAGCAGACTACAGTCCACTACCAGTGTTTGCTAAGAATGGTTTATACATTTCACATTTAAACGTTTATAAGTGGTTGAAAATATCAAAAGAATATCTCATGACACTTGCAAACTATATGAGATTCAGTGTCGATAAATAAAGTTTCACTGGAGCATAGCCACACCGACATCTTTGCATATCGTTCCTATCTGTCAGTGTGACATGACAGCAGAGTTGAGTAGTTGCAATGCAGGTTGTTTAGCCCGGAAAGCCTAAAATATTTACGGTGTCACTCTACAGAAGTTTGCACAACCCTGCTCTAAATGGTATAGTCTGTGAATGTCCTTGCATAACTTACAAAGAGTTGCTGGCAGAAAATAAAGGTAATTCTTATTATATATGTTGAAACCCAACAGCAAATAAATCACAATGACTATCCCACACATTGACTCCTTTTTACTTCCTGTGCAATAAGACAAAATTGGCTAAAATGTCACTAGTCTCTGAAATAATAAATGCTATCATTCAGATAGTGGAAGGTGATTGCTTTCCATCTTCCCAACAAAAGAAGCCAGGAAAATGAGACTTAAGTCAGTAAGAACTTAAGATACATCAAAAGAAGAATGTCCACACTGATAGGAAGAAACTGACACCTGGGGATGAAAGAAGGTTGCCATCCATTTTCTCTGCATTACTACAACTTCCTGCCTCTCCAGCTCAGAGCATAAAATAAGGTCTCATTACCTAGAATAGTCAAATAAATTTGGTTCCAAACATTAAGCATGAGACTTTCTGTTGCCTGTGACTTCTGAGCAGGGTTCTGGATGCAGGACAAAGATGAGGAGGACTCCCCACTAATTTGCCTTGATGCTGCCTACAGAGCTTGTCAGGCCTTCTAATGAGACTGAAATTGATGCTCCTTGATGCAGCCTCCTCGGTGCCTGCCTCCTGGTTTGACTGCACGTCAGCAAACTCCAACAAAGGGATGCAGAAGCCAGTCAGCCTCAGTCTGATGTGAACATTGCCACTTACTATATGGCTGATGGAAGGCTGATTAATGGCCCTCAAAGGGATCCATGTCTTAATCACCAGACCTTGCGAATGTCACATTATAGACAAAAGGGACTTTCCAGATCTGATTAAGGGGACATAACTTGAGATAGGAGAGATTATCCTGGGTTACCTCGGCAGGTCCTACATGTAATCACAAGTGTCTTTATAAAAGAGAGGCAGAGAGAGATAGAATTACAACAGAAGGAGGCAATGTAATAACTGAAGCAAGACACTTCCCCACTGGCTTTGAAGCTGAAAGGAGGGGTCATAAGCCAAGCAACACAAAGAATGCAGCTCTAGAATGATGAGGACACATGGACACAAGGTGGGGGACAACACACACTGGGGCCTGTTGAGGGTGGGGGGATGGGGGAGGGAGAGCATCAGGAATAATAGCTAATGGATGCTGGGCTTAATACCTAGGTGACGGGATGAACTGTGCAGCAAATCACCAAGGCACACGCTTACCTATGTAACAAACCTGCACATCCTGCACATGTACCCCTAAACTTAAAATATTTTTAAAATATTTCACTGCAACCTCCGCCTCCCGGGTTCAAGAGATTCTCCTGCCTCAGCCTCCTAAATAGCTGGGATTACAGGTGCCCGCCACCATGACTGGCTAATTTTTTGTATTTTTAGTAGAGACGGGGTTTCACTATGTTGGCCAGGCTGGTCTCGAATGCCTGACCTTGTGATCCACCCACCTCGGCCTCCCAAACTGCAGGGATTACAGGTGTGAGCCAACACACCTGGCCAATAAATTCTTATATAGGGAAGCAGTGGGAGTAGGAGAAGGCAAGGGAGGCACTCTCCTTAGGCATAAAATTTAAGCAGATGTGAAAAACTCAGTAACAAAGGCAGTATGTGAGTGCACATTTTTTTTAAATCACAGTGCAAAAAATGTTACTGAACAAAATATCAAAATTATAAATAAAGACAGGAATAATGTAACTGATTTTTCCTTTTGTCTCAGACTCCAACACTGCTCAACATGGCACTTTCAGTGATTTTGTTGTTACTTTAAATTTTGCTACTTTGCTCACCATAGACTTTTTGTATTAATTTCTATTTTTTAATATTGCATCAAAATCATATTTTTCTTGATGACTGAGTTTTTGGAATCCCCTTTCATGTTGCATCTGAGGCCTCACTGAACCCCACAAGGAGTATTGTGCCCAGCACACACCAAGTACTTCAACGAATTTTAGCTCTTACTCCTACCCACATCTCCCAAGACCTCCACCAGGCTGTCCAAGAAGTCCAGCCTCATAATCACATAGCAGCAATAAGGGCAGATTTCTCTAATCAGATGAGGCCAGCCCAATCCATTCCATTTTTATCATGGGGAACCTAATTCTCTGGCTAGCACCAGTGAATGCCAATCACGTCTATTCACTTTTGCTACAGCATGATTCATCAGTCTTAGAGGCTAGATCCTTAAACTAGGTTGAGGCTTTTCAACTGAGGCAAAGACGAGGAGAGAGGAAAGATATCTTGAATTCACAACTCCTTCATGATTTTCTGATATTAGTCAGTGTGACAAGTAATAATAACAAGAGATAACATTTCCTGAGTGCTTAGCACACTGTTAAGGGCTTTATGAAACCAAGATTCTGGGAAGTTGGTACTACCATTTACTTCCGTTTTATTGTCAATGAAAATGAGACTTAAAGAGGTTAAATAATCCACCACTGCAGAATGAAACACTAAAGTTGATTTTTCTAGGTGTCTACATGTGCTCATTGGCCCCTCAGCTCTAAGAATTCTTCTTTTAGCCTTTTTCCAACTCTGCCCCTTTGCCCAAGGGTCTGGCTCTTTCATTAATTCCTGCAGGGCTGTGTTAAGACTTCTATTTTTCTTAACCAAACTCTATAGTTACAGTAAGGATAAAAGACCTTGTTTTCATCCCAGTAACCCCTTCTCATTAATTCAAACCACCACCTCCCTTTGCCAGACCAGTAACTGGAAGAATCTAGGAAACATAGGGTCCATCAGAGCATTTTTAGTACATCCCCTGCTTTCACTTTCTGGGAGAGGCTGATCAGTTTCCTTGATCTCCCACTCCATTTTCTCCGAGTTCTACAGCAATGTCTTTAGCCTGAACACAAACGCAGACACTTGGGCTCCCACTCAGTGAAAAATAGCAAGAAATTCCCAACATTCCCAGCGGTAGTTCAACATTCTGTAAACACTTGGCCTCGGTGTCGAAGCATTGTTCACCTTGAGAGTGAACGGGTTCAAACATGGCACCTCTGAGACACTTTGTCACAACCCTCCTCACTTTCATTTTGCACCTGCCACTTTCACCCAGGTGCAATTGGCCTCAGCCATGCATCGAAGACCTCTTCCCAAGGCTGGAGTAACAATGTCGAGAACACTCTCAGTGTTGGATACTTTATTATTTCTACCACGGGATGAACAGCCTTTAAGGAGATTGGTCACAATATACTGACCTATGCACAAATGATCAGACTTGGAGCCATGAAGCTATTCTTATGCCCAAGAAACCTGGTCACATTAGGCTGTTCACTCCTCCTGCTCTAGAGCCCCAGATAAGGGGCTTTCCACATAGTGCCCTGTCCTAACATCTTAATAAAAATAAGAGAGTCATTAAAAACTCTTGGGAAGTTGCATACGTGTTCTCTTACCTCCTCTACAGGAAATGAGCTGAATCACGACCACCAAATTCAACCATTGAAAAGAATACACACGCTTTAAAAATTTTTCTGTACTTCATCTTATTTTGGTTGTTTTTGTTTTTGTTGTTTGTTTGTTTGTTTTGAGACAGAGTTTCACTTTTGTTGCCCAGGCTGTAGTGCAGTGGCACACTCGGCTCACTGCAACCTCTGCCTCCCAGGTTCAAGTGATTCTCCCACCTCAGCCTCTTAAGTAGCTGGGATTACAGGTGCGCACCACCATGCTAGCTAATTTTTTTTTTTTTTTTTCTTTAGCAGAGACAGGTTTTCACCATGTTGGCCAGGCTGGTCTCGAATTCCTGACCTCAGATGATCCACCCTCCTCAGCTTCCCAAAGTGCTGGGATTACAGGAGTGAACCACCATGCTTGGCTGGTTGTTTTTTGTTTTGTTTTGTGTGGTTTTTCTTCGTTTTTTTTTTTGTTTGTTTTCTTTTTTTTCTTTTTGAGCTTATATTCTCCTGGGATTTCAAAAATATAACCTCAGGATATCTCTTCTCCCTTACCTTCCATACTTGTTACTATGTTTATGTTGGTGGGGTGACTTACTTGGTGCTGAAGTGTTGGGGTGACAAGGGCAGGGGAAGTCTCTGTGTCCCTAGCGGTGAATCCATCCAAGAGGCTTCAAGATGGCTGTCACTCTTATCCACAGAGCTTCATTTAGGCTTGATGACTCAGGCTCTCTGCTGGTTCCCTGCCATACCTGAAGGCACAGAACTCATTCCATTGCTTGCTGTGGTTGGCTGGTAACTAGCAATTTCTGTTATCTATCTGTGGGCTACTTGTCTGGCCTTACATTACAGCCATTCTCTCTCTGGGAGCTTCTGCCTCATCAGGGCACCCTTCTCTCTCTGGCCCCACAAATCAATGTAGTGTTTTGCATTTTTCCTACTGTGGACTATGCCCCAAAACCATTGTTCTAATCACTACAATCATTACTAACCATCTGGGTTCTTCATTTTCCCAGAATGGGAACTGTAAGGCCAATATTTTGTCATGTGAGTGGCTACAGAGAAGGCTACCGTCCTGCTGTCAGTGTCCATGTTCCCCATTCCTTCGTGATATGTGTGACAAATTGCAAAGATAGCTGCAATTCCTCACCCTTTCCTGCCCATTTGCAATGTGTCTTCATAGCTCCTCCCATCAAAGTGAAAGGTTTTTCTCCACTCGAATCTGGGGTGCCCTTGAGACTTTCTTTGGTCAATAGAAAGTGGCAGAACTGATGCAGTGCCTGTTGGGATACAGGCCTGAGGGAGCGTTGCACATCTGCCCACTCTTGAAATCTTGCAGCCACCATGTGAAGAAGCCAAGGTTAGCTCGCTGGATGATGGAGGCACAGGACCACGTTTCCTCATGGCCCCAGCCAACTCCTAGACAATCCCTAGGCATAGGAGGGAGGCCATGAACTGTAATGAAGACCCACGAGCTAGCTCAGACACAGTCAACTAAGGCTGTCTCAGTTCAGCAGAACTCGGGCAACGGTAAATAATGTTTGTGTTATGCACTCCATTTGGGAGCAGTTGGTCCTACAGAAAAGCTAACTGATAATCCTCATAACATTTTGTCTTTGCCTCAAATCCTCTGGAATTACCTAAGGCATTACACTTTTGAAACACTTACCTCTTCGTCTCTCCCCTTAGGCAATAAGCCAGGCGCCAATAATCTGACTGAATTACAGGCAGTGGAAGTTAAAAGATGAAATAAATTGAGAAAAAATAAGCAAACAAAACTTATCACACCTCAAGTATTTTGCTAAATACACTCTACCTGCCAGGGATTTAGGGCCACAGATTGTGAGAGTCCATCATTTTCAGTCTCATTACAGTTTTCTTCTATAGCCCAAAGCATCTACAATTTGTTGAATTCCTATTCTTCTGTGTGCACAGTCATGTAATCTGGTTATAGACACAGCCTCAGATATCAGTGAGTTTTGATCCTGAGTTACCATTCGATGAAATTTGGAAAGCTACTCCTCCCCCAATATTTCCAAGGAGGACTCACATTGGCTGACCTAATCCAGCAGGTCTTTGGGGGTTAATTTTGTCAGGAAATGCCAGTATCCCAAATCCCTATTAATGCCTGCTGATTTTGACCCATAGTTCTCCCCTCCAAAAACACACAGATACACACACACACACCACATACTTCCAGTATTACCCAGACTCTGTGCACTTCCGAGTCAATATTTTTTACTCTGGTGGTTGGTCATACCAGCTTCTAGCATCACCATACCTTGAGCCCAGAACCAAATCTTCCCCACTAATATTCTTCAAGCCTGGACATAGTTTTCTCTCTTAACTCTCCAGAAAAACAAGAAAAGACGTAAAAGGAAGCCTCGGGAACCCCCAGGGTATTCACTCCCTTATAGGAAATGGCTCAATCCCAGCCCCTACATTCAACCATTCGTGGAATAGCTTTCTTTATTTTTAGTCCACAACTTAATTTTTTGAGCTGCTCAAAAAACAAAACCAAAAAAACAGTGTAGACTGTTCAACCATTCATAGTCCCATGTGGGAGACAATAAGTAAAATAAGCTAATGGAAGGAGGAGACAACTTCTAAAAGTCACCTTTACAACATAGCCCAGATAAAAAATACTCAATTTACATGAGCAAACAGCAGAATCTGGATGGCAACAGATGGAAATGTCAAGGTTTCCTCCTAAGAATCATAGATAACTACTAGTCTTCCATTTACAGAGCTTAAACGACCCCTTTAAAGAAGACATTCAGCTTCGAAAGATTGTAGGTTATTTTCTACAGGAACTTAAATTACCGGTAACTTCCACCCTAAAAAGGCAATTCTCTGTCTATATATTTGAAAATGTTATTTCTTCTTCCCCAGGCACCCCACTATGGAGTTTATTTTTTCTCAGTCTTTGAATGTAAGATGCAGTTGTTTTTGCCTGGAATGACTGAAGGGTTATTCTGCCTTTGAGCTATATATTAATTATTTCATTCTCTGGTTCCATAATTCTGTGCCACACATAAAATATTGTCAGTGTTGACTTGTCACTGAAGAGGACAGCCCTACCAATTATAGAGAGAAGTAGTTCTCAGTCTCTTCACTTCTCCGTTTCCTCATTGAGAAGCAGAAAGTGAGAAATAATTGCTAAAAAAGTCCCGCAGAGGCAGTGTGGGACATACCTAGGACTTGAGAGTGGCACCATTATGATTCTTTTTTTTGAGACAGAGTCTCGCTCTGTTGCCCAGGCTGGAGTGCAGTGGCACGATCTCGGCTCACTGCAAGCTCTGCCTCCCAGGTTCACGCCATTCTCCTGCCTCAACCTCCCGAGTAGCTACTACAGGCATGCATCACCATGCCCAGCTCATTTGTGTATTTTTTGTATTTTCAGTAGAGACAGGGTTTCACCATGTTGGCCAAGCTGGTCTCCAACTCCCGACTTCAGGTGATCCACCCACCTCGGCCTCCCAAAGTGCTGGGATTACAGATGTCAGCCACCATGCCCAGCCACCATTATGATTCTTTATGGTTCTTACCCACTAAACAAAATTGCCTTCTTTCCTTGAACATGAAAGGGACAGAGCACCTTTGGGAAGGTTTATCTTCTTCCAGTCTCTTCAGAAAATAACACCTCACATTTCTCCTACTCCTAATCTTCAGTAAGTGATGATGAGCCATTGTCCCTGCTACAACAAATTGCTACTTTAAAAAATTTACTTTCAAATTTAGACAGTTTCCACAAAGAAAGAACATTTTCATGCTAGATGCCTGATCTCCCAGAACACTATGCCCTTTTAGTGGAAAGGAAACCCAGCTGGTGTTCTAGAGAACAGAATCTTCACTGGCTCTGGTTGTTAAATTGCAAATCAAAATAAAATAAAAGATCTATATAAATAGGCATTACAAATGACTAATGAACAGAGCCTAAAGGCAAGATACATCAATAGCTTGGGAAATGCCCAAGTTTCTGCTTTTCAGCGTTGTTGGAAATACTATTAAGGACATTATGTTTCATTTTGCTTTCATCATTTGCTTAATAAAAATGCATGGTATGACATTCCCATTTATTTTTCTACTCTGAGAACATTAAGTCAAAAGCATCTCCAGTTTCACCCATCACCTAAAGAGTTATTTATCTGTGACTTTTGAATATGGCATTACATGTTTTTATACATTATAGCATCATCCTTGCAAAATGTGCCCAAAAATATGACTCTAGGTTAAACAAATAATAATAGTCATCAGGGAAAAATGAACTGGTGCTAGGCGAGGAAGGAAAAGATCATCTCAAGCTGAGTCCTCAAAAGAAATGTGAAGCTAATGAGGCAGATATGTGCCAAGGGGGTGGGGGAAGCCACAAATGACAAGTGTGACAGAGAATATTTCTGTGTCAGTAGGATCTTTTCAGAGAAAGAAAGGGAAATAAGAAAAGTTTCAAACTTAGAGCCAATCCCAGCACTTTGGGAGGCTGAGGTGGGCGGATCACAAGGTCAGGAGATCGAGACCAGCCTGGCCAACATGGTGAAACCCCGTTTCTACTAAAACTACAAAAATTAGCTGGGTGTGGTGGCACACGCCTGTAATCCCAGCTACTCGGGAGGCTGAGGAAGGAGAATTGCTTGAACTCCGGAGGTGGAGGTTGCAGTGAGCCGAGATGGTGCCACTGCACTCCAGCCTGGGCGACAGAGTGAGTCTCTGTCTCAAAAAAAAAAAAACAAAAACAAAAACAAAAAAAACCTAAGAGCCACATCTTTTTATGCATAATGAAGAACCAAAAAACGTGTTTTCATAGGAGAAATATTGATAATAAAATAAAAATTTTAAATGGATAATGTGGCAAAGATAGGACGCCAAGCAAAGGTTATCCTGGACACACAGAACATTTTAAGCAGCCTACTCCCATTCTCTCCTCAGCATGACTGTCAGTCTGCATAGAGTGACCTGAGAATTGAACCCAACAGATGCCTTGTGGCTTCTTGCAAAAGAGTCTTTCATTATCTTTGCCTGTGATCTCTCTTCATATGGTAAAATCTATAATGGGTCAATATCATTCCATTCACCATGACAGCATCTTGGGCTCCTCTCCATAAGGAAAGATGGGATTGGTGGCTTTGTGGCTGACCCTTTATCGCAAGGATGTATCATGTGCTTCCTATGTAAAATGGGAAGAATTTTACCAATTACATGAATTATTATTACTGTAACCTCTCCCCATTTACCCCACTAAAGTCTTCTTTGCTTGGTAGTACATTAAGAGCCAGAATGTGATAACCTCTGCCCAGCTCCCTTGCTATGAAAGGGCACTAAAATACTCAGGTCTGACTCTACTTTTTCTCAGCCTATCTGGGTTGGTCATTTTTATTCCTTCCATCCTACTTACCCATGTCATACTCTGGATATTTGAAAGAACTTCTGATCATGAATGATGGAGAGATATTGTAGAACCTAAAATGGGCTGCCAATTTTTTCATTTCACAAGTATTTATTGAGAACTTCCTTTGTGCCTGGAATTGTGTTCGGGGCTGGAGACATAAACCTGAGGGCTCAGGCAGCTCACTCTCAGGTGGAAGAGGCATCCTGGCTATAAATTATTGTGATAACAATGTGTTGGGTGCTTTTGGAGTTGTGAACTGTAGGCACCGCCTTCTCAGAGCTTCCAGAAAACAGCAGAGGGAGCTACAAAGTTTGGACAGAGTGGTCACGGGTCTATCCAAACTTCCCTAGTCCGCTATAGTGACCCCTATTCTGTGCTCTTCATTGTTTTCTTTGAAGAGCGCCCAGGCTCCCACCATCTGGAGGAGCAATAGGGGATGCCATGGCGCAGAGCTGCCCAGGCTGCCCTGCCTGCGGCCTGCTCTCTGCTGCCCCTGCAGGGCCTGCGGTAAATGGGCTCATTTATTCCCAGAAACATTTTCTTGAACCTAACAATATCCTCCATCATTTAAAAAGCAATTCCTGAATTCCCAGCTGCCACAGGAGGGCAGCAGAGACAGTAACCCTGAGCCAGAATCTCTCTACAGGGGCCCTGTGGCTCCCCACATCAGCCATGGGTGTGTGCTGACTTTTTTGCCTCGGGTATGGACAGGAGGTCGTTGAGAAGGGACCAAGCCAATTTCATTCCTCCCCAAGGGGAAGCATTTTTCTGAACCCCACTAGCACCCTCTCTTTGGGCCCACAGATCTTTTGCTTATCTCTTCTAAAAAGTGAAAGCATTAAAAAAAGAGAGAGAGAAAGACAGAGAGAGAGAGAACCCCACCACACCAGTGTTTCCTGTTTTTTCAACTTAACAAGCCAATTGTTTCTGTGTCTCTTTCCCGCTTGAAAAAAAGAATAAAGAATACACCCAAGGTTGCAGACAGGGTGGGGTTGGAGGAGGCCAGCCTTCAGGGAGAGTACTGAGCACCTATGGGGGAATGTGTCCCCAGTTCAGAAAGGTTTTCCCTCAGTCTTCGGCCATTCATGGCAGCCCTTGAGGAAAGACTCCCCTTGAGGAAAGACCCCCATAGACCAAGCTGGTTAGCCAGACACTGCGGCTCTTTCTTCATTTTTTCCTGGTTGGTACCAGCCCAAGGAACACAGACCCTAGTGTTACCTTCGCAATGTGCTCCCTATGTCCCAGGCAATTCATTAGCGTATTGGTTAGCAGGAATTTTTGCTCAGTAGCACATTAGAAAAGACCATGGAATATTGTTATTTCTAAAATTATTTTCTATTTTTCTTTTTTTTTCCTTTTTAATATTTTTTTATCTCTTCCTCCAATCAATCCCTCAAATTCCACCACCATCCACATTCTCCCGGGCTCCTGACAATTATGTTTAGCCCAACTCTAACCACAGGCTTCAGAGGCTGTTTCCTCCTGATTTTCCAAATGAGGCAAAATTGGAACCTCATTTTTGTGAGCTTCAAGCTCACAACCAGCAGCAACTCAGCGCATGCTTCTGCACACATGATGTGGACGTGCTTTTAATCTTTCTTGTACCTTTATAAGCAGATCCTCCCAGGCTTCTGCAGTGTAGGAGAACGGATATGGTTTTATTAAAAATAGTGTCTCAATTTCAATAGCTCTAAGTTCCCACCTGCTTGATGGCAGTGCTGAAGGGAGCCCCTCAGAGCCTCCTCTGCTATTCCAGGCATTCCAGGGTGGCTTTGCAGGACAGCAAGGAGGAAATCTGCTCCTGGACTTTGATTTCAACCTCATCTGCTGTCCACTGCCTGTACCACAGAAGGCACCTTGATGAGATATTGCTCCATGGCTTTCAGATCCTCTGAGAGAATAGGGGTCATGGATCTCTCCACTACAACTTTGGGTACTATTTGGTAGCCACCCCAAGGTCACAGGCCGCCTCAATAATACTAGGATCATGGTCGCAGTCACCTTTTCCACTTAAGCCCTGAAGTTGCTCTGTTCATGCTGGATTCGCAAGTCCTTAGGCTTCTGACTTAACCTACTCCCTTACTAGGGTTGAGAATTGGCTCTGCCATACTCTAGAAAGGGAGTAGGACACAAGTGCCCCCACTCCTTCCGTACCCTTATTTATTCTCTTCTTTCTCTTTTCTCCAGTTGCCTTTGTCCCTACAATGGGATGAATGGTGTCTTCTCAAAAGATATATCCAAAGCAATGTAAGTGCTGATCAATAGACAAATGAATAAAGAAAATGCGGTGCATATACCCAATGGAGTACTATTCAGTCATAAAAAAATGAGATCCTATCACTCATAACAACATAGATGGAACTGGAGGTCATTATGTTAAATGAAATAAGCCAGGCGTAGAAAGACAAACTTCGAATGTTCTCACTTATTTGTGAGAGCTAAAAATTTTTTTTAAATTGATCTCATAGAGATAGAGAGTAGAATGATGGTTACCAGAGACTGGCAAGGGTAGCTGGGGTAAGGAGTGGGGATGGTTAATGGGTATAAAAATATAATTAGATAGAACGAATAAGATCTAGTATTTGATAGTACCACAGGCTAACTACAGTCAACAATATTTTACTGTACATTTGAAAATAACTAAGTATAATTGGATTGTCTGTAACACAAAGAAAGGACAAATGCTTGAGGCAATGGATACCCTATTTACTCGGATGTGATTGTTACACATTGCATACCTGTATCAAAATATCTCATATACCATATATATATATATATATATATATACACACACATACTATGTACACACAAACATTAAAAATAAATAATTTTTAAAGATATATCCAATTGCTAACCTCCAGTACACATGAATGTGACCATATGAAAATAGGTCTTTTGTAGGTCTTCACAGATATAGTTAAGGATCTTAGAATGAGATCATCCTGGATTTCAGTTGCACCCTAAATCCAATGACTGGTGTCCTTACAAGAGAAAGGAGAAAGAGATTCTAGACACAGGAAGGAAGAAGGCCATAGGAAGATGGAGACAGAGATTAGAGCAATGCTGAAGATGAAGACAGAGATTGGAGTGATGCTACCACAAGCAAGAAACACCAGGAGCCATCAGAAGCTGGAGGGGGCAAGGAAAGATTCTCCCCTAGAGCCCTCAGAGGGAGTGTGGCCCTGCAGACACCTTGATTTAGGACTTCTCACTTCCAGAACCATGAGAGAATGCATTTCTGTTGTTTTAAGCCATCAAGCTTATGGTAGTATGTGGCAGTCCTATTCTCTCAGAGGGTGTGAAAGCAATACCTCATCACGATGCCTTCTTCATGACAGGCAATGGACAGCAGGCGAGGTTGAAATCATAGTCCAGGAGCAAATTTCTTCCTTGCTGTCCTGCAAGGCCACCTTGGAATGCCTGGAATAGCAGAGGAGGTTTTGAGGGGCTCCCTTTAGTGCCGCCATCAAGCAGGTGGGAACGTAGAGCTATTGAAATGTAGACGCTAATTTCAACAAAACCTCATAAAAATATAGCTGTCATCCTACTCCTGAAGCCCCAACCTGTCCTTCTACTTATTTCAGTGAAAAAAATTAAAACTCAGGCAAATAGAAACTGAAGTAAAAGATGCCTCCTAACCCCTCTAGGCACGAACAACTGAGTCCTAGCTGAGCACAGTCCTGGGTTCGTCTGGTGTCTTTTCCTTGAAGACCATTTTGTTGACACTCCTTAAACTTAAACACTAGATTTCTTAGGGTTCTTCCAGCTAATCTTATAGACACTAGTTAGACAACATGTGAATGGACTTAAAATTAATACACTTTAACTCTACCACTCACTTTGCAACTCAATGCACTCTCCCCTGCCCACCAACAAGCAAAACAAGCCATCCATAAGTTGAGAATTGCAGAACCTACAGTTCCTGTAATTTATGTCTAACTGCCCAAGATAAGGATTATTAGGTCTTTCCAGACTTCCTCACTCAGTATTCTAGTTGACAGCAGGCCTCTGTTCTCAGGCCACTCTCTGGAACAAACACATATTTGAATTCCTTCCAACCAACCAAACAAACAAACAAAAATAATAACGTTCTGTCTCTCCACCATGTTCCTCCCTGAAGAAGGAATAGATACTATTACTCTCTCCCCCTTGCCATACATAAGAGGCAGTCTTCTTGAAAGAGAAATAATCTTTGGGGACTATGGTTAAAAGCATCCATTTTGGCCTTAGACAGACCTATGTAAAGTCCTGGCTCCATAATTGAGCATGTTATTCTCTCCAGGTCTTGCTTCTTTCTTAACTAAAAGGGGAAGAGCCCCACAGTTATACTACAAGAACACAGTGAGATGAGGCAGTTGTAGAACTAAGTAAACAGAAAGGACTGTAGAGGATAAAATGGTAACGAGTCTCTGTACAGCCCAGGAAAAGGATAAGAAGGAAGGGTTTGGAGTTAAAGCAAACTCATGAAGGACTCCTAGACCTCTAGATGCGCCAACAAGGGACTGTTGCTCAGGCATCAGGAATCAACAGAAGGTGACTGAACAGCCACTGACACAGGCCCTACCCGTAGCTTCTACATCCCTCTTCCATCACAGCACAAGCACACAGAACCCTAATTGGTAGTGCCAGAGACGCAGCAGGTACTCAGAGATGGCTTACTTCCTGCATCCAGAAAGCTGAGCACATGGTGTCCAAGGGCAGGGGAGATGTATCCATGACTAGATGTTCAGCGTATTTGGGAGAGAACCCAAGGGGGCACATTCAGAGTAGGCTACTATAACAGGAAGACTGCTCCTTAAAGCAGACCACACCCTGACGTCTCCTGGGTGGTGATGAGTGGGTTTGTATATGTGGGCTCCCTAGGAATTCTCAGTGTCCATATACAGTCCACAGTCATCATATTGATATAATTAGGTGCCCTATGTGAGATTACTCTTTTCGTCTTTAGCAACAGCAATTTTAGCATCTTTTTATGTGGACAGGGACAAAACATCACCTTGGGTCAGATCTCAAGAAGGCCCTTTGGGTTTCACAGATGAATGACAGGCAACCCCAGAGCACATCATTTGCCTCTCAGTCTGCCAAGAGAGACCTCTAGCTATGCTTGATGTATGTAAAATATATTCTTTTATGTTAATTACGCTTTCACATATAACACAGTGTTATTTAAAAGATGTGTAGTTTACATGTATTGATATTTCTAGACAGGTATAGAAAAGAGGAGATGGAATTTGTGATACACTATGAAATGGATCACCAAGGGAAAATTTTCACAAATAGAATGGATTGCGGTTCCTGAAGGTAGTAATTCTTGCCTACTTGCTTCATGGGCTTGTTAAGAGAATGAAAATCAAAATGAGATCAGACAAATGAAAACACGATCAAGATTTCAGAAATTGAAAATAACACTATCATTATTATTTTTAATTAAAGTCCTTTATATGGGAATTACATACTTGAGCTGCAAACTCGGTGACCTGGCCCTCAGGTGCACAGAAAAGTTCTGATTAAAATTTTAATAACCATCTTATTACAGGTAGAAGGTTTCTCAACAGTGAAATAACAAACGGCCATGGTAGTTGGATTCTACTATTCCCAGGCTTCCCCATTCTAGGCCCTGTTCCCCCAAAACACTTTCAACACAAACACATTCACACACACACACACCCATACACTTCACAGGTGTCCAGGGGCATCCTTCTGTCTTATGAGAGCAGCCCTCAAGATAATGCCTTGGTGAGTTTAGAATATTTTTGTTTGTTTGTTTGTTTGGTTTGGTTTGGTTTTTTGAGACAGAGCTTCTCTCTTGTTGCCCAGGCTGGGGTGCAATGGCGCGATCACAGCTCATTGCAACCTCCGCCTCCTGGGTTCAAGTGATTCTCCTGCCTCAGCCTCCCAAGTAGCTGAGATTACAGGCACCCACCACCATGCCCACCTAATTTTTTTGTATTTTAGTAGAGACGGGGTTTCACCATGTTGGTCAGGCTGGTCTCAAACTCCTGACCTCAGGTAATCCACCCGCCTCAGCCTCCCAAAGGAGTTTAGAATCTTTACAACAAGAAAAGAGAAACCTTTTTGTCTTCTTCTTAGAATCTCTTTGAATAAATTTTTGAAAGTATTCTAGTATTCTTTAATCTGTTTCTCAAACTAGCACAGATCATCCTATTTTACCTTTTCTTTCAATTGATTTCTTTAAAAAAAAAGCCCCCCCCCACAAAAATATTCATGATTGATGAAAAAAGGCACCATGATACGGTTGTTGTGCATGGACCTGCCTGTCAGCAATGACCACAGCTCACCTGAGAGTAAGATTACAAAATCACAAACAGAAAATGACTTTTATAATCAGCCTCCAAAGCTAATGCCCAATATATGGTACTTTCTGCTAAAGCTCCTGGAAATCTTCCCACATGCTCTACATCTGCATTTGCAGACCCTCTACCAGGAGCTAAATTTATCCTCTGTTTAGTGTTTTATTGGATTTAAAAGAGCTAAACAGAGAGTTTTAAATCTAGGGGGGATATTTGATGAAATAAAAACTGGTGAAAACAAGGACAACTGGTGAAAAATGGACAAGAGGGTTTTACAGATCCTCCATCTTCCTAAATGTCCATCCCTTCCAGACTTCTCCCCTCAATTCTTGTGCACCTACTCTGAACTCAACATGTGTCAGATACTGAGGGCATATGGAAATATGATAAACCAGATTTCCATACTTTAGGGAACTTAGAATCTATTTGAAGAAGTAAGACTAGCACAGGAACAATTAGTTCTCAAAATATATCAGTTAGATGAAGAATTTGGTGAATTTTAAGTGCCTTAAAATATCACCAAAAGGAAGCTCAGTGTGAACTCCCAGAGTAATCTGGCAAAGTACAAGATGAAGTGAGGGACATCAGATGAGTCTTGAAAATTGGGAAGCAGCCCGGGCACAGTGGCTCAGGCCTGTAATCCCAGCACTCTGGGAGGCCGAGGCGGACGGATCACCTGAGGTCAGGAGTTCGAGACCAGCCTGGCCAACATGGAGAAACCCTGTCTTTACTAAAAATACAGAAATTAGCTGGGCGTGGTGGTGGTAGCCTGTAATTCCAGCTACACGGGAGGCTGAGGCAGGAAGAATTTCTTGAACCCAGAAGGCAGAGGTTGCAGTGAGCCAAGATTGTGCCACTGCACTCCAGCCAGGAGTCTAATTATTAGGAGTCTAATTATTAGGCCATTGCAAGTCATCTGGGAGAGAAGCAGTGGTAGCATGGAGTAAGATTGTGGCAGTGGGAACAAAAACAAGTGGATGTATGGCAGAGCTGTCTAGAAGGCAAAGCCAACAACAGTGGTGTTTGGCTGCAAGAGAAAGAGAGGGAATGGTCAAGGGTGACAACCCAGATGATTGACAAGTGGGAGGATGGTGATTACCAATCCCTGAAACAAGAGCGAGGGCAACAGAGTGAGGCTCTGTCTAAATAAATAAATAAATAAAGTACTGTTATAACTGTAAGTTTATTTCAAATTCTAAGGTGATAACTATTTTATTTCCATTTTAAATTTCAGGTACCAAGCATTAAAAAAAGTTTTGTGACTTAACCAAGATCACAGCTAGTTCTTGCCAATGGGACCCAGGTCTCCTGACAACTAGACAAACTCATTCCACTAGACCTTACTGACTTGCAGTAATTTTTTTGCCCTAAAATGGAAATTCTTATTTTGGCATTCATTCAACTGAAGAGATATATAGATATACAGGTGGCCTTATATTTAAGTGCAGGATGCTCCACTGTCTTTTCCAAAACTCAAGCAATATTTCTCATTTCCTTTATTTATTTATTTTATTTATTTATTTATTCTTTCATTCATTTCACAGATGTATTGAGCTACTGCTACATGCCTGACCTGGTTCTAATTTCTGGGGATAGAAATGATCCTTTCTTAACAGAACTGGCATTAAACAAATAATTACAATTCCTACCAAGTGGGAAAATACAGGATCCGATAGGGAGTAAACAAAGGGAGTTCAGAAAAGTCCTATCAGGAAAGTCACCTTTAAGATGTAAAGATGCCCAGTAGTTAAGTGATAAATAGGGACACCTATGTTTCTGCAAGACAACACAGCATGTTCAGGAAACTGAAGGAAGACTTGATGGCTACACCAAGTGAACAAAAAGCAGAGCATTTGAAGAAGGTGGACAGTTTTGTGGGGCAGGAATACTGAGTGTCCCACACTGCTAATTGCCATGGAGGTCAGGAGATGTATGATCAGAATTGAGTTTTCAAAGAAAAATTACTCTACTTCTGCATGGTCTCCTTTACAGAAGGGAGTGGGTTAAAATGGTCACCAGGAGTCTAATTATTAGGCCATTGCAAGTCATCTGGGAGAGAAGCAGTGGTAGCATGGAGTAAGATTGTGGCAGTGGGAACAAAAACAAGTGGATGTATGGCAGAGCTGTCTAGAAGGCAAAGCCAACAACAGTGGTGTTTGGCTGCAAGAGAAAGAGAGGGAATGGTCAAGGGTGACAACCCAGATGATTGACAAGTGGGAGGATGGTGATTACCAATCCCTGAAACAAGAGTAACTGGAAAAAGAGCAGTTTTTGAAGGGGAAAGGAGAAGAGAAGAAAATGAATCAAGTTTGGGATGGGTTAAATTTGAGTTATCTGGAAACATTCTAAATGGAAATGTGAAATAGACAATTGGATATTCTAGCCTGGTACTCCAGAGAGAGGCCTGGGTTAAGGATAAAGTTGTAGAAACCATACAGCATGGGAATGCATGAGACCTTAGAGGAAAGCATGTGGGGTGAGAGGACAAAAGTGCTTAGAAAAGACTCCCCAGGGAATCCAATAGCCAAGGGTTATGTAGAGATGAGTGACAGCAAAGGACACTGAGGAACCATCACAATAGGAGACAAATTAAGGCTAGGATGATACCATGGATGCTGATAACAGCATAGGCACATTAATGACAAGCTTTCTTAAGTCATCTTGAAAACATCTGTATTGGTCCATTTTCACACTGCTGTAGAGAACTTCCCTGAGACTGGATAATTTATAAAGGAAAGAGGTTTAATCGACTCACAATTCCACATGGCTGGGGAGGCCTCAGGAAACTTACAATCATAACAGAAGGTGCAGCAGGCACCTCTTCACAGGGCAAAAAATCTCACCCAGCAGTATAATAACCACGGCATTCTGATCTCTTAATTTTTTAAGTACTGGCAAAATATACAAGATTCATTGCAAGACACTGCAAGAAAATTTAACCCGTTGTCTAAAAAAACAATAGGGGGATTGCAAGTAACCCGCTATGACTCTGAAGTTGATCATTGAGTTTGATCATTATTGACATCCTTTGTTTCTTTGCTTGCTAACTTTTGGCAATTTTATTCGACAAGGTAAATTGTCTCACTATGTGATTCCAATGAAATCCTTTTCCTCCTTGGAACAGGTTTTTAAAAAAAAAAAAATCAGCAAAAGAGAAGAGTAAAACTGTTATAATTAAGTTTTTAAAAAAAAAATTATCTCTGGTTTTTATGTTTTCATATGAACCCTGGGAGGGAAATCTGTCTTCTTGCCAATGGGATAGTACAATATTGGTGTGACCATTGGCAGTGTTGTCTATTGCTTCATTTGCCATCAGGGTTGATTTGGCTAATCGGGTTGACTAATCCTTGTTTCCCCTCCGTGTGTATTTTAACAGAACTAGTGGGCTCAGATGGACAATCTTTCCAGGAAAAGGAGGCCGGTTCTGAAACAAGTAAATCAGAAAGTAAACCTCCAGATAATTCCTACATTTTGCACTTGTTGACAGAGGCGTTTCTGCCCTAAGATGAGTTATCATGGGAATCTTCTCCTCTTTCTTTCCTGTCTCAATCATGGGTTTGAATTCAAATATCAAAATCCTAGTATTTCTGTATAACATTTTTATTGTGCAGTCAAGAGGGCCCCACTCCATATAGACATAGAGCTTTGTGGGGCAGTATTGGGTTCCTAATGTTACTTCAAATGTTCTGTTGCCCCAGGTCACTTCAATTTAGCAGGTATGATTTAATGAGTTTCCACTGGATACAAAGCACAGGGAAGAATTCTGTAAATGATATGAAGATGTATAAAGATTGAAGGGTAGAGAAAAGCCCCAGAAAGATGTATAAACACTTTGAGCTCTTGAATCAAGCCCTGTCTCTTTGGACTTTCAAAAACTTCTGAACAATGGCAGGAATCATTGCTAAGTTATGAAAACTCTGGGCCATGACCCTAAATCCACAGAAGGTTGGAATTTACCGCCACGAAAAATGCAATGCGAGCAGAGTGGGGAGGAGACACTGGTGGTTAAAACCCAGAAACACATAGAGCTAAAAGTCATGCTCATAGTCATTGTATGTTCACTGTGTACCAGAAATCATACTAAGTGCTTTATATAAATAATTGCATTCTGATGTTACAAATAGCCCTGTGAGTATGTATTATTGTTTTTATCCCACTTTGTAGATGAGGAAATTTTAAAGTTTAGATGTTAAATAAATTATCCAAAGTCACAAAAATCAGTAAGTGGTAGAGCCTGGAATTGAACCCAGAGCCTAGATTCTAAGCCACTACATGCAATGAAGACTGTCTTCCTGGTCTACCTCTTTCTCTCCAGCAACCTCACTCCCAGCCCTACCCCAGACCCCTAGCCAGTTACAGTAGACACAGTGCCTATGGCCCACAGAACATTAGGAATCCACAAAAATATTTTAATTTTATTTAAGTCAGAAGAAAAATATTAATAACAATAAATATATGATAATAAATCCAGCCTGAATTGTGTTCATCTTTATATCAACATAATCATAAAATATAATATTAGCTTAGTTATTTTTATGAAAAAAGGGCGAAAGTGCCCACTCGAGGCCCAGAAAAGTCAGAATTTGGCAGATACCATCTTCTTGACAGAGGAATAGAAACTTCACGCTCTCCCTTTCTAAGGCCCTTCACTGGAGCTAATTTTTCCTCTTCAATATAATAAAATAACAATAACCAACACTTCTATAGCTTCTACAATGTGCCAGGAATGTATATATGAGCTTTATATGCATTCTTCACAAACCCCTGTGAAGAAGCTGCTACTATTGTTAGCAGCAGAAAGCATCTGAGTTGCACGGTACCAAAGCAGGTTAGCAGTGGCAGATCCACGAGGGCCTGAAGCAACCTGTTGCCTCCTCAGAAGAAAGAATTTGAATGAGGGGCAGAAGGCAGAAGGAGAGATAGAGGTAAGTTTAGAGCAGGGGAGAAAGTTTATTAAAAAGTTTGGATCAGGAACAAAAGAAAGTAAAGTACACTTGGAAGAGGGCCAAGCAGGCAACTTGAGAGATCAAATGCCCTGTTTAACCTTTGACATGGGGTTTTATAAGTTGAAATACTTGCGGGGTCTTGCATCTCTTCTCCCCTGATTCATCCCCTGGGGTGGGCTGTCTGCATGCGCGGTAGCCTGCTAGCACTTGGGAGTGACCGCAAGTGTGGTGTTTACTGGAGTTGTACACATGCTTACTTGAGGAGTTCTTCTTCCCTTACCAGCTGAATGTTCTAGAAGGAACATTCTAGGAATATTCTGCCTCTTAATGTGCATGCTTGAACCCACTTGCCCAGCTCATGAGATCTTACTGGGAAGCTGCTGATCACCAGTTTCAGGCGTTTCTATCTATCGGGAGACGGCCTTTCTTGGTGCCAGCTGTGACCAATTACTATTTTACAGAGACAGTTAACAACCACCTGACCATACCTGATAGTCACCTGACATTCCTGATGGGCACAGAGGAGCCCTCTCCTGCCTTGCTCATGCCTGACTAGCTAGCTAGCTACTGTAATATTATTAGCTCCATGTTATTTGTATTATTATTATTATTGGCTCCATTTTAGCAAGAGTATTTAATATTTCTTTGAATCACATCCCACCCACGTTAAAATACCAAGAGTCCCTTCAAGATGTGTCCCTGGTCCAATCCTCCAGAATGGCTTCCGTCATGCAGGCATGCAATCATTCACATATTCATTCCCTTAACATGCCTATCTTAAGAAAGGTGCTCTATAAGCCTCTGTAAATATGAGAAGGGAAAATTAAAGTGTCTCTGTCTACAACTTGCTAATATTCTCACCCTAAGATTGTGATTTAAAATACATCTCCTGTAGATTCAGCCATGTTATCTGTGCAGTATCTGGGACTAGGTTTTGGTTTGCTAGACTTTGGCTGGTGGTCATTAGGTGTTTGTGTGTTTGTCAGGAGAAGTGTGAGATTATGGTGCAGAAATTAACTTCACTTCTGCCAGTGCATAGAGTACAAACAGCCTTCTTCCAGAAGTATCTATGCTATTTAATAGAGTTAATAGGAGCGCACCCCAGAGGAATCATTTAAACACAACTCACTTTGTTAAACTTTTTAAATGGAACTGATATCAGCAATAATGTAAAGCATTATTTCAGCCTTTTGCACGACATAAAAACCACCTCGTCTTTTTTCACAAAATCGTTCCCTCTGTCACAAACAGCATTCAAGATTAGATCAGTTTGACTGTCAACTATTTTTACTTTTCAAGCACGGATCAACGGCACACTCTGCCTGATATCATTAAGATAATCTGAGGATAACTAGCCATACGTCGACAAAGGGAGAGATTCATTATTGTGATTCAATAAACCAAGCTGATTATTATAATTCCAACCACTTCTCCCCCACCTCACAGCTCCCTGTTACTAAAACATTCTCTCCCAGAAATAAATACATTGCCATACATCTCATTTCTTTTTTTGACTTTTTTTAAGTTTTGCCTTTGAAACCTCAACACTCTTCTTTGGGTAAATTAAGTAGTTCAATGAGTAGGTCCCTCATTATTACTTTAAATAATCAAGAGTTCCAACCTGATTTCTACAATCATTTTTATTTTGTCTCTAGTTAAATACTACTTGAATGAATGAGAGTGGTCTCTTTTTCCATAACAATGCAATTTTAAATGTTTCAATATTATTTGCAGGAAACTTTTACCTTCCCAGCTGACTGATTATCATATTTAACAAAGCCTTGCTTGTGTGAGAGTGAACAGCCCAGCAATTGCCATCATTTGCATGCACACTAAAACTAGCACTGGGAATGTGACCTTCATTTAGGCATTGAATAATGTTCTCGAAGCTTTATCCACCCTGCCTGCTAATCACCACAGCTACAACACAGTCCCGTGTTGGGCAACTGAATTGTTTTTGCAAACAAAAAGTAAATTGTCTATTAGCGCGTCCACACATTTTCTTGTCTCAGAGAACTAACATAAGCAAAGGTCATTGAAGGAAACAGACAGGGTTCCAGTTAAGTGTTATTGGTGGGTAGGGGGATAGAGTCCAGTGATAAAGAAAACTATTAACCTTGTTTTTTTCCTCTTTGTTTGTGCCTTTGTTTGGGAAATAAGGTCTATAATAAGAGATTAAAACTCCCCACCAAAAGCAAAGTAAGGGCCTACTAAATCGATTTTTATATGTTAGAAAAAAAAGGTTGATCTACATTGCTGATATGGAAAAAAATGAAGACACCCAGTTATAACGCATAAATCTGGAGCTATTATCATGAGTCCGGATGGAGTATTTCAGACAGTCTAAGGAGCTCCTAAAAGGCACAGGGAAGAGATGAAATTTCTTATAATTGAAATAAATCCTTTTGCATGATTACAAGGCAGATCTTAGGCTACTCACAAGAAATGAACCTTAAAAGGGAGGGGTTGGTAAGGGTGAGGAGATTCTAGGCCATTGAACTCAAAAAGCATGTGTCCTGTAGCAGCTGCCATTAAATAAATATTCTAGATCTACAACAGTTCTATCCCTGGTGACTATTTGCATGGTAAATGGCTAAAAGCACAGTTTTAGAATCTCTTATTTATGTAGATTAGAAGGGAAAGAATAATTCATAGTTCTTTCCTGCCCAGAGGTTTACACACTCCACTCCAAAAAGGAAAATAATATGTTGTCAGCAAATATACAACAAGGAACCACTTAAAATTCTGGTTTCATTAATCATCATATGCATTTGCTTTTCTATCCCAGTTCTTTGCAAACTTCAGTGCATACACACACATTAAAAAGATATATAAATATGTTTGTGTAGTTATTTATATAGAATATATATGTTTAGCCTGTGTGTGGCTGGTAGGCTCAACTGATTAAAGTCCTGTTCTAATGAGGCTAGGTCCGAATTTCTCTGGCTCTGCTTTCTGGCCAAGAATAGCAATCTAATTTCTGATTAGACAAGTTCTAAAGGCACACAGTGAGTCCCAAGGTGAAGCAGGCAAGAAACTGTTGGAAGAACAAGCCTTCCGCATGATGGAAAGAAAAAAGACCAAGTGACAAGACCTGCTGGAGGGAAGCTGGAAAGTCTGGACAGGTAACATTTTCATTTGCCAATATGTCTATTCAGGGCATAAAGTATAACTTAAATAACTAACCTACAGCTTTGGTCACTAAAGAAAAACCAGAAGAAAATTGCATAGACACTATCTTGAGTCATCTCCCTCTGGAATTTTAGAAGGTAGGTTGGTAGGATTTTCAGATTAGAAAGTCCACAGCTCAGGAGAATCAAAGAGGTCCAGGTGGAGAAGAAGAAAGGTGCAGGCTGGACTGTCGCTGGGCTTTACCAGACGAGGTGAGATCATAGGGTCATCATTTGTGCTTCTTCATGGTACGGTCAAGTTTACTAGAGAGGAGCACAAGACGGATCTGGGGAAGAAGTCATAGCCAGGAGCAAAGACTGTCCCTTGTATAAAATTTCTCTAGAACCCTAGAATAGCTACAGGACAAGGTGGGAGTCCAGCAGAAGAAAGGCAAAGAGAAAGTCAGGTATGTTTGGCTGGGCGCGGTGGCTCATGGTTGTAATCACAGCACTTTGGGAGGCCGAGGCAGAGGATCATGAGGTCAGGAGATCGAGACCATCCTGGCTAACACGGTGAAAGCCCGTCTCTACTAAAAATACAAAATATTAGCCGGGCGCGGTGGCGGGCACCTGTAGTCCCAGCTACTTGGAGAGGCTGAGGCAGGAGAATGGGGTGAACCTGGGAGGCGGAGCTTGCAGTGAGCCGAGATTGCGCCACTGCACTCCAGCCTGGGCGACAGAGCGAGACTCCGTCTTAAAAAAAAAAAAAAAAGGCAGCTATGTTTGGTATGACACCACTAACAACATCTCTGTAAATGTGTCAGTGGAAATGAGCCACGCCCTGGAAGTCTCTGGAGATCACAGGTGATATGGTTTGGCTGTGTCCCCACCCCAATCTCACCTGGAATTGTAGCCCCCATAATTTCCACGTGTTGTGGGAGGGACCTGGCAGGAGATAATTGAATCTTGGGAGCAGTTTCCCCCATACTTTTCTTGTGGTAGTGAACAAGCCTCACAAGATCTGATGGTTTGATAAGGGGTTTCCCCTTTCACTTGGCTCTCATTCTCTCTTGTCTGCTGCCATGGAAGACATGCCTTTCGCCTTCCACTGTGATTGTCAGACCTCCCCAGCCACGTGGAACTGTTGAGTCCATTAAACCTCTTTTTCTTTATAGGTTATCCAGTCTCGGGTATGTCTATCAGCAGCGTAAAAACGGACTAATACAACAGGGGACTGCATTATCTTCAGTGGGGTCTTCAAAGATAAAAGGCTATGAAAACCTGAGAGTTGAGTATGGCAAAAGTAGACAAACCAAAGAAGTTTTTCCAAAAGATCCACCAAATCAAGAAGAGCTTGGAGGATTTGGGGTACCCGAAGCCAAAGAAGCAGTCAGTATTCAAAGACCCAGTTGTGACTTAAGATACCATCACTAATTCCAGCAACACTCCACAAAAGTCTACTAATAAAACTGGTCTTCAGTGCTTGTAGATCCCATGGTAATTTCTAGAGACAAAAAATTCTGCCAAGCATCTTGATAGCTAAAAGGAATAGCAATATGTCATTTAGGAACTTGCTACATCCAGAATGGTCTCTTACAGTTGAAGGTCAGCTGCTAAGAGGCATAGATAATAACTGCCTCCTTGTCTTGACCAAGGAACTGGTAACATCAAATTACAAAGGCTCCTGTACAGTCTGAGCGAACACATCGAGGCCCAGAAATTTGCCTTCATGTTTGTTCAGCTTGGGTCTACACATTAGGAAAGTCATTAACAGATTGTTAGCATCTGCTGAGGAGTTCCTCAACGCCTTTCACAAGAGCAACTTCATCCGCAAGCTATACTGAGTCAATGCCAAGGTGGTAGGTTAAGTAAAACTTGAAGAGGTGATAATGATTGGTACAAAACCAGGAACTCATCAGTATGTCATCCCACCAGCCTCAACATGCAGCCACTTGTGAGCCGTGAAGAAAAGAACCAAAGAGGGGTAAGTAGTAGATAGGATTCCAACATTACAGAACAGGGCAGCAGAAGCAGCAGCATTGGAAATCTAACTCCACTTCTGATGTTAGAAGGCCTAGACATAAAATATGGGGAGTTGTTCTTCCATAATAAAAGAAAAATCCAAATAATTGAATAAGGCAACTAAGTAAAGCAATTAAATGTGATGCTTCAGGATAGACATCAAGGCCATTAATAGCAATTAATGTCTTTTGTTTGTAGTATTATGCAAGGGGCATTGTAATTTCCACATAGTAAAATGATCTATTTTTCACTTCATTAATCAGAACACATGATCATTGTGATCAAAAAAAGTGGCCTCATTCTACTTCCCGACCAAGATTTAACTGCAAGCGCTTACAGTGAGGTCTCATTTTCTCAAGACTTTATCGCAGTTAAAAGACATACTACAGCCCATTAGTCGGTAGGCTATGGATTATTATAATAAATACTTAAAACCACTTATCAAAATAAAGAGCCAAAGCACACTCTGCCATGCAGTGGGCCCCGTTTTTCAATCAGAGTCTCTCACTTGCTAATTGGAAGTACTCAGAACTCCAAATGACTTGTCTTATCGTTGGTGAGAATTAAAGAGGTTTTATACACTGGAGATATTTTAGCACTTTTCCCAACTAGGTCACCCTCATTACCTTAGCTTTGAAGCTTCTCTTACATTTTCTTTCTTATATGTCAGTTCAAGAAACGGGCTTTCAGAGACAAGTACACTGACCCTCTCAGCCAATGATCCACCAAGTGACTATTCCACACGTAGGCAGCTGTACACATAGCCACTTGCCGGGGGGAAAGAAAATCAATTCATTCCAGAAGATTATTGAAGCTATTTTATTTTGCTTATTTTTGCAATGTACCAGGCTCCTGCCTGAAAAGCAGTCTGGCTTATTTTGTGTGTTTATTTATAGGGTGTATTTATAGTATTTATTTATATACTTATTTATAACAGTGTATTAAACTGATATCAGACCGATTAGAAGGAGTGATGGCAAATACGTTTGCTTGTTTCTTTGTTTTTAAAATTGTGCTGGAATGGTAATGAGGTTGGGAAAATATCATTACATCCAGAATACTGGACTGTGCATCTGCCTAGGATCATTCTCTGAGTCCCACGTAACAATGGCAGCCAACAATGAATAGATGAAGGGCCACCTGAGAGAGGAAGAAATGAATGAGGACCCCTGAGAGGGGATAGAAGCACAAAGGGGGCCAGTGAGCAGCAATCCGCTTGAGGAAAATATTTACTTCCTCTGAGGTCAAAAGGCGGAAACTGTGAATAAATCTTAGCAGCCACAAATGGTCAAGGGAGTCTATAAACCAAGTCATCAGAGAGTGTGCCTACCGCCTCAAACACAGTGCCTTCTCCTGCCTTGGGAGGCCCCTGAAGGCGTCTGGTTGGTAAGTGCAGGGATAAAGACACCAAAGCTGGCTAGGCACGGTGGCTCACGCCTGTAATCCCAGCACTTTGGGAGGCCAAGGCGGGTAGATCACGAGGTCCAGAGATCCAGGCCATCCTGGCCAACATGGTGAAACACTGTCTCTACTAAAAATACAAGAATTAGCCAGGCGTGGTGGCGCCACCTGTAGTTCCAGCTACTCAGGAGGCTGAGGCAGGAGAATCGCTTGAACCCGGGAGGTAGAGGTTGCAGTGAGCCGAGATTGCGCCACTGCACTCCAGTCTGGGGACAGAGCGAGACTCCATCTCAAAAAAAAAAAAAGACACCAAAGCTAACTCTTCACTTTCAACAAGCTTTCCATTTGAAGTTCTAAAGAGCCTCAAACCTCCCAGAACCCACCTCAAACCTCCCAGAACCCACCATCTGCTGAGTCTTTTGAATGAGGTCAAAGGTAGCCCGCTCTGTAGGCTGAGATAATTGCTTCTTCAGGCTTAGTTAATTAGGACAGTTATTTCATTATTAGCCAAGCTCCTTTTATACATACAGCCCACATGAACTGAGTCTGAAGAGTCATCTCAGAAACCAGGCCAGGGCAGGAAAACCCAAATACCGCTCAGCAATATTCCTGTTTTTAGCAATGTTGACAATGAAAGACAAAGTCTTGAGTTTTATGTAGAAAACAGTAAAACATAAACTCATACAGTTAAAGGAATATAGTAAATGAAAGAAATACTCAAGGAAAGAATTTGGCAACATTTTCATTCTTTCATTTGAGCATAAATATATGTAAATTCCTCCTTGTTGACTAATCTGAAGTTACTATATTCCTAACCACCCTTGTGAAGTTGCCCATTTATGGACACCCTTTGCCATCACATTCCACATGGAGCAACTGCAGTTATAAAAAGGACAAATAAAAGGGGAAGCAGGCTGGTGGCTCACATCTGTAATCCCAGCACTTTGAGAGGCCAAGGCAGGCAGATCACTTGAGCTCAGGAGTTTTAGACCAGCCTGGGCAACACGGCGAAATCCCATCTCTACAAAACAATAAAAAAATTAGCCGGGCATGGTGGTGCATGCCTGTAGTCCCAGCTACTTGGGAGGCTGAGGTGGGAGAATCACTTGAGCCCAGGAGGTTGAGACTGCAGTGAGCTGTGATCATTCCACGGCACTCCAGCCTAGGTGACACAGTGAGACCCTGTCTCAAAAAAAAAAAGGGGGGGGGGTGGGGAAGCAGCTATTGTCACTACAGAATCAAAACAGAGTTAGAAATTGTCAACAGAACACTGCCTGCGGGAGTGAGAAATATGTAAACTTCCACCCTTTTGTGTCTGTCCTCTGATTACTCTTGTCTGTAATTGTGCGTTGGTCTTATGCGTTAAGTTTGGTTACAGAGTTTTTGCTATGATTCCACATCTGTTGTGACTTAAGAGACCCAGGAAAGAGGAAATTCCAGCATCAAACTTTAATCCAGCATATTAGGTTGATGCAAATGTAACTGTGGTTTTGCCATTACTTTTGCCATTATTTTAGTGGCAAAACCGCAATTACTTTTGCACCAACCTAATACTAAGTACTCTCACGGAGTTTCTTCCTTTTTCCTCAAAATTGTCCTTCTCTTCACTCTACAGAGCCAAAGACTAGTTCTTATATTTTTATTGCTAATAATTTGTTGCCGCCAAAATCTACTGGGACTTTCTCGTATTCCTCATCACTGTTGACTTACTCACCTGGATATGAACGAGGTGAGTTCATATCTCTGTCCCCACAACATTTTTTATATATTTCTGTGAAAACCCTCTGTTATCCGTGTGCTTTAGCAGGCTTTTTTATTTTCCTACATCTCTCCTCCATGAAGCTATAAGCATCTTGATGACCGAGATTCTGATATAAAAGCAAAACACAGGGCCTGGACCATAGTAGGAGCTTACTAAGTTTATATTGAATGAATAAAAAAATAAGTTGCAAAATATGGAAGGTCAGAATCTGATTGCTCTGTCTTCCTTCACTTAGATGTCTTTCCTACTTCTAGCAACTGGCCGTTGGAGACAGTGGTTTGATTATGCAACTATGTTTATTATCTCTGTCATTACCAATATATTTGAATTCATCCATTTCTTCACTCATTAAAGTATAGAAACTTGGCCAAGTGCGGTGCCTCACACTTCTAATCCCAGCACTTTGGGAGGCCGAGGCGGGTGGATCACAAGGTCAAGAGATCGAGACCATCCTGTCCAACATAGTGAAACCCCGGCTCTACTAAAAATACAAAAATTAGCCAGGTGTGTTGGCGCATGCCTGTAGTCCCAGCTACTCATGAGGCTGAGCAGGAGAGTCTCTTGAACCCAGGAGATGGAGATTGCAGTGAGCTGAGATTGCGCCACTGCACTGCAGCCTGGCAACAGAGTGAGACTCCATCTCAAAAAAAAAAATATGGAAACTTAGGATTATGTGTCTTTAAGGATTGTTGCAACCAACACATACCTTAGCTGGTTAAACTCTCCTCTTTCAAGGTAAAGAAAACAAAATCTGCATGACTGCATTCTTCTTAATAGTGTAAAAACTTGGAGATTAGGGAAAACTTTAGGAGTGGAAATGTGACTGGGAAAATGGAAGTTGTTTATTCACATTGGTTGATCTCTAAAGCTAGAATATCTGGATTTCCAGCTCCACCACTTTGGCAAGTTATGTAATCTCGGTTTTTCACATTGCTAAAACGGAAACAAAAATAGACTCAACCCAACAGGGCTCTTATGGAGTTCAACGAGATAAAGTGTGTTCAGGGCTGGCAACTGCTGAGCTCCCCCCTACTCCATATCAGGTCTTATTACTGCTATTATGGAGCTGTATCAGTATTCCTCATGTCACTCAGAGAAGGCCCATCCAAAAAGACACAAAGGGGTGTAAACCCAAGTGTATTCTTCATCTCGCCATGCAAGCATGAACACCCACTGGCTACTCTCCTTTCACTACCCAGAAAAACTTTCCGTCCATAATGCAAACTGCATCGTAAACTCCAGGAAACACCAGCTTTCATCACATAGGTAATTTAAGCATAGCTTTAACCTCCATTGCTTAAGTTCTAGCTCTGTCTGTGGGTCTCCCAGTCTACCATTCTGGCCCATGCCATAACAATAGCTACCAACAACACTAATATTTATTAAGTGCTTATAATGCACCTTATGAGTTTTCACTCATTTAGTCCTCAAAACAACCCATTAAAAAGATGATTATTATATCATCTTTTTACTAATCTATTCTTCAAATTAGGAAACAAAAGCAAAGAAGGGTCACATAACTTATCCAAAGTCACACTATAAATCAACCATGTATAGTTAAGAGATGCATTAAAATACAAAACCATAGAGTGAAAGGTGCATTAAAATAAAAATAATTTTAAATTATGACAAATTACCAGCTGGTCCAGGTATCTGGTCTTTTGGAAAAGTTACTCAATTTTACCAAAATTTGTATAAACCCTTTGTAAAAACTCTGGAAAAGATCTTAGAGATTCATAAGGTAGAAAAATGTGAGACTTTCTGCAATTAAACTTGAGCAAGCTGAGATAAAATTCTGTAAAGAAAGGAAGGAAAAAGAAAGAAGGAAGAGAAAAAGAACAGAAGAAGCAGATCAGAGAATGAAAATAACCATAATTAAACTCCTAATGATGTGTAAAGCAGCATTTTAGAAACATTTTATTTGTATGACTTGCTAATACTCCAAACTCTTTTGTCTTTCTCCCTCTTTCCATTGTGTCCATCTGTGGAGATCCCAACCTTTGTCCTTGCGTTTAAGCAGCCAAGTCATGTTCTAACCTTGACCCTGTCTTCAGTCTGTGTCCCCTCACTTGCTGAAGAGACCATCAAACATTGTTACTCCAGCCAGAATGACCCATGATGCTGTCTTCCCTTAACCACCCCTTCCTACCCAATTCCTCCCAAAGTTCCGTCCATTTTAGGTCCCACCTGTCTCTTGAATCTGGCCACTAGTCTCCAGGCCCTTGTCCTCTCATCCAAGTTCCTCTCTCTTGTGCCAGGATTTGCATGGCCACCTTTTTGCTCCTGTGGCATCCTGGGCACCACTTCACTTCCATGTGCTATTTCTACAGCAACAGGGCTATTTTCAATGTATAAACTCATTACACCCTCCTGTATCAACAACAGCTCCTCCGCTGTCATGGTTAATATTGAGAGTCAACTTGATTGGATTGAAGGATGCAAAGTATTGTTCTGGGTGTGTCTATGAGTGTGTTCCCAGAGGAGATTAACATTTGAGTCAGTGGACTGAGAGAGACAGACTCACCCTCAATCTGGGTGGGCACCATCTAATCAGCTGCCAGCACGGCCAGAATAAAAGCAGGCAGAAGAACGTGGAAAGACTAGAACGGCTAAGTCTTCTGGACTCCGTCCTTCTCCCATGCTGGATGCTTCCTACCCTCAAACATCAGCCTCTAGGTTCCTCAGCTTTTGGACTCTTGGACTTACATCAGTTGTTTGCTGAGTGCTCTTGGGCTTTAGGCCACAGACTGTACGTTGGCTTCCCTACTTTTGAGGTTTGGTGACTCAGACTTAGCCACTACTGGCTTCTTTGCTCCTTAGCTTGCAGGCAGCCTATGATGGGACTTCACCTTGTGACCTTGAGAGCTAATTCTCCATAATAAACACCCTTTAGTATATACCTCTATCCCATTAGTTCTGTCCTTCTGGAGAACCCTGACTAATACACCAGCTCTGCCGTAGCCCTCTGGGTCAGCCTGTTCTCCCCGGCCTCATTTCACGCTCTCTTCCTCTAGCTGTCTGTGCTCCAACCTGCATTCCTTAGACACACCATTCCCACCTCTGTCCTCTGCCTGGGCCCATTCTTTTCCACCAACACTCCCCTTCCCATCTCACTGCCTTTCCCTGCTTAATGTCAATCCATCTTTCAGATTTCACCTTCAGTCTAACTTTTTAGGGAGACCCGGCCTGACCACCCAGCTAGAGCAGGTCTGTGGTTGTCTGCTGTGATTCTACAACATGTTTTTTTTTTTTTTCCTTCGGAGCTCTTCCTTCAGTGTGTGATTACACATGCACTCCTTTGGGTGTTTTGTTTGAAATCAAGGTTGTTTTATCCACCTGACCATATGTGCTATGAGCTCGGGGAGCACACCTGGTTGTTCTCAGCATGTCACCCAGCTGGACCTGCAAAGAGTGCCACATATGCAGTATCCATTGCCTGAACAAGTGACTCCCTCTAAAATTCACAACAAAGCTAATAGCTGTTGTGCCTGAGGACATACAGCAAGTGCAGCCACAAACATCAGGTCAGACATTAGAAAGCGGCGCTCAAACTTCATGGCTTTCTAAGTCCCCATGCCACCAACCCTTCTGGACAACAGCTGACTTCCATTTCTAAAGAACCATAAAAAGGTCATTGGTTTGCAAAATCAAAATTTGTTCTGGGTGCTACTGTGCCCTCATAAATGAAATTTTGTTATTAAAGGAATGAACCTATTAGAAAACAATTTTTGGTGGAGTTTAAAGAAACAAGTTTCTACTCTCTTCCCCCACCCCCCCCAAAAAAAAAATCACACCATCTGGTACAAATCAAGAGAAAACTCACCCTGCTAATGACATGTGCAAACATGAATAATGAGGGCTTGAGGGTGGCAGAAAAACAGCATTCTCCCTCTGATGTGAGTCAGGAGTTTTAGAAAGTCTGAGATTTGAGAAAACTTTTCCAGGAAAAAGTAACAACAGCTTTTCATTCTCAATGTGTCAGTCAGTGTTTGAGTTAAAGGAGAAGACTAAAGAAAAAAAAACCTCAAACCCAACAGAGATTCCAAACTGCTTTAACATGATAGAACTAAAATATCTGATATTCAGAAAGCATCACAAAACTTGGCCTCGCGGAGCCAAAGAGGGCTCAACCACAAAACAAACACTGTCAGGGAAAACAGAGTTTCCACCAAAACAGGAGCAGGCAATTTTCTAGGAGGCTGGACAAAAAAAAAAAAAAAAATGCTTGTCACACAAAACCACAGAGTCCCCAAGGGCAGCGAGCCGAAAGCAGCATTCGTGGACGGCTGCCACCAAGTGGCCACTGCAGGTATTACATCTACTTAAAATGCTGTTTTGTTTTTTTGAGACGGAGTTTCGCTCTTGTTGCCCAGGCTTGAGTGCAATGGCGCGCGACCTCAGCTCACTGCAACCTCCACCTCCCGGGCTCAAGCGATTCTCCTGCCTCAGGCTCCCAAGTAGCTGGGATTACAGGCACCCGCCACCAAGCCCAGCTAATTTTTTGTATTTTTAGTAAAGACGCGGTTTCACCATGTTGGCCAGGCTGGTCTCGAACTCCTGACCTCAGGTGATCCACCCGCCTCGGCCTCCCAAAGTGCTGGGATTACAGGCGTGAGCCACCACGCCCAGCCAAAATGTTTTAATTCCTAAGATTCCCCCAGAGAAAACTACCTGTGAAATTCTCAAATCTAGAGAGCATGTCTTGGGATTTTTCATTACTCTACCTATCAAACAATCATTTAACAAGTTAAATTTTCCCCCTTTAAAATTGGATAGGGAGGCAAAATACAGCTAATAGTAGAACACATATGTCTCATAAAATGTAAATTTATTTTTGTTCCCCTACTCTCACTTAAAATGTACTCAGTCAGACTAGTTCTTCCCCTGCTCCAGGAAGAAAATCCAGGCAGCCCAAGACTTTTCTGGATATGTAAAACATTGTCACAAATTAGTAACTAAAATGATTGGTTCCATGTACAGGTCTGAATTTCAATCTAGTGTTAAAAGGTGAGTCCACTCCACCTTGGGCCAGAATCTAGCAGGCAGCTGGCGTTGGAAAAGGAGGGGATATAGTCTCTCTTCCTGGCTTATTATAGCATTTTGCATTCTTTTTCCATTCTGCTAGCTTCAGTTTCTGACTCCTTTAAGATTGAGGGTCCAAGAGAGGGGAAGAGATGGGAAATTTCTAACTTAAAGAGTAGCCTCTCTCCTTGGTGTTTTTGTGGATTCTTGAGAGACTCTGCCACCAGAAGTCTCCCCTGTATTTGCTCAGACTGTGGGCTATGAATTGAATTGTATCCTTCCAAAATTCACATACTGAAGCCCTAATCCTCAATGTGATGGTATTTGGAGATGGGACCTTTGGGAGGTATATAGGGCTGGATGTGATCATGAGGGTGGGGCCCTAATGACGGAGTTAGTGCCTTTATATGAAGACACTAAAAAGCTTGCTTACTCTCTCTCCACACACATGCACCAGAGAAAGGCTGTATGCGGACACAGTGAGAAGGCCACTGTCTTCAGGTGAAAAAGAGGGCCCTCTCCAGGACCTAATCATACTGGCATCTGATCCCAGACTCCTAGCCTCCAGAACTGTGAGAAAATACATTTTTGTTGTTCTACCTATCAAGCAATATGCCTGTTCTTTGGTATTTTGCTGGGGTAGCCCAAGCACACTAAGACACTGGATGAACATGTCTTTATTCTGACTGTAGGTATCATGTACCCTCATTCCTCATCAGCCCCAGGAATGCACTGATACAGGCAGATCCTCTCTGCTGAGACCTTTTTGCCTCTGCAGGTAGCCTTCTTGGACAAAACCCCAAGAGAATTCCAAGCCAGCCTTTGCTGACATAGCCCATAGCTGGACCATGAGAAACACCCCTGCAATGTTTGTCTTAAAACAAAGCGACAGAGGCCAACCCTAAGGGAACTGCAATTTCTTTTTACTTCTGCCCTAAGAGTGACTGGCCAGCTGCCTCTCGTCTTTTTAATTTGCCCCGTAAAAGTCAGATAATCCACTGTGTGCCCACCAAAATTCCAGGTACATAGAGAAAGTCCTCCCAGCAAACTCCTTAAAGCCCCATGTCATGGTTAATTTCATGTGTCAACTTGGCTACACCACAGTACCCAGATATTTGGTCAAAACAGTCTAGATATTGTTTTGAAAGTCATTTTCAGATGAGATTAACATTTAAATCAGCAGACTTTAAGAAAAACAGATTAACCCTCCATAATGTGGGTAGACCTCATCTAATTAGTTAAAGGCATTAATCGAAAAAGAATGACCTCCTCTAGAGAAGGGAGAATTCTGCCAGCAGTCTGCCTTCAGACTTGAGCTGCAAAATCAGCTCTTCCCTGGATCTTTGGCCTACCCTCCACCCTGCAGATTTTGGACTTGCCAACCTCTACAATTGTGTGAGCCAATCTCTCTTTCTGTGGTGTGTGTGTGTGTGTGTGTGTGTGTGTGCGCGCGCGCGCGTGTCTATATATCCTACTGGTTGTTTCTCTGGACAACCCTATTACAACCTCACTAGTGACTTGAGGAAAGGGAGGAAGCATCCCCTTGTTTATCCCCAACCAACAGTTGTCCCTAAAGATTCTCTTCCAAACCCTTCTCTAGGAATCTTCTTAAGACACCTCTCACTAGGCTCCAGGTGAGGGGGAAACACCCCCACCACTTCCCCTGGCTGACAGTGGGACTTAAGGTCAACTCTCTCCAAAGGAGCATTTCTCCCCACACTCTCCTACCAAGCCCTCTGTAACCACCATGGGGGTGGGAGATCTAAGTGTCCCCTCCTGGGTCTTGGCCCCAATTCTCTACATTGTGGTCTAGTGCCAGGACAGCGTCTGTCCTTCCCACATCTGCCTCACTGAGTGGACTCTGATCACTGTTCAGGGTGGCAGTGTGCCTAGTCCCAGAGAACAAACAATGTTTGGTGTCAGAGTGCTGCAGTCACTCTGCAGAAGCAGAATGGACATCACCCAGAATTTGGTCCTGATGTTGAGACTGCTGACACCATACGCACACCTAGGGGGTATGAAATTGTTTATTATTCACAAGAGAAGGCTTTCTGGGGGGAATAGGAAGGCTCCAGGCAGGTCTGAAAATGGTTTGAGAGAGCTGGAAGAGGAGACTGGTGTGGTGTTTTGTGGCAGATGGGGCTGGCGTGAGGGCTTCTGCTCACAGACAGAGGGAGCAGGGAGGCTTAAAGGATGTCAGCAATTGAACATCAAAAATGGAGTCAGAGTCTTTATTAAACACAGCCTGGGGCAAGGCCTTGTGTGCTACTATTTTGTTGGGGAGTATAGTTCCAAAAAGCAGGAATGAGGTCACAGATTAAGCAGGGAAGGATGGAAAAGAAATGCAGAAAATACAGGAGATGGGTGTAGCTGGCTACTGCATATGGGGATGGCCTCTCAGCCACTGCTCCCAGGACAGTCCTGCCACAGACAGAAAGGCAAAGCTATCCATGAGTTTCAATCTTCTGTTAGTCAAAGTCTACCCCATGGGTTGACCTCCTCCCCTAAACTTCCAGATTGTACACAGGGGGCCGGAAGTGAGGGTCTGTTTACATCACTTACCCTAGTGACATCAGGGAACTCCCAGGACATGAGATGGGAAGCAGAGTGTGTTCAGGAAATGCTGTCAAGTTGTGTCTAGGACAACACAATGGGGCAGCCACTGTGGCAAGTCACTGGGCAAGTAGCAGCTGTGGCAGCAGCACAAGGGACCCAGCTGACCGGGCAGGAGCAGTGAAAGATGCTCTGGCCAACACGCTAGCAGGGGTAGAGATCTGGAGGGATGTACACACAAAGTGCAGGGCAACTGGTTAGGCTGGTCACAGCTATGTTGTTGTGTTTGTTCACATGCTCCTTTTCCAGGCTCTTTTGCAGTTTGCAAGAAGGGGTTGCCATGTCACAAGTTTCTAGCCATTGAAATGAAAATGGAAGTTTTTGGGAGAGATGTTTCTTCCCGGTTGAAAGAAAAGAAAGCCAGTTGAGAATTTCTCTTTCTCTCCTCTTCTCCTTATCTTGGAGTACCATCTTGATGCCAAGAATACTGCAGCAGGCCAGGCGCGGTGCTCACGCCTGTAATCCCAGCACTTTGGAATGCTGAGGCAGGCGGATCACGAGGTCAGGAGATCGAGACCATCCTGGCTAACACAGTGAAACCGCGTCTCTACTAAAAATAGAAAAAAATTAGCCGGGCGTGGTGGCAGGAGCCTGTAGTCCCAGCTACTCGGGAGGCTGAGGCAGGAGAATGGCGTGAACCTGGGAGGCGGAGCTTGCAGTGAGCCGAGATCGTGCCACTGCACTCCAGAGCCTGGGCGACAGAGTGAGACTCCGTCTCAAAAAAAAAAGAGAATACTGCAGCAGTTCGGCAGGAATCCTGCAACAATTAAGTAGGTCTAAAAGCCTGCAGACTGAGGGTGATGAACTAGAAGGATGAACACAGTCCCTGTCCCTACTGACATGACTGAGCTGCTACCCTCCGTCTGGAAGCAGCTATGTCTGGATTTGTTGTTATGGAAGATAATGACATACTTTTATTAATCAGATTTTCAGTTGCAGGGAAATGTAATTTCACACACACTAGAAAGGAAAATCAATGGTGGGCACGCAACAAAAATAAGCCCCCAGGTACCTCCAAGCCCCATCTTGCGTGAAGCTAAACACAAGAGAGACACACATAGGCCCCATCGTATGGTGATGTACCAGGCCACTCTTGTTGGAGACCCCCATTCTGCCTTGACTCCTGGGAGAAAGACAGAGTAAATAACTTAGTAAATATTTTACCTTCAGATAACCTTGAATGTAGATGTTTCTACCTGACAGAAAAGAGGTGCTATGTCATCATTTTCATCTCATAACATATTTGCTGGTATTTAGATGTTGGAAAGAAGGGGAGGGTGTAGCAAAATGCTGAATAATAACACTAATAATAATAAGGAGGAAAACACTACTAGTTCATGAGTTGCACAAGATGCCAAAGTTAAAAAAAAAAAAAAGTACTTAGGAGCTTATTTTTATCATCACACTGGATCATGGGTGATCTGGGGTTTTGCCAGAGTTGAGGATTTGCATATTGACAGTTCCTGACTTTTACGTATTGTACTTTCTCTTAACCTTCACTTTCATGCACTCTGTATTGATCCCCCTAAATCTGCTTTTATGTGACAGATAGGGACTCTCCTGCCTCTACTGCTCAGTGATAAAGTGGCATTGTGCCTGCCCACCAACAGGTTCTACCAACAGTTCTACCAACAGCGCCACCTCGATCAAAACACCAAGTTTGTCAAAGCATCTCGAATACTATTTTATTGCATGTGTTACATTATAAGTTAAATAGGAAACATAAAACAAGAGTTCCAACACTAAAGACAAAAGGCATAGGCCACCTCAATTCGAAGTATGATGAAATAAACATAAGACTCACTTTATATGAAGAAAGCAGAATGTATTTAGCCTCAAATTGCCTCTTACTGGATGCAAACCAGTTAACAGCATCTTTAGTTTTGTATGAAAACAATTAAATAATATGTACAAGATACAAGAAATATATTAAATATTGAGATTAAAAGGCTGAAAGAATGTGTAATTTTATAATATTTCTTAATAGATTGGCAAATGAACCACATCACCCTCCTACTCATAATATATAAATCTATTATTCTGTCTTTATACATAAACAAACATATTTGTAAATATACTTTGTACTTAAGTAGGAGATACTTATATTATACATTGTGCTCATCAAAACCTTTGCTAAAGGAATAATGTACCATCTCATTACCTTCCCCCAAATATTCATAGTTAAATTTGGTTCTACTCAGATATACACTGCATTTAGAAACCACACCACAAGAGAAAAACACAGCGTCTTTCAGTCACTCCTTCCTGCTTCCCTAATAAAGAGAAGTTCTACATGTACAGAAATAGAATATCTGCCCCCCATGAACGACAAAGGGGCCCCCAGTGAATCAGTGTCTGGCCTTAGCTATGATTTCCTTCTAACAATCCCCCAGGAGAATTATGCACAGAGACCAACCTCTGATTGATTATGGACCAGTGATCAGGTCATTAGCACACGATCTTTGTTATTTACTAATAAACGTCCTCAGCCTTGCACACCACCATAAATTCAGCTCACTGGGGGGATTCTCGGAGCACCACTTGTGCCTTCCTCATCCCAGAGATGGGTCATTTATCCACAAGCTGTGTGCATTTTGCCTTCTGCCTCTAAATACACTCTTTTCTCACAAGGGTCGAAATGGCTTTCATTTTTGTACAAAGTCCACATCCCATACACTCCCCCTTCTGAATGACTTTGAACTTAAAATATGTTTGTTTGTTTAACTTAAGCCACTTCAGTCCATTTACTTCTTTACTTATCTCTTCCCTGCACCAATTACTCACCCTCCTTTTAGTAGCAGCCATTAATATTCTCCATTAATGGTCTCTTTCCAAAACCTAGTCCCTCAGAAATTTCCTTCACCAAGACTCTCCTTTGAAAATATCTACTCCCAAAGGTCTACACTCATCTCTTTGAGCAGCATCTTTCCTAAATATGTGTAATAATAAATTTAGCCCTGGCTAAGAAACTTGAAGAAGTGATCAAGGATCATTTTAAAGAAAAATGATAAACAATGAACAAAAGGCAACCTGAGTCTGAAGAGTTTAATAAAGGGCTCAGGCCGGGTTCAGTGGCTCATGCCCATAATCCCAGCACTTTGGGAGGCCGAGGCGGGTGGATCACCTGAGATCAGGAGTTTGAGACCAGCCTGGCCAGCATGGTGAAACCTCGTCTCTACTAAAAGTACAAAAATTAGCAGGGCGTGGTGGTGCATGCCTGTAATCCCAGCTACTCAGGAGGCTGAGGCAGGAGAATCACTTGAACCTGGGAGGCGGAGGTTGCAGTGAGCTGAGATCATGCCATTGAACTCCAGCCTGGGCAAAAAGAGCAAAACTCCACTCAAAAAATAAAATAAAATAAAATATAAAATAAAATAAAATAAATAAAATAAAATAAAATAAAATGCTCAAATATAAACTCAAGAGTTTATGAAGAATTGTAACCATTTATCTTTTTCCTTAAAGCTTGAAAAAGCAAAAAAAAAAAAAAAAAAAAACAGACAAGAGGCATTTCAGTTTTGTACTTTTTGAGAAAAAAAAAATCCTGACAGAAACTGTTGTTAGATATTCAAATCAGTTACCAAAGGAGATTGTGAAGCCCATGCCCTTGAGTGGGTGAAATTACAAGATGAATTCTCATTGCCTGGAAGGAAGCAGGGGGTAATGTTAATGACCTCTGTAAGTCTCATTCTATCCAATACTATTATGCCCAAGTGGTATACAAACTGTTGTTGTTGTCTTTGTTTTAATAATCAAAATGTGTGACACAAAAGCAATTGAATGCAAAAGTAACTGCCTTCAGGAAAATATACCTGTTGACAAAGTACTGTAAGAAAATCACGGCCTGGCATGGTGGCTCATGCCTGTAATCCCAGCATTTTGGAGGCTGAGGCGGGCAGATCACGAGGTCAGAAGATCAAGACCCTCCTGGCTAACATGGTGAAACCCCATCTCTACTAAAAAGAAATACAAAAAATTAGCTGGGTGTGGTGGCACGCACCTGCAGTCCCAGCTACTGGGGAGGCTAAAGCAGAAGAATTGCTTGAACCCGGGAGGCAGAGGTTGCAGTGAGCTGAGATCACGCCACTGCACTCCAGCCTGGGCAACAGAGAGAGACTCCGTCTCAAAAAAAAAAAAAAAAGGAAGAAGAAGAAAGAAAATCACATAATCCTCTTTGCATGTCACTTATGATTGCTCTTTGAGATTAATTCCAGTTGTACATGCATTAGGGATGGTATGCTTTATTTAGGGAAGTGATTTAAAAAATTAGTCATTTCTTATTTCATCAGTGTAAAAGAATCAGCTAAACATTTTAATGCAGTAATTTCAATGACTTAGAAGCAAATTAATAAAATATTCCCTTGTCATCCACTGGGAAATGCATTCTACCTTGTTAGAGACATATTTATTTAACCTAGTGAAATTCAGAATTGCTTATAATCAAAAAGCAATTTTGGATTAAGGAATAATCCTATGTTAACATGCAGAAATGGTAGAGAAACATCACAGAATAAGTTATGAGTGAAAACTTAAGAAGGAAGAAAGATTGAAGAAATGAGAACTTGCCACATTGCAGGCAATCCTTCTATTAATAATACCCTAAGTTCCAAAGACTCATTTTGAAACCATGTGTTCAGAATTTAGAGTACATATTCCTGCATAATCATATACTCTACAGGTTGGAAAGAGCCTCAAAGATCATTTAGGTCAATGCTCTGGGATTTAATCATCTATTACATCATCTCTACCAAGTAAACAATGTTATTAAAAGGCAATTAAGACTCCAGATTACCTTATAAAATTGTTTTCATGGCCAGGTGCAGTGGCTCATGCCTGTAATCTCAGCACTTTGGGAGGCCAAGGCGGGCGATCACCTGAGGTCAGGAGTTCAAGACCAGCCTGGCCAACATGGTGAAACCCCGCCTCTACTAAAAATACAAAAATTAGCCAGGTGTGGTGGCAGGCGCCTGTAATCCCAGCTACCTGGGAGGCTTAGGCAAGAGAATTGCTTGAACCCAGGAGGGAGAGGCTGCAGTGGGCCAAGACTGTGCCATTGCACTCCAGCCTGGGCAACAAGAGGGAAACTCCATCTCAGAAAATATATATATATTTTTACATCATAAAGATCTAGCATGTACTAAACACATAGTATGATACCATTTTCCCACTCTATATCATAATATTTGTATGAAAAAAATAGGATCAGATTATAGTCGCAATTTGGGGTGGCAGATACACAGACACATTTGAAGCCCCAAACTCCACGCAGAAGCATGATTTATCTCTACCCCATGTGCAAGCACCAGAGGGCTGAGGAAAGGAGTGAGGGGAGAGCTGTGAGTAGGATCAGGACCTGTGTTGTAAGGTAGGAGAGAAACAAACAAGGGGCTAGGAAAGAGGTGAGAGAGAGACTGGAGATAACACAAGGGCAATGAGATTTGTAACTTCCGCATCTCCCTTGACTGGCTTTACTTGCCTTCCAACTCAGTGCTACCCTGAGAAGGCCAGCCTCCACTCTCATGAATCCTCCTCTCTTCACACAATGTGGAAGTTCTGAGCATTCTATTCAGTCAAGCATTAAGTCACTCATCTACTTGTTCACTTTTTAAACATTTCTATTTTGCACTCTATCACTTTACAGTTGTTGGTGTTGACCAGTGACCAAGAGTTCTTGGAGCACTGATGCCTTCTACTATGCATTTCTCAGTACCCAAACCCTGCTTGTGTTTGGCTCACAAAGCATGTTAAAATGTCTTTGTAGAATAGGAGTTTAGGGTGCGGTGGCTCATGCATGTAATCTCAGCACTTTGGGAGGCCAAGGCGGGTGGATCACCTGAGGACAGGAGTTGAAGAGCAGCCCGGCCAACATGGTGAAATCCCATCTGTACAAAAAATACAAAAACTTAGCTAGGTGTGGTGGTGGGTGCCTGTAATCCAAGCTATCTGGGAGGCTGAGGCAGGAGAATCGCTTGAACCCAGGAGGTGGAGGTTGCAATGAGCCGAGATTGCACCATTGCACTCCAGCCTTAGCAACAAGAGCAAAAACTCTGTCAAAAAAAAAAAGAAAAAGGAGTTCATTAAATAAAACGAAAGGAAAGGGAGGTGAAGGAGGAAAAATAGCAGAGGTCCCTTAGTATAAATAGCAGAGTAGATTCTCTCCGCTCTTCAATCTCCTTCCAACTTGCAACCATCGGCAAGAGCTGGGCCGTGAGAAATGGAGCAGCAAAGAAACCAGCAGCGGGAGAGAAATGAGAAGTGACAACTAAGGAACTATTTCTTTCCTTTTCCCTCCCCTTTCTACTTTTCTGCCACTTCACCCACCCTCAGAGACGCCTCCTCTAGTCAAGACTGAATTGTCTGAATAGGGGAAATCTGGTACCATAAGGATATGGTTTCATAAAGCAAGAGGTCTAAAGGGTTAAGAAGAAAGAGAAAGGTAGCAGGAGAGAAATTCCCAGTAGATATAAGAAGAGCCTAGTCCTTATGCAGCACAGATGACCAGCACTCACTAAATATCCATGCACTTCTCCAGGTTTCCCAACCCCATGCATTGGAGCAGTGGTGTCACGTGACTAACTCTTCTCCATGGAACACAAACGGAAGTAATATGCCAGTTCCAATTTGAGGAAGGTCTGAGTGGGTATGCCTTCTCCAAGGCTGTTTTTTTCCTCTGCTACATTGACCTTGGAGACCATTTGCTCTAAGTGGCATGACTACAAATCAAAGAAAGCTATTAGACACAACTAGGCCTTATATGAGAAGAAAACGAGCATTTTTTGGTGCAAAATCAATGCACTTCAGAGATGTATTTGTTACCACAACATAGCATAACATAACCTAACTGATTCACCTTATTTCACCCATCTGACACGGTCACAAACAGGAAAAGGAAGGTTGCTTAGTTGTGAGTACAGGCCAATAACCGCCTACTACTCATTAGCATCTCATTCATCATTTTTAATTCAAAGTTTGAAACCATCTCCAAGCCATCACTTCCATTTCTACCTGTCACTTAATTAGAAGATATAATATTTTCAAAGAATTGACTAAAGGGCCTGGGAGTGGTGGCTCACACCTGTAATCCTGGCACTTTAGGAGGCCAAGGCAAGAGGATCACTTGAGCTTGGGAGTTCAAGACCACCCTGGGTAACATAGTGAGACCTCATCCCTACAAACAATTTTTCAAATTAGCTGGATGTGGTGGTGCATGCCTGTAGTCCCAGCTACTCGGGAGGCTGAGGTAGGAGGATCGCTTGAGCCTGGAAGGTCAAGGCTACACTGAGCCGTGACTGCACCACTGCACTCCAGCCTGAGTGAGAAAGACCCTGTCTCAAAAAAAAAAAAAAAAAGAAGAAGAAGAAGAAGAAAGAGAATTAACTAAAGTATATTCAAATAGCACATTCCTCTAGGTACCCTGAAATCTACCTCTGAATGAAGTTATATTGGCAGCGCTACGTTTATCACATTGGCCACTGTAGACTCATTCTGAGCTTGGCATGAGGCCATTAGATCAAGAGATGCCACCCTCTAGTGTTAGGCCCTGTATAATCTCCTCCCCTTGAGAGTGGCTGGGACCTGCAGCTTGCTTCCAACCAATAGAATATGACAACAGTAATAGGATATTACTCCTTGATTAGGTTATGTTGTGTGGCAAATGTGAGGAGATGACAGTTTCAGGATTATGTTACATAATATAAAGGCAGACATGTGAGATTCACTGCAGTGCCAGAGTATAAACACTGGAGAATGCTACTCATTCTATTGCACAGCATCGTCTTTATGAAAATCCTCTGAATAGTTTTCTCCCTTATCTCAATATTAGTAATAGTTGCTCTTCTCCTGTAAGACAGAATAGTATTAGGACTCATCTCATCAGGTTGTTGCAAGGATTAAATTAATTCATTTAAAAAGCTTAAAATGATGCCCAGGACAGAGTAAGCACCACATATATTTTTGCCATTACTAGGAATTTTTTTAAATCTTAATTGAACTATAAATTGTGCTTATGCTCAATATGTTTTCTAACTGATAAGAACCAAAACCTGAGCCTTCTCACAGCAAGTCTATCAAATGTCTCCAACTTTGTTTCGTGCCCCATTTCTTTCTCACCTTCTTCCAGTGTATTTAATTTGGCTGCATTTTATATATTCCTGTAAGCTGATCTAAATTCGCTCCAGAGCCACATAGGCTAAAAATAAATAAAAATTCACAGAATAATCCCTAAATTCTTTACTTACCTTTTATTAACACTTGGAGAGGGAAAGTGAAACAATGAAAGCCTGTACATAAAAGTAAAATTTTTTCCACTACAGTCTTCTCTTGCTTTCCTACTGTTATTAAAGATGTAAATCTTAACACCTTGGACTGGAAGAACAGATAAGCTCCAGCTAGCCTCAATACCCTAAGTTTAACTTTGACACCTCAGTCAAAAATTTACAAAGGGAGCATCCCTTTCAGCTAACTTGTCTCTGAAACACTCAGGCTAAGGATTAAAAGCCCACTCTGCTCATGGGCCAGAGACATGGAAGGCCACTTTAGGTGAAAGCTGTAACTCTAGTGGCCATTTTCCAAACAAATACTTAGGCCAGTACTGGAATAATATATTTATAGAAACACAATATTTAAAATATAAATTTGGTTGAAAAATTGGACTGCATGATCATTGTGGCTAAAGGACTTAAAACATTGGCCCTGAGCTCAGAGCAAATTTGGTTCCATTCTGTTCAATAAATATTTGGTGGCTTTATTTCCTGGGCATTGTGCGAGGCTCTGAGGACCCAAAGACAAATAAGTTATGGACCAAACCCTCGAAGACTCTAAGTGGGTAAGAAGATACACTTAAATAATTATTCTGTATGACTGAACACTCCTCATTATCTTCATAGCATTTATTCAAATAGTAATTATAAATTAGTTTGCTTACATGTTTACTTTCTGCCTTCTTTACTAGGCCATTTGTTCATTGTGGGGAAGGACCATGGCTATTTTGTGACTGTGAGCTCAGCGCTAGTACAGAAGCCCATCATATGTTAGAGACCCAATAAATGTTTTCTAAGTGAGAATGTATGCATATATAAAATTTATAGAAAGCAATAGTTTTCACGTTATACAAACAACAACGTGTAGAAGATGTAATGGAAAAGAGTCATGTATAATGGCCAAAGCAATAAATCTATAAAGCACAAAATACCAAAGAATAAACCTAATAAGAAATATGTGGCCGGACATGGTGGCTCACACCTGTAATCTCAGCACTTTGGGAGGCCGAGGCAGGTGGACCATCTGAGGTCAAGAGTTCAAGACCAGCCAGGCCAACATGGTGAAACCCCATCTCTACTAAAAATACAAAAATTAGCTGGATATGGTGGCATGTGCCTGTAATCCCAGCTACTTGGGAGGCTGAGGCAGGAGAATCACTTGAGCCTGGGAGGCGGAGGTTGCAGTGAGCCAAGATCGTGCCACTGCACTCCAGCCTGGGTGACAGAGTGAGACTCCATCTCAAAAATAAAAATAAAAATAAAAATAAATATGCAAAAACAATATGAGGGAAGAAAAATTAGTATATATCTGAAAAACAAAGACACCAAGTTTGTAAATGCACCAAAACTTAATATGGTAAAGATGCCAATTCTTTCTAAGCTAATTCATAAATTTAACAGTACTAATAAGAATACTGAAAAAGAAATTTTGTTCTAGAATTAGATAAGCTAATTCTAAAGGTCATGTGGAAAATAAACTAGTAATAGTAATGAGGAAATCTCCAGAATAGAAGTCTTAGAAGCCAATGAATACATAACAAAACTTCAATAATTAAAACAATATCATATTGAGACATATGTAAATATACTAGAGAAGAGGAGATAAATTCCAGAAATAGAATCTACTTTATGTGGGAATTTAGTATATGATAAAGGTGATACTCATTCTGTGGTGGTAAAGATGAACTTTAATATACAATGTTGGAACAACCAAATAGTCTTCTCAAAAATGACACTGTTAGATTCATATATCATACCATATTCAAATAAATCTTCCTAATGGGATTTAGGATTTAGATGTAAAAAAATTACAACATAGTTTAATTTCTTTATATACTTAGCATGGAAGAGACGTTTACAGCTATGACTCAAAAATGAGAAGTCAAAAGAAAAGATTGGTAAGTTCGTAAACTTTGCATTCAAAAATATAAGTGCAAAACGGAAGAAAATATTTGCAATTCATGTCACATAGAAATGTAGAAGAAAAGTAAAAGTTGGATGGAAATATAAACAAAGAATATGAACAGACAGTTCACTAAGAAAAAACACAGGTGGTAATTAAATCTATGAAAATACTCATAATAAAAAGAAAGGATTTTTATTTTCTCACAGTGATGGGAAGAATCTTATGATAGCCAACCTCCACCCCCTGGTGTTAGGGCCTGTACAATCCCCTCTCCTTGGTGTGGCCAGGACCTGTGATTTGCTTCTAATCAATAGAATATGACAACAGTGATAGGGTGTTACCCCCTGGACTAGGTTTTGTTGTTTGGCAAATGTGCTGGGATGACACTCCCGTGATTAGGTTACATGGTATGAGACTCCACCACTTTAACAGACCATAGCAAGGGACTTTCCTGCTAGCCTTGTGGAAGCCAGTTGCTGTGATGTGAACTGTCTATGGGGAGGCTCATGTGCCCAGGAACTGCAGACAGCTTCTCATTGCTGAGGGCCTCATTCTTACAACCATAAGGAACTGACTTTTGCCAACAATCACATGAGTTTGGAAGAGAACTCTCAGCCTCAGGTGAGACCACAGTCACAACCCACATTTTGATTGCAGCTCCTGAGACCCTAAGAAGAGGATGCAGCTAAGTTGTGCTTGGGTTCCTGAACCACAGAAACTGTGAGATACTAAATGTATGTTGCTTTAAGCTGCTGAGTTTATGATTATTTGTTATTCAGCGATAGAAAACTATGACACTTGTCAACCATATTGGCAAAAAAACAAAATATACAATATTGTGTTGCGGAGTATGCCCATGGGCTGTCTCATATGAAATGGTTCAATGCTTATGGAGGAAAATCTGGCAATGTCTAGCACAGTGACAGTAACATTTGCCCTTTGGCCCAGAAATCCAACTTTTGGAAATCTACCTATGCTTTCATATATATGAAATAATGCATGTACAAAATTTTTCATTAAAGCATTTTTTATAATAACAAATAATGAAAACAATTCAGTGGTTCAACAATTGAGAATTAGTTAAATTATCTAGGACCATGTATATGATGGAATACTATGTAACTATAAAAAAGGAATGGGGGAGGCCGGGCGCAGTGGCTCACGCCTGTAATCTCAACACTTTGGGAGGCCAAGGCGGGCAGATCACGAGGTCAGGAGATCGAGACCATCCTGGCTAACACAGTGAAACCCCGTCTCTACTAACAATACAAAAAAAAAAAAATTAGCTGGGCATGGTGGCAGGCGCCTGTAGTTCAGGCTACTCGGGAGGCTGAGGCAGGAGAATGGTGTGAACCCGGGAGGCAGAGCTTGCAGTGAGCTGAGATCGCGTCACCGCACTCCAGCGAGTGCAGGGAGAATGAGACTCCGTCTCAAAAAAAAAAAAAAAAAAAAAAAAAAGGAATGGGGGAGATCTTTATGTAATGATATGGAAAAATGGAAAAAAGTAAAGTTCATAACAATATATGTAGTACACTGCCTTTGTATAATGAAAATTTATGTATTTGCATAAAGAAACTGTGGAAGTTAAAAAAAAAAATTTAATGATTACCTGTAGGGAAAAGAAAGAAAAAAAATGGATAGGAGTAAGACTTCTCCATGGATACCGTTTTTATCATTGTATTTTTGAAACATAAACATCTTACCTACTAAAAATTAATTTAATGTTCTAAGTTGTTGAATGGATGGATGTAAGAAAGCACTGTGTCATAATGAACATACTCAAGATGTAGAGATGACACAGAGAAAAAGGGGGTGAGAGAGGGAAGTCGGCTAACATGTCTTCACAGACAGGGGACACTGAGTGGGACACTGAAAGATGATCAAGAGTTACCATGGGCCGGGCGCGGTGGCTCACGCCTGTAATCCCAGCACTTTGGGAAGCTGAGGCGGGCAAATCACAAGGTCAGGAGTTCCAGACCAGCCTGGCCAATATGGCAAAACCCCATCTCTACTAAAAATACAAAAATTAGCTGGGTGTGGTGGCACGTGCCTCTAGTCCCAGCTACTCAGGAGGCTGAAGCAAAGAATCGCTTGAACCCAGGAGGCAGAGGTTCCAGTGAGCTGAGATCACACCATTGCGCTCCAGCCTGGGCAACAGAGCAAGACTCCATCTCCAAAAAAAAAAAAAAGTTACCATGGATGAACAAGCCTCAAAAGGACATCACAGACGATGAGAACTGCAAGTTCAAAGATACGGTGGGGTAAAACAGACAGTATATCCAGGTAATAAGAGACTCTAGTCTTATTAAATGTTATGGGGGTGCCGGAGAGCTGTGTACTGAGAGAAGAAGCCAGAGGCCAGATCAAGGGGTCCTTGGAAGCTCTCCTAAGAGACTTGGACTTTATGCTGTGCATAATGTTTATGTCTTAAATGGGTCATTCTAGAAGTGACTTGGAGGATATATCAGAGGGTATCTGTATTTATGCCTCATGGCTGCCATAGCAAATTCCCATGAACTTGGTGGCTTAATACAACAGAAATTTATTTTCTCACAGTTCTGGAAGCCAAAGATCTGAGCCAGAAGTCTGAAATCAAGGTGCTAGCAGGGACACATAGGGAAGAATCCATCGTCTGTCTCTTCCAGCTTCTGGAGGTTGCCAGTTTCTTTGGCTCATGGCCACATTATGCCAATCTCTGCCCTCATCTTCACCTCACCTTTTCTCCTATGCGTGTCTTCTCCTCTTCTGTTTCTTACAGGGACACTTGCCATTGGATTTAGGGCCCACTCAAGTAATTCAGGATGATCTCATCTCAGCATTCTGAGCTTAATTATATGTGCAAAACATCTTTTCCAAATAAGGTCACATTCACACCTTCCAAGGATTAGAACATGGACATATCTGTTGTGTGTGTGTGAGGTGGGGAAGAGGCAGTCATGGTGAATGCTAATGACAAAAAGTCTATTTGGAAGATAGTTGCAATTGACCAGGTAAGAGATGTTCATCAAGTATTCAATTTTTCTGATTAAAAACTTCCCACGGCGAAATCCTACAAGCCACTCACATTTTTCAGAAATCCACCCCACATTTTCCTTTCTATAATTTAAGCCCACCTTTCTTGCCTTGATTTTTACTCAAGCAATTGAATGTATATTTGCAGCAGCACCCCCCCCGCATCTCCTCTAAGTCATTTCTTATATTCATATCATAACCACTATGTGGCATCTTATGCTGTAAGAATAATTCTGGGCTTTCTCATCTGAAATGGCAGAAGTCCTCAGGGAGATTCCCTCCCCGAAAATGACACTTACCTAGAGGCAGACAGAGTGTTCTACACAGGATATTTTCCAGCAAGAAAGCCCAAGGCACGTAGCGTTAAAGTTTCTGGTGAGGTCTGTGGAGCACCAGACCAATCATCATAAAATCCAGATATGAGAATTTCTAAAGTAAGTGGTAGCATATTAAAATAGGATGCAGAAGACCTAGGAAGGGATCAAATCTTTAAACTTCACATCAAAGTCAAGAGTGGTTTCATATGAAAGACAAGCCAATCTAATCTCCCATCCCCTTCACCTCCAAAACGGTCACTATCTGGCTGTTTTTGGTTAGCAATTAAGCAGCAAAGAGTTATTATCCAGATCATGTTCTGCTTGTATTTCTAAACCTAGCTAAACTGTAGTTATTGACCTTCAATCTAACTAACCAATGCTGCTAGTGACCCCTTGCTTTCTAATCAGTTAGACTGGTCACTTTCTAACAGTGAAAGCTCTGACTGTAAGCCAGTCCTGTCCAAAAGAACTTTCCACGATGACAATAATGCGTACATACAACATTGTATAATAATCTGCACTCTCCAATATGATGTCCACCAGCCACATGTGGCTACTGACCACTTGAACTGTGGCTGGTGTGAGGGAGAAACCAGTTTTTAAATTATTTATCATTTTCATTAATTTAAAGAGCCAAATGGAGTTCATGGCTACCATACTGGACACCACAACTCTAAGATGGGTCCTGGCCCATCTTCCTATTTGAACAGACTGAAGTTCCATGTTGGTATCACTTTAGTCTTGGTCTGTTGTCATATTTACTTCCTGCTCCCAAGGAAGAATCTGGTAAGCCTACTGGGACTTATGGCCATCAATTATATTTCAAAGGAATAAGTTAGAAGTTTTTTTTTCTCTTTGATATTAGTTTGAGATGTTATGAAATAAGACCTATGATACTGCCTAGATAATTTCAAAAAAATGTTTATAATTGTGGGATGCCCTGCTAGCCACAGATCACTTAGCGGTTTTCTGGATAGACTCGCCCTTTTTTTCCCCTTGCTTCTCTTTCTAGGAAAATTAACAAAGGCTTCTTTGGCTCCTGGATTTAATTTCTATGATGTGACAGAAACATGTACATTTACATACACTATCATTTAAGCCTGAAATTGCAAAAGTTTCTTAGATTGTTTTCAAGTTCCTAACTACCCAACTTCTGGATGGAGTGAAGTTGATTACTCATTGAAGGGGTGAATATAAAGTATTTAGGACTAGATCCACTGTCCTTCAAGGAACTCCTACAGATGTGTCTAGGAAGACGAATCATTGTTTCTGTGAGTGATTTTATCACATCTATACACTAAGCATTAAAAGAAAGCTGAAGCTTTCAGTAAGCAGACCAGGCTGTCACGAAAGCCTTCACTGTATGAACCCAGATTCTCCATTCCCCAAAATCAGAGAACATTCCAACAACTCACCTGTCCCTTTATTCACAGTGTAAAAAGAAACATTCAGCTCCATGAGGTGCTGAAGAAACAGAGATGGTTGGTTCAATGAGACTATGGGGCACGGAGAGCTCTCATAAAACTTACTACTAGATTATATGATGGTAAGTCCTACAATAGAGATGACATAGGAACAAACAAGATCAAATTTATAAATAATATATTAAAAATACAGATAGCAAAAGAATGAATGAGAAGAAATCTACAAAGCACTTCCCACTGAAAACGGTTTCAAAACTATGTGATATTATGACATAGCATTACTGTTTTGATAAGTTAACTGAAATCCCAGCAACTCAGGAGGCCAAGGTGGGAAGATTGCTTGAGGCCAGGAGTTCAAGGCCAAACTTGGCAACATAGCGAGACCTTGTCTCTACAAGAAAAAAAATTTTTTTTAATTATCTGGGTATGGTGGCCCGCACCTGAAGACCTAGCTACTCCTCAGGAGGCTGAGGCGGAAGGATTGCCTGAGCCCGGGAGTTCAAGGTTACAGTGAGCTATGACTGCACCACTGCACCCCAGCCTGAGTTACGGAGCAAGACCCTGTCATTTGTTGTTGTTTTCTCTCTCTTCTTAGATAAAATTTCTGTTTGTGACACAAACAGCCATTAGAGAGAAATGATTAGCTATTATACTTCTCAGTGGTGGTTAGCAATGGTCTATAATTATTCATTTCTATTAGGAGCCATTAGCCATTAATTCCATGTATTAGAATTTTGAGAGCAGCTTGACCACATTGATTCCTGGGTCTACATTTAAAATAGATGTGAGAGAGAGAGAGAGACAGAGAGAGAGAGAGAGAGAGAGAGAGAGAGAGAGAGAGAGAGAGAGAGAGGATAGACAAGTATGTATTTTTGAAACAAACTACTAAGTTATGGTCATGTTTATTGAATGGCTTTCAAATCCATTGGAATACATTGTTCCAGAACTGTGTTTTATCTGTGTCTTCACCGATGCAAGTTTTCATTAAAATAGAATCTGAGACTTTAGGAACTTTAGCCACTGTCAAGAAGAGAGGAGCCCAGGACAGGAAGACATAACCTTAACCCTGTCTTTGCTGAGTGAACTTAAGCAATAGATTTAACCTTTTTATGGCTTAGCATCCTCATCTGTAAAATGAGAAAAATGGTATCTACTTCATTAGGATGTTGCAAAGATTAAATGAGTTCGTTATTGTTAAGCACTTAACTGTCATCATCATCATCATCCCACAGATGTAGACACCGATGTCCAGGTAGGCGATGTGATTTGTCCAAATCATAAAACTAGCATTAAGCACGCAGAAGAACCCAAATCTCTTGACAACTAGCCCTGAGTTCCTTCCACTGTGCCATGCTGCCTGTATTGTTCTATACTACGCCATACTTTCTGATGCATAAAGTCCTTATCAGGTACATAACTTATGAAGGAAAGAACTCAGAAAGAAGAAGGCCTAATGATGCCATTTCTAGAGGTCTCGAGGCAAGGCCATATAGGCCAAAGTGGCTGCTGAAACCAGTCACTTCAGTGTCACTATTAAAGTCCTTGTACCGAATGTATCTCCCCATTTGCTGCTATTCCTAAAATTTCTCTTATATAAGGAACAAGTTTTCATTGCATAATAATAAATGTATAAATAATATTGTTTTAATTATTAATAACCATATACTGGCTCATATTTATAGTACTCATATCAAAACCTTACTCTTAATAAATGAAAATATAAGGTAAAATATATGAACATATAATAATATTTGTGTAATACATAAGAACATAAGACCATGAGCCACGAAAGAGGGATTGTTGAGGTGAGGAATGAAATGGTACACAGTGGATGCTTTGGGTATCCAAATCAAACTTAATTTTCCTCACAATTTTCCAGGAGCCAGTAGGAACATTTCCTGGGATATCACAGCAAGGAATGGAGTACAGCTCCACCAGGAGCCATTAAATATGGGATTAATGATGGACAATTCACGTGAAAGGCAAGAACTGCTTGTCTCCTTCCTCGAAACACCAAGGCCATTCCAGACCCAAGTCAAACTGAGTCTGTAGCCATGAAAAAAATGGTCCCCATGGGGTCCCTGCAGGAGAGACAACAAAACATTTTGATGTTACATATCCTCCAGATCCATGTGGGCTTTCAGAAAAAAAAAAAAAAGGCCCTTGTACAGATATGTTTTATAATCCAGATTTTTACATAGCATGAAAGGGGAAGGAAAAAGGAGCCATTCACAAATTGTCCATCTATTCCTGTATTCTGCAGGAACAATACTTTGCTTCCACATGAACTGCTTTCAACATAATTCCTCTTTATATTAGAAGTCAAAAGTAAAAAGGCTACCTTGACTATATAAGCTTCGCGAAAATCTATATATTTAACTTTAGAATGGCTTTTCTTTTATCCCCATGTAACGTTTGAAAATCATGTTGATGCATTTTATAAAGAATCACACTGGCTCAAAAGTATAGCAACAAAAACAATTCAAACATAAAATCTCATTTTTAAGTTCTTAGCTTTAAATATGCATCAACAGAATGTGAACTGCTATTTTCTCCACATGGGTCTTAAGCACTATACAAAGCATTGGCAGATCAGTATTACAGAAAAGTGGACTTGGTTATTGTCACACTGTCTCTGTCACATCAAAGCTATCTCTCTTTTGCAAGAACCAGTTTTTTTCTGTACTGCACTTTTTCCCCGGCCACTACATGGAATGCTCTGAAGCACTGATCAATTAGGGAAATTGTTTTAATGAGGGAGGTTGATTTTGTCATGTATGCGTTATCTTTCTCTTTTCTTGACCACATTATCCTCTGGGAATCAGAATGCTAAGTTGTTATTGGGAGTCAATAACTGGCTTGAAATTACTCTGAGAAGTTCACCCCTACCAAACTGCTTCATGGCAAATTATTGCTTACCACCTAGCATCTGATACATATATACCAGAGGGCATGCACACATGCATGTATAGGATGGCAATTTGCTGTACTTTAAATTTATTCCTTTCTTCTCACCTTTCTCACATGCCATCAAATCCCCCATTTCCTAGATGGAATGCATCTTTCTAGATGAAAAGAAAAAACTCACTGATGAAATGAGTACTAATTCATTTGCCTCACTGGTCGAAGAAGCCAATTAATATATGAGAAACATCAGCTAGCTTAAAGAAACGTGGAGTGCAGATAAAGACTAAAGAACCACGGAGTCAACCAAGTAAAGTGCCAACTCAAAATGATAGCAAAGAACTAGATATCTAGTATGTGTTCAATAGATGGCTAAGGGTGAGTTTCCTGATATTCTAATTTACTCAGGAGCAATCTGAATTTTCTAAGAGGATATTTATAATAAATTCCTACTGGTAGACTTTAGGCTATTATGTAAGACAGTAAGAGGTTTTTTTTTTTTTTATTTTTGTGCCCATTAAATTGCATCATGTAGTTGATCATTTAACTTTGTCTAAATCCAAGTTTGACCTGTTCGTCTATGTTCCACATAATTGAAAAAAGTACTGGGAGTAAATGAGGGGGATTCTCAGATGTGCTTACTGAGTTATGTTGGTCTGGTAGATGCTGGAATGGAGAGTGAAAGTCTTCAACTTTTTTTGTCATTCTATCGAACCGACAGGATGGAGACAAGAAGTAATACTCACTTTGCAATTAATCACAATCTCATCAGGAAGACTCACCCCCAACCGGTTCATTAAAGGCAAATAGACTTCTTCCAAAGCCTTAGTTTTCCTTTCCATTATCAATCCGGGGAAGAATAAATGAGATTAAAAATGTAAAGCAAAAAGGAAGAACTGAATAAATCAGCCAAAAAATAATAGGATCTTTGGGAGAAAATAGTTTTTTACAAAAACGTTCAGAAAGAGTATAAAATAAATATCTGAGTGTAGAGATCTAAGTACATATACCCACACTGACATTAACACACATGTTCAGCAAACATCAATATTGATTATGCCTCTGGAAACTATTGACTGGTGGGAAAATCAATATATATCTTGATGTTGACCACAACAAAATCAATAATTGCTTCATAATTTACCAAGACTCATGGGATTTAATGAACCAGATAGCTATGAAGTAAAGCAAAATGATTGTACTTTCTCCCCAGCATACTGGATAAAGGATATAATACCAGCATTAGACATTGGTAGCCATACCTTGTGTCACCCCCCTAAACCCCATCTTTATTGAATGAAGCAAGTGAAACATCACCTTTCCCAGAATTGTGGATGACAACTCTGAAATTTGAGCAAGGAGAGAAGAGTAAGAGAAAGAAACCTCAGGGAAGACAACACTCACAAGAAAACTGATTCAGTGTCACAGATGAATGTGGGCATTTGTGCCTGTGAATTAAACAGCAGTCGCCTGCTGATAAATATCATTTATCCACTTTGTTAGGCCCCAGTATTGCATTATATTGATTGTACGTTCAGCCTTTTCTAGTTTTTCACTTATTTCCAGAGATTAATAAATGCAGGTTATTCAAATGCCATGACTATCTAAAATCCAATCCAAAGGGACTTTAGTGGCAGATTTAGAAAAAAAAAAATGCTGGTACTCTTCCTGTCCTTCTTTAGGATCCCCTCAATATTTGCATCTACTTAAGAAAAGCAGAAGTAAAAAGATGGCCAACACTCCGCAGTGCAGACACAATGATTCATCTGCATATTAGGAGCTGGGCCAATACGACCAGTCATTAAAATCTTTCAGTTTAAGTCCAAAACAGAGAAGCTCTATACACTGAACTGTAGGGATGTGTGTATGAATTGCCTGATAAATATGCAGAATGATGTTTCCCAGTGCTCCTAAATGATATTAATAAGTCGAGCTCTGCAAGGAAAAACAGAGGTCAAAGCAACCAACAGAGTAAGCCAAAAATGGGTTCCCATTAGAATAAATTTCTAATAATGAATTTCTCTAGAAAACTGCCAGACTACCTTTATCTAAAACTATAGAAAAAGATCTGGTTCCCATTTTGTAGGGTCTACACAGGGAAATAATAAGTGAACAAATGTGGGCTGAAAGCATAATGGCTAATAATATTTCCCAGAAGAGAAGAAAGAGGTGAGCTGTGTCTTTACAGACATTGCCAATAGGTAAGAGAGGGCACAGAAACTCAAAGAAGCCTTAGATTTACTGAATGTAAGAGAAGGAAGAGGAGAAAAGAGATGTAGATACAAGATTAAAGATTATAAATAAAATTACCATAAGTGACCCCAATTTACCAATCATTTGAAGTGGTTCTAAGAGCAAGATTGTTTCATATTGCCTAAGTTTATGGCAAGGAGCATCAGTGATGTTACACTTTTCAAATGTATCATAACTTACGCATTTCAGAAAGCTTGTACATGGATTATCGTAATTGAGCCTCACAAAAAAACTTTTAAATGGCCTCCTGTGTGATGGTTAATTTTATATGTCAACTTGACTGGGCTTAGGGATGCCCAGATAGTTAGTAAAACACTATTTCTGGGTGTATTTGTGAGGGTCTTTCTGGAAGAGATTAGCATTTGACTCAGTAAACTGAGTAAAAAAAACTGTCCTCACCGAGGTAGGTGGATATCACCCAGGCCATTAAAGGTCTAAATAGAACAGAAAAAAAAATAAAAAATTACTATTTTCAATCAGAAGGATTGTAAAATTCTAATATCTGCCTTTGCACATTTTCTGTCATAAGCTAACCATTGAAAGCTAATTAGGCAAAAATTATTTATTCAAATGTCTACCCCTAACATTACTATCTTAAATTCCACATTCTTTTCTATGTGACTAAGAGCACCATTTTATATCAGGTGTTCTATCCTTTAGGGCTATTGTGAGACATGAGGAATACTTCCATCTCTGATAACCAAGCTGGGGAAATGCCCCTTGATACACCAAATCTCAACTATTAAATGATCTAAAGCAGTGTTTCTAAAATTGTAGTCAATGGACTATCTTCCTTAAAAGGAACTAGAGATCTTGTTAAAATGCAGACTCCTAAGTCCTACCCCAATACTTTTGAGTCAGAATTTCTAATTGGGTCCCAGCTATATTTTAACAAACATCCTAGATAATATTTGTGTACAGGGTAGGATAAGAACCACTGAATCAGAAAATTGGAGCGATGAGTATACAAATAAGACTCAGGCCCTAACACAGAACCCTCTACACATTATACCCAGGGACAGCAAGTACAGATCAAAATAAACAAAAACAAAACGTCCTAGCTTAGGTAAAAAAATAAAAATGAAAAACAGGACAGGTGCGGTGGCTCACGCCTGTCATCCCAGTACTTTGGGAGGCTGAGGAGGGCGGATCACTTGAGGTCAGGAGTTCAAGACCAGCCTGGCCAACATGGTGAAACCCCGTCTCTACTGAAAATACAAAACTTAGCCAGGCGTGGTGGTGCATACCTGTAGCCCCAGCTACTCGGGAGGCTGAGGCAAGAGAATCACTTGAACCCGGGAGGTATAGGCTCCAGTGAGCCGAGATTGCACCACTGCACTCCAGCCTGGGCGACAGAATGAGACCCTGTCTCAAAAAAAAAAAAAAAAATTCTCATTTAAATGCCTTCAAAGGAGGTTTTACAAAGCCTCTTGATATTGACAGCTTCTTTTTTTTTTTTCGAGATGGAGTCTCACTCTGTCGCCCAGGCTAGAGTGCAGTGGCATGATCTTGGCTCACTGCAACCTTCACCTCCCAAGTTCAAGTGATTCTCCTGACTCAGTGTCCCGAGTAAGTTTGGATTACAGGCGTGTGCCACCATACCCAGCTAATTTTTGTATTTTTAGTAGAGAGGGAGGTTTCACCAGGTTGACCAGGCTGGTCTCGAACTCCTGACCTCATGATCCACCAGCCTCAGCCTCCCAAAGTGCTGGGATTACAGGCATGAGCCACCATGCTCAGCCAATAACTTCCTATATGAGTGTGCTTCACTCTAAACATGCACACACACAAAACTAAAATGTGTATATTTAAAAAATCAAATTACTACAATTTTCCTTAAATTTTGGAATATCTTATCCAGGGTTATTTAAAATAGTGTACACAATTATGCATTTTAAATATTGTTCTATCTAGACATAACTTTACACACAGCTGTTCATGAATGTGTCTATTGAACAAAGGTAAGCTTATAGATTTTTCCCAAATAACCCTTCATTTTGGAATTTTCTTTTTTTTTTTTCTGAGACGGAGTTTCGCTCTTGTTGCCCAGGCTGGAGTGCAATGGTATGATCTTGGTTCATCACAATCTCCGCCTCCTGAGTTCAAATGATTGTCCTGCCTCAGCCTCCCAAGTAGCTGGGATTACAGGCATGCGCCACCACACCCAGGCAATTTTGTATTTTTAGTAGACACAGGGTTTCTCCATGTTGGTCAGCCTAGTCTCAAACTCCCGGCCTCAGATGATCAGCATGCCTCAACCTCCCAAAGTGCTGGGATTACAGATGTGAGCCACCGCACCCAGCCAATTTTGGAATTTTCAAAATACGTCAAGGACTGTAGAACTATACATACACACACACACACATATGTATATATAAAATATACGTATAAATACATATATATATAATGTTTATATATACATATATACAATATAATATATACATATGTATATATATGTATATACATTATATAATATATATGTGTATATTTTTGTTTAATTGATGAAATAATTAACTTGTATTTGGGACTGTAATACAAAAAGCTATGGTCTGGGTTGGGCGCAGTGGCTCACGCCTGTAATCCCAGAACTTTGGGTGGCTGAGTTGGGGGGATCATTTGAGGTCAGGAGTTCAAGACCAGCCTGGCCAACATAGTGAAACCCCATCTTTACTAAAATTACAAAACTGAGCAGGGCGTGGTGGCAGGCTCCTGTAATTCCTGCTACTCAGGAGGCTGAGGCACAAAAATCACTTGAACCCGGGAGGCAGAGGTTGCAGTGAGCCAAGATCGCACCACTGCACACTCCAGCCTGGGTGACTGAGATTCAGTCTCAAAAAAAAAAAAAAAAAAAAAAGCTATGGTCTGGAATGGAAAAAAATGGGCCTGCTTTCTGAATCTTCCACATACTAATTTATGCGGCCATAAGCACATCGCTTAACAACCCTGGGCTTTGTTGTTCCTTTGCTGCCTGGGCATGCTAATATTCTCCTCCCAGCATTGCTATTAAGGTGTTTAGCAGGGTTTCTGAATGAACATAATAAATTTAAAGTGCAACACAGAACTTGCCTCCCCTGACACTTAGCAAGTGAGCAAAGAAGAGCTACAGCAACCTACAGAAGGAAAAATAATTAAACGAAATCGTGGAAGGAAAGTTGCAGGGGAGGGGGCATTCTTCAGTGGAGGGGAGGGGTGCAGTACAGCTGGCATCCAAACCAGTTCCCTCCTAGTGGACCTCAGCTTATCCCAGAAGGAGTGTCACTGAGGTTACAAAGTTCTGAAATTTGTTGTTAATACCCTCAACCTGAACAGAAGCAGACTGAACATATATCTGTATCATTTTCTCTCTTAACAGAAGAATGATGGAGTGGTTCCTGGGGTGAGGCAGGTTAAATGGAGAAAGCAGACAATGTACATAACTCTCTCTGATGAAAATGGAAACTACAGACCTACATCCTGTATTGAAGTACAACTGAAGAACAAGCTAAAGCTCAAGGCCCTTCCTGCCTCCAAGCGGAAATAAAATATATGATTCCTAGCCAAGTGTTACAGAACACGTATGTGACAAAAAACCTCAAAGGCACAAAAGATCCTAAATATCCTAAAAGAGAGCTCCTCAGCCGACCTTTCTTCGTATCCTCTATTTTCTCCTTAGGCGACTCAAAAATGGGTAGAAGCAAAAGACTTAACTATCAAACTGTAGCTTACAGAGGAAAACAAACTCTCATATGACAGGAAGAGGGTTAAGAAATCACCCAGCTCTATACCAGATCAAATGGAACATCAGCACAGGACTGCCAAGTCATAAGCAAGAAGAAAAAAAATAGCACGGCAACAATGCAAACATGTGACAGCCAAAAGGGTGGGAGTAGAAAAGGGAGCAGAATGTCAAAAAGACAAAGAACCAATGCTAGAAGGAAAAATTACTCAATGAACGAGGGAAAGTGCTCTACCACTGTGTTATGCTATGAAACAACGTAATTATTAAATGAATACGGTAAGATGGTAAAAGGATAGAATAAGATGAAAAGAGAAATTGCCTAGCTGAGGCAATAAATTGATGCTCAAATCAACATCATTTCTGAACTAAAAAACGTATTAGAACTAGCAAGGAACTGAATAGACATTGCTAAAGAGCAAGCTACTAACATGTGGAAAATTGAACATAAAAATAATGAATGCAAATTTAAAAAACAAAGACATCTAAACAATTAGAAAGGAACTAAGTTACATGGAGGACAAAGATGATATAGCCAAAGAAGAATTGGTGCCCGTGAGATAATCAACAAGTGAAACTGAAAAAATATGTTGTAAGTTGTAATACAATATATATATCGTATTATACAATACGATATATATATACATATATCCCAAAATTCAAAGAGCAACCAATGAGCCTGAACAAAAGCTCATATCATAATTGAACATATCAAGTGTTATAGGGGATTTTCAACACCAAGAACCATCTAGTAGACTAAGTAACATCAAGAATAAACAATTACACAGTCATCCAGACAAATAATGCACATCACTCACAAAAAGAAAAAAAATCATGCTGGCCGTAGATTTATTCACCATACCAATGAATGCCAGGTGATGATGGAATAATGTCTATTAATCTCTAAGGGAAAAAAAATGGTTCCCCCAAGAGAATTATCTCCAGCCAAGAGAGGTTGTTCACATAGCATCAGGTAGACATTATTGAACATAGAAGAAACGAAGGAATAAAAACATCCATGAGGCCAGGCGCGGTGGCTCACGCCTGTAATCCCAGCACTTTGGGAAGCTGAGGCAGGCGGATCAAAAGTCAGGAGTTTGAGACCAGCCTGGCCAACATGGTGAAACCCTGTCTCTACTAAAAAAAAATACAAAATTCAGCTGTGTATGGTGGTGTGCACCTGTAATTCCAGCTACTTGGGAGGCTGAGGCAGAATTGCTGGAACCCGAGAGGTGGAGGTTGCAGTGAGCTGAGATTGTGCCATTGCACTCCAGCCTGGGTGACAGAGCAAGACTCACTCTGTCTCATAAATAAATAAATATTAAAAAGTAAAAAAATCCATGAATTCCTTCTTAATGACAATAAAATCTAGCCAATTAATAGATGAGTCAAAATTTAAAACTTGAGAATGAAGAAGCCATGGTAACAGAAGAGGTGTTAAGCATTTTATCCACTGTACTATTTTTTCAACTTTCCTGTATGTTAGAATGTATTCATATTAAAAGGTTGGAGAAAAAAGATTAAATTAATGTTATACATGCTATAGTATAATACCATGAAAATACTATACCAGGTACTAGTAAGTGGTATACATGGTATACTATTCCATGGTATAGTATTACACATGTTTTGCAAAGATGGTGAAGCTGAGCCATAAGATGGCACTATTTGTGTTACTGGGTGGTGTCTGACCTCACTCCCTTAGCAGTGCTAGGAAGGATAGGGATAGGAAAAATATCTTTCAGCAGCACTCCAGACTGACATGGTATAAGCAGATATTTATCGGAAGTCTATTCCTAAATTATAAAAAGACTAGCTTTGATAAGAAGAAAAGTTAAGAATCTGGGACAGAGTCAGAGCCTTGGGATGGGATGGAACCATCAACAGGACCATTATGCTACTCAGTAATACTAAAATAAAAGTTGTTAAAATGTATCTTTGTTAATACATTTGTGGTGCTCCCCTAGAAAAAAATAAGAAAGTCATGGTCTCTTTTTTTTTTTTTTTTTTTTTTTTTTTTTTTTTTTTTTTGAGACTGAGTCTCACTCTGTTGCCCAGGATGGAGTGCAGTAGTGGGGTCTCGGCTCACTGCAAGCTCCGCCTCCCGGGTTCATGCCATTCTCCTGCCTCAGCCTCCCGAGTAGCTGGGACTACAGGCACCCACCACCACGCCTGGCTAATTTTTTGTATTTTCAGTAGAGACGGAGTTTCACCGTGTTAGCCAGGATGGTCTCGATCTCCTGACCTCATGATACACCCACCTTGGCCTCCCAAAGTGCTGGGATTACAGGTGTGAGCCATGGCACCCAGCTGGTCTTTGTCTTTTGAGATATTGTCTGTTCTCATCATTGTGTCATGTGATGAGAAGATTATTTAACCAAATACCAGAAAAGCTGAAGTTATAGTTTAATATATTTGGTTATCTATAGATATAATATACAACATATAAATTAAATAAGAAAATATCCATGTGTTAGTGGGCATCTATTGAAATTATGCATGTGATAATTTCAACAGATCTTCCCCACACACGTACATCTAATAAAATTTTATACCCTATAACAATAATTTTAAAGTAATAAAAAATTTTACTTTACTATAATTATTTATATTAAATCAAAACTTGAAACATATGTGGCATTCATTTTAAACACAAGAAAAGAGTAAGGATACCTATTATCAGTATTGTGTTGGTCAGAGAATTTTTGGTTTTGAGAAACAGAATCCCACTAGAGATAGATCACAGAAAGGAGGGTTTATTATAGTAGAATCTAAAACCTAAAGGGACACCAGGTGTAGTGGCTCAGCCTATAATCCCAACACTTTGGGAGGCTGAAGCAGGAGGATCGCTTGAGCCCAGGAGTTTACGATCAGCCTGAGCAACATATTGAGACCCCATTTCTATAATAAATTTTAAAAAATTAGCCAGGCGTGGTGGTGCATGCCTGTGGTCCCAGCTACTTGGGAGGCTGAGGTAGGAAGCTCACTTGAGCCTGGGAGGTCAAGGCTGCAATGAGCCACGATAGCTCCATTGCACTCCAGCCTGGACAACAGAGAGAGACCCTGCCTCAAAAAGTTAATTAATTAATTAATTAATTAATTGAAAAACCTAAAGGGAAAACTGCTTCTCACGAGAAGTTGAAAGATAACAAAACAGCTCTTTCCGAGTCTGAATGTTCTCTTGGATTGGCTTTTGTGGGTTGGTGTGTGTGTGCACATGTATGTGTGTGTACACGTGTGTCATACATGTGAGTGTGCATGTGTGTGGGAACTCAGTATCAACAGTACATGAACTTATAGCTCCTGTCTGACTCCTAACCTGCTGGTTGCTGGCTGGCAGATGAATCAGCTTTCCCTAAGGCGTGTGCCCATTTTTTATCCAATCAATCATTACGGAAGCACACATATAGTGCTGAGCTAGCAAGCAGAACAGTTAGAAAGGGAGATTGGACAAGACCGGCAAATTAATTGATGTCTCTTCTACAACTGTTTTTCTAAAATAATAATAAATATCATTAAGATTCAAGTAAGATATAAAAATCATATTGGGAACTGAAAAATTATTATGCACAATTAGAATAATTGCATCATTAAAAGAGCCGAATAAATCTGCTATTAGAGATAAATTACCAATTAGAAATAATAACAGTGAAATGAAAAGATAGAACATCCAAAAAGTTCATCAAAGTCTTATATCCCGTAAAAGGAAGCTAAAGCATAATAATAAAAGAGATCTATTCTCAAGAATAATAGAGTTAGCAAATATTCATGAAAAAGCTTAATTAAAAGCTACATAGAACTTTTATAATGAAAAATGTTAAGTAGGAAATATAAAGAAAAACTTTAATAAGTGAAGTTATAATTTAAACCTTGATAAAGAGATTAATATTTCTTCAAAGTTAATTTGTAGAAGTATTACCATTGCATTCAAACTCTCAATAGAGAGGGGTGGGAAGATAACAAAATATTTCCAAAATCAATTTTAGAAAAGTGTTTAGAATAATTGGAATATTATAAAAACACTGAAAAAAGTGTCACTGGTTTTTAAAATATAAGAAAAGCAAAGTATTGCTCTTAGAAGAATTAAGTTGTGTTAGATGTTAAAACATTATAAAACATTATAAAATTAACAAATTCATAAAAATTAGAATAATTAAAATATTGATTATATCTGCAGACAAATAATAATTTTTCTCAAGCCTAAAGTACCAATCAAAATCATAAGAAAAAACTGACAAATTTAGATATGTAAAACTTAAAATGATATATTAAAAACTCAATTGATAAAGAAACCAGTAGACTATGAACAATATTTGATATTGAGTATGTCAAATATTTCTATAAAATATCATCTCATTAAAATTTATTTTAAAAGGCAAAAATGCCCTAGCATTAAAATTGAAAATATGTAACAATTTGTACAAGAAAGAACACAATTACATTTAAACAAACAAATGGAAATGTGTTCATTCTCACTAAACATCAAAGATTGCACATTAAAGCAAACTTGAAATATTAACATGGACCTACAAATTAGAAAACACTTCTGGAAATAGCACACAGATTGAATAAGGATGTTACCACACTAGAAATACTCTGTACAATTTGTAACACTGCAAACTGGTACAACTGATTTGGATGGCAACATTACAAATTGAACACCAAAGGCCATAAAAAACTATTTTTTCCACTTTACCACTCCCAAGAGATAAAGGAAAGAGTGCAATCTCTTTTTGTTTTTTGCATTTTTAAAATTATTTAAATAGGTTTTTGAGGAACAGGTGGTGTTTGATTACCTGAGTAAGTTCTTTCATGGTGATTTCTGAGATTTTGGTGCACCCATCACCCGAGTACTGTACCTTATACCCAACGTGTAGTCTTTTATCCCTCAGCCCACTGCAACACTTTCCCCTGAGTTCCCAAAGTCCATTGTATCATTCCTATGTCTTTTCATCCTTATAGTTTAGCTCCCACTTGTGAGTAAGAACATATGATGTTTGGTTTTCCATTCCCGAGTTACTTCACTTAGAATAATGGTCTCCAATTCCATCCAGGTTGCTGCAAATGTCATTATTTCATTCCTTTTTATGGCTGAGTAGTAGTCCATGGTATATATATTCCACAATTTCTTTATCCACTCATTGATTGATGGGCATTTGGGCTGGTTCCATATATTTGCAATTGCTAATTGTGCTGCTATAAACATGTGTGTGCAAGTATCTTTTTTGTATAATGACTTCTTTTCCTGTGGGAAGATACCCAGGAGTGAGATTGCTGGATCACATGGTAGTTCTACTTTTAGTTCTTTAAGGAATGGAATGAACACAATCTTTGAGATCAAATAGACACAGGCTCCATTCTGATATACTGCAGCTTTACTATCTTCATTGATTAGAAAGTGATGATAACTGTGGCTAAGATTTCCACAGAGAGCAAATAAGATAATGATACTATAAATGCCTAGCACTTTAGAGACACTAAATGGATTGTATTACCTATGTTTTTTCTCCTCATCTTTCTTATCCCCATGAAACACACACACAAACATGAACATACATGCACTTATATATAAGCACAGAAAATTTAAAGAAAATAATTTAATCAAAAAAGCTTTATGCTCTGAGAACAGAAGGGGAAATGGCATGCCATTCCTTTAACAATGCCTAAGCCATTACAAGGGATTGGGAGTTTTCCAGCTACAATCTTGGCCATCTGTATTAGTCTGTTCTCACACTGCTATGAAGAAATAACCAAGACTGAATAATTTATAACAGAAAGAGGTGAAATTGACTCAGTTCTTCAGGGCTGGGGAGGCCTTGGGGAACTTACAATCATGGTGGAAGGGGAAGCAACCATGACCTTCTTCACATGGCAACAGAACTGTGCTGAGCAAAAGGGGGAAATCCCCTTATAAAACCATCAGCTCTAGTTTACAGTCCCACCAACAGTGTAAAAGTGTTCCTATTTCTCCACATCATCTCCAGCACCTGTTGTTTCCTGACTTTTTAATCCATTCTCAGTAAACTATGGCAAGAACAAAAAACCAAACACCGCATATTCTCACTCATAGGTGGGAATTGAACAATGAGATCACATGGACACAGGAAGGGGAATATCACACTCTGGGGACTGTGGTGGGGTGGGGGGAGGGGGGAGGGATAGCATTGGGAGATATACCTAATGCTAGATGACGAGTTAGTGGGTGCAGCGCACCAGCACGGCACATGTATACATATGTAACTAACCTGCACAATGTGCACATGTACCCTAAAACTTAAAGTATAATAATAAAAAAAAAAAAATCAGATCTCGTGAGAACTCACTCATTATCACAAGAACAGCATGGAGGTAACCTCACCCATGATTCAATTACCTCCCACTGGGTCCCTCCCATGACATGTGGGAATTATGGGAGCTACAATTCAAGATGAGATTTGGGACACAGCCAAACCATATCACCATCTGAAGAAAATAGGATCCAAAAGGACCCAAAGGCAGAAGGAAATCTGGCATATTCCTGGACTCCATCTAGGGATAGAAGCTTAGGGAGAGAATGCTCTTTTAAGACACTAAAAACTATTACACAACAGGGTCTGAATGCTGCTTTGAAGGCCTAACTCATCAGATTGGTGCATGCTTTAAACTGGCTGCACATATCCCCCTCTAACCAGCAGGTGAGTTCCCAAGAGGAAGGAGAGATCAATGATAGAAAAAAATAATTGTTTTCCTCTGCACATCAAACTTGTAGAATGAGTTGAATTTTGTAGATGTTGCATGAAAAAGCACTTTTAGAAAACTAAAGGACAATCCAGTTTTAGAAATTCCCATAAGACTGGGATTTTTGCTCTCTTGTCTGCGTTTTTAGGTTGACTCCATGAAGGTATCACACCTTTACTAGGGTTAATACCTGTCTAACAATCTGTAGTTCTTCAATCAGCTATGAAAACCATATTTTTCAAAATGAGTTATTAGAATCTGGAAATTATATGATTATTATTACTTCTAATAATTATTTGTGTTATTATTTTGGAAATAATAGCAGCCAGGCATGCTGGCTCATACCTGTAATCCAAGCACTTTGGGAGTCCAAGGTCGGAGGATTACTTGAGCTCAAAAGTTTGAGACCAGCCTGGGCAACATGGTGAAACCCCATCTGTACAAAAACTTTTAAAAATTAGCCAGGCCTGGTGGCCTGCACCTGTAGTTTTAGCTTCTCAGGAGGCGGAGGCAGGAGGATCACTTGAGCCAGGGGAAGTTGAGGTTGCAATGAACCAGTATCTAGCCACTGACTCCAGCCTCGGTAACAGAGTGAGACCCCATATCAAAATACAATAAAATAGAAATAGTGGCAAAAAATTATTTCTTTCCAAAGGCCCTAACTTATAATCCTCTTTTACAGTACATAAAACCAGATTCTGAAAATCACATGGGTCCACACATTACGAAGAGGGTCTTTTCTCTCTGTTTATGTCATCTTTTGAGTGCACTTACAGATTCCTGTCTTGAATTCACTGCTGGTTTTTCAGCCTCTATTGCTGCTTCAGCTTGCTCTTCCGTTTCCTAGTTGCTTACTTGTTTCTTCATTTTATTTATAGCTCTATTTTTTCCTGCACTGTTGGAATGATTTCCAGTTGCACCATTCACGCTTTCAACTATTTGAAAAAAAAAAATCTCATTTTCTATAAAAATAGCTAACCTCAAAGTGATTCATTTCATTGTCCAGGCCTTTTTATGATTAAAAGACCTTTTCATATTATTCATGAGTCTCAACTGATTCATCCGTATAATTGAGATTTTAAGCTTTTAGGTTAAGGACTACAATTTCCCAGTGACATTTTCAGTGCTAGGTGGAAAGTCTGTGCTGAAATTGATGCTCTTTCTTAAAAAAAGAAATGTTAGCACTTACTTCACCTTTTAACTTAGGCTGCAGAACTAAAGAAATAGGTTTATATTCTTTAAGGTGGGAAAGACCTTAATAACTGCCTGAAGTGACAAACTGTAATAGGAAGTAGATTTTTGTACTAATAGACTTCCGCTTAATAAAATCACACATTTATGTAGATCAATACAGGGAAACCATTATGTGTGAGTATACTACGTTTCAAAACTTTCTTGTTTTGTCCATTCTCAAAGTGATATATGCTCATTAGGGAAAACAACAGGAAAAAAAGGGAGACAAAAAATCAACCGTACTCCCACTAACCAAAACAATATCAATGTTAACACTTGATGAAATGATTTTCTTTATTCATTTATCTAAATGGAATTTGGGGTTTTGTTTTATTCCTTTTTCCTTTTTATGTAATTGTGATCATTCTGTATATGGAACTCTGAACTCCTATATATAAACATTCATAACATATAATGAAAGTACCTTGCTTTCTTAATATTATGGCATGAACATTTCTCTTATTATAAATTTTTACAAAGTATTTCAAAACAATTACATAATATCTCATTGAGTGGTGATTCCTGACCTTACTTAACTATTTTATTCTATGGCATGTTAAAATGGTTACCAATTTTTGCTATCACATTAAGCCAGAAAAGAATATCCCTAAACAGAAAGGTTTTTCATTTGGTCTTTGTTTCTTGGGATAAATTTTCAGGAATAGAGTTATTAGTTCAAAGGGAAGAAATACTTGAAGGGTTTTGGTATACATTATCAAAGTTTTTCCAAAAGACTTGCAACAATTGGCACTCCTCTCTACAAGATACCCTTAAGTTATTAGCAGTAAGTTGTCTCATTAAAAACAGCTTATGTTTGTGAATTTGCTGGGAAGAAATACTTTTTTTCTTATCTTAATTTGCAAATCTTGATCACCATGTGTTGAAATATTTCCACATTTTCATTTATTAGTTGTTGCTCATCTTTTATGATTTTCTAGCAATGATTTTTGCACATTATCTATCATGATTTTAAAGTTTCCATTATTAACACTTTTACACTGTTGGTGGGACTGTAAACTAGTTCAACCATTGTGGAAGACAGTGTGGCGATTCCTCAAGGATCTAGAACTAGAAATACCATTTGACCCAGCCATCCCATTACTGGGTATATACCAAAAGGATTATAAATCATGCTGCTATAAAGACACATGCATGCGTATGTTTATTGCGGCACTATTCACAATAGCAAAGACTTGGAACCAATCCAAAAGTCCAACAATGATAGACTGAATTAAGAAAATGTGGCACATATACACCATGGAATACTATGCAGCCATAAAAAAAGATGAGTTCATGTCCTTTGTAGGGACATGGATGAAGCTGGAAACCATCATTCTGAGAAAACTATCGCAAGGACAGAAAACCAAACACTGCATGTTCTCACTTATAGGTGAGAATTGAACAATGAGAACACTTGGACACAGGATGGGGAACAGCACACACCGGGGCCTGTCATGGGGTGGGAGAAGAGGGGAGGGATAGCATTAGGAGATATACCCAATGTAAACGACGAGTTAATGGGTGCAGCACACCAACACGACACATATATACATATGTAACAAACCTGCATGTTATACACATGTACCCTAGAACTTAAAGTATAATGAATAAATAAATAAATAAATGTTTCCAGTATTGATTTCTGTGGCTTTTCATAAGGAAGAAAATGAATGTGATTCACAATTGATTCAAAAAATGTCCAAAGTATTTGCCCTTTGATTTTTTTATAGGCATAAGTTATTATTTTTATGGCATTAACATCTATCTCTGTCCTTACAGTTTTTCCATTATTTTTAAGTTGGTAAACCTTCCCCCAAACAGAGATTTGATAGTTTTCTTCTAAACTTTTAAATTTATATGATTTTTTCAAGTCTCTTTTATTCTTGTAGATTTTTGGGGGGTGTATGGTAAGAGGTAAGAATCCAAAGATATCTTTTTTTGTAAACAGATAACCAGTTGTCCCAACACTACTTATTAAATACTACTTTTTTAACCATTAGTTTGTGGTGCCTCCTTTACCATATATTGCAGCTTACCTATCATAGAGTTCATCTGAGCTACCTGGTTCTAGTGATTAGCCTATATCAAGCCCACACTGCTTAAGGAATCCAAGCTTCATAATACTTCTTAATATATGGTACAATTCTCCACCACTTATTAATATTCTATTTTAAGAAAAAAAATATTTTTCTTAATTTTTTTTTTTACAAAGTTTCTCTCAAAAGAATCCCATCTGGACTTTGAATTATAATATTAAAATGATAAATTAATTTGAAAAAAGATAATTTTTTACTATTTAACCCTACCTCCTGATAAAATGTACATCTTTCATTTGCTACAGTTTTACTTTAGGGCATTAGGTAATCTCTTACAGTTTTTAAAAATTTTTTAAATAATTTTTATTCAGGTTATCTTATTTTATTTATTTATTTATTTTGAGACAGTTTCCTTCTGTCACCCAGGCTGGAATGCAATGGTGCGCTGTCACCTCATTGTGACCTCTGCCTCCCAGACTCACGTGATTTTCGTGCTTCAACCTCCCGAGTCACTGGGATTATAGGCATGTGCCTCCATGTCCGGCTAATTTTTGTATTTTTAGTAGAAATGGGGTTTCGTTATGTTGGCCAGGCTGGTCTCAAACTCTTGGCCCCAAGTGATCTGTCCACCTCAGCCTCCCAGAGTGCTGGGGTTACAGGCATGAGCCACTGGGCCTGGCCTATTCAGGTCATTTCTACTAATTGCAGATTTGTGCTATTTATGCACATGGACATTCTATTTTATTATACTATGTAACCTAAGTACTTATAGGGTTATGAAGAAAAGCTAATCAAATATTTTATGTTTAACTTATATTTAGCCTCATTATTTACCCTTTTATAAAATTTAATATTTTTTGTGTTTATTTAAACTTCTAATAATATATCATAATCCATATATAATAAACATACCAATTAAATACATTAATATAATGTAATCCCCATATATTTAAAGTTTTCAATACTGTCACTTAGTTCCTCCCTCCACATATTTATAACCCCTTAAATATGTTTAATATTTCATTGTCTTGACTGGACATTCCAGATTGATAGTTAGATAATCCTGAGGTTACAAGTTAATTGATTTAATGATAATTAAATGTTTAGGTGTTCTTGAAAAACTAGTTCTTTTAAATAAAATCAATGATGAGTTTCCATAAGATGTGAAGTATTCTGGTGTAAAATAAAAGATTCTTTTGTAATTCACAAGCTCCATATTTAAAGAATGCTTAAAATGAAACCCATTTGCGATGTTACATGTAAAATGCCATGTATTGGAACCATGAATGAATTCTCAAAATCTAAAGTACAGTTACAAAGACTTCTCTGAGCACTTGCATTGAATCTAACAGACTGACACATTTTCTATGTGTTAGATGATAAAAATATGCAGTGGGTAGGAGCCTGTGAAAAAATACTCTGGTTAATTTATTATGAATTGTAACATACACAAAATTACCATGGGCAATACCATGTCAAAATTAATTTTAGTAATCTTGACATAAAACCGAATTTGTTTAAAAAAATAAGAGAAAATATTCTGGCAACCCCTCAGTATGGGCCAAAAATGAAGAAAAAAAAAAAGTGAGTGGTGGGAAGACATGTTGAGATAGACCAGAAAGCCAGTATATGTGGTAAACTTGCATTGCTGCCGAAGTCTGCCACTAGAAAATAATTGTAAAGATACAAAAAGTCACAGTAGGGAATTATCTAGCCAGAGAGAAGAATGTGGGGAATACAGACTTAATAAACGGTCTTTGGTGGGATCCAAGAAATCATTTGTAGCAGGATGTTAAAATGTGACCCTTCCTGCCTCATATTTTCACCTGAGACCCTAAATTACCTCCCAAGGATCCTTCGTGTGGCTAAAACCAGTTCTAACAGCCTTTGCCAGTCACCTGCCCCCATCAGAACATGTTAGGAAAAGCTTTTTAAAAAAGATGAAAAGAATATCTTTGAGCAGAAAGCTTTTTTATTATTTGGGCTTAGTTCCTTAGGACTGATCCCCAGGAATGAAATTATTTGTTCAAAGGGAAGAACTATTTGAAAGGAAATCCTCATGAGGAATGTGAAAGGAAAATAAATCTCGGGACCCCAAAATCACTAAGCCAAAGGGAAAAGCCAAGCTGGGAACTGCTTAGGGAAACTTTTTTCCCATTCTATTCCTAAGAAAGATAGCTACTAAGATAAACTCAAAGTCATCCCTCCACTCACTGAGATAAATGCATATCTGATTGCCTCCTTAGGAAAAACTAATCAGAAACTCAAAAGACTGCAAACACTTGTCACTTATATACTTACAACCTGGAAGCCCCCTCCCCACTTAGCATTGTCCTGCCTTTCCAAACCAAACCAATGTACATCTTACACATATTGATTGATGTCTCATGTCTCCCTAAAATGCATAAAACCAATTGTGCCCCAACCACTTTGGGCACATGTCATCAGGACCTCCTGAGGTTGGGTCACAGGCGCATCCTTAACCTTAGCAAAATAAACTTTCTAAATTGATTGAGGCCTGTCTCAGATATTTGGGGTTCACAAGAGGCTGAAGAGATTGAAGATGAAGGATGTGTATGGTATTCTGTGTTGTGGCACTTCCCTTCCTCACCTGTAGTGAAGAGAAGATGGCTTTAAGGGAACCAGGTGGAGGGCATGTGTCCCTTCAACTTCCAGGATGGTACCAGCCTCACTCTTAGAAAGTCCAAAGGAGAGAGAGCACCTGTAGCAGCCTGCCTGAGACACAGCCAAACGGCAGGATTTATTGGTGTCAGATGTATGTCTAGAGTTGAAGAGGACAAAAGTGAATAAAGAGGCTAGATGTAGACAGATCCAGGATCTAAGGGGAAACAGGAAACAGCCAGCTGGAAGAGGAAGCTCCTTGCCAGAAAACCGGAATTGGAGATCCTCAGGGAGGACTCTCCAAGGAAGCCATAATAGTGTACCATAAGAGAAAGAGGCAGCTAGGGACATCTGCCACCCCCAGACCCACCAAGTCTAACAGAGAAATAAGGCCTTCTCTCCCACTCACCAATACGCTGCACCACTACAGTCTTTAAGCCCGGAGAAGCAGGAAGCAGCAAGGGCGGGGGTGTGGGAGGAGTAAAAGAGCAAGACAAAAAAATAGAGATGAAAGGCAGTCCCCATGCTCTGCCCCATAAGAATGGGCCTTGTGCCTGGAACACTTCCTTGCCAAGTTCCAGGCTCTGTGTGTGCTCCTCTGTTAGTCTTAATCATATGTGTCAACGGCCCTCAAGCACACCCCCAGCTTTCAGTATTTCAGGCCCCACAGGGGAAGGGTCAGCGTCCTACTACTGCAGTACAGGATGGGTATGTGAAGGCCTCTTGCCCTGCATTGGCTGCCAGAGGGGCCCACTAGCCATGCAAGACTCATGCACATTGTTGGAGCTGATCTCACCCTGTCTCTTCTCTATGTGAGTAAAAGCGTTGCTCCAGCCAGTGCTTGACAGTACTGCGTTTTCCTTGGCGACTCCAATACTAAGATACAGTGGGCATAAGTGTTTGGATTTCTATTACAGGTGGCTGGCATTATGATGACCTTGTCTATCCTCCAGATAGTTGGAATCTTCACCTGGCATTGGTAACTGGTACATGTTTTTCTGCTCAACAGTAGGCTTACAGATGAGGTCAAGTACAAACTGGAATAGGGAAGAAGTTTTAACTTGAATAAACAATTGTATTAGACTTTAGTGAATATTTTAATACTAAAAATCACCAGAAGAACTATGAGATCAGCCTGGTGTGTCTTCCAGGGATGGTGGGGGGAGGGGTGGGGAATGACAAAATGCAAAAATTAAGAAAGAATTAAGTTGCTTTCTCCATTCCACAAATGAGTTAGAGAACTGACTAAGGGGGTGATAGAGCCAGCTAGTGAGAGTCAGTTACGTTCATTCCATTCCAATTCTGAGTTCCATGGCATCACACTGGGGATTTGAAATTGACCATAGTGGTAGTATTTACACGAGAGAAATTGGCAAATGCTACAAATCAGGTTTTTCTTTTTTTTCTAAAAGCAAGTTGTTAAACATTTACCACCACATCGCTAGAAAGAACCTTTCGTCTAAAATTCAGGTGGCCTGTAGAAAACTTTTAACCAGAACCAAGGATTGGAACTAGGAACTGAGGCAGGAAATAGGGTCTGGAGGCAGGGAACCTAAGGACTTCCTAGAACTAAATTAAATGGAAAAACCCCAACCCAGCCTTCTAAGTCCAAGTAAATAACTTTGTAACTCTACTTCAGCTATGACAGGAAACATCCTCTTCTTTGCATAGGGTGTACACATCCACTTTGCATAGGGTGTACACATCCACTTTGCATAGGGTGTACACATCCACTTTGCATAGGGTGTACACCAAGTAAATAACTTTGTAACTTCACTTTAGCCTCTTCATCTGCATAGGATGGTACACTAAGTAACCAATGGAAACCTCTAGAGAGAATTTAAACTCCAGAAAATTCTGTAACCAGGCCCTTGAGCCGTATGCTCGGCCCACTCCTACCTTGTGGAGTATGTTTCTGATTTCAATAAATCTCTGCTTTAGTTGCTTCATTCTTTCTTTCTTTGTACGTTTTGTCCAATTTATGTTCAAGACACCGAGAACCTGGACACCCTCCACCGGTAGCAGAACCAGCAAATAAAATTGGCATCCCCAAGGATCAAGGCTGAGAGAGGAAATAATAACCTAAAAATTAATCCAAGGATGATCACATCATAAAGGCCACTTCGCCTTTGAACATGCCATTTAGACTAAGGTCAATTTAAACATTAGCCTAAAGGTTAGTAAAGGGGTGCTAGAACAATAAAAAACAGGAAGACAAGACCAGCACAGTCCAGGGACAACAGGACCAGACCTACTGGACCTTAGGCTGACTTCTAAGCATCCCCAGCAAGTGCCCAACATAGACAGAACTAGAGGGAAAAAAAAGAAAACACTAACAAAAGAAGTAGGGAACAGCCATGGAAGGAATCTAGAAAGGACGCTACCAGAATGTATATGTAGCCTTGTTTACAATTCAGTGAATTCTAGAGACAATCGCTGTATTAGTCTGTTTCCACACTGCTGATAAAGACATACCCGAGACTGGTTAATTTATAAAGAAAAAGAGGTTTAAGGGACTCACAGTTCCATGCAGCTGGGGAGGCCTCACAATCATAGTGGAACGTGAAACGCACATCTTTCATGGTGGCAGACGAGAGAGAATGAAAACCAAGTGAAAGGGATTTCCCCTTATAAAACATTCAGATCTCGTGAGACTTATTCACTACTTCAAGAACAGCATGGGGGAAATCACCCCTATGATTCAATTAACTCTGATTAGGTTCCTCCCACAACACGTGGGAATTATGGGAGCTACAATTCAAGGTGAGATTTGGATGGGGACACAGCCAAACCATATCAATTACTTGAGTATATTTTGAGATTCATTCTCTGAGATCTGTTACTTTCGTCAATCTATGTGTTTTCCCATAGTTCTTAGCAATATAAATAAATAACAATGAAAGAGAGTTGTTAGGCATGCCTCAAATACAGCAGGGAAGGAGGAAGCTAAGAAAAATATATATATAAGAGGAATGTGAGGAGGTAGCCGGGCAGAGGAATGTAAACAACTGCAATTGGAAAAGAAACAAGCAGGAGCAAATATCCGAGGGATTGGCAAACTGGTTCTCTGGCAGATTAGCCTGCAGGAAAGTTCCAAGGCCCTCATCATTTCTCTGAAGTCTGGGATCAGTATCTTTCAGAGGAATGGTTTTTCTTAGAAAATGCACACTCCCACATCAGGCATCTCATTAACTTGTGGATTTGCTACAGATTATTTCTCTGCTCTTACGGCAATTTTTAAGCCTCTGAACTTTATCTTATTGTTAGTCATGATTTGATGTGGAATTATAAGCCCCATTAAAATGATTTAAATCTCTTAGAAAAGACCAAAAGCTGCAGTTCTGTCTGTGATAAGACCACTTGAAGATAACAACCATAATTGTCCAGAGTAACTAAACAATCCCTCGCTTGTGGATAAATAAGTCTTGGTATAATCGATCTTTCAGGGATGCTAATCATTCTGTCAGAATCATTGTTGGTTTTGTATTTCCCCAGCAATGATGAACCATCTAACTTAGATCGTATTTCCCATAGATGTCATATCATCTATGGGATATAGATGGAAGATCATAAAACCTTAGTGCTAAAAGATGATCTAATTTAACCTGTCAATTGTATAACTAACCCAACACTCAGAAGAGAAATTAAGTGACTTATCCAAGATCATACAGTTCAGTAGAATTCCATTGACCTAGGGCATCAATTAAATGCTTAACACTTGGTTAATTCAAAAAGTGATAAAATTCAGAGATGCCATATGTTGAACTACATGCATTCTATTTTTCTATTCCTGCATTAGTGTAATGCCTCTTTGTAATGACCAAAATAACAAGTTTATTGAGGCACAGATAGGTAGTTGCATGTTTATGGATTTACAGTGTAACAGAAAGGACCCAGAGCTATTAAAAATCCCTAGACATGTGCCCCAATGCCTGGAAGCCCACAAGGAGCTATTCATTTCTGTTGATTTTTCATACTTCTGAGTGATACATATTAAAAACCCTCAAGATTGTCTGCTACTGGGAAACTCACATAACTTTCTTGAGCATTGGTTTTAATATTATTTTTTACAATATTGGAAAATAGACCTTTAAGCTACCCCCAAGTTATAAATGCAATGGGAATGATGCTCAGATAGGCAAAAATAACAACAATGACTATTCATCCATTCTAGGATGCCCATCAAAGGCCATCACAAGCAGCCAAACAATCAGTTCTCTTTTTCAGGAAATGGAGCAAGGTATCTGCATCCCATCCTTCTTCTGCAGGAAAGAAGGACAGCTAAATTTCCATATCAAACCAGGAGGAACTTGATATTATATTCCTTTTTGTTTTGTTTTGTTTTGAGACTGATTCTCTCTGTCACTCAGACTAGAGTGCAGTGGCATGATCTCGGCTCACTGCAACCTCCGCCTCCCAGGTTCAAGCAATTCTCCTGCCTCAATCTCCCAAGTAGCTGGGATTACAGGCACCTGCCACCATGCCTGGTTAATTTTTATATTTTTAATAGAGACGGGGTTTCACCATGTTGGTCAGGCTGATCTTGAGCTCCTGACCTCAGGTGATCTGCCTAACTTGGCCTCCCAAACTGCTGGGATTACAGTGATACTATAGTCTAGGATCTACCACTGAGTGAATTCCACAGTCAGCATCAACATGATTATCACAGTATCTTTCAGAAATCAGAGAATTGGAAACAGATTTCCAAGAGTATTATTCCTAGGAGAGGTAAATTTTAAAAGAATAAGGTTGGCAGGGAAAGGATCAATGGCAGACCAAAAACCAGAGAGGTGAGATTTGGAGAGAAACCTTTGGATATCCACAGGACATCAAAATGGTGTTAGGAGACGATAATACACGGGACCAAAAAGGGAAAGGCTTTGAAAGAGGAGCTAAGGCAGTGCTACTTTTCCATTCCTCTAACTGCTGGATTATTTTCTTTCATGTGTGCTATAATTTGAGGTTTTCATGTGGACTCCACCCCTTCTCAGGTAGTTTTCGTCTGAAAGGTATACTTTATGTAAGCGGCATTTCTCCTGTCCTTCAATAATAGCATTTATCTGTTAACCACTCAGCTCCGTGGTAGGCTCTCACAGTGGGATCTCATCAAACACACAATTACCCACTCCAGCTGCCATGAATGTGGCATTAATTTCTGACTCTCTGAGACAAAAATTAGATTGTGTTCCAAGTTCTTAGGACTGTAACACCGAACAAAATAACTGAAGTGAGTCTCAATCAATTTAGAGGTTTATTTTGCCAAAGTTAAGGATGCATCCAGGAAAGAGAGACACAAGTCCCAGAAGGATCTGTGGCCCATATTTTTTCCAAAGAGGACTTTGAGAGCTTCAATATTTAAAGTGAAAAAAGTGGGCCGTGGGAAAAGGGGAGAGAAAAAGAGGGAGGATACAGTCACATTCTTGTGATGCTTTGATTAGGCTCACTGAATACTCACATGGAAAGGAGGGGGTAGAGGGAATAGTCAATTAGGTATTCATCTCACATTCAGTAAATCTGCACTTTACATAAGATAAAGTAAACATAGAGTAGAGGAGGAAGTCAAATATGCATTCATCTCAGGGTGGATAGGAATGATTTCCAGTCTCCTCTTGTACCATACTGTGAAGATAAGCTGTTCACTTACATTGTCAGAGTGAGAGAAGCCCCCTGAAGAGACATGTGGCCTTCTACCCTATAACTATTTGTTTAGGAACTCAAGCAAAGGTAGTTTGCTATTGTTGTTGTTGTTGTTGTTGTTTGTGTGTGTGTGTGTGTGTGTGTGTGTGTGTGTGTGTGTGTGTGTGTTCTGCATGACTCAACTTAACTTTTCCTTTTTGGCTTAGTGAATTGGGAGTACTGAGATATTATTTCCTTGCACAGGAATTTACCTGATATCGCTAAGTGACTGATTCCTTGGCAATCATGGAATTTTACATTAAGGCTGAATTTTTAATTAATAGCCCGTGGAACCTCCCTGGGACCCATAGTCATTTTTACGATACGCCAAAATTAACTGCGACCACCTGTCCAACTCTTGCCATGTGCTCAGAGACCAAAGGGCAGACGACTTTGCCAACCAAGCGCGCACATTCCTCAGCTGCCTGTCTGAGGCTTCATTACTGACTTACTGAGAGATAAAAGCTTTTGTCTTCAGCATCTCCCCTGCCAGGTTGGTGATAAATTTACTAGTGCAAATTACCATCCAGGACAATGCTGCAATTCCATTTTGCCAGAGGCAGCTGATTTTCTTTTTAAAGGTGAACCAGCTCCTAGTTCCTGAAAACAACTTTTTCTCCTCACACTCAGCTTTCACACATTTGCAGAAACTATTATTAAGGGATTCTTTTTTCTCACTCTTGAAGTCTATTACAAGGCAATTGCTGAATACAGAGTATATCCAGTTTCCAAAACTGAAAATAAGAGAAGATTGGTGCTCCTGGCCCTCAGAACCATTCTTTTACCCTTTTTGGCACCCTCCCTCTGAGTATAGCTCATACCCTCTGTAATGGCTTTTTTGATGTCAACCCAGCTAAGCTGTAGTCCCCAGGTATTCAAACACTAATCTACTTGTTGCTTTGAAAGGATTTTGCAGATTTAAAGTCCCTGTTCAGTTGACTTTAATTAAGGGAGATTATCCTGGACAACCTGGGTGGGCCTGGCTTAATCAGTTGGAAAGCAGGCCCGAGCCTTCCTGGAGAGACGGAATTCCACCTGCAGACAACAATTTTGTACTGTGTGGTGGAGGTCATTACTCCCTACTGGTCCTACTTCTCTGGGCAAATGCTAAGTGACACACCTTCGTACTATAACACACACAAGCCCGCTGGGAACATCTTTCTGGTGACCCCTGCTTTGGACTTCCCTTTCTCTCTTCCTTCACTCAAATTTTCTTTGTATGCCACAGTGATGATATTCCTTGGTAAACAAAAAGCTAGGACCTGTGACCTAAGGATAGATGTCTTTTATTGTTCTGTGAACATGTTTAAATGAACTATCTTATCAGAGTATAGATATTAAATTCTGTTTATGCATATGATGGCCCAAATTTATTGGAAGGAAAAAATTACTTGAAATTGGTATACCCAGGATAATTTGTGGCATATGATCACCACAACTGTACCCAAATCAATAAACTTCCCATTAGAAATGAATATTATCCCATTTATGCTAAGGTGTTAAAGGTCTTGAGATTGGACTTTTACGCCATACGAACATAAACACTTAAGTGTAATACATATCATAATGTATTTTTATTTTTACAGAATTCTTCAAAAGTTATTACTGCATAAATCAGTATTTCTGATATTGTGGTTCTCTGACCAGCAACATAAGCATTAAAAACTTATTAAAGATAAAAATTTAAATTTTCATGCCCCACCCAAGACTTGATGAATCAGATGAATCTCTGCAGGGGGTGAGGGGCAGGGGTTCCAGCAATCTGTGTTTTAACAAACCCTCCAGGCAAGTCTGATGTCATCTAAAGTTTGAGAACTACTTTCTTAATCTGAGAAAATCACAGTACTGGGAACACATGGGCTAATTTTGAATGACAGATTTGTGGACAGTTAATGAGTTAAGGTATTAAAAAAAAACCTGGAAATTGTTTGTAAAAACAACCATCAAAAATGAATTAATTAGGAGAATACTGGCATCTACCACCAACTTAGCAAGTTTAACACGTTGGAATGTAGGTGAACAGGCAGCCCCAGCACCAGCCCCAATGTTTATAAAACTTCCTTCTAGAGCACAGCCACTAGCAACTCAGTTTTCATCTCCCAATAGTTACTTCGTCTCAACTCAAACTATGAAATTTCAGATATTTGAAACTAGACGGGCTTAGCCTAAGTCAGGGATTCATCACTATAACTTGACAGGGTCACAGAGTAGGAACACAACCATGAAAACTTTTCATCCATGGGTCAAAACTGTTACAGGGAGTTAGACAGGCATGAGCGGGGCAAGAGAGGGCTCTCCCCTACCCACTGGGAATATCGGATGATGGTTGTGCAATTATCACATTGCCTCTCTAAAAGTGATCAATTGGCAGCCAGTGCCAGGAAGAGGCCATTTCCTGATGGTCCACACCTGTTGCATTAAAGTGTTAGTTGAATGCAGGTTCCAGGGAGAAGCAAAAAGGGGCTTCCAATAAAATCTCAGGTATAGGGCAAGTAAGCCTGGGCATGCACATTAAGCGACAAAATGGCGGAGTATGACCTTCCGGGGACACTCCACCGGAAAAGGGAAGAAAGCCTCAGATGGGCATGCACACAACTTCCTAAACACACTACCGCGTGCTCACCTCTGAGCATAAGGAAGGCACTGCACATGGGGGCGGCCCACCCTAAGGGAAGAACCATGGGCAAGGGACCAGCCTAAAAAGTCCTAAGATCAAGGTTAAATACTGCACTTGACCTCAGTGCCCACTTGAGTCTCTTCCTAAAGTATTTTCCTTTCTTTCCTGTTCTAAAGCCTTTTTACATAAACTTCCACTCCTCCTCTGAAACTTGCCCGTCTCTTTTTCTCTCTTACGCCCCTCGGTTGAATTCTTTCTAATGAGAAGGCAGGTATTGAGGTCGCTGTAGACACGTACAGATTCGTCACCAATAACTCAGATACCGTTCACCTTTCACTCTAAAGAGGAAGAAAGCCTATAAGCTAATCAGCCACCCAAAACTATAACTACCCGGAGCCATCCTGGACTTACCTCGATGCTCCTATGCTGCATACTACAGGTGGCTATGCTTCCTCAGCATGACACCAGATTATGCTACTCCCATTCATCCTTCCTGGATCATTTAAAATGTCGTCTCCGCCGGCCATGACCCTTTCAGTCTGGGCTGGCCACAATTTCTCATGCTCTTATAGCACTGATGTGGACTTCACATCCGCTTTTATTTTCTTCAAACCCTGCCTTTGCCTCCATTCCCTTGCCGTATCATTCCATCAGACTCTGCTTGAGAGTTTCTAACAAATACAAATATCTTTAGAATTTAAGGTCTGAAAAAAAGGAGATTTCAGTATGTTCAAACGAAAAGGCTTGAGCACATTAGTAAACTCAGTAGACAAAGGAGTTCTAATCTCTGGGCAAAATTGGAATCGGCAATGTATTTGGAAAAAAAAGTGTGAAGTGCAGCTCTGAAAAGTTACCCTTTCCTTCAGAAACTGAGAATGATGTGTACATACTGAGACGATATTGTGAAGTGTTAACTTGTAATTCTCCCTAAAACTGCCCCTCATACCTCTCCTCATTCAGGCTGCTGAGCAGGAGCATTGCCTGAACCATGTTCCATGTTGTCATCCCAACAAACACAGAGAAATAGGGGATCACATTTTAGCTTCTTAAAAGTTTCTTGGCTGAGACTGGGTGTGGTGGCGCACCCCTATAATTCCAGCACTTTGAGAGGCCGAGGTGGGCAGATCCCCTGAGGTCAGGAGTTCAAGACCAGCCTGGCCAACATGGTGAAACCCCATCTCCACAAAAATACAAAAATTAGCCAGGCATGATGCCAGGTGCCTGTAATCCCAGCTACTCAGAAGGCTGAGGCAGGAGAATCACTTGAACCCAGGAGGCGGAGGTTGCAGTGAGCCGATATCCCACCATTGCACTCCAGCCACAGAGTAAGACTCCATCTAAAAAAAAAAAAAGAAGAAAAGAAAAGAAAAAAGTTTTTTGACTGAGGATGGCAGCTCACTCCTGTGATCCCAGTACTTTGGGAGAACGCGGTGGACAGTTGCTTGAGCCCAGTAGTTCAAGACCAACCTGGGCAACATGGCAAAACTCCGTGTCTACAAAAATAATAAAAATTAGCCAGGTTTGGTGGTGCACATCCCAGCTACTCAGGAGGCTGAGGTGGGAGGATTGATTGAGCCCAGGAGGAGGAGGCTGCAGTGAGCTGAGAGCGTGCCACTGTACTCCAGTCTGGGTGACAGAGTGAGATCCTGTCTCAAAAAAATAAATAAAAGTTCTTTTTTCCGTTACCGTCACCTATACCCCACCATTTCCCATCCCCGGAATCGACAAAAACCTCTTTGTCTGGAGGGGAGAAGGGTGAAAGATAGAAAGCAATTTAAACCATTAATCAACAAGAAAGAGTTTTAGTCATATTAGGCAGTGTGAGAAGGACGCAGAAAATCTTATTCCATGGTTAAAAGACAGAGAAAGAGAGGAGAAGAGAGAAAAGGAAGCAGAAATGGAAGGAGGAAAGAGAGAAAAGAAGAGAAGAGAAGAGAAGGGAGAAGAGAACAACAGATTTTAACCTCCTCCAGCCCTTGTTTGTGCTCACACACAGCCTCCCAGGAGAGCTATCCCACAGGATGCATAGCAGGCCTGGCGAAGCAAGTAAGCTTGCCAGCATCTCTCCCAGTGAAACATCCAAACACCCTCGAACCACGAAGAAAAGCAACATGGAAAATTGGAGAAACAGGAACCAAACTGGGGAAATCTATAAGAGTGTATTGACCTCAGAATCAGGGCCTCCTACTTGAGATATTCTCAGAAGATAATGACAGGAATTTGATTTCTCTCCTTGAATTAATGTTATTTCTAGATGTCTGGAATTTCCAAGTTGACCAACAGTCATTTGTTGTTATTTTTTTCTTTTTTTTTTTAATCCCACAGACTTGGCAACATTCTCTTCAAAGTGGCGTATCCAGGCCAGGCGCAGTGGCTCACGCCTGTAATCCCAGCGCTTTGGGAGGCCAAGGTGGGCAGATCACCTGAGGTCAGGAGTTCGAGACCAACCTGGCCAACATGGCAAAACCGCATCTCTACTAAAAATACAAAAATGAGTTGGGCGTGGTGGCACGTGCCTATAATCCCGCTACTCAGGCGGCTGAGGCAGGAGAATTGCTTGAACCTGGGAGGTAGAGGTTGCAGTGAGCCAAGATAGCGCCATTGCACTCCAGCCTGGGCAACAAGAGCAAAACTCCATCTCAAAAAATAAAATAAAATAAAATAAAATAAAATAAAATAAAATAAAATAAAATAAAATAAAGTAAAAATAAAATAAAATAAAATGACATATCTAATGCCACAAGTGTCTTTAGATTATTCTCTCATTGCCTCCCCTCTGATTTTTTCTTACCTTCTTTCCATTTCTGTCTTCCCTCCCCACTTCGAATGTTCTTATCTATCCTTTTATTCACAGTTCCTTAGGTCAGCCACATCTGGGATATTCAAACTTTCTGGACTGGCCTCTTATTTGGGTAAGAAACAGGATTACCTGTCATTCTCTCTTCTTTTTACCCATGTTTTAGAACCTGCTATTGGATAATTGCATTGTTTATTCTGTGTCTTTAGAAAGTCTGTAAGAGTAAGACCACTGGAATCAGAATAAAGAGCCCTACTTTCCACCCCCACACTTCTGTTTCTTCTTTTTTTTTTTTTTTTTTTTTTTTTTTGAGATGAGTCTCGCTCTGTCAGCCGAGGTGGGCGGATCACCCTGGCCAACATGGCAAAACCCCATCTCTACTAAAAATACTTCCATTTCTTAAATAGCTGGGAAAAGCAATTTTTAGCCATTAGTTTCCTCATCTGTAAAATAAATAAGTTAAACTAAATTTCCATTAAGTTTCCTTCCTGTTGTAAAATGCTATGATTCTCAATGGAAAAAAAAAAGACCCATATTTAAACTTAGGTTATTCAAGGAAAATGAATTAATTTTGTTTCAGGCACCAGCAAAGATTCTTCTATTTTGTAAGAGGAAATAATAGAAAACACTCATATCAGGTATTCATTCAGAACCATTACAACTAAAAATATGTTCTTCCTTATTATCTTCTATTTTAACTTTCTCACTTCCTTTAATGTATTAATTTTTACACCGATGGAGTTTTCTCCCACACTTTCTTCCTTTTTCCTGGCTGGTAAAATGGGAAGCTGGTCCAGTTCAGAGTTTGCCTCCTCCTCTACACATACTAGGACCCCCTGTCCAGCTTCCCTGAGACATCATCTAACACAGTGCACTGTCTTCACCTTCTACTCTCATTTTTTCCTCTCTGCAGGGCACTGCCACTGTTCAATCATCTGTCTCTCCACTGGTTCCCATGTGAAATTCATACAAGTAAAGCAATTTCTTGCTTGTCTTTATGTCTCTGGGCCCAGCCAGTACTTGAAGCAGACATGCGTCTAATAACTAATGATTGAATAAATTAATTATAAAAATGTATCTATCATGCTAGATGAAAAACCCTGAAGGAAACTTAAATGTATTTTGCTAAGTGAAAGAAGCCAGTCCAAAAAGGCTACCTACTACTGTTTGATTTCCAGTGTATGACACTGAAAATGACAAAACTATGGAGACAGCAAAAAGATCAATGGTTGCCAGGAACTTGGGGAGAGAGAGGAAGGAAAGAATAGATGGAGTACAGGGCCTCTTTAGAGCAGTGAAACTATTCTGGTGGATATGGTGGATACATATGATGATATATTTGACAAAACCTACAGAATTGTACAAGGAGTGAACCCTAATGTAAAGTATGGGTTTTAGTTAATAATCATGTATTAATATTAGTTTATCAATTGTAACAAAAGTAGCACTCCAAAGCCAGATGCTAATAATAGGGGGAACTGAGGCAAGGATAGAGGAAGCATGTGGTAATTCTATACTATACGCTCAATTTTTGTAAGCCTAAAACCCCTCTAAAAATTAAAGTCTATTAATTCTTAAAAAATGAATGAGCCCCCATTAGTCTCTCCTAGGTCACTTGTTTTTGTGTAAGTAAACTTTTAACTTGGAGCAGGTAAAGACAGCTAGATAGGGTCACACAGCTCATGCTGACGTTAGAACAAGACATCAGGCCTGCTACTTTCCTGCCTAAGGACTTTTCCTATAGTTGACTTGCTTTTCATTCTGGTCTTATTTAACTTTTAGTTGTTTTTTTTTTTTAATCATCTGTTAGCTTTTATCTTTTTTTCATAGCTTTTCCTGCAACCTAGACATTGTTTATATCATTATCTTGGCTGTGTCACTAATTAGCAATTGATTTCTGAAAATTTAGCTCGTCATCAATAAATGCTGTTCCTAAGTAGTCAATTAGAATGAACATCTCCCAGGGATTTATGGGGTTATTAAGTCTGGAAGGTAGTCTTGGTGAAGGCATACATTAAGACCTTGTATCCCAGGAGGATTATCTGTGGTGACAGCAACAGGAGGTGAACCTGCTCAGCCCAGCTGTGGAGTTCAGCACCAGGCTGGTGAATCCATCTTCCCAAGACCTCATGCTGTCACAGCCAGGAGACTTATGCTCTAATTATGTGCCCCTTCTTTTGCAACCCCTACAGCTTAATGGGTTTCACATTCTCTTAAGGTCTAATGTCCATTTTAAAATTGACTGACATGCCATTATCTCTCAGGTTTGGGGGGACTTGTTTCTTCCTAGGAAGGGAGTTTTGCAATATATCTATTCATCTGCTCCTGACTAGTGCATTAAAGAGAGCTCTTCTTCAATCTTGTCTTCCCACAAATGAAGTAGCACTTTGTTCTCCTAGAGAAGCTCTTTTTATGGAACTGCATTAATCACCTACATAAACCCACCTCCTCGTGCATCCCAATGCTTATGTTCCTCCTTTCTGAAGCTCTCCCCAGTTGGCAATGAAAGGAAGTGCAGACAATGAGCTGTGGCTTCTTGAAGGGCAGAGGCAGACTCCTCAGTCACCCTCTGATGAATGATTACAAGAACTCATTGTGCAAGGCAATGAAGAACATTTATGTTGATACAATACCTGGGCTTTAAAATGCCTTCCGATGACATAACACCAGGAAAAATCAACACAGCCACTTCAGCTGGGATCTCTGAGCAGGAGCCTCAGATGTACTCATTTTTAATTAAATCCCTCTCTCTCTCTCTCTCTCTCTCTCTCTCTGCAAGCCTATGAGAGAGTGGATAAGACAAGGGCAAAATATGAATGACTTATTTTAAATAAAGAGACAACCTGTAAGCTATTTTCCCTGGCCAGTTCATAAAGCTCAGTAAGTGAGTACAGTGAAAACAGAATTGTTGAAAGGTCATTCAACAGGTAATAACTGTTATTGGTTATGGTGGTAGTTTAAAAACTCACCTATTTAGGTTTCAAATAAAGTCTAGTAGTAGATAGCACCAGCTATTAAAAAACATTTTCAAAGAATATTTATAAGGCCAAGAAGAGATGTAGAGATGTCAATACACCCCTATCAGAACAATAAAAATAAAAAATAGTAACACCACCAAATGCTGGTAAGGATGTGGAGAAACTAGAACTGTCATACCTTGGTGGCAGGAATGCAAAATGAGAGAGCTACTTTTAAACCATGTAACTGGGCAGTTTTTTAGACTTGTCAGTTTCTTATTCTTTAAAAAATAAACAACTACATATGGCTAGCCAGTTTTCCCAGCACCATTTATTAAATAGGGAATCCTTTCCCCATTGCTTGTTTTTCTCAGGTTTGTCAAAGATCAGATAGTTGTAGGTATGCGGCGTTATTTCTGAGGGCTCTGTTCTGTTCCATTGATCTATATCTCTGTTTTGGTACCAGTACCATGCTGTTTTGGTTACTGTAGCCTTGTAGTATAGTTTGAAGTCAGGTAGTGTGATGCCTCCAGCTTTGTTCTTTTGGCTTAGGATTGACTTGGCGATGCGGGCTCTTTTTTGGTTCCATATGAACTTTAAAGTAGTTTTTTCCAATTCTGTGAAGAAAGTCATTGGTAGCTTAATGGGGATGGCATTAAATCTGTAAATTACCTTGGGCAGTATGGCCATTTTCACGATATTGATTCTTCCTACCCATGAGCATGGAATGTTCTTCCATTTGTTTGTATCCTCTTTTATTTCCTTGAGCAGTGGTTTGTAGTTCTCCTTGAAGAGGTCCTTCACATCCCTTGTAAGTTGGATTCCTAGGTATTTTATTCTCTTTGAAGCAATTGTGAATGGGAGTTCACTCATGATTTGGCTCTCTGTTTGTCTGTTGTTGGTGTATAAGAATGCTTGTGATTTTTGTACATTGATTTTGTATCCTGAGACTTTGCTGAAGTTGCTTATCAGCTTAAGGAGATTTTGGGCTGAGACGATGGGGTTTTCTAGATAAACAATCATGTCGTCTGCAAACAGGGACAATTTGACTTCCTCTTTTCCTAATTGAATACCCTTTATTTCCTTCTCCTTCCTGATTGCCCTGGCCAGAACTTCCAACACTATGTTGAATAGGAGCAGTGAGAGAGGGCATCCCTGTCTTGTGCCAGTTTTCAAAGGGAATGCTTCCAGTTTTTGCCCATTCAGTATGATATTGGCTGTGGGTTTGTCATAGATAGCTCTTATTATTTTGAAATACGTCCCATCAATACCTAATTTATTGAGAGTTTTTAGCATGAAGGGTTGTTGAATTTTGTCAAAGGCTTTTTCTGCATCTATTGAGATAATCATGTGGTTTTTGTCTTTGGCTCTGTTTATATGCTGGATTACATTTATTGATTTGCGTATATTGAACCAGCCTTGCATCCCAGGGATGAAGCCCACTTGATCATGGTGGATAAGCTTTTTGATGTGCTGCTGGATTCAGTTTGCCAGTATTTTATTGAGGATTTTTGCATCAATGTTCATCAAGGATATTGGTCTAAAATTCTCTTCCTTACACCTTATACAAAAATCAATTCAAGATGGATTAAAGATTTAAACGTTAGACCTAAAACCATAAAAACCCTAGAAGAAAACCTAGGCATTTCCATTCAGGACATAGGCATGGGCAAGGACTTCATGTCCAAAACACCAAAAGCAATGGCAACAAAAGCCAAAATTGACAAATGGGATCTAATTAAACTAAAGAGCTTCTGCACAGCAAAAGAAACTACCATCAGAGTGAACAGGCAACCTACAACATGGGAGAAAATTTTCGCAACCTACTCATCTGACAAAGGGCTAATATCCAGAATCTACAATGAACTCAAACAAATTTACAAGAAAAAAACAAATAACCCCATCAAAAAGTGGGCGAAGGACATGAACAGACACTTCTCAAAAGAAGACATTTATGCAGCCAAAAAACACATGAAAAAATGCTCATGATCACTGGCCATCAGAGAAATGCAAATCAAAACCACTATGAGATATCATCTCACACCAGTTAGAATGGCAATCATTAAAAAGTCAGGAAACAACAGGTGCTGGAGAGGATGTGGACAAATAGGAACACTTTTACACTGTTGGTGGGACCGTAAACTAGTTCAACCATTGTGGAAGTCAGTGTGGCGATTCCTCAGGGATCTAGAACTAGAAATACCATTTGACCCAGCCATCCCATTACTGGGTATATACCCAAATGACTATAAATCATGCTGCTATAAAGACACATGCACACGTATGTTTATTGCGGCATTATTCACAATAGCAAAGACTTGGAACCAACCCAAATGTCCAACAATGATAGACTGGATCAAGAAAATGTGTCACATATACACCATGGAATACTATGCAGCCATAAAAAATGATGAGTTCATGTCCTTTGTAGGGACATGGATGAAACTGGAAATCATCATTCTCAGTAAACTATCGCAAGAACAAAAAACCAAACACCGCATATTCTCACTCATAGGTGGGAATTGAACAATGAGATCACATGGACACAGGAAGGGGAATATCACACTCTGGGGACTGTGGTGGGGTGGGGGGAGGGGGGAGGGATAGCATTGGGAGATATACCTAATGCTAGATGACGAGTTAGTGGGTGCAGTGCACCAGCATGGCACATGTATACATATGTAACTAACCTGCACAATGTGCACATGTACCCTAAAACTTAAAGTATAATAAAAAAAAAGAAAAATAAATAAAAAAAGAAAAAAAAAGAAAAAAAGAGAAAAATCTACAGTTTTGTTCTTTCAAAAAAAAAATAAATAAAAAAATAAACGACTAAACATGTATTTACCATATGAACCAAAAATCACATTTCTGAGAATGTATCCCAGAGAAATGAAAACTTCTGCCCACAAAACACCTGTACACAATGTTCACAGCAGCTTTATTTGGTAATAGCAAAGGTCCAGAAACCACTGAGATGTCCTCCAATGGAGGAATGGTGAAACCGCGGTACATGTCATAGAATATTGATGGCTCTCAGAGGTATTATGCTGAGTAAAAAATCCAATCTCTAAAGGTCAAGTACTGTATGATTGCATTTATATAACATTCTCAAAGCAATAATAGAGAGATGGAGAACAAAATTAGTGGTTACCAGGAGTGGTGGTGGATAGAGTAACCATAAGGGTATAAAGAGTTAGCATGCATGAGATGTTTATGGTAATGGAATAGTTCTGTGTCTTGACTATGATGTGGTCACACAAATCTATATATGTAATAAAATGACACATATTGTACTGACGGCAATTTCCTGACTTTGGTATTGTGCTATAGTTATATAAGATGTTACCATTGGGAGAAAATGGGTAACACTGTACTATAGTTATATAAGATGTTACAACTGGGAGAGACATGAAACTTCTCTCTACTATTTGTGAATAAATAATTATTTCAAGTATAAAAACTTTTAAAAGAATATTTAATAACATAAGAAAATGTTGAAAAAATTATGTTTTAAACCTAAGCAATATATTAACAATATATGCAGAAAAACTATGCATACTTATATACCACCTCCAAAAAGTGCTAGAAAGAAAAACACCCCTACTGATATATTAGTGATTGTACCTAGAGAGCAGAATTTAAATTCTGTTTCTTGTCTGTGCTTTATATAACGTCTACAATGAGCATATATTAATTTTATGATCACCCCTTAAAATTCTGTTTCCTTGTGCTCCACTAGAAGGATAGTCCTTTTAAAAACAGTAAGTTATATATGCTCTGCTAAAAATCAATGAACCAGAACTCATTTCTGAAAGGAAATTGCAGAAGTGAAAGTAATCACCCAGGAGAATCAACTAGTTCCTTCACATAAAAACCAAGGAGAATCTTACTTTGTTTATAAGGGCTCTACTTGTGTGAGGCGTATTTTTTCTTAGCTAATACAAGTCCAAAATTAACAAGACTACCAAATACCATGACTATAACATTTAAATCAGATAGACTAATTTTATAGCTACCAAAGCAATGGTGTTGATTTACTTGGGATGTATTTCCCTGCCTCAACAAGGTAACAGTCAGAAAGCAGGTGCTCTTTATTGTGCTTAATGTAAATCATTCATTAATGCCTCTAGAAGAAGACTGACTGTGTGCTAACTGGCAAATTAACCTAAGATAAACATAAATGTTCAGGTCTTTATTGAAGTGCCTTATGTTTCATCATTATGAAGCTGTGCTCCTGGCTACCTATCTATTCTCTCCCTGTGAACATCCTTGCTGTTCATATATAACAAGTTATTCCTACCCTTTATATTTAACACTTAATGTTTTCTCTTTGGATAACTTGCATTTGTGAACTTACTTTTTGTAAATATTTCTAAAGTAGACTTCCCACATCTCCAGGATGAGTTTAATGACAGGAGATAACTGGGGTTTATAATTTTCCCCAGCTGTTTATGAAAACAAAGAACAGCCTATTTATTATTCAGATGTAAAGCCTCTATTCATCAAAAAGGCATTGATTTCATATTTTTGACTGAAATAATCCTGAATTGTTTTAAGTCGTAAAACAAACACCATCCCAATTATAATTTCAAGATAGGCTAAACAATTAAAAGAAATATAATACAGAGTTGAAATTCAAATAAATGTTTAGTTTCATCTCATTTATTTTAAACTTGAGTAACAGGAATCCAGAAGAGAAAAATACACAAAAAAGTACAAATAAGGAAAAATTCCCTAAAACCAACTGACATTCAAAAGAAAATTCTGGACCGGGCGCACTGGCTCATGCCTGTAATCCCAGCACTTTGGGAGGCCGAGGTGGACGGATCACGAGGTCAGGAGATCGAGACCATCCTGACTAACTCGGTGAAACCCCGTCTCTACTAAAAATACAAAAAATTAGCCAGGCGTGGGGCGGGCACCTGTAGTCCCAGCTACTCAGGAGGCTGAGGAAGGAGAATGGGCTGAACCTGGGAGGTGGAGCTTGCAGTGAGCAGAGATTGGGCCACTGCACTCCAGCCTGGGCAACAGAGCAAGACTCCATCTCAAAAAAAAAAAAAAAAAAGAAAAGAAAATTCTGCCCATTGTTGTATCATAGAAATAGAAACAGATGTAAATATGAATACCTTAGTTGGAAGGATAAAACAAATATACACACAGTTACAGGCAGCATGGTGTAGAGAAAAAGGACAGATAGACACAGACTCGAATCCTGCTCCCAGAGTGCTCACAGTTGAGCAATGGTCAAGTTCAGGGTCATACCAGGAAACCCTTCCATGTCAGGTTATTTTAGAGCTGACCTCCTCTGGCCAGCACTGCTACATCCCAGAGACACCCAAGTTCTTGGTGCCATTTAGGCCAGTGCTACACCCTTGCTATCAGAGGTCAACTGAGTGTTCTGAATTTTTCAAAGCTACTGAGTCACATCCCTTCTTCACTTAATGCCTCTCATCATCCCTGGAGTGAAGTGGTAGACCCTGTGGCTCGTAGTTATCTTAAGGGTCCTCTCTTCCTACCCCTCTCTTTTTTTTTTCAGTTTGTATGTCCATACCTGCAAAACACAAGTTATTATATTCACATCCTTGTTACCAAAGTATAAGATATAAGCTATTACATTTCCAATATTATAGTTGAGGCAACTGACTTACAGACTTATAGAAAATAAGAAACCTGCCTACAGTTGCACAGTTTGAAAGCCAGAAGGTCTGACTCAGGCACTGATGGTGTGTGAGTTGTGAAGTAACAAAGTGGTTGTCTCTATCCATACATCTGGTAGTGGTGACATGTGAGGTGGGCTGGATGTGGGTACAGATTGATTCCTGTATTTGCTGCTCCCTGCATTTCACTTTTTGACTCAAATAAATTATTCTAATCAATGACGTCTCATGCTAGCTCCTTCATTTAGTTCATTTCTTTTTTTTCTTCTTTTCCTTTTAAAAAAAGATCCTATACTGACAACTCCAAATGCTGGCAAGTTGAGGAGCAATAGGAACTGTCATTCATTGACTGGTGGGAATGTCAATGGTACAACAATTTGGAAGACAGTATGGCAGGTTATTACTAAAGTGAGCATATTGTCACTATAAATTCCAGTAAGTGTGCTCCTTGACTTTGACCCAAATTAGTTAAAATTTTATTTCCATAAAAAATGTGGACATAGATATTCATAGCAGCTTGATGGAAAGTTGTCAAAACTGGGAAGCAACTGAGAAGCCCTTTAGTAGGCGTAGGAGTTATTACACTTTGGTACATACAAACAGTAGAATAAGATTCAACACCAATAAGAAATGAGCTATTGTGCCACGAAAAGACAAAGAGGAATCTCAAATGCATATGACTAAGTGAAAGAAGCCAGTCTGAAAAGATGACTTACCATATGACATTCCAACCATATGACATTCTGAAAAGCAAATATGGAGACAAAGATCAGAGATTGGCATAGGTTATTGGAGAGGGAAACATGAAAAGGGAGAGTTCAGAGGATTTTTAGGGCAGGGAAACGAGTCGGAATTCCTTTTTAAAAATTTTTTTATTTCCATAGGTTTTTGGGGAACAGGTGGTCTTTGGTTACATGAATAAGTTCTTCAGCAGTAATTTGTGAGATTTTAGTGCACCCATCAACAGAGTAGTATACACTGAACCCAATTTGAAGTCTTTTATCCCTCACGCCCCTCCCAGCCTTTCCCCTGAGTCCCCAAGTCTTTTTTATCATTCTTATGCCTTTGTATCCTCATAGCTTAACTCTCACTTATGAGTGAGAATATACAATATTTGGTTTTCCATTCCTGAGTGACTTCCCTCAGAAGAATAGTCTTCAGTTCCATCCAGGCTGCTGCAAATGCCATTAGTTTGTTCCTTTTTATGGCTGAGTAGTATTCCATGGTATATATATACCACAATTTCTTTTTTTTAGTATTATTATTATACTTTAAGTTCTTTTTTTTTTAATTATACTTTAAGTTCTAAGATACATGTGCAGAATGTGCAGGTTTGTTACATAGGTATACATGTGCCATAGTGGTTTGCTGCACCCATCAACCCATCATCTATATGATGTTCCCCTCCCTGTGCCTATATGTTCTCATTGTTCAACTCCCACTTATGAGTGAGAACATGAAGTTTTTGGTTTTCTGTTCCTGTGTTAGTTTGCTGAGAATGATGGTTTCCAGCTTCATCCATGTCCCTGCAAAGGACGCTAACTCATTCTTTTTTATGGCTGCATAGTTTTGCATGGTATATATGTGCCACATTTTCTTTATCCAGTCTAACATTGATGGGCATTTGGGTTGGCTCCAAGTCTTTGCTATTGTGAATAGTGCTGCAGTAAACATATGCGTGCATGTGTCTTTATAGTAGCATGATTTATAATCCTTTGGGTATATACCCAGTAATGGGATGGCTGGGTCAAATGGTATTTCTAGTTCTAGATCCTTGAGGAATCGCCACTCTGTCTTCCACAATGATTGAACTAATTTACACCCCCACCAACAGTGTAAAAGTGTTCCTATTTCTCTACATCCTCTCCAGCATGTTTCCTGGCTTTTTAATGATCACCATCCTAACTGGCGTGACATGGTATCTCATTGCAGTTTTGATTTGCATTTCTCTAATGACCAGTGATGATGATCTTTTTTCATATGCTTTTTGGCCACATAAATGTCTTCTTTTGAAAATCCCGCCCCTCTCTTAAATCCCTTCTAATATCCTGACTAAGAGAGAGAAGTGATGCCAAGCTCTGCTGGGGACCCACCACATGGGAAGTATTCCAATCTCAGCTAGTTCTATTCACCCAAACACCAGGTCTGTCTCCACCTTCTGAGACCACACAGAAAACACTAAATTTCTTTGCATCATCATTATCATCCCCATGCTTATTAATGTCTTGGTCCTTTATTCATGTACTGGACACTCTGCTAAAAACTCTATAGGCACTCCTCATTTGATCCACCTAACAGCCTCAATCAGCAGGTATTAATATTTTGTTCCATTTTACAGGATAAATTCAAGTTCAGAGAAGTTAAGTAACCAGCCTAAGACCACAAACCCAGTGAGTAGCAGGGCCAAAATTTGAAGTCTCTGCTCTCAACCATACATCACTCTCTGCATATTAGGCAACAGCTTTGTCACCTCCCTGAGCCTGCTCTTATGCAGATTAAAAGTTTTTGTTTTCAAAGCAAAACAATCATGAAATCATGACATTCTATCCAACGCAATAACCATTAGGATATTTTCTCAGAGATTCCACCTGGAATTCTATCCAGTGTGATAACTATGAGGACATTGCCTCAGAGATCCTAGCTGGAATGCAATAGTTAATTCGAATGGCTGGTGGCATTCAGCACATGGTGAAAACAGCAGAAAGAGGGATGTACAGGAGTTGCGTGTTTGCAGTGTCAGAGCTGAAGGGGAGAAGGCAATGTCAAATTACCCACAATCCCACTGTTCAAAGAACCCTGTACTGCCCTTGTCTTCTTTCCTTCTTCACATTTCAAGAGTTACAGAAGAATCTCAAAGAATCTTTCAGTGTCTGTGACAATACACTTCTATGGGTTTAAACTCCTCAGACTGTAAACGCTTTGAGAGTAGGGGCCACGTCTTACTTAGCTTTGCATCATATACACATGTTTGATTAAATCGGGGACAAAAATCAATGAGCAAAAAACTACACATAGAACCAAGAAAAACTCAGAAGTAGACGCTGATCGAACCTCACTGCAAAAGTTATAAAGCACAACTTGTTTTAGTTTAGGTTCCCTAAGAAGCAAACTCTGACATGAAGTCTTGGTGCAAATAGTTTATTCAGGAGTTAACGTTGAAAACAGAAGAATGGAATAGAAACAGTGAGACAAAAAAGAGAAAACATCAATAACTGGTGTCTAATGAACTGGATTAACCTGTGAGAAGCTGTGCAGAACACTCCTTAGAACTGTCACACCAGGTGATGGGGTGTGGAGGTATTACTCACTTTAGTTGAGGGTTGCTTCCGAGGGTGTTAACTCCCCTGAAATTCTGTGTCATGCATGAAAAACGTTAAGCAGGCTCCTGCAGTTTTGGAGAAAGCAACTTAGAGAGATGCCCTGGCACAAACTTGGTGAAAGACCCTGGCAGTGGCTTGTGGGGCAGCTGTCCTGGAATGAGGAGACTGAGGACATATGGCAACAGTCATGGTAAATCACAAGTTTTTGCACTCACATCTTTATGTAAGCTGGTTAAAAGAAACTATGGAGCCAAGTGCAGTGGCTCACGCCTGTAATCCCAACACTTTGGGGGGCCGAGGTGGGCGGATCACCTGAGGCCAGGAGTTCAAGACCAGCCCGGCCAAAATGGTGAAACCCCGTCTCTACTAAAAATACAAAAATTAGCCTGGCATGGTGGTGCGCACCTGTAATCCCAGCTACTACAGAGGCTGAGGCAGGAGAATCACTTGAACTGGGGAGGCAGAGGTTACAGTGAGCCGAGATGGCGCCACCGCACTCCAGCCTGGGCGACAGAGAAAGACTCCATCTTAAAAAAAAAAAAAAAAAAAAAAGGGAAGAAAAAGAAGAAATGACGGAGTAGAATGTCTCCTCTGGTCTCGGATTTTCAGGTGAAGCTCCAAGCTGAGTACAATAAGCGTCACGAAGCATGAAACCAAGAAACCAGCGGACACTTCCCAATTTGTGGAAATGAGGGTGCCCATACAGAATAGAAAATAGTATCTGTATCAGTTTACCAGGGATACCATAAAAAAAATAGCACAAACTAGGTGGTTTAAGCAACAGAAATGTATTTTCTCACAATTCCGGAAGCTAGAAGTCCGAGATCGGGAGACTAGCAGGGTTTGTTTCTCCTGAGACCTCTCTCCTTGCCTGGCAGGTATTCCTCTTCTCCCTGTGTCTTCACTTGGTCTTCCCAGGGACCCAATATCCTGTTCTTAGAGGCGTACCAATCACATGGATTAGGTCCTACCCTAATAAGCTCATTTTAATTTAATCACTTTTTTCTTTTAACAGACCCTATCTCCAAATACAGTCACCTGCTGAGGTACTAAGGGTTAGGAATTCAACATATGAATTTTGGGGAAACACAGTTCAACCCATAACAGTATCTCACGCTCAGCTGGGGGCTTGCTAAGCAGTTGCAGCAATTCTTAAGTCCCTAAAGAAGGATACGGTGGAATTGCTCTCTGGAGAGCATGACATGGATAAGCTAGAATTTAGGGGTTTATATGAACATAGAGGCTGGTGCCTGCCTCCCGCCAGAGAATGTAGACAGTGAGAGGCTGGCAGGAGGAAGGAAAGGAGCACCGGAAGCAGCCCACATTTGGAACGGCAACGAACCATGCATTTCCGGTGGGTTCGGTGAACTCCGGAAGGGAGCCAAGCTTGAGCCATCTCGATGGGATGCAGCACACTAGACGGTACCACCGGAGGCTTGGAAAAGGCCAACTGGGTATTGCATCTCTTGACACCCTGTGCAGAGCCCACGTGGAGCACACACAGACCATCTGCACCCCACAAATGAGCCAGCGTTTGGAGGCCCAGCACACATATTATCACCAGCCAAGAGAAACCCATAAATATCATGAACGGAGTAAAAATGCCTTTCCCCCTTTCATGCTAACCCCTGCTTCCCAGTTCTGGAGGAGCCAGCAGCAGGAGTTGGGAAGAGAAGCAAAGGAGAAAGGAATTGCATAAGAAAAGACCACACCTCTTTCCTAGCCTAGATCAGACCTGAGTTGAGGGAAGGTGAGAAGCTCAGAATTGGATCTGAGCCTGAAGTTTTTATTTAGACTGGGCTGTTTAATACCAGACACAGTGACTCTTAACAAAATAGGACTTGTCTAACAAGTCAAAAGGACAAGAAAGCTATGTGATTTTCCTCAGATCTCATTCAGGGATAAGGAAAAGGGATCAAACAGACCACATTTAAATGCAATAGACGATGAAAAATTAAATCGTTCCCTAGTTCTACCCCCGCTCAGTTTAGCTCACTCAATAAACCAACAGCACTTCATGTTCTCACGTACAGATTATGGGGGGAAGAAGATTCTGAACTGGCCCCCTTCCCAGAAATCTCCTAAATTATTTTGTACCCTGTTATCAAATTAATATTCTCTAGACATTACTTCTATCTCATTATTCCTCTGTCCAAAATTCTCCAATGACTCCGTAGCCTAAAGGATAAAGCCCACGGTTTTCTTCTTGCTCCAAAAGACCTTCCCCACCAATGCTCACCTCCAGACAGCTCATGAGTCTTCTTTCCCTAGGAAAACCACATTCCAATCTTAGGGTTTGGGAGGGCCACCTCATGGTTTTCCAGGAGTCTTTTCATCGTGGCCTGGGAGGGTTTGAAATAAAGATTGTACCTCAGTGACATAGGTCAAGGAACCCAAACCATCCTCCTCCTCATTCAACCATAAACAGCCCATATTGGCTTCTGTGTATGAGAAATTGAAGGCTCTCCCTTGTCCCAGCTTCCTTAAAGAGTTCCTTAAAGAGTTCATGTTACCACTAAACAGAGTCCCCCTGTTCTTCTAACTGTCATTTCTCACGTTATGGGATGTACATCAGGGCCTCATCATTATTCTCTTTCATATACCTGGACCTTATTACATAGGAGCTCAAAGTCTAGCTCTTTACATTTCTCTTAATCTTCTTTGATACTAAGTGAGGCAACAACAACAACAAAAAGATAGTATAGGCCATTTTATTTTACTTTATTGAGACAGGGTCTTGTTCTGTTGCCCAGGCTGGGGCAGTGGCTTGATCAAGGTTCAATGAAGCCTCAAATTCCTGGGCTCAAGAGATCCTCCAGCCTCAGCCTCCTGAGTAGCTTGGATGACAGGTGTGTGACACCACATATGACTAATTTATATATATATATATATATATATATATATATATATATATATATATATACACACATACAGACAGTGGTCTCCCTATATTGCCTAGATTGGTCTCAAACTCCTGGGCTCAAGTGATTCTCCCCACTCATCCTCCCAAAGTGCTGAGACTACAGGCATGAGCCACCACGTCTGGCCCATGTAGGTCTTTTTAAATAGCCCTGAGCTTCTCAAGCCCCTACACCCCTCCCAAGTAGGAGAAAGGAAAACCTAAATGATTAAATTTGATCTCCTGAGGCCACATGAAAACGGACCCTCGAAAATTCACTGTACTTAGGAAACTCATGGACAGGTTATCAAACCTCAAGTAGCAAAGTCCCTGTAGAGTTTCCTTGGACTTCTACATTTTCTTGCAACAAATAATACATTTAAAGGTCAATGGATCTCATTCTTTATCAACCAAGAAAATATGTTTGCAGAATCTAAAATCTCATCTAGAGTTAAGATCAACATTTTTTTTTCTTCTGGTCCTTTCATTTATTTCTTTAAAATTGTCTTATCATTACTATGTAAGCTTGTACCTGAATTACAGCTTTTAATAAAGCAATGACACTTTTATTTCTCAGATGCCTGATGACCATATTAACCTCTCCTCATTTGAGTTATTAATTGCACGTTCTGTCCAATCCCTTTGGTGTGGCTTCCAAGGAGACAGTCAGAAGGCTTCTCAGGAAGGGAAGGACATGTTTATTGTTGGCCCTGTGGGAGTGTTTGCATAATTACTGGAATGATTAAAGAGGTCTTTTCTAAAACAGACAAGCATACTAAGTTTTAATATGTTTCATGACAATGCATAAGACAAGAGTGCATGTTGTACCTGATATAGGACCCTGCAGGTCGCCAAAATAAATAAATACGTGTAGAGGTGCTGGAATGAATTCAGTCATGGATATAAACAGAAATTTCAAGGGGAAATGAGCTTTGATTCTTGATGAGAGAATTGTTTGTGATCAGAATGAGGACAGCTGTACAGCAAAGGTGACAAAGAGCCTGGGGACATGAAGTCTTAAATAGTTTGCTCTAATCCCATGTTGTAAAGATGGCTTAATGTGAGGGAGGGGGTAGCAGGAAGAGTTTTGATGAATCCTGAGACTGGAGTTAAAGCTTTTCTAATTTGGCTCACTGGTATTTAATCTTATAACTGTGCATCCTTAATCAAAACTCAGAGGGACTCTTTAATCTTGTGTGTATAAAATGAAAGATGATTAGAGTCCCCTGACCTGCCTGTGAGTTCCAGCTGTTTCCTTCTTTTCTATTTCCTAGGCTCTTCATATCTCCCACTAGCTGGAGTTACATTAATAGAAAAAACAGCATCCCGAAATTGTAGGAGAATAAATATGAAGAACACATTCATTCATTCATTTTTTTCTTTTGGTGGTTAATGGCATCTATTATGTGGAAGGCATTGTTTTACATATTAATATACAGCATGAACAAGAACGACATATCTATTTGTACAGACTGCATTTTAGAATCTAACTAGGACTTTTTCACCATTTCTTGGCTAAGTAAGCAAATGCAAGTGATTCAGGAAAATAAATATGATTTTAAGGAGTAAATAATTATGTAGAAAAATTCTTCTGTTTCAGATGACTGCAAGGTGCAAATTGTTTACTGAAGAAATTCATCATATAGCTGGTCAAGTGTTTGGATTCTGTTAGAAGATTGAGAACAAGGTGATAAAATGCATCATTCCAGCATCACAGGATTTTGATGACCAGACAAAGGCTTTGAATTGTGCCTGATGTATTTTTTTAATGCACAGTAAATAGGACTCCAGGGCCAACTCCCCCGACCCACACCACATCCTAAGCAAGACCTTTATAGAGAACTGTCCCTGGGGGAAACCTTTTCCCTTGATCGAAATCCTAGCATATCCAGGTAATACTTCACTACTATTCCCACTCTTTTTTTTTTTTTTTTTTTTTTTTTTGAGACAGTCTCACTCTGTCACCCAGGCTGGAGCGCAATGGCATTATCTCGGCTCACTGCAACCTCTGCCTCCCAGGGTCTGAGCAATTCTCCTACCTCAGCCTCTGGAGTATCTGGGATTACAAGTATGTACCACCATGCCCAGCTAAGTTTTGTATTTTTACTAGAGATGTAGTTTCACCATGTTGGCCACACTGGTCTTGAACTCCTGACCTCAAGTGATCAGCCCACCTTGGTCTCCCAAAATGCTGGGATTGCAGGTGTGAGCCACTGCACCCAGCCTTATTGCCACTTTAAAAAGCTTTTTATTTTTAAGAATATTATTAAAAATCTTTCCATTCTTCAGCTTCCAAATTCAATTTCAATAGAGGGATCAGATTTCAATAACCGACAACTGACAAAAACAACCCAAAAAATCTACAACAATGAAAAATACTAAATTCCTGAGAAAGCATTACTCTGTCACTATAACTAAAATAATGATTTCTATAAAAAAGAGATTTTCAGGGATGAGAAGGCAAACTTTCAGTTTTTGCACGAGTTTTCTAGGTTTTATCATAAACAAAAGAGTGATAGGCTCCTTTGCCTTCCCCCCAAACCCCCACCTTGGTCCTTCTTCATGAATTAATGAGTCTGATACACAGGATGCTGGTAAAAATCATCCCTATATACTTTATAAAATTAATCAGGGAAGAACGGAGGAAGAGCAAGGAAACTAAACCAGGCTCGCAGCAGGCTCAGCGTGCATCACTAGGCCAGCTGCTCTCTGACCTGCTTCCTCCTGGTTGTTTGGTGATGACTGCCTCAGAATCACATAGACCCTGAAACTGCCTTTGCAAAACTTACAACTGAGGAAATTGTAACAGGGAAAGAGATGAGACCTAACCGACTCCATCTTGCTTCTAACCATTTAGCTGTCCTTGTTCATTCCTGGGCATAGGCCAAACTAACTTTGGGAAGGAATTCAGTTCATGGTTGGACTCTGAAACAAAATTGATAACAGCCCTTTTACAAAAAGATCCCTTTCTTGCCTGGAGACCAGTCTGCCTTGGCAGGACTAACAAATTAGCTACAAGATTAGAAATTAAGGTTGAGGGGTCATGGAGCCTCTGGCTCCAAGAGTCTGAACCTCCCCACATTGCTCCTAGGGACAGCATCACTATTGTAAAACCTAAGATCAATGCTTGAGATATTTTGCAGACCCTGCAGTGGATGGATCAGGTAACACCACCCAGACCAGTAATCTGGCTCAACCAGTTCTGCCATCCCACCCAGGAACAAAGGCAGCAAAAAAACTTCACTTCGACCCCCTATGATTCCATCTCCAACCTGACCAATCCTCATTCGCCACTTCCCAAGCCCCTACCCATCAAATTATCTTTAAAATCTCCAATCCCCAAATGCTCAGGGAGACTGATTTGAGTAATAATAAAACTCTGCTCTCCTGTACAGCCAGCTCTGCATGAATTACTCTTTCTTCCTTGCAATTCCTCTGAATAAATTGGCTCTGTCTAGGCAGTGGGCAAGGTAAACCCATTGGGTGGTTACAACCCATTACAAGATTATAGTTCCCCTTACCTGCTCTATAGATAACAACATGAACATTATAAGATGTTGAGTTTTCCATCTGAGATATTCTTTCAGGTCCTGTATATCAATGAAACTACTGATGTCAGCTGGTCTGAAGGGCCCCACAAGATGCTGACTCCCTGAAGAAGCCTATGTGATTCTGAGGCCTATGTGATTCTGAGTTTCTACATCTTGATGGTTTCATATCTCATACACTGACCAATTAATGGCCCCAATATTCCAGCCCTTCATACTTCATGATCCCCTTAAAAGCCCCCACCCAGGACTCCTCGGGGAGATGGATATGAGGGTCTCCTCCCATCACCTTACTTAGTGCCCTGCAATCATTAGACTCTTTCTCTGCTGCAAACACTGTTGTCTTCGTGTAATTGGTATGTTACTGCACAGTGGACATACAAACCTGTTGGTCCTACAATACTGGTAAGAGGACAGTATCATTGAAATAACACAAAAAGAGTAATATTCTATACTCAGAACTCTAGCCACCATAATAAGACATTTAGGCAAAACTCACTGCAGCAAAGTATTAAGTGAAAACATACAAAACCAACATATTTTCTGTTGACATAGGTGTATGTTAGAGCATAAGGAATAGCAGGACTGTTTATTAACTTGAGTTAAAACCACCTCCCTTTTCAGCTGACCAAAGAGAGAGATATGCTGTAAGCCATTCTGGACACCAAGCACATTGATTCTTATTTGTTGCTTGTCTAGAAGACCTTTTGTTTGTGTGGAGGAGGAATATTAGCTGTATATCAGTCACACTTTATTTCTGAGAGAATTTGTACACTAAACATGTGCATAAAAGGAGCACTAGAAAATATTAAATCAGAAACAGCTTGGAAAACACAAAAGATAAGAAACCACAGTGACTTTACAAAAACAAGTACTCACTCTGAACTTGACTGCCCTAACAGTAGCCTATCCAAACCAAGAAGGAGAGCAAACTGTAGGAGAGAACTGTAAGGATCCTGGATCTCAGAAGAAAAGGAAGAGATTCTTATAACACTTTTTCTTTCCCAACATTATTCTGGAATAGGAAAAGAGAAGTGAAGTCAGAAGGAACAAACACTATGGCACTTCCAGCCCCTTCTGACCTATAGTCCCCATATTTGACATTCAAATGATTCACTTTCTCCACCCGAGTGGCTCCCAATCTCTTTTCTTTATAAAAATTTATTTTGCAATATTTGAGACATAGAAAAGGAAATGAAGAATAATATAAGTACCTATGTACCTATCAACTAGTGATATGGTTTGGATGTCTGTCTCCTCCAAATGTCATGTTGAAACGTAATCCCCAGGGCCAGGAGTGGTGGCTCACACCTGAATTCTAGCACTTTGGGAGGCTGAGGCAGGAAGATTGCTTGATTTCAGGAATTTGAGACCAGCCTGGCCAACATAGGGAGACCCCATCTCTACAAAAAATTTTTGAAAGCCAGGCATGGTGGCTCCCACCAGTGGTCCCAGATACTCAGGAGGCTGAAAGAGGCGTATTGCTTGGGCCAAGGAGGTCAAGGATCAGTGAGCTGTGATTGTGCCACTGTGATTGTGCCTGGGCAACAGAGCAAGACCCTGTCTCAAAAAAGAAAAGGAAAGAAAGAGAAAGGGAGAGGGAGAAAGAAAGAAGAGAGAGAGAGAAAGAAAGAAAGGAAGGAAGGAAGGAAGGAAGGAAGGAAGGAAGGAAGGAAGGAAGGAAAAAGAAAAAGAAAGAAAGAAAGAAAGGAAAAGAAAAGAAGAAAAAAAGAAAAGAAAAGAAAAGAAAGAAAAAGAAAGAAGGAAGGAAAGCAGGCAGGCTGGCTGTATAGAGCAGTGGAGCCCTGGACAGGGCCCAGGAAACCATTTTTCCCTCCTAGGCCTCTGGGACCGTGATGGGAGGGTCTGCCATAAAGGTCTCTGACATGCCCTGGAGACATTTTCCCCATTGTGCTGGTGATTAACATTTGGCTTCTTGTTACTTACGCAAATTTCTGTAGCCATCTTGAATTTCTCCCCAGAAAATGAGGTTTTATTTTCTATCACATTGTCAGGCTACAAATTTTCTAAACTTTTATGCTCTGCTTACCCTTAAACACTTTGCCACTTAGAAATTTCTTCTGCCAGATACCCTAAACCATCTCTCTCAAATTCAAAGTTCCACAGATCTCTAGGACAGGGGGAAAATGCCACCAGTCTCTTTGCACAGCAAGTGTGACCTTTACTCCAGTTCCCAACAAGTTCCTCATCTCCACCTGAGACCATCTCAGCCTTGACTTTATTATCCATATCACCATCAGCATTTTGGTCAAAGCCATTCAACAAATCTCTAGGAAGTTCCAAACTTTCCCACATTTTCCTATCTTCTTCTGAGACCTCCAAACTGTTCCAAATGACAGGGACAGGAGACAGGAAACTACTGGATAGAAAAGAGCAGTTCCCACCCTCAAGCCTTGATACCCACAGCCCTGAGAACAGGTATTTCTGTTTTCATGCTCAAAAAGTTGCCTTTTGGCTCACCACATCCCCATATTCTGTACCCATATAAATCCCAAACCCCAGACTCCATAACCAGATGAACAGAGGAGCAGAAGAGTGGCAGAATAGCACAGCAGAGAAGGAGAGAAGAGAAGGAATATCTGAACATCAAAAGGAGTTCAGCTGGGTATGGTCAGAGAGGAGATTGGCAACTGGACAGCCATAATCCAGGGGAACATCATCTTCCTACTCTATCCCCTGTCCAGCTCCCCATACATCCCACTGAGAGCCACCTCTACCACTCAATAAAACCCCCACATTCATCCTTCAAGTCTGTGTGTGACCCAATTCTTCCAGGATGCTAGACAAGAGCTCAGGATCCAGAAGGCTATCACACTGGCCCTCTGCCCTTGCAAAAAGGCATAGAGTCCACTGAGCTGGTTAACACTTAAGCTATCGGTGGAGAGCAAGGCTAAAAGAGTACACTGTAACATGTGTCCACTGGTCTTTGGGAGTCACAGACAACCACCCCTAGACACTGCCACGGGGCTAGAGCCCAAAAGTGCTCACCCTAGTTCCTGCCTCTGCCCCTCTGTGTGCTCCCCCTCCCTCACAGTGGCTGAACAGAGAGCCACACCCTTGTCACATGTCCTGTGAAGGAGGTCAGGGAACTCTCCTGTTTCACAACCTCTGCCTGTTACCCAATTCCAAGGTTACTTCCACATTTTCAGGCACTTTACAGCAGCATCCCACTACCTGGTACCAATTTACTGTATTAGTCCCTTCTCATGCTGCTAATAAAGACATACCTGAGACTGGGTAATTTATAAAGGAAAGAGGTTTAATTGACTCACAGTTCAGCATGTCTGGGCATGCCTCAGGAAACTTACAATCACGGCAGAAGGGGAAGCAAACACGTCCTTCTTCACATGGTGGCAGCAAGGAGAAGCACCAAGCAAAAGGGGGAAAAGCCCCTTATAAAACCATCAGATCTCATGAGAACTCACTATCATGAGGACAACAGCATGGGGCTAACCACCCCCATGATTTGATTACTTCCCACCAGGTCCCTCCCATGACACATGGGGATTACAGGAACTACAATTCAAGATGAGATTTAGGTGGGGACACAGCCAAACCATATCAGTGGGTACATAGTAGGTGCATGTATTTGTATTGTATATTTTTTACCTTTATATGTTCTTCTTTTATTTTTTAACTTTTAGTCTTATTTGTATGTTTTAAATTTTTATATATTTTTATTCAATTTGCTTTTTCAAGCAACATTATGTTTATGAGGTTCTTTCATGAATGTATTTGGCTCTAGTTCATTAATTTTCAGTATTACATAGTATCTATCATATGAACACTCCACCATGAGTTAATCCACATTTCTGTTGATGGCTACTGAAGCTGTTTCTAAGTGTTTGCTACAATAAACCATTTGGCTCTGTCTCCCTGGGAATATGGGCAAGATGTCCTAGGGTATATTTCTAGAGTAAAAGCTGCTGAGTCACAGAGGAAATTAATTTCCAACTTTACTAAATATTGCAAAATTGATCTCCAAAGTGGCTACACAAATCTAAATTCCCCCTTGCTGTGCATAGGAATTGTTATTGCCTTATATCCTTGTAACCATTTGGTATTGTCAGACTTTAAATTTTCTGCCAGTATGATGAGTGTCAAATTATACCTCACAGTGATTTCTTTTACCATTATCCACATTACTAGTGGAGTTAATAATCTCTTCAAATCAGTATTTGTAATTTATTATTTCTGTGAGATTCCATGTTCTTTTTTTTGGGGGGGACCATTTTTTGATAATGTTGTTTGTTGTGCTTTTCTTATTGATGTAGAGAATTTCTTATATAAACTGGATATTAATCTTCTATTGATTATACATGCTGCAAATATTTTTCTTTCTTATTATAATACCTTTTGATGAACAAAAATGTTTTATGTAGTTTGTGTTGTCAATATTTATCTCTATAATTTGTATGTTTTCTGTTTTCTTTATTCCCTACCCTAAAGTCTTGAAGATATTATCCTTTATTTTCTTCTAAATTTTTAGAGTTTCTATTTTCACAGTCAGGTGTTGAACGAACCTTGAGTTCACATCCCTAGGAGATGCAAAGCAGCATGGCATCGTGATTGAGAGCATGGAGTCCGGAGGCAGACTACCTGGGTTCACTTCTCAGCTCTGCCACTTTTTAACCTGTCATTTAACTTCCACGTACTCCAGTTTCTTAATCTGTAAATGGGTACCTAATCATAGGTATGAGTAAAGTTGCAATTAGAATATATAATATTACTCATAGGTAAGAGTAAAGTTGCAATTAGAATATACAAAACCTTTTAGAACAGCACCTACTGAGTGCAGTGGAAGGGATTACTCTTATTATTATATGAGCTCTAGTTTTATTTTTGCATGTGGATAGCCAATTTTCCCACTCCTACATGTTATCTAGTCCATTGCTTTCTCACTGATTTAACAATGCCACTTACATCATACATCAGCTTTCATGTAGGTGTTGACATTTTTCTTGGTTTCCCAGTCTTCCAGTGGTCTATCTGTCTATCCTTTAGGGAAATCTCAAGCCTCCATTTAAAATTTCCTGAGTTCTAAAAATCCCTGAAGTTATCACTCCTGCTTGTTCTTTCATCTACAGTCCCATCTCAACAATATCATTGTAGCTGTTAGTGAAACATAAAGGTTTCCTGTGAGTTTCCTGGGGCTGCCATAACAAAGTACCACAAAATTGGTGACTTAAGACAACAGAAATGTATTTTTCAAATGTGTTGTTCAGAAATGTTCACAGTTCTGGAGGCTAGAAGTCCAAAATCAAGGTGTCAGCAGGACCATGCTCCCTCTGAAATCTGTAGAGAAAACCCTTGCCTCTTCCTAACTTCTGGGGATTTGCTGTCAATTTTTGGTGTTCCCTGGCTTACAGATGTATCCCTCCAATCCCTTATTTTCACATAACATTCTCCCTGTGTCTCTTCACATGGAGATCTTTTCATGAGGACACCAGTCCGATTAGGGCCCACTCTACTTCAGTGTGACCTTGTCTTAACAAATCACATCTGCAATGTCCCTATTTCCAATTAAGGTCACATTCTGAGGCGCTGTGAGTTGGAACTTCATTTGGGGGGAATATAAAATTCAACTTGTAACGAGGGCATAGCCAAAAAAATACTAACGTTGAGCTTTAATGAAAGCTTCTAATCCTCTCCTGGACATTGTAATTTACCCCCGGATGCTTCCTGCCATACTGCCATCAAGTACAGTAATTTAATCCTCCTGGATCCAGACGCACTAACTCAGATTTTAAAACAAATAATTGCAAGCTTCAAATTCTAACCAACTACCTCCAGAGTTTGTAAAAAATGAAGATTTTTAGAAGCCCACCTCCAGAGATTCTTATTCAGTGGTTAAGTTGATCAATGCTAATGCAGGTAGTCAAGAGACTATATTTCGGGAAGCACTGGTCTAGAAAGAAGTGTTAAAAGACATGTCCCCTAAGGAAGGGGCAATTGGTGGAGCAGCCAGCCTCATCACTCAGCTCTCAGGCTGGTCTAAAGGTCTTGGAAGGGGCTAAGGAGAACTTTGCTCTGCCATGATAAGTAGTCTGGAAAGTGAGATTAATACTACTTCACCACTTAAAATCCTTTCCTTAGAGGATCATAGAATTGAACTGGTTCCGATCTTTAATTAGCAATTCAATTGTGTCTTCAGTTTTCACAGGCTGCAGATTCCCTCAAGGTCTAAAGTATGACACTGCAGCAATCTATTCCACACTTGGAGCAAGGATTGCTTTTTTTTATTTGGAAAAAAAAAGGAAAAAAAAAGAGACAACAGCTTGGTGTTTGTTAAGAGCCTACTATTTGCCAGGCATTCTAGGCACTAGCGATGCAGCACTGAACAAAACCAATAGCATCCCTGTTATCACAACGCTTTTATTCTAGTGAATGGGAAACAATTGAGAAGCAAGATAAATTAGTAATATATGTGCAAATTCTATCATGATAGAGTTTTGACTGTTCCATTTAATTTTCATCCCTGGGACCTAGAATGATCCTTAGCACACAGTAGATGATCAACAAATATATATTGAATACCAAATGGTGATAAGTGTAATGACAAAAAATAAAGTAGGGAAATGAAACAAAGTGTGGGGAGGGTGCAATTTTAAATGGAAGAATCACAGAAAGCTTCATAGGAAAAGTGTCATTGGAGTAAAGTTCTGAAGGAAATGAGAATGCAAGTCATGTACATATATCTGGGAAAGAAGGGAGCCTTAGAACAGCATCAGCAAAGGCCCTGAGATAGGAGCATACTTGTGTGTTCAAAGAACAGCATAGAGAGAAAGAAAAGAGGGGAAGAGAAGTAGGAGGGTGGAAAGGTAAAGAGTGCGAGGGATGGCCAGATATGCACTGGGATGTCTTGGCATCAGCTCTGAGATGGGAAGGCACTGAGAGTTATAAACAGTGGAGTGAGGCTGAGACAAGAGGATCCCTCGAAGCCAGGAATTCATGACCAGCCTGGGCAACATAGCAAGACTCACCTCTCTACAACAAAAACTTAAAAATTAACTGGGTGTGGTGGCATGTGCTTGTAGTCCTAGCTACTTGGGAGGCCAAGGCAGGAGAATCACTTGAGCCCAGGAGTTCAAGGCTGCAGTGAACTATGGTTATGACAGCCTGGGTGAAAGAGCAAGACTTTGTCTCAAATAAAATAAAACAGTGGAATGATAGAAGCTGCTTATATTTTAACAGGTTTATTTCAACTGCTGTGTTAGAACACTGAAGAAAACAAGGGTACAAGCAGGAAGCTATTGCAAAAAATCCAATGAGAGATGAGACTGTCTCAGACCCAAATGGTCACAGTAATAGGATGAAAAGGGATAAGATTCTAGGTATATTTTGAAGGTTTGGGCAACAGAACTTGCTAATGAATGGGATGCTGGACATGAGAAAAAGAGAGCAAAGATATAGTCAAGTGAGAATGTGGAGGAACTGGAACTATAATCCACTGTTCGTGGAAATGCAAGATGGTACAGCCACCTTGGAAAATTATTTGGCAGTTTCTTAAGAAGCTACACAATGCACCTACCCACCCAAACATGCCACTCTTAGGTGATTTACTCAAGAAAAATGAAATCAAATACCTACACAAAGACCACTATGGAATGTTCATGGCAACTTTAATCATAATAGCCAACAACTGGGAGCAAGTCAAACGTTCATCACATGAAGAATGCATAAGCAAATCGTGGTGTGTCTATATAATGAAATGTTAATCACAACACAAAGAAGCAAACTACCATTTCACACATGAATAAATATCAAAATATTCACTCTAAGTAAAAGAGACATAACGAGAGTACCTACTGTATAACTCCATCTATATAAAATTCCGGAAAATGTAAACTAGCCATGATGAAAAGTAAATCAGTGGTCTCTTGGGGACAGACTTGAAGGGAGGAATGGGTGACAAAGGGAGATAGAAATGTTCTGTAAATTAATTGTGGCAATGGCATTATGGGTGTATACCCAAACTCATTGAGTTGTACACTTTAAACATTACAGTTTACTGGACATATATGTCATAGAGTTGATTTTAATAATTTTCAAAAAGAGTAAAGCCAGGGTTTTAGCCTGAGTAATTGGAAGAATAGAGTTGTGATTTTCAGAGATGAGAAAGATTGTGAGAGGAGCCAATCTTGTTGGTGGTGAAATAGAATATAAGGAGCTGAGTTATGGCCATGCTAAGTTTGACATGCCTAATAGGGAGATGTTGAATGGACAGTCAGGTATATAAATCCGGAGTTCAGGAAACAGGTCAGGCTGGAGATATACATATAGGAATCATCAACATATGGATGGTCCTTAAAGTCATGAGGTTGTACAAAATCACTATGAGAGTGAATGCAGATTTAAAAAAATAGAAGACATGCAAGGACTAATCCTTGGGACTCCAAAATCAAGAGACCATGAAGCTGAGAAGGAATCAGCAGCAACTAAGGAGGAAAGGCAGTACAGCCTGGTATCCCAGAAGGCAAGTGAAGGGCTCATCGAGAAAGAAGGGAATGACCCTGTGGCCATCTGTGGCAAAGTCAGTCCTGGGGGACTGAGAACTGCTCATTGGAGTACCTGAAGGTCATTACTGACCTTGATAGAGTAATGGTGAAGAAAGAATGGAAAGAGTGAAATTGGAGTTAGCCTATGTAGTTAATTCATTCATGGAGTTTTGCTGGGAGAAATATGAAGTGGCAGGTGGAGGAGAAAGTGGAGTCAAGGGAATTTTTTAGAATGCGACAAATCATAGCATGTTTGCATGTTGATAGGGAAGATCCAGTGAAGAAATATTAGTGCTTTAAAGGAGATAGAAGAGGATGGATGGAACAATATTCCTGAATAAGTGGGAGGCAACAGGACATAATGTACAATTGAAGGGGCTGGCTGGGTCAGGAGACCAGTGAGCTCCTTCACTGTGACCAGAGATGAAAAGAGGCCAGGTGTGGTGACTCACACCTGTAATCCCAGCACTTGGGAGGCCAAGGTGGGAGGACCATTAAGCACAGAAGTTTGAGACCAGCCTGGGTAACAGAGTGAGGCCCCATCTCTACAAAAATTTTCAAATTAGCCAGGTGTGGTGGTGGGCACCTGTAATTCCAGCTACTCGGGACACTGAGGTGGGAGGATCGCTTGAGTTGGGGGGTCAAGGCTTCAGTGAGCCAAGATCACACAACTGCACTCCAGCCTGGGTGACAGAAACAGACCCTGTCCCAAAACAGTAAAATTAAAAATTAAAATTAAAAACAGAGACAGGAAAGAGAATGTGGGCAGCATGAAGGGAGGCATGGCAGAGGGAGCCCATCCCATCTGATAGCTCCTGTTTTCTGGATGAATGAGGAAGGAATATTGAGAGAGAGAGATGAGTGGGAAGCTGCTGGAGACATCTATTTTTGTATGGGCTGTGTGCTAAGAATAGTTTTTACATTTTTAAAAGTAAAACATAAAAAGGACTATTAGCCTTTCAGAAAGACCACACGCTCAAAGAGTTGAGGAAATTTCCTCTTGGCCCACAAAGCCTACATTATTAGTACTGGCCCTTTACAGAAACAAATTGGGCTACCTTTGACAGAGGTGAGTTAGTGAGTGAATGGGCTAAAACTCTATGTAGAGCAGGACATGCCAGGCATCGAAGAGCACTGGGCAGCAGCTTGACAGAATATCAATCTACTTCATCCTCACACAAGTACTACAAGTTAAATATTAATAACCCAATTTTAGATGAGCTAATTGTTTCTCAGGGAGGTTCAATAAATTCCTCGAGGTCATACACATAGTAAGTGGGGTGTATTAGTCTGTTTTCACACTACTATAAAGAAATACCTGAGACCAGGTAATTTACAAAAGAAGGAGGTTTAATTGACTCACAGTTCCACATGGCTGGGGAGGCCTCAGAAAACTTACAGTCATGGTGGAAGGGGAAGCAGTCACCTTCTTCACAAGGCAGCAGGAGAGAGAAGCACAAAAGAGGAACTTCCAAACACTTATAAAACCATCAGATCTCATGAGATCTCACTCACTATTATGAGAACAGCATGGAGGAAATTGTCCCCATGATCCAATCATCTCCCTCCCTCAACCCGTGAGGATTACAGGTCCCTCCTTTGATACACGGGGATTACAATTTGAGATGAGATTTGGGTGTGGACCCAGAGCCAAACCACATCATGGGGAATAAAGATTTACTTAGCAAACATGTAAATGTCTCAAATTCCTCTTTCCTTTCCAAAAGACTGTGACCCCTTCATCTTTACTTTGAATGTTGCATATGCAACTGCAAGATAATGCATATGGAAACAGCACGTGCAGCAGGACAAGCCCACTTTAGAGCTAGACAGATTCAGGTGTAGACCTCAGCCTCCTCTTGCTGGCTTTGTGGGCTTGAATGATATATGCAACATTTCCAAGTCTCCATTTTTCTCATCTGTCAAATCTGATTTGTAATAATTAAGCCACTTGAAATTGCTAATATTCAACCATTTCTGACCTATAAAGATGACAGTTTCATATAGTTCTAACACCTATCATCCAAGGATTTTCTGTGGGATAAAGTTAATATACATAAAGCATGTGTACTTTTTAGACACTTAAATGGTAGTGAATATATGGATAATAATACATCTTGATGCCTAAAGAAGTATTTATTTAGAGGAAAGGGGCTATGGAATGATATCAACTATGCACACTTAGCCCAGAGCCACAGGGAAAAATGAGATGTGGAGGGCTGCAGGAACCCTGAAGGTGGCTGGTGAGTCTCGAGTCACACTAACCCTAAGTCTAAACTCATCTTGATAACATTTGGCCTGGAGGAGCCCTGTGGGCCACTTCATGTCCAACTTTCAATACCTGGAAGATTGCCACAGGGAGGCATCATACTGTCTGGGCTATAGAGGATAGAAAGAGGAATCCTGGGTGGACATTACCTGGAGACAGAGTTATATACAATGTATGCTAAAACTTTTTGATAATTAGAATTATTAACCATGGAATAAGCTGCAGTGGGGAATACACAGTTCAAAAGGGGACTAGAAAGCACAAAATAACATATTGTTGGAGGACTCACCGAATGGGTGAGGGCTGGACTAAATGACCTTTGAGATTCTTTCCAACTCTAAACTTTTATGAGTCAGTAGGTCCTGGTTCAGGTCTAGCAGTGTTCTGAAGTGGAACCAACTAGTTATATCTAATATAGTTCCTGACACAGAGCAGGCATTTAAGGAAAGTGTGCCCTTCTCTTTCACAGCTCCTCTGCCCCTAATGCAAGAAGAACTATTAAGTTATCCTATCATTCAGCAACTGTACATATCTCCCCTTCCTTTCATCCATTTTGATTTCTCATGGGTCTACTAATTAAGAAATAGAGGAGGAAGGAACTGATTCAAAAAGTCACAAGCCAAAATTTAAATTGGAATCCTAGTATATACTTATGAAGTTGTTATCAGATCAAAGTCAGTATTTTTATGTTTGAATAGGCTTTTCCAAGGATAGATCACTGGAATTTATATTGCTAATAGGAGGATAAATTGTTTTCCTAGAAGACAAGATTAAAAAGAAGCAACTGGCATTTGAGAGATTCAGATCACTTCACTCCCGGGTGGCTGGACTAGAAATGAGATGGTAGAAGATAAACAGTGGTGCCTAGATGGTCTCTTCCCAGGTCACAGGTTGCAGCAAATTTTAAGTCAAAAGAATTGTCTCATAATGGGATGATTAAAGGAAGCTCCCTTTGCCTCCCTTAAAAGAGGCAGCCTATGAGTAGAAAACTTGCTCTGTAACAAATGCATTTAAATTATAGCAATGAGGAAGAGCCACTTCTCCAAAATTAAAGACAATAGAAAGTTATTAGAAAGTCCTTTCTGCCAGGCATAGTGGCTCATGCCTGTAATCCCAGCACTTTCGGAGGCTGAGACGGGCGGATCACCTGAGGTCGGGAGTTCAAGACAAGCCTGACCAACACGGAGAAGCTCCATGTCCACTAAAAATACAAAATTAGCCTGGTGTGGTGGTGCATGCCTATAATCCCAGCTATTTTGGAGGCTGAGGCAAGAGAATTGCTTGAACCTGGGAGGCAGAGGTTGTGGTGAGCCGAGATCATGCCATTGCACTCCAGCCTGGGCAATAAGAGTGAAACTCCATCTCAAAAAAAAAAAAAAGAAAAGAAAAAAGAAAGTCCTTTCTATCTTCCAGGTACCTGGGTTTGAGGAGGACTTTTTATAAGGCCATGTACTTGGAGCCAGAAGGCATTCATGAGAACCCTCACCATGTGGCCTCCTACCCTTAATTCAATGACCTTGGGAAGGTTACTTGACCCTCCTATGCCAGTGTCTCATCTGCAAATAGAAACCATATAACATTGACTTCATAGGGTTATTATAAAGATTAAGTTAGATAATGTTTATCAAGCAGTGGGCATGGTACTTGGCAAATTATGAACGTTCAAGAAATGTCAATTACATATGCATACCTTTTAATCCAGAAATGACATCATGGGGACTTTCCTGTTTAAAGGGTACCCAGTTAACACCCCCTACAGCACCCCCTCCAAAGTCTTGCTAAAACACTTTATACAGGCAAAAAATAACACCCTAATTACTTAAAAAAATTTTTTTTTTTTTGAGACAAGGTCTTGCTCTGTCACTGAGGCTGGACCGCAGTGGCATGATCAGGGCTCACTGCAACCTCAACCTTCTGGGCTCAAAGGATCCTCCTGCCTCAGCCTCCCAAGTAGCTAAGACTACAGGCACACACCACCACACCCAGCTAATTTTTTGATTTTCTGGTAGAGTCTAGGTCGTGCTATATTGCACAGACTGGTCTCAAACTCCTGGGCTCAAGTGGTTCTCCTGCCTCAGCCTCCTAAAGTGCTGGGATTACAGGTGTGAGCCACCATACCTGGCTTTAGAATTTCTCATCATGAATTAGGTGGAGTGGAATTGTGAAAATCAATCTGTAGTCCACCCAGCTTTGTCCAAATAAAGTGAATGGCATCTTGAATGTCCATATCAGTCTGCCCTAGCTAATAACCAAAAAAAAAAAAAAGCTGTGGCTTCACTACTGAACAGGTACTGTTTTGAGGTGATCAGAATGTTTCTACCTCATCATTTTCCTGCATGTTTTCAAAGCTTGTAACTCCTTCAAGAAACAGCGAGTCACTGGCACTAGCAGAAGTGGTTCTTTCTTGAGCAATAGCAATATTGTTCTAATATTTTAAGCACTGTGGGGCAGGCAGGGCAAGAATGAAGGTTCTAGTGGCAGACCATGCTGGAGATTTCAGTTTTTACCATCTCACTCTCAGAAGGTCAGAAAATCAAGCAGGAGTAGAAGATCCCACTTCAGTACGCCAGCACCATGTCCACAGGAGCTTCCTAGACACTTTAGATGGGACTACCCACAAAGACTCGCCTTCGACTGTCCATGTGAGAAAGGCAAACATACCTATTCCTCTTTTCTATGGAAGATGCCAAATCTAGATCGTTTTTTCCTTTATGACTAAGGAGGGAAAAAAAAGGGGGCTTGGGCAGCCCAAAAGCTTCTTAGGCTGATAAGCAACTTCAGCAAAGTCTCAGGATAAAAAATCAATGTGCAAAAATCACAAGCATTTCTACACACCAAGAATAGACAAGCAGAGAGCCAACTCATGAATGAGCTCTCATTCACAATTGCTACAAAGAGAATAAAATATCTAGGAATACAGCTAACAAGGGAAGTGAAGGACCTATTTAAGGAGAACTACAAACTACTGCTAAGGAAATCAGAGAGGACACAAACAAATGGAAAAACATTCCATGCTCATGGATAGGAAGAATCAATATCACAAAAATGGTCACGCTGCCCAAAGTAACTTGTAAATTCAGTACTATTCCCATTTAACTACCACTGCCATGCTTCACAAAATTAGAAAAAAAAAAAAACTTTAAAATTCATATGGAACCAAAAAAGAGCCTGTATAACCAAGATAATTCTAAGCAAAAAGAACAAAGTTGGAGGCATCACACTAGCTGACTTCAAACTATACTACAAGGTTACAATTACCTAAACAGCATGGTACTGGTATGAAAACAGACACATAGACCAATGGAACAGAATAGAGATCTCAGAAGTAAGACTGTACATCTACAACCATCTGATCTTCGAAAAACCTGACAAAAACAAGCAACGGAGAAAGGATTCTCTATTTAATAAATGGTGCTGGGAAAACTGGCTAGCCATATGCAGAAAATTGAAACTGGACCCATTCCTTGTACCTCATACAAAAATTAACTGAAGATGGATTAAAGACTTAAATTTAACACCCCAAACTATAAAAACCCTAGAAAAAAATCTAGGCAATACCATTCAGGACATAGGCACAGGCAAAGATTTCATGAGGAAAACGTCAAAAGCAACTGCAACAAAAGCTAAAATTGATAAATGGCATCTAATTAAACTAAAGAGCTTCTGCACAGAAAAAAAACTGTCAGAGTAAACAAAAAACCTACAGAATGGGAGAAGATTCTTACAATCTAACCATCTGACAAAGGTCTAATATCCAGAATCTACAAGGAACTTAAACAAATTTACAAAAAAAAAAAAATTAAAAACTGGGCAAAGCATCGTCTGGGATGTGAGGAGCGCCTCTGCCCGGCCACCCCGTCTGGGAAGTGAGGAGCGCCTCTGCCCAGCCGCCCCATCTGGGAGGTGTACCCAACGGCTCCAAAGAGACAGCGACCATCGAGAACGGGCCATGAAGACGATGGCGGTTTTGTCAAAAAGAAAAGGGGGAAATGTGGGGAAAAGAAAGAGAGATCAGATTGTTACTGTGTCTGTGTAGAAAGAAATAGACATAGGAGACTCCATTTTGTTCTGTACTAAGAAAAATTCTTCTGCCTTGGGATGCTGTTAATCTATAACCTTACTCCCAACCCCGTGCTCTCTGAAACATGTGCTGTGTCAACTCAGGGTTAAATGGATTAAGGGCGGTGCAAGATGTGCTTTGTTAAACAGATGCTTGAAGGCAGCATGCTCCTTAAGAGTCATCACCACTCCCTAATCTCAAGTACCCAGGGACACAAACACTGCGGAAGCCCGCAGGGACCTCTGCCTAGGAAAACCAGAGACCTTTGTTCACGTGTTTATCTACTGACCTTCTCTCCACTATTATCCTATGACCCTGCCACATCCCCCTCTCCGAGAAACACCCAAGAATGATCAATAAATACTTAAAAAAAAAAAAAAACTGGGCAAAGGACACGAACAGACACTTCTCAAAAGAGGACATTTATGCAGCCAACAAACAAATGAAAAAAGTTCAACATCACTAGAGAAATGCAAATCAAAACCACAACGAGACAGCATCTCACACCAGTCAGAATAACAATTCTCAAAGTCAAGAAACAACAGGTGCTGGTGAAGCTGTGGAGAAATAGGAATGCTTTTACACTGTTGGTGGGAATGTAAATTAGTTCAACCATTGTGGAAGGCAGTGTGACAATTCCTCAAAGACCTAGAACCAGAAATACTATGTGACTCAGCAGTCCCATTATTAGATATCTACCCAAAGGAATATAAATCATTCTATCATAAAGATACATGCATATGTATGTTCACTGCAGCACTATCGACAACAGCAAAAACATAGAATTAACCAAAATGCCCATCAATGATAGACTGGATAAAGAAAATGTGGTACATATACACCATGGAATACTATGCAACCATAAAAAGAAAAGAGATCATGTCCTTTGCAGGGACATGAATAGAGCTAGAAGCCATTATCCTCAGCAAACTAACACAGGAACAGAAAACCAAACACTCCATGTTCTCACTTATAAGTGGGAGCTGAACAATGAGAACACATGGGCACAAGGAGGGGAACAACACACATTGGGGCCTGTTTGGGGAGTGGGGGAGGGGGAGGGAGAGCATCAAGATAAATAGCTAAGGCGTGAGGGGCTTAGTATCTAGATGACGGGTTGATAGGTGCAGCAAACCACCATAGCACATGTATACCTATGTAACAAACCTGAATGTTCTGCACGCGTATCCTGGAACTTAAAATAAAATTAAATTAAAATATTTAAAAGAGAGCATGGGGCCTTGCAAACAATATGAGACTAAGGAAAAAGGGAACAACAACTATAGACTCAGAGACAGAACCAATCTCTGAAAATTATCTACTGAAAGAACCAGAATTAAGCTGTAGGAAACTAGGTGCTTTCAACGGGCCACAAGACAGCCTGGCTTCTTCAAGGAGTCACAAAAAGTGAATAGGTTGACATGAACTCAAGAAGAGATGAAAAGATGAAATTAAATTAAATCTCAAGCTGAGATTTTAAAATCATAATAATAACACACTACTTACTAAAAGGAGGCAGATGATGTGCGCAGGAAGGGCAGAGGAGAGAGACTGAAAGAATAATAGCAGGGAAAAAGAGCACATGAAAAGCAGATGTCACCATGACAAATCAAAGGCATCTGGTGAAGGGCAAATTTCAGAACCTTTTAAAAGAAAAGGGAAAAACAAAGATACAAGTGACGAGCAAGATGATGATCTTGAAGGAGAGTTTGGAAAGCCAACTAAATAATTTAGTGTCTTTCTTAGGAGAATACCAAGATAATTACAAGCAAAGCAATAACCAAAATCATCAACAAAGAAAATGTATTTGAGCTGAAAAAGCCTTAACTGTGCAAGCAAAAAGACTCACTCCCCATGATCCACAAAATAAATAGATGAATATATAAATTACACATAAAGCATTCTGAAACTATTTTATAACTACAAAACAGAAAGACATCTTGTAAACATTCACTTGGAAAAAACCTGGTCACTAAGAAAAAACGAAGTCAAGATGATCTTATACTTCCATATAGCATTAAGTTTCAAACATACACACACAGGAAATGTTTACAGAGTTTTAAGGAAAACAATGTGGAACGTAAGAATTTTCAATTCAGACAACAGGAAAAATATTTTTAAACACCTAAGATCTTATATACGGGCTTATAATAATACCTTTCTTGGGAAAAAAAAAATCCTAAAAATGTCTTTAAGAAAAGAAAGAAAGAGGCCAGGTGCCGTAGGTCATGCCTGTAATCCCAACACTTTGGGAGACCGAGGCAGGCAGATCATTTAAGGGCAGGAATTTGAGACCAGTCTGGCCAACATGGTGAAATCCCCTCTACTAAAAATACAAAAATTAGCTTGGCGTGGTGGTGCACGCCTGTAATCCCAGCTATTCCAAAGGCTGAAGCCTGAGAATTGCTTGAACCGGGAGGTGGAGGTTGCAGTGAGCCCAGACTGCGCCACTGCACTCCAGCCTGAGTAACAGAGTAAAACCCTGTCTCAAATTAAAAAAAAAAGAGAGATGGAAAGAAAAATTAAGATCACAAGCCTGAGAGCATTGTATTAGAAAATAAATAGTATCAAGAACTGAAATTATTACTGTGGTGAATTTAATCTAAATAAGCATTAATACAAACACAAATACAAATGATACAAAGTAAACTTAAAAAGAAAAAATACATGAAATTCTTATAAATAATGTAAGAGTAATTACATGGGTTGTATTAGCAAAGTCTAGCATGGTAGAAGACAAATATAAAAGTGCAATAAATTTATCATGCTATTTCAAATGAGGACAAATGATCAAATTCCTTGATAACTAAAGAAAAATGTGTTAAAGAATGTATCTTTAAAATTTAAAGTCAATTACTAGAAGACTCTGAGGAGGATATGTAACTTCCACATCATGAGAAACTGAAACAAACAAAATATGGCTCAAAATCAGAAAATATAAGACAATAAAAACTGCGAAGTAGAGTAAAAATACAAACTATTAAATAACATGATATTGAAATAGCTAAGATAAACTAAATTAATAGTGGCTTTAAAACATGTGGTTTTGATTTCTTATTTTAAAAAATCCAGAATTAGACCATTTTGTGGTTCGTAAGTGTGATGATTGGGTTTGCATGCTCATGAGTGAGACGTGCCTCCCTCAAACCTTGTTACATCATTAGCACATTAAATATCTGACATAAAAAAGTGGGGGAAAGTCAGAAGCAGGCAGTCTGGGCGGACATAGAAGTTCCACAGTCACTGGGGACCCCAGATATGCTGAGCTTCCTGCATTGCTATACTAGTGTGTGTGGTCCTTTGCCAATATGGATTCTCCAGCTAAAAATATGATGTCTGGAATTTACCCTGCAGAAAGGAAAAAGGAGAAAGATGCATAATACCTACCCTCCAAGTATACTTTCTGGAAGTTATACCTATGACTTCAGCCTTCATCCATTATTTGTAACTCAGTCATATGCCAAACATTCCACAAAAGAGCATGGAAAATTAATAACGACCATTCAGGAGGGCCTCTGGTCTTTGCGCAGCTAAAAATTGAGGATTCCCATCTTTATTCAAATAATTTTAGCAGATCAAATTAGGGAGAAAAAGTGTGTAAAGAGCAATGTTCTTTGGAAAAACCAATTAATTTTCAACCATGAAAAAATGAAAACAGGTAAGTGCTAGAAGTAAATGATGGATGATTATTTTCATAATCTTAGGCAGAAAAAGTCTTTCTAAGAAGTTCTAAATTAAAACTTTGATATTTAAAAGATTAAATATGTAATCCTTCAACATCAAAAACATAAAGATAACAAAAATTAAAAGTAAATGAAGATCTGGGAAAATATACTTAGACCATATATGATAATGAAGTTAGCACTATCATATATAATGATATAATAAAGTCATATATCGTAATGTCATTGTTTCTATAACATATAAAGAAATGTTATAAATCAAGGAAAAGATGAACGCCTTAATATAACGATAAGTTAAGAACATGAAGCAATCTGAGAGACAAATACAAAATGGCAAACACAGGTTCAAGAAAAGTTTTACTTCACTAATAATCATTGTAGTTAAAATTAAAATAATGAGACACTATTGTTCTCATACAAATTGTCAAATTTTCAAATTTGCCAATGATGGCAAAAACACTTTGAAATAGGAAATATGCCACTTAATATTAGAAAAGCAAAACTTGGAGGTGAAATCCCAAGTTTCAAAATTATTTAATGACCATTGACCCAGTAAGTCCTAAGATTCCATTCTAGGGACTATGTATAGATTATACATAATATACATCTATAAAGATGTATAAAATAGTGAAAAATTGGAAAGAGCCTGTGTCAAATGAGAGTTTTATTAAAATAAATGTGCCCCCAAAGGTGTCCTTTTTATTGTATCCAAAAGTGCCCTATACTTCTCCTATGAGATTAATTGCATTATATGATTTTGAATCTACTTGTACAAAAGCATGCTTATTTTGTATCTGCCTAGGTACACAATTGTACCCTCTGGTAGATGGGAGCACCTTGAAAACAGGGCCATGTTGTCTTATTCAACAGTGTGTTCTCAAGAACCAGGCTTGGGTCTGTAAACAGTAAGAATTCAGAAAACGTTTGCCACTAAAAACAATAATGTAGAATTATTCTATTAATACAACACATGATTACAGTGTACCATGTGCCAGACACTAAGCTAAACACTAAGATTTGAAAGTGAGCAATGTATTCTTGACTCTCACGAAGATTGTATTTGTCAGAGGCATGTGAACCAGAGCAACTCCATCTTAAATAGGGGCTGGGCAAAATGAGGCTGAAACCTACTGGGCTGCATTCCCAGATGGCTAAGGCATTCTAAGTCACAGGATGAGATAGGAGGTCAGCACAAAGTACAGGTCATAAAGACTGTGCTGATAAAACAGGTTGTAGTAAAGGAAACGGCCAAAACCCACCAATACCAAAATGGCGACGAGAGTGGTCCTCACTGCTACACTCCTGCCAGCACCATGACAGTTTACAAATGCCATGGCAATATCAGGAAGTTACTCTATACAGTCTAAAAAGGGGAGGCATGAATAATCCACCCCTTGTTTAGCATATCATCAAGAAATAACCATAAAAATGAGCAACCATCAGCCCTTGGGGCTGCTCTGTCTATGGAGTAGCCATTCGTTTATTCCTTTACTTTCTTAAACTTGCTTTCACTCTGCACTGCGGACTCACCCTGAATTCTTTCTTGTGTGAGATCCAAGAACCCTCTCTTGGGGTCTGGATCTGGACCCCTTTCCTGTAACACATTCAGGATGGAAAACAGAAAAAAAAAAAAACAAATACAGCCACACATCACATAATGACATTCCAGACAGGCCACTTATACAACGGTGGTCCCCTGAGATTATAATATCATGTTTTCACTATACCTTTCCTACGTTTAGATACATAAATACCATTGTATTACAGTTGCTTACAGTATTCAGGGCAGTAACATGCTGTACAGGTTTGTAGCCCAGGAGCAATAGGCTATACCACATAGGCTAGGTGTGTAGTAGGCTATACCATCTGGGTTTGTGTAAATACACTTGTGATGTTTGCACAATGACAAAGACGCATTTCTTAGAACGTATCCCTCTTATTATGCAACACATGATTATCATAAATATTTATATAGTGTGAAAATGGCTATGAATATAATCATCAAGAAGATAAAATAGAAAATAACTGAGGGAGATGCACTTTAATTACACCAGTCAGAAAAAGCTTCAACATGGGCCAGGCTCACACCTGTAATCCCAGCACTTTGGGAGGCCAAGGCGGGCAGATAACTTGAGGTCAGAGGTTTGAGACCAGCCTGGCCAAACTGGCGAAACCCTCTCTCTACTAAAAATACAAAAGTTAGCTAGGCATGGTGGCATGCACTTGTAATCCCAGCTACTCAGGAGGCTGAGGCAGGAGAATCGCTTGAACCTGGGAGGCGGAGGTTGCAGTGAGCCAAGATTATGCCACTGCACTCCAGCCTGGGCGACAGAGCAAGACTCTGTCTCAAAAAAAAAAAAAAAAAAAAAGAAAAAGAAAAAGAAAAAGCTTCAACATGACAATATTTAAGCTGATTTCCAATGGATAAGAAGTCACACATGGCAACAGTACGGAGAAAAGCATTTTAAGCAGAGGGTACAGCAGATACAAACAGCCTGAGGCAGGAAGATTTAAGTGTGTTTGAATAAGACTGACTCTGGTGTAGGGAGTAGCTTAACCTGAGGCTGGAGAGATATCAGGAGACAGGATCTGTAGAGCCATCCAGCCCTTGTGCAGAGTTTGGATTTATTACACATGTAATGAAAGCCGCTGAAGGTTTTAATGTAAGGTTTAATTTATGTTCTTGCTCATAATGTGGAAAATGGATTGTAGAGGAACAAGTATGAATTGAGAGACCCTTCAACGAGGTGCTGACATAGTGCAGGTGAAGGATGAGCCATGGCCAGGGTGTTCACCATGGAGACAGAGAAAAGTTGACAGTCAAGATATTTTAGGGGGAACAATCAAATGGAGTTGCTGCAACTGCTATATAGGGGTTATGGGAAAGGGAAAATCGGGACTGACTCAGATTTCTGAATTGGGCAACCGACGGATAATGCTGCCATTTATTGGCATAGGACAGATAGAGGAGGAATTGATTCATGCAGGGGAAATGAGAAGTTCTATCTTGGACACGTTTAATTTGAGATGTTTGTAAGACATCCAGGTTGAACTGTCAAGTAAGCAGAGCTGGATATGGTGCTCAGAAAAAATGGGTTGAAGACACAAACTTTGGAGTCTTGAGTCATAATGAGATTTTTAAAGCTGTGAATTAATGGAACCACCCAGTGAAAAATGATAACAGGAGAAGAGAAGAGGACCCAATACTGTCAACACTTAAAAGGAGAAATAGCAGCTGGGAGAAACCAGTGAGTTTGGAAAGCAGAGAACCAATGGCCTGATGATAACCAAGAGAAGAGTATTTTGAGAAACAAATGGCCCACTCCACCCAATGCTGCTGAAAGGGTAAGATGAAGACAGAGAAGTGTACATTGCATGTGGCTATGTGGATTTCCAGTGACCCTGAGGCAAGAAATTTTAGTACAGTGACGGGGCTGGAGAGGAACCAGACTGGAATAAAAAAAATGAGTTAAAAAAGTGGAAATCACATAGTTAACAACTCTTGAGAAGTCTGGCAATGCAAAATAATACAGAAATGGATGGGAGACAGGGGAGACAGGGAACCAAGGAAGTGACTGTGTTTGTTGTTGGTGTTGTTTTTATGATAGGGTTGGTAAATTAGAATATGGTTACAGAAATGATCCAGTAGATGATAAGGGCAAGTTGATAAAGGAGAGAAGATAACCAGAGTGAAGTGTTTTAAAAGGTCAACGAGCATTGGATACAGAGAAGGGGAGGGACTGGACTTTGCTAGGAGAGAGAAAATGCCCTCCATTGTGCCAGGAGGAAAGAAGGGAGCATTAGCTGCAGAGGAGTTTTTGTTAAGTTTTCATCGGGAATGCTAGAGTCATCATGTGAAGGTTTTTACTTCACTGAAGTGTGGAACAAGGTCAATAGCCCAGTGAGGACTAAAGAGGGAAGGGTTGGGGGAGGGTTTGAGGAGAATATATGAATAGTTCTGGGAAACACAAGAAGGTTTCTGGGTCACAATGCATGCCTGTGGAGGCTTTAGATCATCAAATGAAGGAAATGGTTCAGTTAATAGTCTCCAGTAACAGACACAGGTGCAGAGGTGAAGAGGGTTGAGGTTTGGCTAGACATGTGCAATGAGGCTAAGATGAGGGGTAGTTGAAAGCACTTCTGACAGAGTGACTACAATGACAGGTTGAAGAGTATTTAATGATATATAAAAGAGCAAGACAATAGAGGGAAATTTGACATTTATAAAGGGGAATCTTTTTGAGTGGGAAGAATACAGGTAATTTTCATTTTCCTCTTTATGTGGGGCTTTATTCTCTAAATTTTCTATAATAGGAATATTTTAATACTAAGTACAGTTGTATTTCAAAAATAAACAGGATAGTAGGCAAGCAGTTTTACACTGAGTTTAAGAGCAATCCTATTAAACAACGGGGAGACAAATTTAGCATTCATTACAATGGATTGTCAACTGAAACTCATTGATTCAAATATGTTAAATATTTTAGATATATACAACGTATCAAATCTTTTAGTATATTAATATATAACAGAAATATATATATTAAATGTGTAAGTTCATAATGATATTTTGAAAAATGAAAACCACACTAATCATTTTTGGCTGTTGCTGGACTCATTGCTCTGAAATTGGATAAATAAAGGTACAGAATACAGCATTTACCTTGCCTCTCATTTATGAACTGTGCTTCAGGTTAACCAAATAGATGTGAGGGAAAGTTCTTCTCCACAGAAGAATTCTAATTAAAAAAGAATGATTATTAGAAAAATAATTCGAAAAATGTCATTTTGCAACCCCTGCCGAGACAATGGATTTTGGCAAGAATCATAAATGGTAGTTGATGGGAAAATTGATAATGGGTGAATGATGACATCTAAACCCATCAACTTCAGCATCATGAAAAGTGGGACAAGTAGACATTGGGTGCCTGTTGATTTAAACACTGCCCATAAAATATTTTTGCCCCCTGAAAAAAATAAACCTAAATTTAATTGTGTTTCTTGACTTAACTGCCAGTTAACAAGAAATATGGGGTATATAAACAATACCACAGGATACAATCACATAAGACCAGGATGTGGGAAATTCAACTGGAAAAATGACATATTTTCAACAAATAAATGGCTTGAAAAAAAGGGGGAAGAGAAAGTGTTAAATAATAATAGAGGATTAAGAGATATATCAACCAAAATCAACAAAGGAACTCATACAGCTCCTGATATGAACAAATGTACTATTCAAAATTTTTTTGAGGCCGGGCACGGTGGCTCACGCCTGTAATCCCAGCTCTTCGGGAGGCCAAGGCGAGTGGATCACGAGGTCAGGAGATCGAGACCATCCTGGCTAACACGGTGAAACCCCATCTCTACTAAAAATACAAAAAAATTAGCCAGGTGTGGTGGTGGGCGCCTGTAGTCCCAGCTACTTGGGAGGCTGAGGCAGGAGAATGGCATGAACCCAGGAGGCGGAGCTTGCAGTGAGCCGAGATTGCGCCACTGCACTCCAGCCCGGGCAACAGAGCGAGACTCCATCTCAAAAAAAAAAAAAAAAAAAAAAAAAAAAAAAAAAAAATTGAGACAAGGCAATTTGAACATGGACTGATGATATTTAAAATAATAATTTTGTTAAGTATGGTGATACTATTGTGGTTATATTGTCTTAAAGCCCTTATCTGCTAGAGATTCATATTAAAGTATTTACCAATAAAATTAGTGAAGTCCTGGTCATTTTAGACCAATTGTTCCAGAAGTGACTGTTAACTTCCTAGACTGTTGCCAGTGATAGCATGTGACCCCCTCCAACTCTGACTTAAAGCAGGCTGGTTTCCTGGGCTGTTTGTTGGAAACAAGGGGTTGGTTTTCTGGGCGGGCAGGTGTAAGCTGTTCTATTTTTATATATGCTCTGGTTATTGTCTTTGTATATGTGCCTCTCATTTCCAAATCAATTATCATTTAATGTGCCACTGAACTCTTGGTATAATTCAGATCCAGAATAGGGAGGCTACTTCTATGGAAATGTAGTTCCCACAGCCAGGGGAGGCTTCACACAATTCCACTTGGATGAAGGTCTACATACGTGGAGACGAGCTGAGAAATGGTGGTAAGAAACAAATTGGAGTTAATAGCTGCCAGATAGAGATCAGGCCACAAGGAAACCAAGAGTGGGGACTGACTAAAACACAATTGACAAAATATTGACAATTATTGAGACTGAATTAATGGTACCATCAAGTTTTATTATGCTATTCTCTCTAATTCTGGGTATGTCTAAAAATTTACATAATAAAAAATTTAAAACAGAGTTGAAATGAAAAAGACAATGTACCATCAAAATCTAAGAGAGCGTTAAGACCAGAGACTCATAGAGTTCTTTCAGAGCCTTTCATCACCTGCAATTTTATATATCAATGTGCGCTGATGTTCCATTGGACTGACATTTGCCTGTTTCCAGGATAAGCTCCAGAATATAATTTGAGCCATCCAGCAACTCACGAAGAACTTCTTGCATTTGGCAGAGAAAGAAACAGTTGCTAGACTCACTAAAGTACCCATCCACTTCATTCTTCAAGCAGGTGAATGACTATGATGGGGTTAAAATTCCCAGCTAATTACCTCCCAGCCAGCATTTTAACTGGCTGACTCATACAGATTCCTTAAGATAGAGCAGAAGAACAAGAAAACATAAGCAGTAGCTGTGTGCAGTCAAATGTACAAATATTTAACTAGCTTACTCCACCAGTGCACAGTTTTAATACATAGTCTGAGAGCATAGAATGTAGATACCAGCATTGTATGTGAGGCTGAGACGTGGCAATTTAGCAAACCTTATGGAGTAATTAAACCATCTAGAATTTCAGTTCAGAGAAATCTAAATGGGAGAAGCATCCAGCTGTCAGGAACATGTCGGTTTTTCTTTCTCTCTTCCCTTCATCCTTATGCCTTTGGGACCTGGGATCCTTCAGGACCTCCGTGGCCTTCTCACAATGATCTATACCTGCAACCTTTTCTATGTCCAGGTCCTACCTGGTCAAACCATACCCCTATTCCTACCACCACCAACACTGCCTACACACACACACACACATACACACACACACAGGCACACACATACAAGTGTGCTGTGGAATTCATATTAACTTATAGATGGCACAATAGCAGCGGATCTGAAAGTGTGGTCCTGAGACTGGCAGCATCAGCATCCCCTGAGGACTTATTATACACGCAATAAATTCTTGGGCCCCATCCCAGGCCCACAGAATCAGAAACTCTAGGGGCACGGCCTAGCACTCCAAGTTATAACCAGCCCTCCAACTCCTTTCAATCCATAAAAACCTAAGATCAGGTGAATATAAGGTATTCTTATTTTACACAAGAGGCAGGGGAATAATTAATAAATCAAAAGATATACAGTCAATGTGAATTAACTCTAGAAAAGAGTAGGGAGGAGTAAATCAAATAATACAAAATAAGCGTTAAGTGACTTACTGTTTCAGCACACTCATCTTCCAAATTGAGTCTAATATAAAATCAGTTTGCATTTAATCAATTTGCCAAAAAGTATTCCTTGAACACCTTTGATATCCATTTCTTCAAAATACATCAACCAATGGAGACACCCAGAAAGGGAGTATTTGGGGAATTCTCTGAAGGATTTACAATTTAAAAATCACAATATGAGTAATATGCATATGTATGAAGGATATTATAGTCAACTCTAAAGTGATTCCTGAAAAGTTAGAAAACACAAAACAGTTTCTACAGTATTCTCTCCTCTACCTCTCTCTGCCTAGAGTTAAGAATAATAAAGGTCAGGGCAGGGTGTGGTGGCTAACGCCTGTAATCCCAGCACTTTGGGAGGCCAAGGTGGGTGGATCGCAAGGTCAGGAGTTCGAGACCAGCCTGACCAACAAGGTGAAACCCCATCTCTACTAAAAATACAAAAATTAGCCAGGCGTGGTGGCAGGTGCCTGTAATCCCAGCTACTCAGGAGGCTGAGGCAGGAGAATTGCTTGAACCCGGGAGGTGGAGGTTGCAGTGAGCTGAGATCATGCCATTGCACTCCAGCTTGGGCGACAAGAGCAAGACTCCATCTCAAAAATAAATAAATAAATAAATAAATAAATAAATAAATAAATAAATAAAGATCTTATTCCTATAATTTTAGAGGAATAAATAAGAAAAGCATATGCAAAGACTATGGATTTCTAGTCTGCATCCCAGTTCAAATGTGAAGTAAATTACCGTTAAATTTGGATTGAAAACAGGTATGCTTCATATAGAGCTTTATAAGTTTTAGGTCATGTTGACAAAAACACATACGCGCTCCACTTCTTTGCAACATCTTTGAGGAAAGAATTTCTAGAATGAGGATTCTGGAGTACAAATATGTGGGTAACGTTTCTAAGTTCCCAGAATACATATGATTTCTCATAATTAAAATGCCTAGCATTTTTCTTTTACTTTGATTTTTATTAGATTATAAAACTGGTGGGATAATTATTCATGTTAAAAAGAATTATTTCCATGTTTTAAGCTATAAGTATATTTCAAACTCTTTTCATATTCTTTTAATTATGATGGGACAGTAGAGTATTTATAAATGTAGAAAAAAGTCACTTAGATGATAATATTTCAAAAACTGCCTGCATTCTTTTAAATTAATAAACCTGAAGCCATCTTTTGCAGAAATAACTGCCTTAAGCTTCAAAAAGTTTTCAGTTTGAAAGTAGCAAAGTTCAAAATTTTAACGAGTTGTTTTATTAATATTGTAAATTTCTGTGGTGACAGGAAAAATTGGAGAAGTGATCTATGGAGGAGATTCAAAGCATCCTGAAAAACAAACTCCTCTTAAACTTTTACGGAATACAAGATTCTTATTTTTCCTCTCCATTTTGCCATTTTGCTAACGGCCTTTACTATTATTTTGATTATCTAAATGTAATTGAATTTATTTCTGTGGAAACTAAATGAATATAAACCAAAGGAGAAAAGAAAAGTCTACTTATTCAGGGCTTGCTATAACAAGGGAGTCGGCCACCATCAGTTGCATTTTGGCCAAGAACTCAAAGGCAGGCAGAGTGGAAAAGCCCTACAGTGGAAAAGGGGGAAGCCTTCTCATGTGCCTTGATTGCAGGCAGCTGGCATGGGGAAGCTGTGGGCCGCCTAGCTAGAAACTGGCATCCTGTTGCATATTTGCATTTCTCTGGTTGGTCCTAAGTTGGAAGTGGGGACAAGAATTAGGGAAGCTGTCAGTCATTCTTCAAGTCCTGGCCGTTTTAGACCAATTGTTCCAGAAGTGATTGTTAAGTTCCTAGACCGTTGCCCTAGATAGCATCTGACCCCCTCCAAGTCTGACTTAAAGCAGGCTGGTTTCCTGGGCTGTTTGTTAGAAACAAGGAGTTGGTTTTCTGGGCAGGTAGGTGTAAGCTGTTCTATTTTCATATACAGTCTGGCCATTGTCTTTGTATATGCAGTCTCTCATTTCCAAATAAATTATCATTTAATGTGCCACAGAAATATTGGTATAATTCAGATCCAGAATAAGAAGCCTACCTCTATGGAAATTTAGGCCCCACGAATGGGGGCTTCATATAATTCCTCTTGTATGAAGGCCTATGCACATGGAGACAAGCTGAGAGGACGTAGTAAGAAACAAATTGGACCTATCAGCTGCCGGATAGAGACCAGGCCACAAGGAAAGGTTTAGAGCAGCCTAGCACAAGCAGATGCTTTTCAGCAACCCAGGGTAACATAAATGAGTAAAGCCAGCCAACTCTAGGACAGGGAACAAGAGGGGAGACTGGGAATTGAAGAATGCCTGCTTAGCCTAAAGGCTCTCAAACACATACCATATTTCAAAATCACTCCGAATACCAAACAAAACTAATCTACTGGAAACATGGCCCAGAGGCCTGTCTGTTTGGCCTCCCGCCCAATCTGATATTCAGCCAGTACGCAATGGTTTGGCCATACTGATTGGTCAGTTACTGATTTGATCAGGCACCCAAGACAACTGGTTATTAAATATGCATTTTGAATGGCACCTCACTCTAAAGCAAGAGGGTCAGGGCAATCCCCCAAAACTGGTGGTTGTCAAGAATACATGATTTGGGATGTAGTTTTCCAGGTAGGCTGATGTTTTCTTACTGTCTAGGCACTGGGTAATTTGTGTCAAGCTTTATGTGAATTGGGAAGTCATGAGAACCTGAAAGATGGAATCAAAGCAAAAGTAGCCCTGATGAGAAAAGGCTACTCTTTTCCTGATAAGTTAGAGCCACAAGGGAGCTATGAATCTCAGAGTCACACCTCCATGTTAGTCACCTAAGTGGACTACAGGGAGAATCACTGGGGCCTTTAGCCATGAAAGAGATACATCAACGCAGTGATCAGAGCATCAGGGATGCTTGGGGGGCATCAGGAAAGGAAGGCTGTGCAGAGAACAGGATGGAGAGGATAAAGGAGGGCATTGATTCTGACTACTTCAACAAGAGGCCTGCCATCCCCACTGATAATATGAGCATTACCCCCATGGCCCGTTCAAAACGTCATGGCGATAGAGGTTTAGGGGGTATTTCTGGATGGTGCTTAGGGCAGAGACACTGTCTTTACCACTTCATATGGTAACAGGCCCCTGCACCCTTCCACAATAACTTCTATTTTTTTTTTGAGACAGAGTCTCACTCTGTCATCCAGGCTGGAGTGCAGTGGTGTGATCTCTGCTCACTGCAACCTCCACCTCCTGGGCTCAAGTGATTCTCCCACCTCAGCCTCCTGAGTAGCTAGGATTACAGGCGCACACCACCATGCCTGGCTAATTTTTTTGTATTTTTAGTAGAGACGGGGTTTCGCCATGTTGGCCAGGCTGGTCTCGAGCTCCTGACTTCAAATGATCTACCTGTGCCTGGCCTTCCACAGTAACTTCTACTTCAGGTTAAAAAAAAAAAAAATAGCCTGAAGGTGCATTTAATGTACATGTTTTTACCAGCTGAATTTTTTACAACAGGTAATCCTATTTCTATGATAATAAATTAACAGATTCCATTTGAAAAAAGAAAAAACTTCAAGAATTTGCACTTACACACAAGTATGGTGAGTTATTTACTAAAATAGCCAAATAATATAGACACAGTTTTAAAATACTTTAAAAAAAAAAAAAGTTAGAAATCCAATAAATTCTGGGGTTTCTGCAACTAAACTCTTATAGTAAATGTAATATGAATTTTTTTCAAGTTACTTCTACTTAATGGAAATGCATTATATACCAAAATGCCTTTCCTGGTTCTGGAAAACAAGTGTTCCTCTCCTAACTTTGTGCATTTTTAATTTCTGCTCTTAACTCGAAAATATCTACTAGGGGACAGTGATGCTGCTGTACTGTGGGCCAGGTCACCCTTCAAGGCCACAGGCCTTTGTACAATCGAACAGGCTTCTCTTGACGCACCATTTCCTGGCAGTGTGCTCAGGCATGTTCGTGGCCATTTCAAAACTTCAGTTCCAGAGACTTTCAACTTAAGTCTTCAAAGTGGACAGGTAGATAATATGGATCTTTTGTCCTGCATACAGTGGTGTTGATGGGACTATTTTCATTGTTGCAGAATTGGTGACCAAGACCCAGAGTCAAAGGCAAAGACATATCAAGAATCTCTCATTCTGAAGAGAGCTGCCAACAGCTGGAGGCCATATACTCCCCGAAGACTTTTTATTAGGTTGGACATAACCAGCTCTGCTGCTCCCAACTATCCCCAGGCCCCTCTCATTCCCCTACCCCATACAAGCAGAAGATTGGGAAGAGGGGGAGAAAAGGGGTTGCTTTTTGTGGGTCATCAGTACAGACAGCCTTGATGTTTTCCAGGAAGGAAGAGAAGAAAGGAAGGGAAGCACTCATAGCCATTGCAGGTGTCAGGAATAAGAGGATTTGTCTTGATCTACAGTGGGATATCTGCTTATGGGCAGGGGAGATAAAAACTTACATGACAGAGAGGGGCCAGCAATGGGAAGCAAGCCCTTTTGCTATTCAGTGTTACAAGGAAGCTTGAGTTTCCTGTGGCTCAGGGGGACACTGCAGGAGGCAGCTGAGCTTGAGCTGTCCTGTTGTACCCAAAACAAGAAGGCCACCACAAGGTGGCAGTCCCAGCAACAGGAAATGGCAGGGCGTATTATTGCCAGCAAAAGCTGGGGTGGGACTCAGAAGACTGAGCTAGAGCTGATCTCTCACGTTAGAGAATTGGGCCAAAACCTAGGGAGGAACCCTTCCCTAACCCTGAATGGCCTATATAGAACCCACATATGTACTCCAAGAAGGAACCAGCCTGGGACGCCCACCATCAGTGAGCACCCCCACTGGGTCTATCTCAGCCAAAGAGGCAACAAGCAAGGGAAAGCTATCATCCAGAATGACGGCTTCATCCCTTTCCATCTTTCTTCCCCACTCAAAGGGAAGAGTGTCCCGAGAGAGGGGAGTAAGGAGAGAAAAAGCAGATCAAGCCTTCTCCCAACTCTAAGTCCCCATGGAGAAGCATGATCAGGGCTCTGCAGAGGTGGGAGGAGGTAAAGGGGAATCTATTGGATCTGAAATGGATTTTTAAAACTTCACTGGCTTTTTATAAATACTCAGAAGTGGATTTAAAAATTTATGAAACTCTGTGGGTACAGAGTAGAACTTCCCCACAAAATAAATAAATGTTTGCAGGGCTCAAGTTGGAAAAAATGTCCTTCTGCAGCAAAGGGTGTGGCCCTGGGGTCAGGGAAGCACAATGATGAACCAGGAGCATCTAGGAAGTGACCCGTGCCAAGGGTTTAAATTCCAGGACACTCTTTCCTTGGACTTCTGGAAAAGTAGAATGAAGCAGATAGGTTTAAATTCTTTCTCTAGGCTGGGCACAGTGGCTCACGCCTGTAATCCCAGAACTTTGAGAGGCCAAGGTGGGTGAATCACTTGAGGTCAGGAGTTCGAGACCAGCCTGACCAACATGGTGAAACCCCATCTCTACTGAAAATACAAAAATTAGCCAGGTGTGGTGGTGCACGCCTGTAGTCCCAGCTACTCGGGAGGCTGACACACGAGGATCACTTGAGCCCGGGAGGTGGAGGTTGCAGCAAGCTGAGATCATGCCACTGCACTCCAGCCTGGGTGATAGAGTGAGACTCAGTCTCAAAAAAAAAAAAAAAATTCTTTCTCTTATAGTTTCTCAAACACTGTAATAAAATTTGGTACAGCTTTAATATCAAGTTCGAAATGAGTAACAGGCTGGGTCATAAAATAAAAGAGAGAAAGGGCAGCTTCCCCATGTTCAACCTCCCTCCACCCAGTCCTCACTGCTCAGACTTTGCAGAGGTGGCAACAGTGCATCAGAAGGTGGCCTGTGCTCCAGGCCCCGACTAGAAGGAGAGTGAATAGGTACCTGCTTTAACTCAGTGTTATGGACTAAATGTTTATGTCCCTCCAGAAATCATATGTTGAAATTCTAACCTCCAATGCAATGGTATTTGGAGGAGGAGCCTTGATAGGTGATTGGGTCATGAAGGTGGATCCCTTATGTTGTAATTAGTGACCTTATAAAGGAGTCCCCAAAGAGTTCTCTCCTTCCTTCCTTCCTTCCATCCTTCCTTCCTTTCTTTCTCTCTTTTGTTGAGATGAAGTCTCACTCTGTTGCCCAGGCTGGAGTACAGTGGCATGATCTTGGCTCACCACAACCTCCACCTCCCGGGTTCAAACAATTCTCCTGCCTCAGCCTCCCAAGTAATTGGGATTACAGGCATACACCACCAGGCCCAGCAAATTTTTTGTATTTTTTAGTAGAGACGGGGTTTAACCAAGTTGGCTAGACTGGTCTTGAACTCCTGACCTCAAGTGATCCACCCGCCTCAGCCTCCCAAAGTGCTGGGATTACGGGTGTGAGCCACCGTGCCCGGCTCTTCTCTCTTTCTGAGGATACAAGAAGACGGCAGGCTGTGACCCGGAAGAGGGTCCTCATCAGCATCCGACCATGCTCACATCCTAATCTTGGAACTATGAGAAATAAATTTCTGTAATTTCTAAGCCACACAATCTATGGTACTTTGTTATAGCAGCCCAAACTGACTCAGACCCTCAGAAAAGGCTGATGGGGAAAAACCATCCTGGAAAGTAAATAGTCAAGAGGACCTTGTAAGAGCAGACATGAGAAAACTCCCCACCCCAGTAGATTCACTAGAGACGCAGCTCTCAACTCCTTGTACCAAGACCCATAGGAATGATACACTTTACATCATACCCCTATAAACATGTACATGTGTAATTGATTAAAGTTTCATAAAGTAATATTTACTCACTATGTGCAATGCACATTGATATTTCATATTCTGTTCTGTTTTTTAAATGCTGGCCACAACCCCACACAAATTGATTTCTAGACCTTAATAGTCTCTAATCAGCAGTGTAAACAACTCTCATTAGAGGGAGAGAACCCTTAAGAGGAAGGGGAAACCTTGGGTTTCACAGGCATGAACAGCAGTGTTTCTTCTCTCTGAGATATGCCTCCCATACCCACAGCCCCTTTTTTTTCATCATACTGGGATCCTATATTCCTGATTGCCTACTTTCCAGGTGAGTTATCTCCTCTGGAGTTCCCACCTCTCTACTGGATCTCTTATGTAACCACCTGATATGGTTTGGCTGTGTCCCCACCCAAATCTCATCTTGAATTGTAGCTCCCATAATTCCCATGTGTTGTGGGAGGGACCCGGTGAAAGAAAATTGAATCGGTTTCCCCCATACTGTTCTCAAGGTAGTGAATAAGTCTCACAAGATCTGACAGTTTCGTAAGGGGTTTCCCCCTTTCCTTGGCTCTCATTCTCTCTTGCCTGCTGCCATGTAAGATGTGCCTTTCACCTTCTGCCATGATTGTGAAGCCTCCCCAGCCTCATGGAACTGTGAGTCCATTAAACCTCTTCTTTCTTTATAAATTACCCACTCTCAGGTATGTTTTTATCAGCAGTTTGAAAACAGACTAATACACTATCCTCAATGCCTTTCTAATTCTACCCATTGTACATGGATTGGACTCCTCAATGCCAACTCCATTCATGAAATACTTTCCAAGCCCTTTCATACCCAGCATGTACAAATTGTCCCCAGCACCTTCTTAACAAGTATGTCTGAATAACAGAAAACTACAATAATAATGCATGTCAGAATTATATGATGTAAAGATGTGTCTGTCACTGCTACCAGCTCTATCTATACCTCTTTCTCTGTAATCCTTATAACCATCTGACACATTAGGTCACATAGCTATTTAGCGGTGGACTTGAGCTTCGAATCCAGGTGTTCTTGGGAAACTTGCAGATCATAGAGAAGCATGAACACAAAGAATAAGTGTGGCCTTCCAGTGGTGGGGGCAGGGTGTCATGAGACACAGAGCAGTGGTAGGTCTTATGCAGAGCCTCTTTAGGGTTTTACACCACTGGTAGAAGAATCTGTCTCTAGACCGAAGAGTTCAAACCGAGAGACTTCTTGCTTTCTCACAAAGACAGGCTTCTGGCCATTTAGCTGCTGGGCTTTTCATCAGCCTTGAGGAATGAGAGACCTTTGTGGAGCTCTTGTTTCTAGGCGTGAGAGCAGGGGAGAGGCTGAAAAGCATCTGACATTCCTGGCGTCCCATTCTCTAGACAAGAGGGGACACTCATAAGGGCCTAAATACCTGTCCAAAGGCTTCAGTCACAATCCCTACTCTGTAAGGAAAATCTTGGCATCATTTCATCCCATACAACTAAGAAGAAAGATATATATCATGATAGCATATGGATGTGTTAACCATCTTCCCCCATTTTCACGTTTTAAGAATTTTAGGGCCGTGCATGGTGGCTCACGCCTGTAATCCCAGCACTTTGGGAGGCTAAGGCTGGCAGATCACAAGGTCAGGAGATCGAAACCATCCTGGCCAACATGGTGAAACCCCCGTCTCTACTAAAATACAAAAAATGAGCCAGGCGAGGTGGTGTGCGCTTGTAGTCCCAGCTACTCGGGAGGCTGAGACAAGGGAATTGCTTGAACCCAGGAGGCAAAGGTTGCAGTGAGCCAAGATCATGCCACTGCACTCCAGCCTGGCGACAGAGCAAGACTCTGTCTCCAAAAAAAAAAAAAAAAATTTTAGGTCTGGGGTGAGTTGGAGTATTGCTGAGGAGAACCTTTCTCAAGGGCAGGGCTCTCGGAGATCATGTTCTCATGGGTCCCCGGGACCGGTCCTCAGGCTCGCTAGTTTAAGGTGAGTGGAGTGGTCTCTAGGAGCAGAGCATGATAACAACGCTAGGTCACTCATTTACAACGGACTGTAATAAACTACCTTTTTCCTTCCACCAGGGGGCACCATTCACATAGACTTCAACAGCAGTGGCATCAACAGGCCTACAAAGTGGTGGTGGTAAAAAACACACTTGAGACCATCATATGTATCTGAAATCAGATACGATACCTGAAAAACATAAATCAAATTAATGCTCATATGGTTGCTTGCTGTCCAAGGAATTCAAAGCAAAGGTGGAAACTGACCCTTACATCACTTCTTCCTTCTAGATGAATAGCATCAGCTACATTTTCTTTCCCATTATGTAATGTTTCTATTCTGACCACCCACCTGTGATGGACATAGTCTTTTTAGATGTGTTAGTTTTAATATTAGTCAAGACTTAGTCTCAACCGTTCTCTATTAAGTGACTTTGCAGATATCTGATGTCATCTCCATTAATGCAGATTTTCATGTCAGATTCAGCTCTGAGTTCACCTTAATGCGGTGGTGGTTCCCATAGTGTAGTGCCCAGGCCCCCGCATCAACATCACTTGGGAACTTGTTAGAAAGGCAAGTTCCTGGTTCCCAACTCAGACCTACCTACCAAGTCAGAAATCTAAGTGTGGGGCCTGCAATCTGTGTTTTTACAAGCCTAACAGGGGATACTAATGCATGCTAAAGTTTGAGAACCACTGACTTAATATACAGTTTCCAACCCGGATGACACTAGAAACAACTACGGGACTTTACAAAAATATGGGTGTCCTGGCTTCCCCCAGAGCCACTAGGGTAGTGGAAACAAATGTCACTATCAAATGGATCTGGGTTTGAATTCTGGTTTTGTCACTCACCAGCTATGTGCCTTGTGGAGGCTCCATCTTCTCATCTGTAAAGTAAAAGTCATCGGACCTGCCTTGTAGGAAGGTGTAGGAGGGGAAGGTTCAGCAAATGCCTCATAGAGAGATTGACTCATAGTACATCTTCTTCCTTGGCCTCCACCGCAACTAGAATCTTATTCACCCGGCCTGTGAGGGTACAGTTCTCACCTTGCCCCAGAATCACCAGGTGAGAATGATTTGCTAGACCCGCTTTCTGAAGTTTCACAAATGGACAAACATTTTCACAGCTGTTACTGGGATTTTGCCATAAATCAGCAGGAACACACCCGAGATCTGACAAAGCTATTTCAAACTCTAGATCAATGAGGAGGGAAGTTGCTATGAAGCCGGGTTTGCCAACTGAGAGCATTGTAATTGTTCGAGTTGCTCTTGGGATCTAGCTCAGATTCCTGCTGACACCAGAGAAGTGAAGAATGAAAATAGTTGCCTAGAAAATCAGAAGCAGCTCCCCAAGTTACCTGCCACATACAGGTTTGTTTTTCCTTAATTATCTAGGTAATTGCTTTGCTTCCTCTACCTGCCTTTACCAAGAGATGCCTGGCCAGAAGAGCGAGGAATTAAAGTACCTGTGGAGGCTGCCCACCGAGTGAAGCTGCAGGCTGCCCATCCCATCGCAGTAGCTCCTTAGTTGTCAGTAGGTTGTTTCTATGAATGCCCCCTCCATCAGAAACCAATGAGGTTTTTCCAATTAATCTAAATCCCTGCTCTTGTGGAACTGGTGCGGAGACAGTGGTTAAATGCTAAATTGTCAGCCCAAAGTCAAATCCTTTTATTTAAAAACATAATATGCAGAATGGCTTCCTAAAACAAAAATTGGGAAAATTGTTAACATAGAGACTTCCAGGTTTTGCCAAGGGTACAACTGTTTTCTTAAACACAGTTTTTAACAATTACGTACAAATCAAACCAAAGTTCATCCAACCCACTCTCTGAATTAGTCTCAGTACAATGCGCATAGACAGCTATCACTAGAGTTAGTGAATATTATGGGAAAAATTAGAGGCAAAAGTTGAGACTGGAGCCGGTGAGAGTTAACAAAAACACTATTTATATAGAGAAAAATACATTTTAGAGAAGTATAAACATACTGCTTGGCATCAACATAAAAGCCCAAGTGCAAGTCAAAGGTAACCCAAAAGGCTCATAGGTCCTCAGACTACAGAAACCCCCCTACTGATGGCAACAGAAGGTCTGGCCTTCCACATGCTACTTCCTTAGTGTTTGTGGGGGAAAAAAAAATCCCACTGTATAAATTAGAATAGGCCAGATCATGCTACAGTAACAAATAACCCCAAAGTCTCAGTAGCTTACAACCACAAAGGTTTACCTCTTTCCCACTGTATTCAGGGTTTTCCAGAGAAACAGAACCAATAAGGGATTTAATAGAGAGAGAGGGGATGAGGGGGAGAGATAGTGATATGGTTTGGCTCTGTGTCCCCACCCAAATCCCACCAGGAACTGTAATCCCCATAATCCCCATGTGTCAAGGTCAGGACCAGGTGGAGGTAATTGGATCATGGGTGCAGTTCCCCCAAGCTGTTCTTGTGATAGTGAGTTCTCACGATATCTCATGGTTTTATAAGCATCTGGCATTTCCCCAGCTTGCACTCTATCCTGCCACCCTTGTGAAGAAGGTGCCTGCTTCTCCTTTACCTTGCGCCATGATTGTAAGTTACCTGTGGCCTCCCCAGCAATACACAACTGTGAGTCAATTAAACCGCTTTTCTTTATAAATTACCTAGTCTCGGGTATTTCTCCATAGCAGTGTGAGAATGGACTAACACAGATGGACTAATTATGAGGAATTAGCTCGCTTGATTATGAAGGCTAAGAAGTCCCATGCTCTGCCATCTGCAAGCTGCAGACCCAGGAAAGCTGGTAGTGTAGTTTGGTTTCGGACCCAAGGCCTGAGAACCAGTGGAGCTGATGGTTTAAGTCTCAGTTTGAGGGCAGAAGGAGACTGATATCCCAGCTCAATCAGTCAGGCAGAGGAGGTGAATTCTCCTTTCTCCATCTTTTGTTCTGTTCAGGCTCTCAGCAAATTGGCTAATACACTTCCATTCAGGGAAGGGCAATCTATCTTATGGAGTCCACTGACTCAAATGCAAATCTCATCTGGAAACATCATCACACAAACCCAGAAAAGCTTAGTGAAATATCTGGCCACTCCATGATCCAGTCAAGTTGACACATAAAATTAACCATCACACTCACATAACATGTTGAATGAAAGTTGCCTCTGGCTTTGACGCCCTCCCCAAACTTGTAGGTTCCAGGATGATGGAGCAGCAACCAGCTGGAATATTATCAGGTCCAGGGTGAGAGAAGGGAGACATGGAGAACAGTACACTGGTTCCCAGAAATGATAAATGTTTTTGCTGCTCCCATTTCATCGGCCACAGCAAAGCGAATGGCCTCTCTTGAGTCTGGCAGAGTTGAAGAGTAAACTCCTTCCATGGCAAAAGACGGAGGAAAAGTAAAATATTTGGCAAACAGAAATACAGTCTACCATACCGATGGAATTCTTATGCAGTCCACACTTAACTTATTCTGGACCTCTGCTCTGAGACTTCCCCGCAGATCTCTACTGAATATCTTCTTATCACTTTTTCACACAAGTCAGGCTCTTGTTTTATGCAAGGAGAGTTACAGGCTCCTCCCTTAATTTCCAAAAGTACAGCAAATATCTGGATAAACATTTAAGACAATTTCCTGTTGGCTTGAGAATAATGAGGAGAATTATAATGGAGAAAAAGAAAAATACTGTACTGGATATGAACTATCACTGCTCCTGGAGTTCTGTCCATCAGCCATGCCTCTCCACCGGCGTCCTCTCTACGTGGCCTCCCCTAGTCCATCAATTACCATGAGCCACCAGTCCCCTGGGTACCTTCTCCAACCCCCCTTATCCTCACTGCAAGAAGGGCGTTATCCACCACATCCTCACCCACAGGCAACAGCATCATAACCCTAAAAAGATGCAATTCTGCACATGACAAATTCAGCCTTTGATAATTCTATTCAGAAATGTTTAGGATGTCTGGCTCGAGCTTCTTGAGTCTAGAATAGAATTTTGCCTTTGCATAAATAAAGGTCCCAGTGAAGAATAATTTTAATCAAAGATGATGCATGTCTCCTAGCGGAACAAGAGAAAATTACAGGTAGATTTGAAATGTTTTTTTCTACTGCACACAAAAAGAAAATGGTTGTGCTGCGTACAAAAAGAAAATTATATACCTAGTCTGGATGTCCCTGTAATTTTGCATTTTGTTTTGCTTTTTCACGTACTACGTCATAAATGGATTTTGAAATTTTATAGAATGTTCTTAATTAACATAAAGACTACATAATATTCCATCCTGATAAACTAACATAATTTGTTAACACATTCTCTTAATTTAGACATGTCCCTTTAATTTATTATTATCACAGTTGTCATAAATTGTGTAATGTATATGAGCATTTGCTTTTGTTATATTATTTTATTGAGGTAAATTCCTAGGGATAAAATTAATGGGCTAAAAGTATGGATGCTATTGCTTTGTGCCAACTGTTTTATATCTTTCCTAATTTACACTAATTATGTGTAATTTTTACTGCAAATTCAGTAACACTTTTATTTGAAACTTATGTGGTTCAGTTTAACTTAATAAACTAATAACCTGTGATATATAGGTGATAATGTTTATTTTCAATATGAAAGATTTTATCCCCCTAAAAATCAACCTAAAAAAGCTTTGCATTGGGATAGGGACAGCAACTTTTGATATAAAAACCATCTGATCTAGAAAAAACAGTATAGATGGGTCATAACCCTTTGGTTGCAAGTACCAGAAATGCAGTTTATACTAATTAATGCAAGAAAGAAGAGTTTGGAGGGATTGTGGAGTAGCCTACCTCCTAGTAAAACAAAAACAAAACAAAACAAAACAAAACAAAAAGTTGATTAACCAAACCTCCCAAGTGCAGCAATCTAAGCACAGCCAAAACTGTTATTAATAACTAGAAAATGATTGGGACCTTCTCCCATCCTGTCTTCCATTGCATCTCTCTGGATCTTGACTGTCTTCTCCTACCAGAGACAGATGTCTGATGTGGGGCTCACTCCTAGCAGCTCCACGCCTAGAGAAGAAAGGGGCTGTGGTATTGAAAGACTAGTCCAGTTCTTCACCCTTCCATGTATCCACACCCTTGGCATGGCCTCCTAGCGGGTGGTGTATGCCTGTGCCTTGAGTTTGTGCTTGTTTGTTTGACTTACTTTGGCTAATGGCATAAGAGTATAAGTCATAACATGACCCTTCACAGCCTAGGTCTATGTGACCTTGCAGGTTCTCACTTGCTCTCTTGTGGAATATTCCCCAACTAGTCTGCTAAAAGGTTAAAGACTGACTTAAACTGTTTTGACGTTGCTACAAAAAAAAAAAAATGCCTGCAGCTGGGCAGTTTATACAGAAAAAAAATTTATTTGGGTCACAGTTCTGCAAGTTGTACAGGCACGGCACTGGTATCTATCTGATTTTGGTGAGGGCTTCAGGCTGCTTCCACTCATGGTGGAAGGTAAAGGGGAGCCACGTGGTGAAAGAGGAAGCAAGAGACAGAAAGAGGAGGAGGTGCCAGGCTCTTTTCAAAACCCAGCTCTCATGAGAACTCACTCATCCCCACAAGAATGGCACCAAGCCATTTATGAGGGATCCTCCCTCAGGACCCAAACACCTCCCACCAGGCCCTGCCTCCAACATTGAAGATCAAATCTCAACATGATACTTGGAGGGCTCAAATATCCAAACCATAGCAAAGACATAGGCAACAGATGTGCAAACATGCAGTGTGGACTAGAGACATCCTTAAATCAAACCACCCACTGCCAGCCTAAAGACACATGAGCAGGCCTGCTGAGATCAGTGGAGCCCACTCATCAGACCTGAAGAGATGTGAAGTAAATAAGTGCTCACTGTTTTAAGTGACTCTGATTTTATGGTTCTTTGTTATGCAGCAGTAGCTGACTAATACAGGGGGCACCTCTCTTCTAGCTCTAGTTTGAAAAGTCTCGAGAAAGAATACTCTGGCCCAGTTCGTAACAAAGGCCCGTATCTGTCCCCAAGCTGTCAGATAGCTAAAAAACAGAAATGATGCCTGCTGGATGTCAGAAAAAATAATAGCTTTCTAATCTGTAATACACTGTGGTTTTAAGAGCCAAATTTAAAATACTCCACACATCCATCTTTTTGAACTAAATAAAAAGTGAGTTTAGTTAATACAGTAAATAATAATAAAATGACATGGAATTTAAATCTATAGGTGGTAAGAGAGTGAAAAGAAAGAAGACACAGGAAAAGAAGAACAAATGAAAAGCAATATTTGCCAAAACTCTGAGAAGCAGCAATATTTCTTTAGACTAAAAAAAATTTAAAAGCATACTTTCTAATAAACATATTTTAACATTTATCCAAGTAAGAAAACAATAGGATTTTTAGAAATATCATTTTACCCCAACTGAGAAAAACACCAACTGTTTTCCCAGGAAGTAACGAGTATTGTCTCTCAACTCACAGGTAGAAATGTTGCATTCAGTGTCTTTTTATTGCCATCTGGTTACCAGCATCAGCTTCCAGGCAAAGGATTAGAATAAACTACGATTTAGTGCCAAATGCAGAGGGCTCAGGCAAACTGAGCCAGCGGAAGATATAGAAGGCAATGAGCTAGAAAAGTGAGGCAGAGGAGAAAAAACAAAACAAAACAAAAAAAAACACAGCAGGCTCAGAACAAGGATTTAAAAATCACAGCCAGAGAGAGTACAAACAGGACAGCGTCACCTCTATTCTGGTTCCAAGGGTCTTGAAACAAAGCCGGGAGTAATCTTCAGCTAGCAACACAGAACACAACAGGGCAGAGAGCCCTGGCATATCCGACAGCAGCTTCCAATGTTTGCTCCAGAGGAATCGATACAAAATCAGTGCAGAAAACAACAAGAAGAGGATCCATGGGACTGAGTTTGCAGGAGGGAAAGAGATGCCAGCTCCTGCCTTGGGAAGGGGCACAACAGAAAAACCCACGCACCAAAGAGAGGCAGGCAGAAAGAGGCTAGGCTAGGAGCCTGGCCTCCCTGGGAAGGACATTGTAGGGATTGATCTATTTCAGTTACAAAGTAGCCAAAAACTGTTTTTTTTTTAAGAGACAGGGTCTCGCTCTGTCACCCAAGCTGGAGTGCAGTGGTGCAATCATAGCTCACTGCCGCCTTCAACTCCTAGGCTCAAGCAATTCTCCTGCCTCAGCCTCCTAAAGTTCTTGGATTATAGGTATGAGCCACCGTGCCCAGCCTATTTCCAAATATCATTATTTGGCAAGGATTGTTCTATTGATATACTGTCCCAGTGGCCTCTCCTTGGTCCCATAATGAACTGAAAACAGCCTGCAGGTGATGAAGTACTTGGGAGAAACAGCTGGGATGTGGCTGGAACAAAGTTAAGACTGAAATTTAGGGGCCCTTTAGGATTCTGCTGCTGAAGACTTTAGAAATAATGTTACATCTTTGTAACTAGGGGCATATGTTGATCCAACTTTTGATATTTGCAGCAGGAAATTGGGTTAAGAGCTGAATGGTCTCCCTTGCCTAAGCATTTATAACATCTATACAGTAGTGTTCCCCCTTGCTATGAATTAATACGAACAATGGGGGCAATGTTATTATACTTATGACAAGTTTCAATTTACAAATAGGCAGTACACCAGAAGTATGCTTTTAGGTAGGCTGAACTCAAAAGAACGTATTAGTTTAGAAATAAAGATATGCATAGTAGATTAAGTTTTCAGGGTAGACCACAAACCTCTAGTTAAAAGCCATACAGTGGTAGAAATAGTTTAGGTTTTTAATGCCAACTGGTATACATTTTTAGCATTGGACAATCACAAATGGACTTAAGAACATTGCTGTGAGTTAGCTGAGAATGTTAACGATCATTTGGCCTGGTTTTCATTAGAAAATGTAATTCAAATTGCTGTGGCAATGGTTGTGGATGCTTGAAGAAGCTTTGTTTTTGTTTTTGATAGTTGTTGCACTGTCAACCAGAAACATATCTCTATCTCCCCCTTTCTTTACTTCCATCTCCAGTGTAGCATTTAGAATTCTTTGGGTAGCAAGGGAAAGAAAATCCAACCCAAACCAATTCTATAAAGCAAATACATGGGCTCATGTAACAAACTGCACAGGTGCTTCAGGCAAAGCTTGATCCAGAGGCATAAGCACAAGCCCTGGCTCTCTCAGATCTCTGCTCTCTTATTCCTCAAGGTCCACCTAGTGACTTCGCAAAAGGTACTGGCCCTTCTCTCATGAGCACAGCTGCCAGCCTTATATGTTTATATCACACTCAGAATGCCGTCTATCAGTAGGTCCCTGGAGAAGGCAAGAGTTTTTTGTTTTTTGGTTTTTTTCTCAGTAACCCCGGACAATCTCTCCTCACAGCTTTACGGGATTTTAGTACCCATTCTGTACCTATGACTACGGTCAGAGAGACGGGATTGCCTGAATGATTTAATTGTACAGGACTGGGGCTATCAGATATGACTGTGCAGGTTGTGCACTGCACAACTTCAAGTTCACTATACACATTTATGACAATGCAGATGTGTAGTGGTCCGTTCTCATGCTGCTATGAAGAAATACTCGAGATTGGGTAATTTATAAAGCAAAGAGATTTAATTGACTTACAGTTCTGCATGGCTAGGGAGGCCTCGGGAAACTTACAATCATGGTGGAAGGCACCTCTTCTCAGGGCAGCAGGAGAGAGAATGAGTGCAGCAGGGGAAATGCCAGACGCTTATAAAACAATCAGATCTCCTGAGAACTCACTCACTATCACGAGAACAGTGTGAGGGAAACAGCCAGCCTGATTCAATTATCTCCCACCGGCTCCCTCCCATGACACGTGGGGATTATGGGATTACAATTCAAGATGAGATTTGGGTGGGGACACAAAGCCAAACAATATCAAGATGATACCCCTTGGAATTATCTGATGCAGTGACCCTATTTGGGACCCACTTCTAGAGATGGGAGTGGGATCCATATCACCTTAACACGTGGTTTTTGAGTTAGGGAGGCCGTTCTGCGCTGGGTAGAGAGGATATAAAACATGCTTGGGAGGCAGCCCGTAGAAGCCCACTACTGACAGATGGCAAGAAAGTGGCAGGGCCTATGCCCTTTCACACATTCCCTACCATGAAGTAGGAACCCTAGATAATTACAGAGAGAAGAAACCAAAGTAACTTAGAAAACACTTCATTCCACCTTTGAGTCCTAACATGTGAAAGTAAAACACACAAAATACTCATTCTCATCCATGTCATTATTTATGGGTTTCAAAGCATTTTCTGAGTCGGCCCTTCACCTACACAACAGTAGCTCCAGGGGACAGCTGGCAGATAATATTATCCCCATTGGAGACGTGAAGCAAGTCAGGCATCTCCCTGCTCAGGTGGAACCCATCTCCCGCTTACTACAACAGAAACTCCCTGCTTACTTCTGTGCTATGAGAGGGAGATCCTATGGAAAACGATGAGAGAGGGCAGGAAAGTTGAGTGACAGAGAGGCCAGAAGAGAAAGCACAGAAGGAAGAGAAGAGGAGATTCAAGGCAAGGAGAGGAAAGCTTTGGAACAATGGCAGCCACCAACCAAAGGTTCTGTAGTGGTTGACTAGGGCTGCCATAACAATGCACCACAGGCCGTGTGCCTTAAACGACAGAAATGTATTCTCTCACAGTTCTGGAGGCTGGATGTCCAAAATCAAGACATCAGCAGGGTTGGTTCCTTCTGAGGCTGTGAGGGAGACTGTTCCATGGCTCCCTCCTAGCTTCTGGGGATGAAGGTGATCTTTGATGGTCCTTGGCTTGGAGATGCATCACCCAGTCTCTGCCTTCCTCTCCACATGGAGTTCTCCCTGTGTGTGAGCCTGTCTCCAGTCTCCGCATTTTAGAAGGACATCAGTCATACTGGATTAGGATCCACTCTAAAGGTCCACCCTAAAATGACCTCGTTTTTACTTGGTAACAACCCTATCTCCAAATAAGGTCACATTCTGAAGTAGTGGGGGTTAGGATTCTAACACATGAATTTGGGGGGCACACAATTCCCCTCATAACAGGCACTAAGTCTTTAGAGCCGAGCGGAACATGATGTGGCCAACTAGCCACATGTGGCTACTGAGCACTTAAAATCTGGCTAATCTAAATCGAAATGAGCTGTGAGTGTAAAATACACACCAGATTAAAAAAAATGAATGTGCAATATTGCAATAATTTTTATATAGATTACCTGATAAAAATAATATTTTGGATATATCTGGTTAAATAAAATATAGTACAGTATTCAAATTAATTTCACCTCTTTTTTTACTTTTTAACATGTGGTTTCTAGAAAATTTAAAACTTCACATGCAACTTGCATTTGGCTCATTTTATATTTCTACTGGATGACACTGATCTAGAAACAGAAATTCAGAGTCTTTGACACCTGGTCATTTTGTGAAAAGTTTCTGAAATTTCTACATTGTTCTCTGACAAGGATGGCAAAATTAAGCATTCAATTCACTGAATTGAAGTGACATGTAGCATATGGTAAATATCAAACTTTATACCTGTGTAACCAACTCTAAATTTTAAGTAAGTTCTCATAGAACCTAAGTGGCAGATATATTTGATCAATAAGGATCACACTTCATTTTTATTACTAAGAACTCAATTTGGAACAGGCCACCCAATATCATCTTATAAGAGTGGCTTTTGTTTAAAGCAATCACCTTTTCATTTACCTTGTGTAAGAAAAACAAGGCTGCTTATCAAGTGTGACTTTATTAATAATTACATCAGAATGGCATGGGTCCTTATTAAAGACGGTATACAAGTGAGATTTTGCATATGCTTTGTGCAGATAAATCATGAGCTCCATAGTAAAGTTATGTAAATGGAGATGCGTTTTTGCTTTTATGAAATACACTGGGTTATAAATACTCTGACCTTGTTTATGGAGGAAGCTGGTTTGTTCACTTAATGAAGACATTAATTTGCCATTCAGTTTGGACTGATTACTCATTAGCTGCCATCTCCTGACCAACAGCTCTGACTTACAAACCCAGGCTGGTGATCGGATCGTAGGTAGTGGTGTGCTGCCATCTATAGCTGGAACGAGAAAAAGATCAAAGTGCAGCAAGGTCTGCAAAGCCACAACTACTAAAAAGAGTTACAGTATCAAAACATTAACAATTTTTTTTAAAGCTAGACAAAAAAAAATACACTCCAAGGTCTACAACTACGGCTCTTTCCCCTTGTTAAAATCATTGTAAGTATTGATTGATTTGCAAGCAAAACAAAACCTAGATAAAGCAAGCTGTATAATATCCCAGCTGCAAGCCTTAACCCAATTATTGTTGGTGGAGCAGGTGCAAAAACATCTGCAATACTGATAACTCAAATGGCACAAAACCTACTGTAATCATTTTCCAAGTCAGCTACTGCTTGCCTTTGCCCAGAATTCATGTCAGGATTTCTTTTTCCACTCTTCAGTCTTTTTCCTACTCCAGGATGCCGCCATCAGCAACGTTCAACAAACATTTTTGGAGACCCTACTATGTTCCAGCCATTGTCCTGCTTGAGATGCAGCACAGACCAAACGCATCTCCTGGCCTTGCGATGATTACATTCTAGTGGAGTGAGACAGACATTAAACACTAGACTAAGTAAACAAGCTCATTCTATACTATGTTGGGAGGTGGCAGGCATTACAAAGAGAGAAAACAAGAGGGCAGGATATGGGGATGGGGATTGGAGGTAGAATGGTAGGAAGGAGGAAGCATGTGGGGTTTTTTTTTGTTTTTTTTTTTTTTTTGAGACAGGGTCTTGCTCTGTTGCCCCAGTCTGGAGTGCAGTGGTGCCATCTCAGCTCACTGCAACCTCCACCTCGTGGGTTCAAGCTATTCTCCTGTCTCAGCCTCCTGAGTAGCTGGGATTACAGGTGTGTGCCACCACACCTGGGTAATTTTTGTATTTTTAGTAGAGACAGGGTTTCGCCATGTTGGCCAGACTGGTCTTGAACTCCTGAGCTCAGGTGATCCACCCACCTCGGCCTCCCAAAGTGCTGGGATTACAGGCGTGAGCCACTGCGCCTGGCCAGATGCAGTCTTAATGAGGGCAGTCAGGGGAGCCTCACTGACAAGATGACAATGGGGCAAACATGACATTCCCAGGAGTTCCCAGGAGAGGACAGGGGCCTGGGAATGAGGCCAGAGGGTTGGGGAGGGAGTTCATTGTGGAAGGCCTCTGAGGCCGCCGACAAAATAGCAGCTTTTAGCTGAGTAAAATATCACTTCTTGCTTTTAGATATCTGCCTGATGGACAGCTACGTTTTGTGAGCCCAAAGTATTTGAGACAGGTCTCAATTAATTTAGAAAGTTTATCTGCCAAGGCTAAGGACGTGCCTATGACAGCGTCAGGAAGTCTTGGGTACATGATGACATGTACCCAAGTGGTCAGGGCACAGCTTGGTTTTATACATTTTAGCTTGATTTTATACATTGATGAGACCTCAATCAATATGCATAAGAGGTACATTGGTTTGGTCCAGAAAGGTGGAACAACTCGAAGTAAGGGATTCCAGGTCAGAGGTAGATAAGGGACAAAAGGTTTCATTCTTTGGGGTCTTCGATCAGCCTTTCACTGAATACATGTGAGGTGGAATGAATAGAGGAATAGTCACTGATGCCTTAGTCTGACTCAGTGAATCTGCATTTTTACATAAACAATAGGTCAGAGGAAGCAATGAGAAATGCATTTGTCACAGGTGAGCAGAGCAATGATCAAGAGTTCTGTCTGTCCTCTGTCCTGGGCCTGTGAAGATAAGGTATCAATTAATATGGCCAGGATGAAGTTCAACAGAACTGTTTTAGGGTAAAGATCTTTGAGGCTCACAAGGAATTTCCTTACGGGCAAATTGTGAGGGAGGTATGTAGCTTTTTTATTTTTATTGTTTTTCTTTGTAGTTATTTTATTTAGGAATAAAATGGGAGGCAGGTTTGTCTGATGCAGTTCCCAGCTTGACTTTTCCCTTTGGCTTAGTGATTCTGGAGTCTTGAGATTTATTTTCCTTTCACGGTTTTCCCCATTTCTTTCTTTGCTTAAAATCGTGTTTGATAGTTTTATAATCGTGGTGGTGGTTATTGTCTCAAGATTCATGAGTACTCGCAAAAGCAAATTTTAATAAATAACAACTGTTCACCCCAGATGGACTTCAATTTTTTTTATTCACAGAGAGATTTCGATATACCTGGTTATAATCATACTAGATACATAAATCACTTGCTTTCATGTTTAGCATCTGTCATGAGTATTTTTCATTTTATTCCATGTTTACCATAAACATTTTGTTAGCTAAAAACTCATAAAGAGACAATCATTGTGTCAAACATTTGATTTTACTGTGAGGATTAAGGGAAAAATTATAAAAAGAGCCGAGTACAGTGTCAAATCTTAGTTTGAGTAGAGATACAATATAGTGCTTTGCTTTTTTCCATTTCTAAAGGTCTATTCAAAATTATTTACTATGATAAATGCTATGATGGACATCTTGATATAAGAAGAAATTTTTATTATTATTATTATGGATTAATAATAGTCCTAAAATTTAAGATTATTGTTCTTCAGGATGGATTCCTTGGCATACAATTACTGTGTCTGATGTTATGGCTAGTTTAAAATGTTTTAAATAAAATATCAAACTGCTTCCCCAAAGCATAAAAGCTATTTTAAATACTACCCCCCTTGTGTTAGAATGCCAGTTTCACTCCCCCTCATTTTTTATTTTCTAATTTGATATATTTTTTACTTCTTTCTATTTAGCACTTTTTACATTTCTTTCTTTCTTCTTTCTTTCTTTCTTTCTTTCTTTCTTTCTTTCTTTCTTTCTTTTCTTTTCTTTTCTTTTCTTTTCTTTTTTTCTGAGACAGAGTCTCACTCTGTCACCCAGGCTGGAATGCAGTGGTGTGATCTCAGCTTACTGCAACCTCTGCCTCCTGAGGTCAAGCAATCCTCCTGCCTCAGCCTCCCCAGTAGCTGGGATTACAGGCGCCCTCCACCACACCCAACTAATTTTTGGATTTTTAGTAGAGATGGGGTTTCACCATGTTGGCCAGGCTGGTCTTGAACTCCTGATCTCGTGATCCACTTGCCTCGGCCTCCCAAAGTGCTGGGATTACAGGCGTGAGCCACGGCGCCCAGCCCACTTTTTATATTTCTAATGAGAAATAATGATAAAAATCTTCAAAAGCATGTTTAACCCACACAGGTTGCCTCCAAAGTCCCTGAGTTCCTGGTTATTGAGTGCTCCTGTTTTCTCTTTTGTCCTCTGCAGGCCCATGTCTGTTGCTCCTTTGTCTTGATGTAGTTTGGTGTTCTTTTTATTGGATATTGTCAAATGTGTAAAGATTAAAGATATTAGCCCTGTAACTGTTGTTTGGATGACTCTTAAATCTTGAGGCCAAATTAGTTTTCACTTTTACGCTGAATTGCTAACATCAAATGTGCCCTTCCTGCCCCACCCAAAAGGGCAGAGGAAGTGACAACCCCAGGGGCCCTCCTTCTCCCCTGTGTCCAGGGAAGAGCATCCCCACTTCCAGTCACTCCAGCAGGGAAGTATAAGGAAAGGGCAGAAGAAGTGAGGGGTGGACATCAGACCACAGGGACTAGCTCTCAGGGCGTGTGGGGACTAGGTGAGTGGGAGAAGCGGATCACGCTGACTCCACTAGATCCAGTAGGAGTAGCCAAAGCTGGAGTTATTATCTACATGAATATGGGGAACGAGTTACCCATTTGTTGTCCCCTACTTGAGGAGGGAATCAACCCTGAAGTCTGGGCATTGGAAGGAACAAACTCAAGCTCCAGCCTTAAGCCTTCCCACAGGATGAAACTTTTCTTTATGCATCACAGAGAGAGCAAGGATGGCTCTTGGAGTCCTTACTCAGACTCATGGGGCAACCCCACAACCAGTGGCATACCTAAGTAAGGAAATTGATGTAGTAGCGAAAGGCTGGCCTCACTCTTTAAGGGTAGTTGTGGCGGTGGCCATCTTAGTGTCAGAGGCTATCAAAATAATACAAGGAAAGGATCTCACTGTCTGGACTACTCATGATGTAAATGGCATACTAGGTGCCAAAGGAAGTTTATGGCTATCAGACAACCACCTACTCAGATACCAGGCGCTACTCATTGAGGGACTGGTGCTTCAAATATGTACATGCGTGGCCCTCAACCCTGCCACTTTTCTCCCAGAGGATGGGGAACCAATCGAGCGTGACTGCCAACAAATTGTAGTCCAGACTTAGGCCGCCTGACATGATCTCTTAGAAGTCCCCGTAGCTAATCCTCACCTTAACCTATATACCGACGGAAGTTCACTTGTGGAGAATGGGATACGAAGGGCAGGTTATGCCACAGTAACAGTACTTGAAAGTAAGCCTCTTCCCCCAGGGACCAGCGCCCCGTTAGCAGAACTAGTGGCACTGACCCGAGCCTTAGAACTGGGAAAGGGAAGAAGAATAAATGTGTATACAGATAGCAAGTATGCTTATCTAATCCTACATGCCCATGCTGCAATATGGAAAGAAAGGGAGTTACTAACCTCTGGGGGAACGCCCATTAAATATCACAAAGAAACCATGGAGTTATTGCATGCAGTGTAAAAACCCAAGGAGGTGGCAGTCTTACACTGCCAAAGCCATCAAAAGGGGAAGGAGAGGGGAAAACAGCAACATAAGCAGCTGGCAGAGGCAACAGAAAGGAAGAGAGAAAGAAAGAGACAAAGAAGAAGTCAAAGAGAGAGAAAGAGAGAGATAGAAGTAGTAAAGGAAAAACAGTGTACCCTATTCCATTAAAAGCCAGGGTAAATTTAAAACCTATAATTGATAATTGAAGGTCTTCTCTGTAACCCTGTAACACTCCAATATCACCTTGTTGTCAGTGTAAACAAGGGCGTAGCCCGAAAGCACTGAAGCCACTGACAACCCATAGCCTTCCTATCAAAAATCCTTAACCCAGCAGGTTTCCTAACAGGGGATCTAAATCTTAATTAATTACCATACAAAGGTCTGACCAGATCTAGGAGGAACTCCCTTCAGGACAGGATAATATACGGTTCCTCCTCAACTACTAAGGAAAAAAGACACAATGGGTATTCAGTAAGTGATAAGGAAACTCTTGTAGAAGCAGTTAAGAAAATTGCCTAATAATTGGTCTGTTCAAACATGCAGCTGTTTGCACTCAGCCAAACCTTAAAGTACTTACAGTATCAGGAAGGAGCCATCTATACCAATTCTAAGTTAATATGGACTGAATGAGGTTTTATTAATAGCAAAGAAAAATTAAAACCCCAAACTTACAAGGTTTTCAACAAAAGTTTGCTAAAAGTTAACAGTGTAACATGTATTGTACTAACTTCTAATTTTATGGAAATCAGACCCTATCTGTTCCCCTCAAAGCTCAAGTCCGTCAGTGCAGAGCCATACAACTAATACCCTACTTAATAGGGTTAGGAATGGCTACTGCTACAGGAACCGGAATAGCCAGTATATCCACTTCATTATCCTACTACCACACACTCTCACAGGATTTCTCAGATAGTTTGCAAGAAATAACGAAATCTATCCTTACTCTACAATCCCAAATAGACTCTTTGGCAGCAGTGACTCTCCAAAACTGCTGAGGCCTAGACCTCCTCACTGCTGAGAAAGGAGGACTCTGCATCTTCTTAGGGGAAGAGTGTTGTTTTTACACTAATCAGTCAGGGATAGTAAGAGATGCCACCTGGCGCTTACAGGAAAAGGCTTCTGAAATCAGACAACGCCTTTCAAAACTCTTATACCAACCTCTGGAGTTGGGCAACATGGCTTCTCCCCTTTCTAGGTCCTGTGGCAGCCATCTTGCTATTACTCGCCTTCGGACCCTTATTTTTAACCTCCTTGTCAAATCTGTTTCCTCTAGAATCGAGGCCATCAAGCTACAGATGGTCTTACGAATGGAACCCCAAATGAGCTAAACTAACAACTTCTACCGAGGACCCCTGGACCGACCCGCTGGCCCTTTCACTGGCCTAGAGAGTTCCCCTCTGGAAGACACTGCAACTGCAGGGACCCTTCTTTGCCTCTATCCAGCAGGAAGTAGCTAGAGCAGTCATCGCCCAATTCCCAGCAGCAGTTGGGGTGTCCTGTTTAGAGGGGGGATTGAGAGGTGAAGCCAGCTGGCCTTCTGGGTTAGGTGGGGACTTGGAGAACTTTTCTGTCTAGCTAAAGGATTGTAAACACACCAATCAGCACTCTGTGTCTAGCTAAAGGTTTGTAAACGCACCAATCAGCACTCTGTAAAAACGCACCAATCAGCGCTCTGTGTCTAGCTAAGGGTTTGTAAACGCACCAAACAGCCCTCTGTAAAAACGGACCAATCAGCACTCTGTGTCTAGCTAAAGGTTTGTAAACGCACCAATCAGCACTCTGTAAAAACAGACCAATCAGCACTCTGCAAAATGGACCAATCAGTGCTCTGTAAAATGGACCAATCAGCAGGATGTGGCAGAGCCAAATAAGGGAATAAAAGCTGGCCACCCCAGTCAGCAGGGGCAACCCGCTCCGGTCCCCTTCCATGCTGTGGAAGCTTTTTCTTTCACTCTTCACAATAAATCTTGCTGCTGCAAGATCTTGCTTGCTTCTGATCTTCCTTCTCCTCTAGTGTTCCTTATCTCCATTATGAGTTCTTCTTTCCCAGTCATCAGTATTCCTTTGGGGTCTGTCCTGGGCTATCTCCTCTGTTCACCACACACACACTTTTCAGGCAAGCTTTTCCTCTCACATAGCTTCAAAAGTGGACCATATGCCAAAGGCATAAATGTAAAGCTTTGGCCCAAATCTTCCTCCTGAGCAGAAGTCTTACATGTCAACAACCACATGGGCGCCACACAGCATGCCTTGCCTGCAGTACACTCATCACTGAATTTAACACCTGGTTCCACAAACCTGCTCTGACCTCGTGTTCACCATCGCATTGAACAGAAACATCTTCCACTCTGTTGTTCAAGAAAGGAACCTGGGGATCGTCTGTGGTTCTATCTTTTTTACCAGCTCTTCTTCTACCTCAGGACAGTCATCTCTGCCATGTTTCATGAATCTGGCCACTGTTCTGATTTCCCACGAACACATCCCTGGTCCAGTCCACCTAACTTCTTGTCTGACTACAGCCGTGGTTTCTTACTGGTATCTCCCATTCCACTCTTCCCACTCCACAATCCACTCTCCTCACTGCAGCCAAAACAAACTGTGAAACACAGGACTGATCATATCACACCTTTCAAAAGTTTCCCATTGTCCTTAAGATAAATGTCAAACTTTATCATATACCTGAGAAGGTCTGGACTCTTCTCACCCCTCTCCTGACTCACCACATGTCACTCCTCCAACCTGGAGCCCTCATTATCCCCGGCCACACATACATGGCATGCAACCACACCAAACATCTTTCAGCTCTACAAATAAACCATGAGAGGCCCTCTCTCATCCCTCAGCCTTTGCATATGCAATTGCCTTGGCTCAAAACATGCTTCCTCTTCACCCAGCTTCCCGCTCATCTTTTAGAGCTCCATTGGTTGACCATGAGCAATCCCTCAGCTTCTGTACCTGAGGGTAAATCTCAGATTTTCTCTTTCAAAGGCAACCTCCCTCCCTGGCAGAAGCCCTGTTGAATAGGATCCCCTTGGAAATGACCTCAGACGAACAGTCCTCATTTAGGTTCCACATCTGGTGGCTGAAGTCCTATAACTTTTACCCCCACCAGTGCCAATTCTTCTTCTTCCCAAATGCCACTCTATTCTGCTGCCACAGGAGTTTCATCCATCTACTCAAGCAATATTTTTTATGCATAAGGTGCCAGTCCTTTGTGTCTCCCAAACTCTAGGTGACTCATGTCAAGGCTTTTTTAGTGGGCATCTCATAGCCCCCCTCACTAAGATTAAGAAGGTTACAGTCCCAGCACTACCACATTTTCTAACAAAATTCTCTATCTTCTCCAAAAAACTCTTCTTAGTCTTTTCAACCACCTCTGTAGGCTGGAGGTGGGTGGTCAGCTAAGAATTCCAAAAACACTTCTTGGCCAGTTCCTTCTCAAATGCTGCAAAGGAGATGGAGGTGAATTTTGGCAAGTTGGAGGAACAGAGAGGGGACCTCTGACAAAAAGGTACTAAGAAAAGAAGGGGGTTGTGACACGTGGCATGTGGCTAGTGGGTACTGAATTGGATGGTACCATTCTATACAAGACGATGAAAGCTTATTGCGTGCTAGCTGTGTCATGGGGCCTTCTGGTAGACACTCTTCCATACATTGTTTCATTTGATTCTTACTACAACCATACAAGATTGGTTATTTCCTCTATTTTTTACTTACAACTTAGCCAAAAATAATTTGCAATGTGTAACCACTAAAACTCACTTCACCTCCTTCAGTTCTTACATCTTCTCAGTGAGGCCTTCCATTGCCATTTCTTAGAAAACTGTAACCGGCCAGGCACGGTGGCTCTTGCCTGTAATTCCAACACTTTGGGAGGCCAAGGCAGGCAGATCATGAGGTCAGGAGTTCAAGACCAGCCTGGCAAACATAGTGAAACCCCATCTCTACTAAAAATACAAAAATTAGGCTGGACACAGTGGCTCATGCCTGTAATCTCAGCACTTTGGGAGGCTGAGGTGGGTGGATCACCTGAGGTCAGGAGTTCAAGACTGGCCTGGCCAACACGGTGAAACCCCATCTCTACTAAAAAATACAAAAATTAGCCAGGTGTGGTGGCGAGCACCTGTAGTCCCAGCTACTTGGGAGGCTGAGACAGGAGAATTGCTTGAACCTGGAAGGTGGAGGTTGCAGTGAGCTGAGATCATGCCACTGCATTCTAGCCTGGGCAACAGAGCAAGACTCCATCTCAAAAAAAAAAAACAAAAACAACAACAACAACAAAAACAAATATTAGCCAAGTGTGGTGGCACGCACCTGTAGTCCCAGTTACTTGGGAAGCTGAGGCAGGAGAATCACTTGAACCTGGCAGGCAAAGGTTGCAATGAGCTGAGACTCCAGCCTGGGCAACAGAGCAAATTAAAGAAGGCATTCAATGCGGTGAATTGATTTGAATTTTCACGAGGTGTGAGTAGAAGTTTGAGTCAGTCTTACTTTGCTATCGAGGACCAGAAGTCCCAACATGAAAGACATACATATAAGGAAATTCTATCTGAGAGACATTAAGTAATTTTCCTTTGGCTATACTGTGGCTAAGCATCAAAACCAGGCTTCAAAACTAGGTCTAGGCCGGGAGCAGTGGCTCACGCCTGCAATCCCAGCACTTTGGGAGGCCGAGGCGGGCGGATCACTTGAGGTCAGGAGTTCAAGACCAGCCTGGCCAACACGTGAAACCCCGTCTCTACCAAAAATAGAAAAATTAGCCAGGTGTGGTGGTGCACACCTATAATCCTAGCTACTTGGGAGGCTGAGGCAGAAGAATGGCTTGAACCCAGGAGGCAGAGGTTGCTGTGAGCTCTGATCGCGCCACTGCACTCCAGCCTGGGCAAAAAAGTGAGACTCCATCTCAAAAAAAAAAAAAAAGAAAACTAGGTCTGTCTCACTGCAGGTTTATGTTCTTTCTATTCCTCCCCATAGTTCCTGTACTTTCTGAAGGGGCTTGGATTTGTAACTGAGTCATTGCTTAAATTTCTGCAATTCTTTTAGTCCTTAAGTGCATACTTCATACTCAACCTATTTTAAGTATGCTGGCAGCTGTCTGCTCTCCCAGGCCCTAGTAAACACAAGTTCAGGCCATTAAGTGCTTTTACTAGCCAAATTCTCCTACCTTATCTTAGCAGCTATGTGCTCTACTTCTCATTCCTGTGTTAAACTTCATCCTTGATTCCACATTAAGCTTCCCTCCCAGATGTTACTGTTTAGCTGAAACAGAGCTGTCTGAGCAGGTATCCAGAGTTCTCAGAATGGTATGGAACACTTCTTGGCACATCAGATTTTCCACAGAACCCTGAAACAGAACCCCTCAAATATCAGATGTTGAGCATAATAGATGAGGTCTTCTAAAGCCCAGAGTAAACGCTCAAATGAGATGAAAACACAGTGCTTAAAAAACGAGTTCCTTCTTCAGAAAATCTTATTCTTAAGGTTTTAATAGTAGTCCTGTGCCCAGCAGTTAAGGCTATCATTTAAATCAAAGCAAGGAAAACATAAGCATGCTTATTTCACAAAGGAAGATTCTCTGAAATTAATAGCTCAAAACAGAACTACTGTCAGTTTCTGAGGTGGACCAAATAGGTATTACTTTAGAAAGCTTAAGTTATAGTGGATATTTTCATATAGCGTGCTGGGTATTGTTAACAGGATCTCCTGCCAAGAGATTCACATCACATGGGAAACCTGCATATCAAGATGGTATCTGGAAAATTATTTAGGTCCGGTCTCCTGAAAGAAGGAAATTAACTGTTTAGAAAACAGCTGACTTTCGGGACAGTGATTAAGTATAAACTAAGAGTGCAGAATGAAAATGGTGTCTGTTTTAAAGGATGGCTGTTTTAAAATGAAAAGGTAATGTGCTCAATTTTTAAATATTTTCCATGATCTTTGCATTTATACTTTAAGAATAAGATGAGGAAGAGGAAAAAGAAGTGTTTGCAGTTAAACACAAGGTCAGGCTTGGCTTTTAAACCTGAACCTATGTTCCCGCTAGTAGTGGAGTGTGCAGATGAGAGGGCAAGTTCGTGGCTTTCATGGGAGTCTGCTCCTCTTCTGGGGTATCTTTCTCTTTCTCTTCTTGCAAGCTTCTCAAAGCCCCCAGACTCTGCCTCCACGTAATTCCTTTCCACATTCTTCCCTTCACCTTCTACACTCTGACCTTGGAACATGATCTTCCCTCAACCTCTTTGCTCCCCTCATCCCTGCAGAGATGGAGTGCGCTGGCTGATTGATAAATCTGAAAATAACTGGTTGTCCTCTGCCCTGCATGGCCATTCTTCCTCTTGGGATGTGCCCGTCTCCAAATAGCACCACTAGCACTCTACGCCTCCACACCACCATGCTGATTAGCGGAGTATAGGTGGTGCTATGCTGCCCAGAGGAAAATCTCCCTTCATGGAAACCAAGGGTGGAAAAGTTACTTCCCTCTAACAAGAAACAACCTGATAAGGTCAACTTGACTCATTCTGGAGTTTGCACTAGGCTCTCACGCTAAGCTACTCCATTATCAGCAACTGAGGTTTTGTTTTGGTTTCCCATCTACCATTCCTTTATTTTCTCTCTCAAATTCTTCATAGCTCAGGAAAGGAATATGCAATGTTCCTTTGGAAACCCAACATTTGGCAGGGCGGCATTGTATACAGACATTGAAAAATCAAAACCAGAAGAGCAGAGTTTGGGTAGTAAGAGACGCATGTGATTGGGAGTCTTGTGAACCACGGGGTGCAGTAGAGGCCGTGACATTTTACCTTCGATTGTATGTGGAGGTTTGTATTAGGCCAAGTGGGTTTTTACAGGAGTGACGTTGGTCTGGGTAAGAGGTTTTAAAGCAGGCTGTGAGCATATTGAATCTAGAGGATCGTTGTGGCTTGTGGTGTTTTTCCTCAGAGAATGACTTTCTGTGGAGCCCTAACTGGTCTCCTTAGGCCTTTGGAGAGGCTGGTGGGGAGGGGCATCTTAAGTGAAAGGCGCAAGGACTTCAGAAGAGATATGGAGCGCCTCTCATAGTGCAATTCCTTCAGGGACTCAGGAGTTTAACTGGCTCAATGCCAAGAGTCTAAGTGGCTCAGCATTAATGAGACACTCACAAGATTATCACAGCATTTGCACCACCTGTTTTGAAATCAAGCCAATCCCCAGCCAAGACAGCAGCTGTCCAAGAAAAATTATATTCTTAGAACACGGTACCTGGTGCACCCAAAGGCTGTGGAAGGTACTCAGTGGTAACTGAGGCAAGGAAAGTCAATGGGGAAAATCCTTACATTAGCTTCCCCCTGATGCCTGTCAGTCAACACCCACTTTCTGGAATGTACTACCCATGATCTTAAACCCAACTGGCAGAAATTCCCTCCACACCTCTCACGGACTGCAAGAGGCCCTAGAAAGTGGGTGCAACATGGAATAAATTAAATGTGGGCAGCAGCCGCCGGTGGGCCCCTCTCCATCAACAGCAACATAGCAGTTTCACAGGGAAAGGCCCAGCGCCCACAGGTGCTTGGCAGGGCAGGTGGCCTCAAGATGCCACTGCTGCAGTTTCCAGGGGAAAAGCAGACTTCACAGGCCTTTTAGGTGTAGCTGGGAAAAATAATAGGTACTGATTTTCACCGATTTTCAAGGCAGCTGGGTTCCAACGTACTACAGAGTGCTTGTAAGGTTCTAGCTTCTAACTGGTAGCGCCAGGCCACTGTGGCCCTTGCTGTATCAGCCACCCCAAATTCCATTCTGCATTCAGGCACAAGGAGGGAACCATGAAGGGACCTTGGATCCATGTGGTTCATCTGTAGTTGATTCTGGACTGCTTAAATCTATGTAAAGATAGATTTTTTTTTTTTTTTTGAGACGGAGTCTCACTCTGTCGCCCAGGCTGGATAGCAGTGGCGCTATCTCGGCTCACTGCAAGCTCCGCCTCCTGGGTTCACGCCATTCTCCTGCCTCAGTCTCCTGAGTAGCTGGGACTACAGGCACCTGCCACCACGCCCGGCTAATTTTTTGTATTTTTAGTAGAGATGGGGTTTCATCGTGTTAGCCAGGATGGTCTCAATCTCCTGACCTCGTGATCCGCCCACCTCAGCCTCCCAAAGTGCTGGGATTACAGGCGTGAGCCACCCTGCCGGGCCGTAAAGATAGATTTAAGACGCCTCCTCCATCCCTAGGAGGCAACTTTCTTAGGCCTAAACATGCATTCTGGCTCAGGCCTGAAAACGCCTGTATACAGGGATGTTGGCTCAGAGCCCCTAGAGGGAGCCCTCACTCAACAGTCCAGGTACCAGAAACAGCTTGTTGGAAGGGGAAATGTAAATTAAGGTGTCATGCAATGGTGGTCTTTCCCCCAGGAATGATCAGTGTATACGGCCAAAATTAAGCCCTTTTTGAGCGTCCTTCCAATAGAAATTAGGATCACGAGTTGTGAGTTACAGAACACTGGGGCATCTTTGGGGAACTGAAACCAAGATTTTTTTTTTTTCCAGATACTATTGAGGTTCTACTATGGTCTCTGGCAGCACTAGGTACTGAGCTGTGGGAGCAGTGTTGTATGGGATGACTGCTTTAGTACCTGGGAATTAGCTTGTTTCGAAACAAGGGTGGTTGTGGGGCCAAGGCTATGATAATTTTGTGGTTAACTCTTCTGACTCTAAAGTGAGCACATCAGAGACTCAGCCTCAAACCTAGTTCCTTCTGGAGCACGGTAGGAACAACCACTCTCTTAAAGACAACTCCAGCTACAGCCTCTTGAAAGAATCTCAACTGGACCTAGGCATCAAAAACTCCTCTGGCCAAGGCTGATCTGAATGAGAAATCTGGCAGGATAGTCTTGGGATTTATTTTTCTTAAAGTTTTGTACTTCGAACTCAGGTGGACAAAATAATTTGATTTGCTTTAGTTCCTTTAGACTTTAATGCCTTTAGATTTTTTTTAATCCAAAGGGACTTAATCTTTGAATTTTTTTCTCTAAAAGTTGAATAATAAAAGTTAAACTTCCATTCAAATTTGGATATCATTATGTTGCTAGCATTTTATTCCTGGACTTTCATGCATTTTCTTATGGGAATGTTATGTTGGGATCTAATCTCAATGCAGAACATCTGATATGCTACATGCTACACGGGACGATGAGGTAGGAGAGAATTAGGGATGAGAAAAATGTTCAGTCTTTGGTACAGAGTAGCCTTTGAATTCATTTACTTACTAGTACACTGCTGGATCCAGAGCCTTCTGAGACCAAATGTTCACTGACAGCCCAAGCCAGTCACACCTGCAAAGGCTGGTGTTGGGAAGTGGCCTCAAAGGTGAGAGGAGGTCTGCCCTCTGGAACAGATGCTCTCCTCCTCCAGGCCATCAGTCACAGCCCTGGTTGAGCAATGGGCCAATGTTTCAAGAGAACTTAAACTGGGGAGCATGAAAGGGGAACACTCTTCCCTAAGACTTCCCTAGTTTAAATCTCCAGGGCAAGAAACACCCTCTGGCCTTTGTACTTCCACTTTGTACTTTGTCCTGGCCCTGATGTAGTAGTCCCTGATTCTAATGAGTAAATTTTTAGCGTCATTAAGTCTACTTGGCTCGGCCCACCCCTTACTTGTGGAATTTGCTCCCTGTTTACATTTTTCTGCTCCTCTAAGAGCTCTGCCCCTTTTGGGGTCGTCCAAGGTGACCGGTGGATGGATTAAGTCTGCCTAATTCCAGAATGCACTTTTAGCAGGTTCACTGGGCTAAACAGCTAGAAAGCCATGGTTCCAAGCTGGGTTCCATCAGCGATATGGACTTCACCTACTTTTTATTTCTCAAATGGTTCAAAACTCTGGCCAGGGAAAGGGTGCTATTTTTGGCCTTCCTCTAAACCCTCAATACCTACTACCTATACTTCTGTTGCTCTTAAAGCCCTTACAGTCTAACCTCAGACCTTCGATAACTTAAGTCAATCTGGGTAGGGCAAGATGCTGGGACACCCACTGGTGAACACTCAAGTGGGGGCCTTCCTCCTTCTCCCTCTCACTGTGACAACCTCCTTCTGTTCCTTTAACACGCCAGGCTTATTTGTGCCAAGTGGCCTCCTCTCCCCAGAGACCATCTTCTCCCGATTCAGACTACAATCTTTCAAAGCTTGGTGAAATCCCACGTTTCTCACCCTGTCTCCTTTGAACTCTTGCAGCCACCACACTATCTCACACAACTGAGCACTTTCTTACAAGTCATCTTGATTCCATCGTTGGTCTAGTCAGGGTTTCTCAATGTCAGCCAGATCGATACCCTGGGTGGGTAATTGTTGTGAGGGCTGTCCTGGCCTCTGCCCCTAGAAGCCATATCCTATACCCTGCCCCCGAGATTTGTGTCTCTGGGAACTGCCAAGTGTCCCCTAGGCAAGCAAAATCATCCCCAGCTGAGAATCACTATGATTAGACCAGAAGACTTTGCCCTGGATGGCCAATACCGCTGAGCAGCTGCCCAAAGCTTGGTCAGAAGGGCCTGGTTGGAAATTGAATAGGATACAAAGAGCTGACTCGGCAGATAAGTTTTTAAAACTTAATGACTGATAGAGATAATACCCCTTAAGAGTCCCTATACTTCTCTATCCAAACTAACATTAAGTAAAATCAGAAGCAAAGCTAAAATCTGTGCTTCCTAAAACACCTGAATGCTGGAATTTTTTTTTTTTTGAGGCATGATTATCATCAACTAAGGAAAGATTCTCTCCTACAAATTCAGATATACTAATTACCGATCAAAAGACTAAACTGAGTAAATCCACATGAAGTGAGAAAATGAAAATGGAATGTACAATTCTATTCAATTAGAAGCAATTTTAGAGAATTTTATTTAACTGTCAACTTATCACCAACATCTAACATTTTTTAGTTCAGGTACATTTGGGTAAGAACATTAGGGAGAAATGTAAATTAAATACTATGAAACTATGCTTTTAATGAAACATGGTCTCAGTAAAATATGGACACAAAAGTTTAGTGGTTTTATTGCATTGTTAGAAAATTATATTATGAAAGATATAAAAAAATCAATGTTTTTCTGCTTCTTTTATAATCAGTATGCCATCTTCTACCATTATGGCTTTAATTTTCATTCTACCCAACAAGTTTCAAAGAATAGTTTATTACATGCCTTAATAAAACATTTAAAATATTTACAGATTCAAAATAGATGTTTTATAACTGAAAAAAGTTCACCTGAGAATTCACCGTAACATTGCCATTTTTTTCCCAAGTTGTTAATGTGACTGAGTGTCCACATGCAACCTGTATCGTCTACTGCATCTAACATACTTATTTCCTTATTTAAAATTAGTTAAGCAGTAAGCTATAGCAAACTGTTAAAAAAAATTACAGATGGAGAACCAAGACTGTATCCACATTTGTTTTGAATATGACAATTTAACGAATTATTTGCTATAGTTCCAGAATTTGAATAAGAAAAAAAATAAGGTAATGTTATTTTACTGAATTCAACATAACAGCTTTTAAAAAATCATCAAACATTGAGAAGGCCAGTTCATAAAATAGTGAACAATGATCATGTGAATATGCAATATACAAACTGAAAACATTTCAAAATTCTGCATGAAGGAAAAGGCATACACTGTATACTCATAATCCTGTCATTTGTCTTCGGCAGCCTCAAAAAAAATATTGCCTTGAAACATTTTCTTAGAAAAAACTTCTTTAGAAGTTAATGTTAAAATAGGCATAAATGTGTAATGCTATGCAATATACAGAAAACTTTCCCACTTATGGCCAAAAGACAAACGTAAAATCTTTTTTATCTGTCCATCTGCATTACAACTTGAAAATCATGTAGATATGAGGTAGTGTAGTTACTTGTATTACATGCTGGCTATTTAAAGTAATGCTAAATTTTAAGAAATTACACTTGGCCAATAATTCTGTGTCATTAATAGAAACCCTTAATGCTAAACTGTTTATAGGTAGAGAGAAATTTAAACCAAGTGCTTTACAAATTATATTTAAGCTCTGGAGACAACTACATTTTATCATAAAATAGTAGGTAATCTTTCAAAGCAAGTACAGTAGCAATTAAAGCAAAAGATTATTTGACATTTGCACATACACAAACTGATACAACCAATAGTTGGGTGTACACTGAGGTAGGAAATCAAGGGTTCCATTGGCTTAAGATTTTACATTTTGTAAACCAGAAGTTCTTATATTATTTTATATCGTGAAGCTGAAATTTAAAATTACAAGTATCAAAGAAATACCTATATGGAGAGATATATATGTATACATACACATACACACACACACACACACACACACACACACACACAAATTCTTTTGCAGTATGGGATGCACTATCAGAATTATTCTCCCTGACAAATTCTTGAGTGTACTTATAAAAGCTACTAGAAAATAAACAAGTCCAACTAATTTTCTCTTACAAATAAGTCAGTGACAGAGAGAACATACAAACCACTGAAAATATACTAGCAATATCCTCCCCCTACACCCTGATCAAAAAGGGTAACATTTGACAAATTACTCCAAGACATGAAGACTGGTCCCCATATACTCTCAAGGGCAAGGCCAACTTGCTTCAGACTTGTTCATACACAGTGGGTGGTGGCTGCCCACATTAGCTAGACAAGCCCTGCACTAGGCTCAGGATGCAGTCTATAGAAGTGTCTCTTTCAGCCCTCTGATTTTGGTGAAATCAACACTATAAACTACTCCTCTGTACCATTAAAACTGGGTTCTGCCAATGTTTCTGTGAATGTGAATATATGCATTTTTTTTAATTGCTGAGAAGATCCATAGCTTTCATTTGACTCTCAAACACATCTAACCCCAGCATGGCTAAAAGCCACCGCAAAATGTTATGCGATAGGTGCTCAGTTATCTATTTTGTAACAGGACTGAACAAACACTAAGACTGATCTTTAAATGTCCAAGTTAAAATGATTTGTGTGTCTTTATACCACACCAAATTTGGAGAAGAGAGCAAGGATTCAACCTGCTTTTCAAATGCAAACCCACAATAGAAAAAGATTGAGTTTCATCCTATTTCACAAACCTGCAGAGTTGCTGCAGATACATTTTTTATCTGTTACAATCATTTTTACAAGTGAATAATACGACTTCAAAAACAGGGTGAAAAAAATGAACTGCACTCCTGGTAAAAAGTAAGCAACATTCTTTCCCCGTGATGTCTGGTTTTCTGGCATTGGTGACCCACGGTGGAAAAATGAACAGCTTTACATGTTGGTAAGCTCTCCAGATTCTAGGGAGCCTGAGATAATGCTGCCAGTGTAATCACTCATGCCACTGTATTCTGAGTCCTATTTCTTCTTCCAAAGGGACAAAAATGCCAGGAAATAGGAAGTCCATGATGGGACCAGATATGGTAGAGACTGAAGCGGGGGGCAGGGAGGGAAAGTGACACTTAAATCTATTCATGTAGCCAGACTTTCTAGAGTCCATACTGAAGAGGAGAAGCAGCCCCCGTCTTAGGCCAACCACTTGCCTATTTACTAAATCTTCCCAATGTAGCTTAAAGCCTGATTTTAGGAGCCGAAGAACAAAGCCCTAAGATTCAGGTAAGACCATCTTTTTTTCACAATGCAGCTCTACAAAAATATTCCCAGTAGCTGACACCCTGCTTCTAAGAATAGAACTCTATTAGCATTGCTTGGGAAGAAATTTTCTTTCAAACTAAAATATTAGAAAAAAGTCAAATTATTAAACTTCTGCAGGCCACTTCTTTTAGTAGGAACTATCTGTAGATGTTTCAAGCTGTTAAATTGCTGTCTGATATGCTGCAGTTTTCATTCTCCTACTTATTCTGAATAGCAGGAAGAGTTATTACTAGAGTTATTATTCTTTAAAACATGAGTTTTAAAGGTTTACTACATTTTCACATGGATTTTTCTGATATCCAGGAGGCAAAATCATTTCTTTGTCTCTTGTAGAAATCAAGGAGAAATCATGGTTGACTTAAAGGAAATTCCCTTATGGTAAACTACTAAAGGAAAAAAACAGTATTGTTGAGCAACAGATGGTCATATTAGGCTTTCAAGACGCTGCCAAAACTTCAGGAGAAAATTAGATGGTTTGAAGGAAGTGAATGCAAGTTTACTCATCAGTAGTACATTTATCAGTCATCTGCTGACAGAAATCTGAGATCCCACCACTCTGACGACACTGTTCCGCAGGCCCAGCTTGCTCAGAGGTGGCTGTGGACATCTGCTGGGACTCCTGCCCTCGCGCGTAGCCAGGCTCACTGTTTCCTCTGGCACAGGGAGGCAGCACTGCTGGAGGCCGGTCAGATAAACTGAAAATTGATGGTAACGCCAGTTCACCATCAGGAGTACTTTTATCTTTTTCAGAAATTAAAAATGAAAGTGGGCAATCTGCAGCTGAGTACTTGGCGAGTATCTGTATTTGTTCTTGACTCAGAGCTGCTTCTTTACAAACTTTCTGGCAAAGTCCAGTTAGGTTCTGCTTTGTCTCACCCAGAGTTGACAAAATGTGATCTCTTTCCTTCAACAAGCTCTCCTTTTCACTTTGCTGTGAAGTGGGGAAAGAGAACACAATGGCTTGTGTTTATTAGCTCAATCAACATTTCCAAGGCGATCAAATAATATACAGGGGCTTCTCATCAAGTAAGATCACATGGAGTTTATCCTTTCAATTCCATTCAATTATACATTAAATACTAAAGGCCCAGAATCTCCCACCCAAAACTCTTGGGGCAGATGTATTTTGGCACAAAGCATTTTTCAGGTTTTGGAAAGACAGTATGGGTGCACACATAATTTCTCTAGCAGGCCTGGGGCAGCACTTCCCTATCAACTATCTTTACATTTCTAGGTAAACATTAAAATAGCAAATAATGAAGAAAGTAGGATAAAGACTATGTAGTCTAATGTCAATTTGGGGCAGTTTTTCGGTCAAAAGAGTTTGTGACAAACATACGGTTTTTGGAGCTTTCTGGATTTACAGACTGTACATAACAGGTATGGATGGCATTTTGGATGGGATACAAGAAAAAAAGTAAAAGTACAGTTAGCATAACTTAATTACTGAGACTCAAAGCATTGCAAGATTCAACTAATGACCAGCATTTGTTGAGCAGATTCTCTGACAGATATTGTGCTAAATGTTTTCCAACATGCAATCTCAGCTATGTAATCCACACAACACCTCTCTTGATTTAAGCAACATCAAACCCACTGAAGGGATGGGACTGAATTTAAGATGCCTAGAGACAGCCGGTGGGTGAGTTACTAAAGTGTGAAGAATTCGGGGGGGTAATTTTGTGCTTGCTAATTACCATTTTTGTTATTATTATAATTTTAAGATATTACCCCTATAAGAAAGTCTACCACAGAATTTTTCAAAAGTTTTTCTGGTTCCTGCCTTCCTGTCCATGTCACTTATCACTGCTGACAGCATGTCTTTTCTATTATCATCCCATTTCATCCTTCTTGTTCTAACATCTTATTGCTTCTAATCTATTATGAGCCAGGAAACCAAATAATCAAGGTATTTATAAGAAAAGAGTAAATAAACACTTGCTAGAAAGTCAAACGTTTTTCTTATGAAATTTATCACAACTCTCAACAAGTCAGTGTTGTTCTGTTTGCTTTCTGTTCATTGACAGGTTCTGGAGAGTTGAGGCTGCCAGTTAACCTTGAGACAAGTTAGTTCATAGTGCTAATCTATAAGTGCCATCCTTTAGTCTTTTATGACATAAAAGTCACTAAAAGGGTAAAACGAATTTTGCTTTATACAAAAGTATTGTTATGGTTTTATACAAAAGTATTACTATAAAATTATGTATGAATCCAATTATTGTTATTTCTAAAATATTTTAAAGCCTTGTAATATTTTGAGAAAATATACAATAAATACAAAATACTAAATTTTTATATGGCAAAGTATTCTCCAATCTGTTCAGATTTTTATATACAAGTTCTTTTTTTTTTTTTTTTTAAATAGATGTAGGTCAAGAATGTGCGTGTTAAGTATGTGTATGTAAGCAAAATCAATGTTTGGCCAGTACATTTTCTCTTATGCAAAGTTTATCAGTTGCACTCTTCTGATAAAATGAGTCTGCAGATACTGAAAGGGCAAGAACGGTACCTACTGCTTGTTCACAGTAGGAACCATTAAATGCAATCAACACCCATTTCTTTTTATGGTCTCTCAGAAGCCAATCCAAAGGAGGATGAAAACAAAGCTTCCAGAAGAAAGTGAGAAAGAATCTTTCTTCACTCATGGCAATATTCAGCCATGGACTCCTCTACCAAAGTTGGGATGAATCTATTCTAAACAGCAATAGAAAATTTTCAACTGCTGGTTGGTCTTTTAAATTAAATATGGTTCAACAAAATAAGGAGTACTTGAGCTTCCTCCCAGAAATTAGAACCACTACTTAACCTACAGATACTATGAAGATTACAAATATTTTATGACTTCTGTATCTTAATATCCACATGATCTTTAAATACTCTCACTCCTCCCACCCCACTAAATTAGGGATGACATCATTCTTTAAGTATACAAGATGGCTTGCTTCTTCACAACAACTAAAACAAATAGGCACAGCCCTAGAACTCCACCAGAATTATTTCTATAAATTAAATGTTCCCATCTGTTCCCCTGCACTTTAACTCCTACACAGCTAAGCTTCTAAGCAGTTTCCATTTCACTCTAAGTTTAAGACACATATTTACTATAATAGCAGTCAGCTTAATAACTAAAAGTAAAATACAAGTAATTCAAGTTAATTACTTAATGACATCAGTATTTAAGATACCTCCCAAAGTCACTACTTACAGTCATGAGTGGGACTCACTATTAGTGTCCTGCTACCTATCCCTACAATATATTTCCATTTTCCTATAAAAACAACTGTATAAATCACGTTTGAAGTGCTGCACCTTTAATTAGAGCTATTTCTTAAAAAGGAATAAAATTGGCATTCTGGTACCATTCTGGATTTTATACCAACAAAAAATCTTTACAGGCTGGGCACAGTGGCTCACGCCTGTAATCCCAGCACTTTGGGAGGCTGAGGTGGGCGGGTCATGTGAGGTCAGGAGTTCGAGACCAGCTTAGCCAACATGGTGAAACCCTGTCTCTAATAAAAATACAAAAAAATTAGCTGGGCATGGTGGCACACACCTGTAAACCTAGCTAAAAGGGCAGGCTGAGGCAGGGGAATCACTTGAGCCTGGGAGACGGAGGTTGCGGTGAGCCGAGATTGTGCCGCTGCACTCCAGCCTGGGTGACAGAGCAAGACTCTGTCTCAAAAAAAAAAAAAAAAAAAAACCTTTGCATCTAAATCCTTATTTTGAATAGCTAGTGCACAATATTTATTCAAATATAATTTTTTTAAAGATCATAAATATAACTCACCCAATAAAGATATAGAAGAATTTGGCACCAAAAGTACAAGTGACAATTTTATGATAGGGTAAAGAGTACTCACTGTTAGAAAATGGTCACTAATAGTTCCTTAGTAAGTAAAACCTCTGAACGGCAGTTCAGAGAAATCTGCAAATGGCACTGAGAAATATAAGCAAAAATGCTCATTTTCACTCATAAGATAAAAATAAAAGCTACCACGAGATATCATGGTATCTCACTATCAGACTGGAAAAAACCCAAAAGCTGACAACAAATCTTGACTGAGGGTGTGGACAGACACACACACATATACTGCTGCTGGAAGGCCAAATATGACAATTCCTAAGGAGGGGAATCTGTTAATATCTAATAAAATTATGTATGTATTTACCCTTGATCCAACAATCCCACTTCTAGGAATGTGTCCTAGAGACACAGCTCCTTAAACATGAAACAGTATACAGTTATTCACTGCAGGATCCCAACTGTCCACCCACAGAAGACTGGTTTGAACTGTATTACAGTCACTACTGAGTACTATGGAGCTGGAAAACGAATGACAACCTCTCTGAACTAAGAAAAAATATTTCCTATAAATCAATTCTTAAGTTTAAAAAGTACAGAAAAATGTATATAAAATACTTCCATGCAGCAGGATGGATAATAAGAGTAGACATAAAATGTTAACACATTTTTAGAAAAGAAACACAGGGAAAAAAAAATCCAGAAACTAATGAAAATGGTTACCTATAGGAAGTAGCTATGAATAGGGTATAAGGAGAAGATGAGATCAAGATTTGGAGTATATATTTTTTAAAATATAGTTTTAATGTTTGAACCATATAAACGTTTTACATTCAAAATAAAACAAATTAAAAATGTAGGCCAGGCATGGTGGCTCATGCCTAAAATCTCAGCACTTTGGGAGGCCAAGGCAGGAGGATCGATTGAGCCCAGGAGTTTTGAGAGGAGCCTGGGCAACACAGCGAAACCTCACCTTCACAAAAAAATTACCCGGGCATGGTGGTGCGCACCTGTAGTCCTGGCTACTCAGAAGGCTGATATGAGAGGATTTGCTTGATCCCAAGAAGTCAAGGCTGCAGTGAGTCATGACTGTGCCACTGCACTCTAGCCTGGGTGACAGAGTGAAACCCTGTCTCAAAAAATGTAGAGTAAATCCCAGTAATATAAATAGAAAAAAAAATTAATTGTATGCCAAATTGGTAACACAAATATTTCAAATAACTTTAAAGCTTCACACTGGGAAATATTTAAGCATAAAAAAGCAAATAAATCTCAAATTCTGCTCAATTTGTTTACTGTTAATAGTAATACTGATTGTCTAATTTTCTTACTTTTTATACAGTGTGCCCTCACTTAAAATCATCGACAGGTTTTTGGAAACTGACTTTAAGAGAAACAACGCACACCAGGTCCTCAATAAACATTTTGTTCCACATCCTTTCTTTTTTATTTTATTGTTTATTTATATTATACTTTAAGTTCTAGGGTACATGTGCACAACGTGCAGGTTTGTTACATATGTATACATGTGCCATGTTAGTGTGCTGCACCCATTAACTCGTTTTTTTTGTTTTTGTTTTTGTTTTTGTTTTTGTTTTAAGACGGAGTTTCGCTCTTGTAGCCCAGGCTGGAGTGCAATGGCATGATCTCAGCTCACCGCAACCTCCACCTCCCAGGTTCAAGCGATTCTCCTGCCTCAGCCTCCCGAGTAGCTGGGATTACAGGTTTGCACCACCATGTTGGCCAGGCTAGCCTCGAACTCCTGAGCCACCGCACCCGGCACATTAGGTATATCTCCTAATGCTATCCCTCCCCACTCCCCCACCCGACGACAGGCCCCGGTGTGTGATGTTCCCCACCCTGTGTCCAAGTGTTCTCATTTTTACAACATCCTTTCATTATAAAGTTGATGAGGAAAAAAACTGGTTTCATTATCCATCATTTCATGTTAAGTGAGAACTTACTGTATATTATAAAGGAAACAATACACTAATGTAATTGGAGCCAAAATTTTTCCTGTAAATGATGAGAGATTAAACATAAACACAGAAGTGAAGACAAAAGCTCTATACTGCTAAATTTGGACTGGAAATACTACATAAACTCAGGATTTCTAATGTACTTTTTACTTTCATTTACTGAAGCCTGATATATATGAATTCATGATATAATGAACTTTATTTTATACACAGATGCATATATTTCCTAGCTCTGTCCACTGAAAAAGGCCCAGAAGGAATAATACTCCAGCAGCAGGTAGGCTTTCCAAAGTCCAATATAACTGCTAGAAGAAACCAGGAGTTTTAAAGAAATGGGTGATTCCAAATCTTGAAACAATAGAGGTTAAAAAGTGAGACCATGGCAAGTGCTAGATGGTTATGTCAACAGGACAGGAGCTGGCTTGAACGGGCTCTCCCAGGCCAAATTTGAAAAATGTCAACATCAAAAAGAATAATGACTATTACTTATCCTAACAAATTGAATCAGAAAAAATTAATCCATGAGTCCACTGTGATTCCAAAGAGTGGGAGGGAGGGAAAAGAGAAAACAAGAAAAGGCCAGGCATGGTGGCTCATGTCTGTAATCCCAGCACTTTGGGAGGCTGAGGAAAGCAGATCACTTGAAGTCAGGTGTTCGAGACCAGGCTGGCCAACACGATGAAAACCCATCACTTCTAAAAATACAAAAATTAGCTAGGTGTGGTGGTGGGCACCTGTAGTCCTAGCTATTCGGGAGGCTGAGGCAGGAGAATCACATGAACCTGGGAGGTAGAGGTTGCAGTGAGCTGAGATCACGCCACTGCACTCCACACTCCAGCCTAGGCAACAGAGTGAGACTCTGTTTCAAAAAAAAATAAAAAAATAAAAGAGAAAGAAAGGAAGAACAATCCTTTTTAATCAGGAATACCAACTAAAATAATGTAAATAGAATGAAAGATTTAGAAAAATCATGATTTTGTAATCATGGTAATCACAGTGAAGGTCATCAACATATTCTAAAGGATGCAGGAGTATTGGGGAACGGGATAATTATAAAGTGCCCAAGTAACACATCATAGATAACTAAGCAACACAGGTTGAAAAAATATTACTTTGAAAATGGAGCAATCTGGCACTTCCCAGCTACCCAGGTACGACAATACTGACACTGGACCTCCTGCCTCCCTAGGCGACACAATATAAAGGACAACACCAGTGAATGTTTAAACTCAGTCTCCTCAACTCAAACATTTCCAGTTTACGGGAAGTAAAGGGATGGAGAAATGACTTAAAGCCATGGGGAAGCAATCAGACAAATAACTTAAAGTAAGACATTTATGAGAAATCCAGCCTGGATACTTCAAAAAGTTATTGTCATTAAAACAATGAGAGTACTTGTTCTAGATTAAGAGACTAAACAGGTTTAATCAAATGCATTATACGATGACTGTATCCTCGTTTGAAAAAAAAGCATCTATGAAAGATGGGAAAATCAGAGTAATTTGAATAAAAACTAGATATAATATTTAGGATGTGTTGAAATTCTCAGGCATAATAAAGGTATTAGTCATATCTAAGAATGCCTCTTTTTAGAAGATGCATGTTTAAACATTTAAGGATGAAGTGTCATAATATGGTAGCTTTCAAACAATTCAGAAAATAAAAGGAGAGGAAGAGAGCCAGAGTGAGGAATGACAGCCAGCAAGACAGCAGGACAGGAACAACAGTGACACCAAGGGGTGAGAGACCAAGATCAACCAAGTGGGGTTAAAAAAGGACCAAGATGGATAGACGGAGATAGAGGTGCAAAGACTGACAAACCAACAGGTATAGACAGATGATCTGAGGTGGAGAGACAAAGGCGGAAAGATCAAGATAGAGAAATAAAGCAAATGTGGCAAAATGTCAAAAATCAAAGAATCTACATGCAGAGTATATGGTTGCTTATGGTACCCATTCATTTAACTTTTCTGAAAGCTTGAAATTTTTAGAATGGGGTGGGGGGTGCTGACATGAAGCTCAAGAAAAAATGAACACACTTGAACTTGACTCCCTATGAGACTGTAAGTAAGTGAGGATTCTGTCTTACTCATTTCTGACATCCTGGTACCAAGCACAACATTTAACATGTAGGGTCACCAGCAAATACTTATAGGAAGAATAGAGAACCACTTTTATTTAAAGTACAACTAATACATATTGAGCCCTGAACACGTGCTGGGCAGTACAAACAGCTTTTCATCCCTGATCTCATCAGATCCTTGCATCAACCCCGCTGTGGCTGTTACTCTTATCCCACATTAGTAACGGGGGAATGTGGGTACTGGAGGTTAAGCAATTGCCCCAGACCACAAAGCTACCCAGTGGCCAGGCAGGCTTTCCAGTCATTTGTCTCCAAAGCCTCCGTCTGACCTCAGTGCTATCATGCAGTGAGTTCTCAGAATTTAAAACGTACATGACATTTATCTTGGACTTGTATCAAATGCAAGGTCCAGGGCCTTAACAACAGCTCTGGTATAGACTAAGAAATGTCCACCTTAAGGGGCACCCCAAGATAACTATGATGCCAATGGGACACACACCACATTTCAAGAAATGCTGCTCAACGACAACACGGAATGACAGAGGGCAGGTTCCGGAAGGGCCACTGGGGTGCGCTTTGGTTGAGCAGCCAGTAAATTGTGACTAGTTGTGAATAGGACAGGTTTATTTTTAATAAAATATAATCTTCACCACAAAATGCAAATCACTAAGGACGGATGAGGTCGTTTTACTTCTGTGCCATCATAATGGACAAAAGTAATGAAATAAAATGGTGTCTGAACACCTCAACCCTGAGCGCAAGTGTTTGTGAATATTCTGATTGCTGATCACTTACAAGTTGATATCGAAAACAATATTTGATACTTTCTAAAAGAAATACATTTTGGTAAATATTTTTCTGCAAAAAGCGAGGCTCCCTTCATTTCAGGGTACCTCTGAGGTTAAAATGGTTATCAGAGATATGTATATTTTCTAACTTCTGAATTAATCTTCCAGAAAAGAATAAACTTGGACCTTGTAAAGAAAGCTACATAGACAAGAGCTTCATAAGTTAAACACTGAACAGAAGCTGAATCCAAAGACTTTATAATTGTTAGTTTTAAAAGTCGGCCGAGCGCAGTGGCTCACGCCTATAATCCCAGCACTTTGGGAGGCCGAGGCGGGCGGATCAAGAGGTCAGGAGATCAAGACCATCCTGGCTAACACAGTGAAACCCCGTCTCTACTAAAAATATAAAAAAATTACCCAGGCATGGTGGCCAGCGCCTGTAGTCCCAGCTACTCGGGAGGCCGAGGCAGGTGAATGGTGTGAACCTAGGAGGCGGAGCTTACAGTGAGCCAAGACCGACCTCCAGCCTGGGCGAAAAGAGCGAGACTCTGCCTCAAAAAAAAAAATAAAAAAAATAAAAAAAATAACAAAAAAAACCAAAGTCATGTTACTGGCTTATGCATTATGCGCATTCAGTTCTTGTAATAAAAGCAATGCTAAATTAATGCTTAACCTCTAACATACTATAAAATTCAAAATAAATGCTAAAGTCAATACCATCCATTTTTCCACCAAATAAATAAACACCTTTTCTTCAAAGGTTCTATTAGACTCTGACAGAACTTCTTGTTGAGAAATACCTTATTTACTAAATGCTAACTCACATCTCCCTTTGTCCCAACACACTGAGACTTTAATAAAAGTGTCCTTTATTCCTTTATACATAATTATAATACTAACCCACTTTGCAAACATTTTAGAATAATTATTCTATTGTAATCAAACCCCTTTTTATCACATGCTGATCCATCCAGAATCTATTATGCCATTGCCCTCAGGACGAACTGCAAAAAGTTCCAAGATTTCTTTCTAGGAAAACAAACAGCCAATAGCCTAAGACCAAACTAACTAGAATATAGGGCCCTCTGCATGAATATTTTTAGACCTGAGCAATAAATACTGTGAATCTATTAATATGTTAAAGCCAACCAGTCATTCACTATGTGCAAATGGCTGTTTAATTATTAAACAAGCAATTTCCCTTAAATAGGTTTGTTATAATCTTTAGACTATAAAGACTAAGAATACTGCTTGTTTATTGGCCATGTTACTTTCAAAAAGTAACATCTCAATGAGATTAAAATATACACAAATATCTGTTCACATTCCTTCCTCTTTCTCAACTCTCCATGCTACTAAGTATAAACCTCTGGCTGTAACCCTCCTAGTTTTCTGTTTACAAAAGACAAGATCCATAACATCACCCAACAACCAGGGTCCAAGTAAACTTCTTACCATAATAACTATCTTAAACGTCAAATTCTTTTCCTTCTAGACGGGCCAGCTTTCTTATTCGTATTAGCTAATAAGCAGCATATTTTCTGTTTATGTTTATCTGAGAAAGACATCTACGCAGTACAGAAATTTGTAATGTACCCCTCACGCTGCAACTGGAGTTTGCCAGTACAAATCACTAGAACTGAGAGCAGTGTGAAGGACTGAGTAGAGACTTCAAGGAAGATGAAACACAAATGAGTCACTCTGATACAAAAATTCCAACACAACTTCTCTGGGGTTATTTTAGAAGTCAGACTGGCGCCTATCTAGGTGCAGGAGACACTATCAGATGTCTGCTGTGCCTGCCCAGAAAGGAGGGTCTTGACTCTTCTATTTTGTTCTTGCTCGCTAGTCACAGAAGAGGATACCTGAGTGAATTCAGCCAGTAAGATGCTCTCCTTGGGAATTCAGAACTGACTAAAACAGTAGTCTCTGACTGGATTAGTCCCTGGAGAGAGTGAAATTATTCAGGCATTGTGCCACAGCCACCCTTCCCATGTGCACTTAGTGACACACAAAGCCACTCTCGGATAGAGAGCGAAGCGGGTGCACAGAGAAGTCCCTGGGTTCCCAGGAGTCTTCCACTTCTGTTCCCTGTTATTTATGAGGCCTGGCTCCATTGTCTAGCTTCTAAATGAGAGGTACCTATCTCCCTACAACAAATTCATTCATTCATTCATTCATTCTTCAATCAAAAGTCTGTTTCTTGAAGCCAAAGAGTCCAAATTAATGTAATAGTTAAACAGGATACTGACCATTCAGATTTTGGATTTCATAAAAACTGTTGAGAAACAAAATATTACTTTGTATTGAAAATTAACCAGTAGTTATTCACTGACCATATGAAAGGAACCTTACTATGATGACAGAAGCAATATACCAAACACAGAGTTTACAGTTTAGGCAGAGACATTAGGAAGAAGGTCAATTAAGAAAGGGAAAATGGAGACCGGATGCAATGGCTCACACCTGTAATCCCAGCACTTTGGAAGGCTGAGGCGGGCGGATCACGAGGTCAGGAGATCGAGACCATCCTGGCTAACACGGTGAAGCCCCTGTTCTCCACTAAAAATACAAAAAATTAGTTGGGTGTGGTGGCACGTGCCTGTAATCCCAGCTACTCAGGAGGCTGAGGCAGGAGAATTGCTTGAACCCGGGAGACAGAGACAGGAGAATCGCTTGAACCCGGGAAGCGGAAGTTGCAGTGAGCCGAGATCATGCCACTGCATTCCAGCCTGGGTGACAGAGCAAGACTCCGTCTAAAAATAAATAAATAAATAAACCAAATAAAATTTTTTAAAAAGTAGAAAATGGAAAATAATAAAAAATACATAGTATTTATTGAGTAGTTACTACGTGCCAGGCATTGTTCTAAGTTCTTCAGATGGATTAACTCAATTAATTCCCCCAAATAAGCACCTAATCTATAAAGTAGGAACTAGTATTATCCTATTTTTCCGATGAAAACCCCAAGTCACAGAGAAATTAACCTGCCCAAAGTTACTAAGCATCTGATTGAGAGCCCACAATTTTAACCACTGTATCTGCCACCTCTCTAAGAAGGAAAGGCAGAGGGAGAAGAAAGCCCAAAGATAGCAAGGCTTCTTCATCCTAGATATCTGAAATTTAGTAGCAATATCAATAATCTAGCAAACCAATGTCTGATTTGTATCAAAAAAATAAAACCCTTGAGCCAAGAAATAGAGTAGTTCTAAAGGATAATAGCTACTCTCAAACATATTTGCTTAGTATCCATTTATAAAATAAAGTTACGAAATAAACTAGAATAGTCTTGTTTCGCTTTTATTTTTATTTTTAGAGGAGTAAGAAAACTGGATAAACTCTATGAACTACTATAAATTATAGCTGGCAGACGAGAAAGAGCAAGAAAAAGAACTAAGAAGCATAACTAAGAACTTCAGTAGTACAATTTTATGTAGATTTCATTCCACTAGCTTCGCATAACCTAACAGTGTAAAAAGCATCTCTGTATTGCAGCACAGAATAAAAACTGAAGCTCAAAATGCTATACTCCTTCTAAAGGCAGGTAAGGGTTTAATTCAAAACTGAATAAGAAAGAACACCAGTGTTTATTAAAGGTATTACTGATACACACTCTAAAAGTACTAAGTACTATAGAATTGAAAACTTTTCCTCCTTGGTTTTAACAATTTTAACTATTCAGCAATATCATGTCGGTGTTTGGGTTTTTTGTTTTTTTTTTTAACATCTCTCATGCCTCTATTTGTAAAACATCTAGTTCCTCTATTTTTTATTTAGTTATGCTTCATCTCTTTAATATAGTTATGATTTTTTATCTTTTTACACAAAGTATATGTACAATATATAAATAATAATTTTTTATTTTTCAACTTCTCCTGGAGGCACAATTTTTTTCCCTAAATTGTTGCTGTTTAATTGCCATTCATAGCTAGAATGTTCACGCTTGAAAACTTGCCACAATCCCAACTTTTAAACTTTCAACAATTAATAGACACAAAATTGAATATTCAAGCAATGTTTTTACTACTTCTAGGCTGTTTCCTTGCTATCTTTTACCATATCTTAGCTTTAGCTGGCCTGTACTATCAGAGTTGTCCTCTTTCATACAATGCTTCCTTCCACCAACGGAAAAAAGAAAGAGGAGTAAACTAATCAATTTTCAGTTAATTTGTGTCTTGATGCTGGAATAGAAAATAAGATTCAGGCCAGGCACGGTGGCTCATGCCTGAAATCCCTTTGGGAGGCCGAGACAGGCAGATCACGAGGTCAGGAGATCGAGACCATCCTGGCTCACACAGTGAAACCCCATCTCTACTAAAAATACAAAAAATAAATTAAAAAAAAAATTAGCCAGGCGCAGTGGCAGGCGCCTGTAGTCCCAGCTACTCCGGAGGCTGAGGCAGGAGAATGGCATGAACCCAGCAGGCAGAGCTTGCAGTGAGCCGAGATCGCACCACTGCACTCCAGCCTGGGCGACAAAGCAAGACTCCATCTCAAAAAAGAAAAAGAAAAGATTCAAAAGCAAGCATTGTTCTCACTTAGGATCCCATTAGATATTAATATTTTCAATTCATATCACCATATCTATCAGAATTTTTTTCCTTAGATGAAAGATCCTGGTTGGTCTGGTTTTGGTATCAACCAAAACAAGTTATTCAGGTCCACAGTTCATTTAAATGAACACCTGGAATATTAACTTCTATAGACACAAAACAGAGAACCTAAAGTGCTTTATAATTTCTTGAATCTATTCACAACCACTAATGATTAGGTAGACAGTAAAGTCATTCTTAATTTGAAAACCTTCTTTTTAAAAAGCACTTACATATCACAGCATATCATGGTAAAAATGATAAAATGGTAATTGATACATATTAAAATAAGTAATTGAGCATTATATCTGACCTAGAAATTTAAAAACTATTTCCTTGACAAAAAAGAAAGTGGTGGAATTTAAATAGTAACAAGAAACTTTTACACTTACCAGCTTCTCAATTTCTGATTCAAGATTCTGTATACAGTCAAGTTTTCTCTTGCGACAGCGCTGTGCAGCAATTCTGTTTTTACTTCTTCTTCGAATATCATGGATACAATCCAGCTGTTCTGGAGTAAGCTTGTGCATTTTCAACAAGGACTGAAAATCATTTCGAGACAGTGAAATTATCCGTTGTGCATTGAATGGCAGTTTTACCTAGAATATGAAATAAATATTACTAATTATTGCTGTATTTTATAATTATAGTCAAACCTAGGAAGATGAAGGTATACATCTAAGTTTTTCAGAGAACTTATTTTACATTAAAGAAAACATAGGCCTCTATCCCAATTTCTATACAATCTCAAAAGGATATCTGCACTGATCTACACATATTTTTTTGGAGACAGGGTCTCTGTCATGCAGGAGTACGGTGGCACAATCATGGCTTACTGCAGCCTCAACCTCCTAGGCTCAAGCGATCCTCTCACCTCAGCTTCCTAAGTAGCTGGGACTACTGGCACATGCCACCATGCCTGGCTAATTTTTGTATTTTTTGTAGAGATGGGGTTTTACCATGTTGCCCAAGCTGATCTCAAACTCCTGGGCTCAGGCAATCTACCCACCTCAGCCTCCCAAGGTGTTGGGATTACAGGCATGAGCCACTGTGCCCAGTCTGTACTCCCCGCCATATTCGTTACCGCATTATTCACAATAGCCATGATATGGAAACAACCTAAATGTCCATGGATGGATGAACGGATAAAGAAAACGTGGTGTATATACACAAAGGAATACCATTCAGCCTGATAAAAAGAAGGAAATCCTGCCATTTGCCTACAATATGGAGAACTTGGGAGGCATCATGCTAAGTGAAATAAGCCAGACACAGAGGAGAGTAAATCCAACATGATTTCACTTATACGAAGTAGACAGAACAGTCAAACTCACAGAAACAGAGAGTAGAATGGTGGTTGCCAGGGGCTAGGGAGAGGGAAAAAATGGGGAATTGCAATTGGATGGGTTAAGTTTCAGTCATAAAAGAATAAGTTATAGAGATCTGCTGTACAATATTGTGCTTATACTTAACAATACTGTATCGTACACTTAAAATTTTGTTATAAGGGTAGATCCCATGTTAAGTATTCTTACAAAAAACAAATAAAGCCCAAGAAAGGGGAAAAAATGCAATGGATAAAATAGAAAAATAATTTTTAAAAAGAATGTAAATTGTGATTATAAAGAGAAAAGCCAACTATTGAAAGGCAAAAAAAATCATAAAATATAAAAACAAAAAAAAGAAAAAATATTTTAATTAATATATTTTTGGAAGGAACTAACAGGCCCTTGTCATTATTGGACTTATAAGTAATATTTTACAGAAAGGATCTATCAAATACAAACAGAATATACAAATCAAGCTTGCTTTGATTAATATCATACCAGCTACATGTAACTCATGCTAAATTAAGACATTCATCAATAGTTGAAATGGCCAAAGGAAAATTTAAAAATCAATGGCCATGAAAAACTAGATCCAATAAACTTTACTCCACTAGAAGTCACATTCCTACAACTAATCACTGTTAAACCACTGCTCAGGGACATGTCCCAGGTCTAGAGGTTCTTGTTGGCAATGAGCAAGACTGAATATATGCTGCATTTTTCCAGGAGTTATCAAATAATGAGCATAGAATCATTATTCTTTTTTGTCTTGCAGCATGGCATTTGATTTAAACAATTAAATGGCCGATGTGTGAACACAGCCAATGTGTGAACCTACTTTATGGTTAATATATCTACTGGAAACGAATGAACAGAAGTCCTTCAAACTTCATCTCTCTCTTTTGGTATTTATCACACAGTGTTTTTAAAAAATTTTTTGAGACAGTCTTGCTCTGTCTCCTAGGCTGGAGTGCAGTGGTGCAAACCTGGCTCACTGCAACCTCCGCCTCCCACATTCAAGCGCTTCTCCTGCCTCAGCCTCTCGAGTAGCTGGGATTACAGGCACCCACCACCACACCCAGCTAATTTTTGTAGAGACGGAGATTCGCCATGTTGGCCAGGCTGATCTCAAACTTCTGACTTCAGGTGATCCACCCACACCTCGGCTTCTCAAAGTGCTGGAATTAACAGTTGTGGGCCACTGCGCCCAGCCCTATCACACAGTCTTACAATTAATTTTGTATGAGTTTCCTCCCCACTCCCTGAACCTGATTATATCCCTAATGATGCAAAGGGAGCTGATCCACAGTAAATCCCAATTAATGGTTATTAAAACAATGAATTAAGAACATATTCCTGCTCACCTCACATTCTTGTTCTCTGGCTGAACAGGATTCACTGTCTCCTTCGGTGTCCGTCTCAGAGTCGTCTCCCAAGCTAATGACACAAGCATATGGGCAAGGTTCTTGCTGGGGTTCTGAAACATAATCATCGTTTCCAATTTCCAAATTGCTTGAACAGCCTTCAGTACTCAGAGTACTTATAAAAGGGCAGTTGACAGAACTTAATGTTGTGAAAGTCCTTTGACCTGGTTCTGGGCTCTCACTAATCCTGATACCTAACCACGGACACTCAGACCGTTTCTGTGAGATCTGTTCTGAGCCATCTTTGGCCACAGCAGGTGATAACTGCATTTGGCAAGGAGTGTCCGTGCTGCAAATGTCACTCCAGAAGCCTTTTGCTAGGTGTTCTGCCACTTCTCGCTCCACACTACTCCTATCACTAGATGCAACACTACTATCTTCCCTGGTGCCCAAGTCGGATTTCAAAGGTAAATCCTGACTTTCACCAAATGTTTTTTCTTGGACGTCTGTACCTGACAAAGGCTTTTCTGTTAACACTGTTGTGTTTTGCATACCAGCAAAATTCAAGTCACCATATTGGTCATATGTGTGTAAAAGAGACAAAGAATAAAGTCCATGAGGGTCTATGGAAGAATTGTGGGGGAAAGGAGTCACTTCTGATTTTTCAGTTGGGCACTGAGAAGCAGGATCTTTCTTCGTTTCTTCAGGTTCCATTGCTAATTTACTTTCGTCACATTTTAACATCACCTGCAAATCTCTACACTCCGGGACTCCTCCCAGGCATTCATTTTCAGACCTTTCATTTGGCTGAACAGAAGCATGAATGTCTTTGACACTAGATTCCCCAGTACGGACTCTGTCAGTTCCAAATGCTTTTTGGAATTTTCTGTATTTGGGGCATAAAGAAGGCAAGGCCAGAGCAGCATCCTTCTCTAAGCACATGGACTCATATGTCTGACTGGCACTGTCTTGTAGAGGAGGTGAGGCTTTTGCATTTCCTTGATACCTGCGGAGTTTACACTGAGGAGTCTGAACATTTTTATTTTCCAGAAATTCCTCCACTTCATCAGTTTCTAGATCCCTCTGGTCCAAAAGTGAAAGTTTAAGGTCTGTTTTCTGACAGTGTGATGAAAAGCATTTTTTTCTTGGGCATTCTTGCTGGTCTGCAGTGGAGTCCAAAAACTTAAATTTCAGAAACTGAAAGCAGGATTCCTCAATATTATGTACACTTAAAAACTCCACACATTTGCACACTTCATCCACATTCTCTTTACTTAAAATCAGTTTAGCAGTGTAGGCAAACTGAATTAAAGGTTCAAATCCTTTAACTGTCACCTGTTGATACACAAAATAAAAACAAACACATCATTTGAAAGCTGTCTAGTACATAAAAACAAAATAAGTAGAAGAGGAATAGAGAGATATGTAACTTATTTGTGATAATTATAAAATATGTACTTTAATTTGAAGAAAACATATTCTTCTAAGAAATGTAAAAGAAAAAGATCCTGGAAAAGCATGCTTTTCACAGGGACCACACACTATTTTATAGAGTCCTCTCTTAATTGCACATGAATTATGGTTTACTCACATAAGTTAAAGATGTAAGACATTACCACAATTTTCCCATGATAGTGAAAAAAAAAATCATCTATGAATTAGAGCAGGATGAACACTACCTGCCACACATAGTGAGTCTACTGCTAGCCCAGCTCCACATGGCCACTGTATTCCAAACAACTCCAACTGCTACAAGCTACAAAAGCAGAATTTTAAAGGATATAAAACAGTATTTGTAAAGCAGTTACAAAGTCTTGATCCATGGTAAATGCATACTAACTGGTAACTATTAACTTTACTGTCAAAAATTCCTAACAGTAAAAGTTTTAAAGATTCAGATTTTTAAAAGTGATCTAAGAGAAGTTATAAAAATCATGCCTCGGTACTGTTTCAGCAAAAATTCATGGACTCGAAGTAACAAAACTTTTAAGTAGAAACTTGCACATTTACATTAAACCTGCCTCTTAAAGTGAGAGGCAAATGGAACCAACTCCAGTACACAGAAGGCATCATCCTGGATTAAAAGCACAAAATTAATTTGAAACCACTGAGTTCTTATAAGAGTGGTCAAGATAATATTAATATTTGTGATTTTTTTTTTTCTAAGACGGAGTCTCGCTCTGTCGCCCAGGCTGGAGTGCAGTGGCGCGATCTCGGCTCACTGCAAGCTCCGCCTCTCGGGTTCACGCCATTCTCCTGCCTCAGCCTCCCGAGCAGCTGGGACTACAGGTGCCTGCCACCATGCCCGGCTAATTTTTCTGTATTTTTAGTAGAGACGGGGGTTTCACCACGTTAGCCAGGATGGTCTCTATTTCCTGACCTCGTGATCCACTCGCCTAGGCCTCCCAAAGTGCTGGGATTACAGGCGTGAGCCACCGCGCCCGGCTGTGATCTTCTTAAAAACATAAACATGCTAAACCATGTTTAGGCTTTTTAAAGGCTCCAATAAAAAGCAGTGATACCATCAAATGCTAATGAGAATGCCGATAAACTAAATCACTCACATATTGCTAGTGGGAATGTAAAATGGTACAGACACTTTGAAAAAAACTTTCTTATAAAACTAAACATGCAACTACCATATAACCCAGCAACTGCACTCCTGGTCTTTTATCCCAGAGAAATGCAAATTTATGTTCACACAAAAACCAGTACACAAATGTTTACAGCAATTTTATTTGTGATAGCCAAAAACCAGAATTAGCCTGATTTCCTTCAATAGGTAAAAAGCTACACACACACACACACACACACACACACACACACACACACACACAAGGTACATCCATACTACAGAATATTACTCAGCAATAAAAAGGAATAAATTGCTGATACACACAAGCTGGATAATCTCAGCTAAGTCAAACAACATCAATCCTAAGAGGTAATATACTGCATAATTCCATTTATATAACATTTTTAGAATGACAAAACTTTAGAAAAGGAAGAAAGATTAGTGGTTGCCATGGATTAGGCACGGAGGAAGGGGGCAAGGGGATGAGGGCATGGAGTGTAGGCAGGAGATGTCTGTGGTTATAAAAGGACAACACAAGGGATCTTTGTGTTGGCAAGTTCAGTTCCTTTTTTTTTTTTTTTTTTTTTGAGGCAGAGTCTCTCTCTGTCACCCAGGCTAGAGTGCAGCGGCACGATCTTGGCTCACTGCAAGTGATTCTCCTGCCTCAGTCTCCCGAGTAGCTGGGATTACAGGTGCCCGCCACCACGCCTGGCTAATTTTTGTATTTTTAGTAGAGATGTGGTTTCACCATGTTGGCCAGGCTGGTCTCGAACTCCTGACCTCAGGTGATCTGCCTGCCTCGCCCTCCCAAAGTGCTGGGATTACAGGCATGAGCCACTGGGCCCGGCTGTTATCTTAACTATGGTGGTGGATACACAAACCTTCGCAGGGGATAAAATTATATAGAACTTAACCCGCACACACACATGCTAGTACAAGCAAAATTGTGGCAATCTGAACGCTATGGGAGATTGTATCAATATCCTGGTTGTAATACTATACTACAATTTTGCAAAATGTTATCAATGGCGGACACTGGACAAAGTGAAAAGGAACTCTGCATTGTTTCTTACATCTGTACATGAAAACATCAGTGTGACAGTTAATATTAAATGTCAACTTGATTGGATTGAAGGCTGTAAAGTCTTGTTTCTGGGTGTGTCAGTGAGGGCGTTGCTAGAGAAGACTAACATTTGAGTCAGTGGACTGGGAGAGGAAGACCCACCCTCAATATGGGTGGGCACCATCCACTCAGCTGCCAGCGAGGCTGGAACAAAACAGGAGGAAAAAGGTGGGATAGGTGACTTGCTGAGTCTTCCAGCTTTCATCTTTCTCCCCTGCTGGATGCCTCCTGCCCTTGACATCAGACGCCAGGTTCTTTGGCCTTTGGACTCTCAGACTTACACCAGCGGTTTGCCGAGGGCTCTTGGGCCTTTGGCCACAGACTGAAGGCTCTACAGTGTTGGCTTCCCTACTTTTGAGGCCTTTGGACTCGGACTGGGCCACTACTAGCTTCCTTCCTCCTCAGCTTGCAGGTGGCCTATAATGGGCCTTCACCTTGTGAACATGTGAGCCAATTCTCCTTAACAAACGCCCCTTCATACATACATATATCCTATTAGTTCTGTCCCTCTGGAGAACCCTAATACACTCGATAAAAATTTCAATTAAAATTTTTAAATATGTTAAAATAATCTAAAAAGGTCTTTAGGATAGTGAGTTATAAGGTATTTTGACATTGTCACTATAATGAAACACTTCAAATATTTGAAAACTTATGATTTACACATTAGAAAGAATGAATGAATGCATACACACATGCATGTATGCACATACCTTTCCTCCTAAATCCACGAATCAAACTTTGCTTTACTTGTAAAGTCTCATTCAATAATTTGAAAATATGAACCATAGTTAATACATCTCCATTATAAAATGTGTTGTTCTTTTTTTAAAACAATGGCTAGTTCATAGGTTGGCCTTTTTTACCATTTTCTTGATATTGCACCATTGACTCTGACCTCTGCTACAAAACTAACAGACAACCTGTTCCCAAAACCGTAGCTGCAGTTTCACAGAAGTAGGCATGGACAGCAACAAGCTAAACTGTAGACTTAGTTTACAGTTTATCCAACCGTATCCAACTGGGAATATCCCACATAGACCTGTCATACTCAAATGATTTCTACATTCTTTCTCCATATTCCTCCTAACTTCTATTTGTGTCCCAATGCCACAGCCTTGATACTCTGCTAGTAGCAGTTACTAACTAAAGCAAGGGATGCTGCTAGGAGTCAGCACAGCCAGCACATCCCCACCCAAAAGAGAATTCCTCTGAAAGGCAGGACATTAACAAGGACCCAAATATTTGTTAGCCTGAGCTCCACAACAGACCAGAGAAAAAGATGTATGTAAAAATAAGGCTATATAAAAATGACGCAACACTGTTTATTTTTTCTAATCAATACATAAAGACTAAGTCAAGAAAGAAGGGGAGACAGAACACTCATGGAGTGCCTCCTTTTCATAGGAGATGTCTTGGGAAAACGGACGTTTTACAGAACCCTAAACCTAGTGATATGGTTTGGCTGTGTCCCCACCCAAATCTTATCTTGAATTGTAGCTCCCACAATTGCCACGTCATGGGAGGGACCCAATGGGAGGTCACTGAATCACAGGGGCGGGTCTTTCCAGTGCTATTCTGGTGATAGTGAATAAGTCTCACGAGATGTGATGGTTTTATAAGGGGGAGCTTCACTGCACAAGTTCTCTCTTGCCCACCACCACGTAAGTCCCTTTGCTTTTCCTTCGTCTTCCACCATGATTGTGAGGTCTCCCCAGCCATGTGCAACTGTGAGCCGATTAAACTTCTTTCCTTTAAAAATTACCCAGTTTCAGGTATGTCTTTATTAGCGCCACGAGAACAGACTAACACACATAGCTACAATTGCTGATCACTGGAAAGGGCCCCTAGAAGAGAATGTCACACAGCACAGACTCTCAAAACCATGACTTTTCCAATTGCCTACAATCCACTGGGCGTGTCCTGATTTGGTCATTTCATCAAAAATAACATAACAGTGGGTGTTATGTTATATCCAACTGCTCAGTAATGTTAACCAACATTCAAAATTAATGATTTTACATTAAAAAAACTAAAAAAAAAAAAAAAAGGGGTTGCACAGAACCTGGGAAATGCTCCATAGCCACCTGACAAGGAGACTGTGCTTTATTTTCAACATTATGAACCATAAAAAACTTAAGTAAAAGTAGATTAAAATTGCCAAAAACATGGATCTCTCACCTCTTCTGGAAGAGTAATGTTCAGCTCTCCATCAGCCTGGCCTACGATTCTTGAGTGGAAGTAACTGCTGCATGCCGCCAGCACGGACCGGTGAGCGCGGAACCGCTGTCCCTCCACAAAGATGGTGACATCGCACAGCACATCTTTCTTCCGCTGGTCATTAAGGCTGAGTAAAACATTGGTGCTATGCACAGAAGATTCATAGGCAAAAACCGAGTTCTCACTCAGAGACATTCTGCATAACAAATGTTGTCGGGAAGTTCAGTGGAAAGCATGCTTCTAATTATCATCAACCTGCAAACACACATGCAAGATTTCACTTAAATAACATCTTGTTAAAAAATGACAGTGTCAAATACAGGCTAAGATACATACTCATTAAAACAAAAATGAAAATAAAAAACCTCCAGAGGAACAACCTAGAGGCATTTATTCAATATACTTCATTTAAAATAGGTTCTTGATAGCAGTTTTTCTAACTAATTTTACGGAAAAGATTCTTGGTGTGAGGGAACTTTTTGAACCAAGGATTTCATGGCTCTCTGAAAGTGAGACATTACACACTGAGTAACCACCTACTCTGAGCAAACAGATGGGAGCAGGGAATTTCTGGTGGCATCCCAATCCTATTGTTTTGAGACAGTTGAGAGAGAGAGAGAAGGCAGGAGAGACAGCCAGAGAGGTAAGAAGGAAGGTCCCCAGAGGTCACACCTTGGGATGAGACTGATAGTAAAACAGGCATGTGCTGTTCCACATTCTCCACACCCCATTCCTCAACATCTGATAGATGGCAAGTGAATTTAGTGTTTTATAACAAGGGACACTGTTCTACAAAAGGTAAAGTTCCTCCAGCACCAAGAAGAAAATGACTGAAATGTGTCAAGCCAGATCTTGGTAGTAAGTCTTTTTATACAGTAAGATTTACTTCACACTACAAATACAGGCAAGTAAAACTACCTCATTAATTACATGCAGAAACTAGGTTTTCTCAAAATGCTAAGAAAAAGTTATAATTTTATATTTTTTTAAAATACATACTAACATATAATAGCCTCCAAATATTTTTTGATCACATACACACTACTGCCAAAAACAAGAATACCCCCAATACGTGTATGCTTATCTATATTTTTCAGACATGTGCTACTATTCTGATATATATGTTCTGAGAAACACAGAAGTTCAAAGTAACAGGTTAAAAGAGAAGTTCTAATATTGTCTTCCAGCACCCTACGGCCGGAAAGGATGATACTGTGAGGAGCTTATTGGCCTTTATCCGTGTGATGCCTCACGGTATCATCCCTGCGTCATTCACTTCTGTTCTCCTGACACATGGGAAGCCTTCAAATGGTCAGTGAATGAGTAAATGGTACTGCTTTCAGATTTGCTACACACTCCAAACAAAAATGAAAGGAGAAATAAGGACTACTGAAGTTCAGTCCCAAGGTTAAGGATCACAACTTATTTACTGATTCAGCATACCACACGAAATCACTGGTAACTTCAAAATTAAACACTAGAACTAACTCCAGTTTTGGCCCATACGAGAATATAAATTTATTTTTAGCAATTAGTCTTAATACTTCAGTTATCAACACAAGAAATTAGTGTTAAGAATAACAGGGAAAACCATCAATCAAAGAAGTTATATATCTTTTGTGGGTGGCACCACACACAGACCACTGCCCTCTTCTTTCTTCAAGACTATACCCTGCCCAGAGCACACTGCCCTCCCAACCAAGCCGGACTCCATGGCTGACCACCTGCCCTACTATGTCCCTGTACCCACGCTCCCAGCCTCCTTATTCTTTCCTGGTATCTAGGATGCACACCCTTCAAAACTATACTAATCTTACTTCTATAGCTCATCATTCTTTTGAACACAGCACTGCCAGAAAACACTGTAGAAATACACAGACTGGTGTCATTATAAATTTACAATGTGCAGTCGCAGGCTCTTGGTACTGTTCACCAGTTTTCTGGTATGTCCCTGTCTCCTGTTCTCTATAATAGCTTTCCACCTTGCCACTTTTCTCCTCCTGATATCAGCATCTCTCCTAGCAAATCACCATGACTGGGACCCAACCTCAGAAAAAACAGTCCTCCTACCACCTCCATCAGGTTCCCTCTTCTGTTGAAAACAATCTGTAATGTATTCTCTTAATCCCGTGCCATGCCTGCTTCTCTGGGATCCAATACCTTCTCTTAAGACCCTGTCTCATAGATATCCAACCTCTCCCTCTATGCTGGCTCCTTCCCATAATGTTTGTTAATGAACACGTTTAAGTCTCTCCAGAGACTATCCTAAAGATGTTAACTATCAATGGCAAGATTATTAAGCTGTAATTCTTCACCAGGCACTGAGCTAAGTGCTAGATAGAGTTTCTCTCGTTTATGCCTCAAAACAGCCCTGTGATGCTCCTCTATCATCCCAATTTTACAGATGTGGAAACCAAGGCTCAGTAAGAAGTATCTTGGCCAACATCAAAAGACCAATAAGACAAAGATGGAGAATTGCCACCAGACATTTTTTTTAACTACTCCATCATTCTGTCTCCAGTTAGTACTAGCTGAACGCACAGTATGGAGATTCACTGCAGCAATGTGGGGAGCTGGATATGACTAAAAGGTTATGCTTGAGAATACAGATATGGACCGCAGAGAGAGCAAGAAAAAAAAAATTGGACCTGAGCTTCAGAAAGAGAATGACTCTGGGCCTTAGAAACGGAAATCTAAAGGTTCTTTGAATCTCAAGGTGACTCCACACAAATAATTCCTACACCTTCACCCTAGAGCTGCTAGTAGTCAACTACATACATCTGTGGCCCACCGCTTCTCATCCTGCCACCAGCTGGCTGACTACTCACCTCAAATTCCAGAGAATTAATTATTGGCTCAACATCTGTTTAGGCAGTTTTCAGTAACACATCATCTCATGGGTTGAGAGCTAGCTTACAGATTTGCTGCCCCTGGGCGAGATGCCAACCCCAAGTCCTGTCAGCTGCAGCTGAGAGAAACTAGAAATTCAGGTAGTAAAACAGCCATCCAGGAGGACCCCTCTAAGAAGGATCAGTCTCCCTTCAAGTGGATTGAGCACAGCATGCACCATGACTGATGCTGTTCATACAAGAAATCTGGGACTCACTCCTCATTCCTTCCTCAGCTGGGCACCTCTATCCAATCTCTTACTGAGTCCTGCTGCCTCTGCCTCTTAGCACTGGGGTCCACCTCTCTCCATCGGCATCAGCACAACTCTAATCCAAGCCATCATCAGCTCCTGCCTGGAAAAATGCTGTTTAACCTTCTATAACAGCTCACAAGCTCACAAATGTACAAGTTTACTTACATAAAATAAAGTTTCACATATCAATATTTATGCTTATTACTTGCAAGTAGTCTGATACTTTCTACTCCATTCAATTTTTTTTTTAAATCCCAGTTGCGATCCACTCAATTTCAAGACCCACATAGGCGCATCACCTACGCAATGAAAAATACAGGCCCAGTGGCAAACACCACAGGATTTAGAGTCTCAGAATTTACAATCTTACACTGTCTGGGTTCAAATCCCAGCTCTGCCACTACTAGCTATATGACCTTGGCCAAGTTGCTTAACCTCACTGTCTCGGTTCCCTCATCTATAAAGTAGAGAAAACACCACCTCGCTGAGATGTTCTGAAGTTTATATGAGATGATGTGGGAAAAGGGTTCACAGCACAGTGCTTGGTCTACAGCAACAAATAATATTAGCTGTTATTAGTGGTGATAATATTAACAAAAGCCTTATACCCCTAAAGCCCCTCTTGACCCCCTCCAATGTATTCTCTTCCTAACAAAAACCCTACGTCATCTTCCAAATAAATGGCATATCACTTCAAAATCCTTAACACGTCCTCAAGTCCTATGTAGTTGGGTTTTCCATCCATTAATCCAGACTTATCTCAAGCCATTGCCCCCCTTTCTTGCTATTCTCTAGCCTCACTGTCTCTTCCTTCCTGCTCCACAGGCCCCAAGCTCCTACTGATTTCAGGGCCTCCACATACACTGTGGCCACTATCTGGACTTCTACTCTTCAGCCAGCTAATGCCTCACCTTTTAGTTCTCTGTTTAAATGTCACAACTTTGTCTGATTTGTTCCCTGCCATAACCCAAGCATACCTGTTGGACCTGGTCCAACACAGGTACATGCTGCTGAATTAGTAATTTCTTATTTTTAATACAGAAACAAAACAGAGATCATCTAGATCAGCAGTCTCCAACTTTTTGGCACCAGGGATGGGTTTCATGGAAGACAAATTTTCCCCACATGGGCGGGTGCAATGGTTTTAGGATGAAACTGTTTCAGACCATCAGGCATTAGAGTCTCATAAGGACTGCGCAACCTATATCCCTTGCATGCACAGTTTACCATAGGGTTCACACTCCTGTGAGAATCTAATGCTACTGCTGATCTGACAGGAGGTGGAGCTCAAGCAGTAATGCTCACTGGACAGCCACTCACCTCCTGCTGTGCAACCCGGAGGTTGGGGACCCCAATCTAGATCTTCTTCCAAACACAGCCTAGTCACCTATTCCAACATATGTGGAACAATGCCACTGAGCCAAGCATTCAGAGAAAATTTCTTGGACAGCTTTTCCAGCGACTTGAGGGACAAAAAAGAGGCCAGCTCATCCCTCTGGAAGTCAAAGACATACCTGCAACAACAGGCCAAAAAAGAGCAAGGACTGGCAACTATAAACATGGCCAATATATATGACCTACAGTCATGAAAACACCTTGCCTTTTGCTTTCATTAGCATGAGGCACTACAGAAGTGTTCTGAAAATCATTTCTCCTAATCCTGGAAACCATCTAAGTGGTCAGCAATCCATTTTTACCCAATAACTACGTAACAACTACATCAGACAAGAACGGCACCTTCATGTCCTCTAACATCCATCATGCACCTTCTAACATTTCTCAAACCTAAAAACACTCCAGCCTTCCAGAATCTAAAATTCTATTAACTTAATACTAAATTTGGACTCCTGTGTTACGCCTGCATTTTTCTATATTCTTAGAAATAATACTATTGTTATCATTCAAAATAAAAGTTTGCTGACCTTAGGAAATTGCCAATTCATTCACTAGTGCTGATAAAGGATGAATAAGCATTTTAAAGCTTCCTACACCTCAATTTGGAAATAACTTCTGCTCTCTGCTGAATGCACATAATTTAAGTTTTGATATAGTTACTACTTGACATTTTTGCTTTCAAAATCATACAGAAAACAAGATGCTGTGGCTTTATCACATTATATAATTTATTTAAAGGAAAAAAAACTCTTAAAAACCTAAGGTGAACATGTGATCATGGAACCAGGTCTACAATATTTCATCTAACAGAAAGTCAGAAGATAACTTTGTATAAAGTTCCATGTGTGAAAAAGAGCTAGAATTTTATCTACCTCAAGTTTCAATAGATTATATGTTGTGTTTTAATTCTCAATGTAGAAGGGTACAATAAATAACACCTCAAATTTTTTTTTTTAAAAAAAGGCTACCATACATTTTTTATCTTCATTGAAAAATGACAAATGTTCTTCCTACAAGTGTTAGCTGGGCCATATGATGCATTAAGTGCCAAGAAAACACAAATAAAAGACTGTCCCTTCAAGAACATAACCTAGATATGTTCAAAATGAGAATGATGCCTCAAGTAAAAAAGATAATAATGATCATTATAATCAATTTACACAGGAATGTGGACATCTGGAAAGGTATTTATTTGAAGTAAGTCTTCAAACAAAAACTACTTTCCTGGTCAATTTTCATTTAACCATAATATTCAATTAATGAGAACAATTATTTCACAAATAGTTCTGTTAGTCAAGGGTGTGTGTGTGTGTGGTTGGCCACAAGTGGTGGCCAGTGGACATCAGGAACGGTGCATATGGGCAAGTGCCAGCCTTTTTATAAAAGCAGTGCCCTGATCTGCAGCCCAGTCCATTCCTCAAAACCTGCCTTCTCGCATTTCTAGTGGCTATTTGGAATTTCCACCTTTGCCTCCTCACTGTTTCTGCCTAACATCACCTTCATCAACCTGTCAATTACTTTCACCTCACTCAATTTCAGGGCAGGGTATTCAATGGCTCAGAAGACAGGGAAATTCCTCTACTATGACATCTTTCTGAGCTCCCTAAGCTAAGAAAGCTAACCTCCCTAAGCCCAAGCTTCAAACTCCCCTAAGCCAGTCAGTTCCTGTTACAATACACCTAAGATACCCAAAGTTTGAGTGTTCTTCTGAAATTAGGTGAACCTTACATTCAATTTTTCAAGTGGATGGCAAAGATCCAACAGTATCCTGTGTCTACACCCTTAACTCTCCTTTAAGGGCCTTTATTTTAAAAATGATTTTAAATTTAAGGTGGAGATTCCCATAAGAAAAATTCTAAAGACATGGCTTTTCATCATTCTGTAATTCTGAAAAAAACTTAACATCAGAAAGTCTGTGGAAACTTAATTCAGGACAGTAATTTAAGACAACATTCTTCCCAAGGTCCTAAGACCCGACTCACCTGCCAGGAGAGCCTGGAAGAGTAACTCCATGACCAAGCTGTTATTTTCTTTAACCGTTTACAGGCTTAAATATCATAACTGTTTAAACATCTGTATTTGATAGTCACATTTTCTAAAGTTATTTCTCTCAGCCTTAAGAAAATCCTTAAGTATTATTGGATAAGGTACACTGACAAATATATTTTGAAAAGGCTGAATGAAAATGGGAAACAAAAAAAAAAGTTTGAACTAAGGTAAGTAGCAGAGGAGCTTACAGCAACACCAAAAATGATGACATTGTTAGAGGAGTAAATAACCTGGTAATTTACATTAGAACTGTTATATAACTAAAGATGCCACCGCTTTTTTAAAAATGGGGTGGGAGGGAATCACTACAATTTTTGCAGCTCATGATTATTACAACATCATGTGAGGTCCCATACAGGCAAGATTTTTCATTTACTTTTCCTAACATTAAAAACTATATAGTTAAGTCATGGACCTTTTGTTATAGTTGCTGGGTCTAAATCCATATTCGAAATTATGAAACTAAAGTTAAGCTTAGAGGAGAAGACTGTGAACTGTTAGGGAAGTTTGTTAAAGTTATAGACTCCTCAAAGCTCAAAAATAAATGGTGTTTTACTTCCCAAATGATGAAAACCAACTTTGATAATTCCAGGTCATAAGCTTAGAAGAGCTTGGAAGTAAATACTGGAACAAAGATGAGAAGGAACACAGGAAATCCAAGCTCCAGAACCAAAACAAGACTAACAGATTCCACTGTTATACCTTCTTACTACAAAGAGCTTAAGAAACAATGAAGTCTTTTATTTGCTTAACATATTTGGCTGCTACTTGATTCTGAATAGGATTGTTATCTGCTATGAAAATGTGAACTAGTAACTAGAATTGGTCCACATCAATAAAGCTTTTTTACTGAATACATATTTTCTGTCATGCCTTTGTCAGTCACTATTTGTTAAGCAACTTTGAGGTATGATTTATATAGAATAAACCATATCTATTTAAAGCATGCAATACAATGACCTTTAACAACTGTATATGTGCATAAAACCACCACCACCCCCCCCAACCAAGACAAAATTTCCATCAGTCCTCAAAATTTCACACGCCCCTTCCTCCAAGGGCATTGACATGTACCCTTCCCTGTGCCTGATTCCAGGTAACCAATAATTTGCTTTATGTCACTATGGATTAATGTGCATTTTCTTTTTATACAAATAGAATCACATATTATGTACTCTTACTTCGGGTTTCTTTCATTACTCAGAAACATTACTTCTTAATGTTTCTGAGGTTCATTCATGTTGTTGCATACATCAGATGTTCCTTTGTATTACAAAATAACACTCCATTACATGGATATGCCACAATTTGTTTATCCATTTGACTCTGATGGACTACTATAATAAAGATGTACCCTTGCATTGTTCTGAATTTGGGATTATTGTAATAAAGCTTTGATGAACATTTGCATGGACATATATTTCGTGTATCACTTTTCTTGGGTAAACACCTAGGAGTAGAAGAGCTGGGTCATATTATAGGCACATGCCTAACTTTTTAGAAATTACTGAATAGTTTTCCAAAGTGACTGTATCATTTTATCTTGCTACCAGCAGTGTATGACAATTCCAATGTATGGCAATTAATTAGAATGCTCTACGTAAGACGTGTCCATCCCTTTGAACGTGAGGACTGTTTTGTTTCATCGGCGGTGGCAGATAGCATGAAAATCATGCATGGACCTTTTTTTTTTCCTAGCTTGTCAGCTATCGTTAGTGTTAGTGTATTTTATTTGTGGCCCAAGACAATTCTTCCAATGCAGCCCAAGGAAGCCAAAAGGTTGGACAGCCGTGCTCTACATTCTCATTAACCCTTGGTACTGTCATCTTTTTAATCCTGCCTATCCTGATATGTATGGTGGTATCTCACTGTGGTTTTACTTTGCATTTCTTGATAAGTAATGGATGTTGAGCCTCCTTACATGTGCTTATTAGCCATTTGTATACCTTCTTTTGTGAAATGTCTAATTCTTCTGGGCTTTTTAATTCTTATTAAATTCTACTGTAAGAGCTAGTTGAATTCTGATTAGGAATGCAATGAAAATATAGATCTATTTGGGGAGAACCAACATCTAAAAAACTGAGTCCTCCAGTATATGAATATGGCATCTCTCTTCATTTACTTAGGCATTCTTTATCTCAGCATTATTATGATCTTTTTAGTAGAGGGCTTGTGAAGCTTTTGCTATATTCCTCAGCATTTAATGTTTATAGTTACTGCATACAGAGTTGGTTTTTTTAAACTTCATTTTCTCTTTTGTTTTGTTTTGTTGCTATTGTGTAAAAACAAAATTATCGTTTTAAATATCAACCGTGAATTCTGCAACCTTAATTTGCTTACTAGTTCGGATAGCTGTTTGTGGATTCCATAGGATTTTCTATGCACACAATCATGTCATCTGCAAACAGAGACCATTTTACTTCTTTCCCGTCTTTATGCTTATTTCTTTTTCTTCCCTTATTGCAATGACCGAATAGTGAGAGTGGTGACAGTGGGTATCCTCATCTCATTCCCATATAAGGAAAGTGTTAAGTATTTCGCCACTAAATATGTTAACTGTAGATTTTCTAAGATGAGCAACTAATGGGCAGAGAGGCGGGTGCAATTGTTACTATCCCAGTTAAGGCTCCCACAAGAAAGAGGGGAGGGGAAAAAAGCAAAGAATGAAAATTCCCCCAACACGTAAAATTTCCCAACTCAGCCTCTTCCACGGTTTGTCTACACCACTTTCTAAATGCTTACATCTCAGATACCCCTAAAATCCCACAATCAGGGGCTGAAGATGAGGACAGAGTTGTTATCAGGGAGCACAAGTAAGGACATAAAGACTTCTCCAGAAACTGCCAAACAGCAGCTAGCGCTGCTCTAGGGATACCTATGGGTGGACAGCACAAAAGATTAATAGCACTTTATAACTTGAGGACTCCACTGTCAGTTAAGCATGTCACTTTACATCTCTGTGACTTTTTTCAACTTTTAGAATAGACAAATAATGAGAGACTTAATTATAACTATAGCATAGAATGTAAATATTATTAACCTTGACAAAATAAAGCAGGCTGGGAGACAGAATCAGGAAGAATGGGAATGGTATTTCCATACAACTTACAATGTGCAGAGTCAAAAGGCACTGCCTCAGATTAATGAGACAAGAAAAAGAAATAGAAAAAAAGTGTTTAGAGCTGGAGTTGCAGAGGTGATCAACAGTAGAAGTGGAATAATAAGATTACAAATACATGTGGGGGGATAGTAGAGTAAACGAAATCATCACCCACAGTAATACCAAGTCAACAGATAATATCTTAGGTTGATAAATAAACTGAGGTGTAAACATTTTAGACAGAGGTATCCACCAAAAAAATTAAATAGCAGAAACCAGTAAACATTGCACATAACTCTGAAGCAGAATTAGGGGGTGAGGTGCAGCAGATAAGGTTGTTCTCTGTACTTAAAAAAACAAACAAACAAAAACCAACAAGTATTACTTTGACTAAAAACACAAACTTAAAATGTTTAAATAGATAGTAAACAAAAGTAGCAAAATTTAGTTAAATGTAAATGGTTGATCACTTGGTTGCAAGTATTAATATAACTTTTTAGGAGAGTCTTCAAATAGAAAAGGCATTTGATAGAGAATATTCTGAACTAAAAAGATTTTAACAAAACTAAGAGAAGGAAAGAAAAAAATACAGAAAGACATCTTGTTTGGGTACGATGTTACACATACTATTTAATACTGGTGAATATTAATTTAAATCAGTTAAAATTTTAAGGGTATCCTCCAGAAAAATGAGCTGTTGAACTGCCAAATCACTAGAGCACTGGTTCTCTGCCTTACAGAATCTGATGAAATCTATTGAACTTCCACCAGAAAACCACGCACATAATAAAATTTTGCATTTGCCTTTAATGGAACTGATGAATAATGGATCCTCTCTTAAAATTTATTGACCCTCCTTATACCCCTCGATCTATAATTCTTTGCTCTCCTGTACTGAATTTCCAAAAGGAACCATTTATACTCACACTGTCTCTTCCCTCTCTTCCCAATTTCATTTGAGGCCACTCAAACAAGCCTTTTCCCCTCCACTCCGTGGAAACCATTTAGTGAAGCTCAACAGCTTCCACATCACCAAATGGCAAATGTTCAGTCTTCTTACACAGCATCTCAGCAATAGTTAACAAGTTGATCATTCCTTTCCTGAAACCTTGTCTTCACTTGGCTTCCAGGATACCACAATCCTCTGGTTTCTTCTTTGCACACACTCCCTAGGTGAACACATCTGGACCCACAATGGAGACACGATCACTTCACTGACTTGCTGAACACTCTCATATTCGTATTTGGTCCAATCTTGACTTCTCTCTTGAATTTCATACTCATATAGCCAACTGCATACTCAAATTACTACCTGTATGTCTAATAGGCATCACCAATTCAGTATGTCCAGAAATCTTGGTTGCCACCCTCATCACCATCACCATGCCTTGTTAGGATATATAATTAAAATATTAGCATGGTAAGATCTAGGTAATTTTTGTTTCTGCATTCAAATTCTTAACCATAAATACATACTACTTTATAATCAGAAAAATGTTGGAATAAATAACTATAAACAAACAAAAAATGTGCCTTGGTTAAAAAGATAGTTCACAATTATTTTGATTGTCGTGAAATCTCCCAAAGATTGCCAATTACATTTTCCCCCTTTAGAGTAGATATTTCCTACAGTCATCAGCAGATAATTGGTTTGTCACTACATGATAAGTTGATGGGCTCTAAAACTTAGCAGATTCTTCACAATAAATTACTAAAGAATAAATTAAATTTTATAGAAATCTAAAATAAAAAGAAGACTTGGTGTTTAAAAAAAATGAGAGAACCCTGCTATAGGAAAATGAGGAGGAAAGACCCATCAAGTCAAGTCTAGCCATGTGAACAAGGGCAAATGTGCATGTGTGAAACTGAATAGATAGCCTAAGTAGGTAGCTCCCACCCTATCTGTCTCACGAAGCCCTCTGAAAAATATGAAGTGTTAAACACACAGAATTATTAGGGACAACAGGAAATCAAGTTTTAGGTTATTTTAAGGCTACCAGCAGCTGTGGATAATCAGATTAACGCTCTACTGATATCATCAACCATGTGATCTTCTGTAAATTACCTGGCTTAACACTTCCTATAATAAAAATTCAGTTAAGCTTAATAAGGATCTCAAGATAAAATGAAAATATTAAAATTGCACAAGTCTGCCCAAAATAATGGCTAATTTCACAGACCTAAAGAATTTCCAATTAAAAAAGCACATTCATCCAGGATGACCCGCTTCTGTTACAGATAAGGAAACTAAAGGCTTGAGAAGGGCAATAATTTAAAGACTGAAAAAGTCTCTGCTCCCAGGTCCAAATATTACATTTCAATTCATGTTACATGACTCAAGTGGTATGTGGGGGAAGAATAGGTAAAACTGAGGAGGGATGGAAGAACAAGGAGTTCAAGAAATACCCCAAGTATCCTGTGTGTGATGAGAAGGAACACTATTACACAAACAGATTAAATGGGCATTTGTGGAACAACAAATTTCCCCTTATTAATCAATATTTGGTGAATCTTTCTTTTTTTTTTTTTTTTGAGACAGAGTCTCACTCTGTCACCCAGGCTGGAGTGCAGTGGCACAATCTTGGCTCACTGTAACACCTGTCCCCCAGGTTCAAGCAATTCTCATGCCTCAGCCTCCCAAGTAGCTGGGATTGCAGGCGAGCATCACCACGCCCAGATAATTTTCATATTTTTAGTAGAGACAGGGTTTCACCATGTTGGCCAGGCTGGTCTCGAACTCCTGACCTCAGGTGATCTGCCTGCCTCGCCCTCCCATAGTGCTGGGATTACAGGCATGAGCCACCACACCCGGGTCTGGTGAATTAATTTCTAAATAACACTCACTAGATCATATAACCAATCTCATGCATCACTGAAAGGAACCTGACACTAAACTGTGCTCAACTTAAATCATCAAGGTCTATAGTTATACATACTACATATGGACAACTAGAAGAAGAGAACACTAGGAAGTATTTCACTACAAGTTACTTTCAATACAGAGGATTAAGCATCCATGTTCTATTTTCATAATGAAATAAAGATTCTTCATATGCCATCTTGTTTTTTAAACTGTAAAAATTACAACCATAATTCATATTCTTTAGGAGGCGAAAGCCCTAAAACTAGTTGATGGCCAAAATGACCCCCTGCAGGTTTAAGAGTTGACACACATAGTATGCATAGTAACCGAAAAGATAAAATAAACAAAAAAAGTGCTCTTCAAATTCCTAACTATACACCAACTCACAATAAAATTTGAGTCAAAAAGGGGGGTGAGGGTGGAGGGAGGTGCTTAAGAGTATAAAAAAGAATGTTAACAATTTTAATTAAATAAAACAGAAGTTACCGTAGGGCAATCAGTATATCATATGAATCACAAATTTGAAACTGTTTTATTCAAGTAGAGATACTAAACTGAAATGTCTTATTTAAAAACAACCTAATCCACTAATCCCTAACAGCCACCGTAGGGCCACAGTTTCTCAATATACATAGCTAAAACTAAAAACATAAGTCTATTTTTTACTATTTAACTTGGGAGTCAAAATAATCATTTCTAAAATGAGGATTTCCAAGCTACAGATTTGCACCAGTGATCTCAGTAACTACTTTTCATTATATCATAACCACAAGATTCAGCCAAATAAGGAACAATTTGCAGCCTATAAATAAAGCTGAAATATAGCTCAGTTTAAATAGCATCTGAGGAACTACTGAGTAGGGAAATACTATTGCATTTATCTGAGACAAAAATTATATTGGTAGTACAAGTCTTTCTAAATTCTATCCAAAAAACTAATACCAGTTCAGAAGCCTACTCTGGCCATTTATCACAGTCTATTTGTTACTCTCAAAAAGAAACAACCATTGAGCAATTCTCATTTTGTAAATTTACAACACTCAAGTGTTTAGGATTTACATTATTTGTCTGCCTTTCACAGCACAGAAAGCACCCAGACCTGCGATTGAGAAGGAACAAGAATGAAATACAAAAGTGCTTTTACACAGTGATCATACTTGTAACAACATACACAGGTGTCCCCCTTATCTACAGGGGATACATTCCAAGAACCCCAGTGGATACCTGAAACTGCAGATAGTAACAAACCCTATATATATACTATGCTTTTTCATCAAGCACAGTAAGAGATTAACAATAATAAAATACAACAATTATAACCATATACTGTAATAAAAGTTATGTGAATGTGATGTTTGTCTCTTTCTCAAAATATCTATTGTATTTAATATTTTTGGACTTCATCTGACCACAGGTAACAAACTGCTGAAAGTAAAACAGTGGGTGGGGATCCTACTGTATTTCAAAATTGCTAAGAGAGTAGATTTAAAGGTTCTCACCACACACACACACACACACAAAGGTAAGTGAGGTAATGGACATGTTAATTAGCTTGATTTAATCTTTCTACAATGTACACATACAGCAAAACAGAAAAGTTAGGAGTACTACAAGAATACTGTATAAACTTAAGGTGGCATTAATTTTAAAGTCTGAAAAGAATGACGAATAAGCTAACTACGGGACAGCTTTCCCTTCGAGGAGGGGAATGAGTGTGTAGAAAAGGGAAGATGTTCCTGTTTGTACTCCTGATTCAAGAATTTGCATTCTAAAGAATCCTGACCCATCTAGCCAATGAACTAACAATTCTATCTGAGCCAGGCTGGCCTCAGCACTCAGTGCAAGCCATAGAGACCACAGGTGGGTGTGCACTATGGACTGAGGGACAGAGTAGTCCTCTTAGTATACACATAATCAGAAACTACAAGATATAATTATATGTTCTCCTCTCCCTGAAAGGAATAAGACAATGGCAGGGAACTTTTGAAATGTTTAAAGCATTGAAAAAAAAAATTATTTCTTCTATATATATTTATTGACAAAATTGGCATTTTCAATTTTTAAATAATTTTTAAATAAACCATTGATTTGATTTGATTGTAAAAGTGCTACTTGATCATAGAAGGAAATGGCATATAAGAGGAAAAAAAGTCACCTAAAATTCCAAATCCAAAGGCAAGCACATTTTCTTTTTCTCCTCCGAAGTTTGTATCTAAGTGTAGTGGTGGCAGAACTAGTAGACAAGGATGTCACTGTTAACTGCACAACACCATTCACCCCCTCACTTTCTAACCAAACCCTGACTGTGCTCACGTATCTACTCTCAACCCGAGGCCATCAACTTCCAAGGAAGTAGACCCCAGCCACAACCTAAGATGAATCACGATCCATTTATGCCAATCACAGCGGTACTATTCCCCTTGACCTTGACTCATTTAGGCACTGGCTTGTGTGCAATGCTGACCTATGAAGAGAGGAGAGAGGGACAAGGTAGCATCTGCTATGAGGCTTTAGGGAAAAATTTTTCTCACTGATAGCAACAACCTAGGAAAAAAAAAAAAAAAGTGTGTCTTCTTCCAGGAAACTTAAGTCATATTTTCTTGTGACACTTGAACTTGTGGCAGCCATCTTGCAACCATAAGAGGAACTTGCCAAGGACAAAACAAGGACGTTGCCTGCATCTTCAACCTTTTTCCATTGACTGGATTTTTAAATACACACACACACACACACACACACACACACACACACACACACTCTTCCTGACCCAACTTCTCCCTACTAAAATCTATTTCTCTCTCCTCTTATTCACAGCTAAGCTTCTCAAATTGAGTTGATACAAGTTGTTTCCTCCACTAACCTATGCATTCATCACTAAACATCCCTAAGGCTTTCTTGATTTCCCAAAACTTAGGCTTTTAATAGTCTGTGGTTCCACAGCACATTTTACATGTTGCTACTATAGCATGCTATGGGAATAGTTTGCCTGTCTATTAGACTGTAACTTCTGAAAAGTTCATTATTGCCAATATCTGGAAAAGTTCCTGGCTTATAAAAGCCTAAACATTTGTTTCATAAGTTAAATGTAAACCAAATGCCTAACATGTAGGAATGCCACAAATATTGACATGAATTTAGCAACCCTACTGTCCACATACACTGAAAGTTAAGTATGCGTTCATGTGAGTTGGGGGAGAACAGCAGCAGGAACAGGGAGAAAAGAGAACACAGTGCCTTAGCCTTGAAACTTAAAAACACAGTTTTTCCTCACTCTTCAGAGATTAGAGAGCTGTTCCAAGCTAATTCAACAAAAAAGAAGAGGCTGTTTCCACACTGGCATCTGAGAAGCAGTGGTAGGATAGCTCTCTAGAATCTCAGCTCCTCTGCTATTTGTGACCACTGTTGCCAACCTGCTCAAAGAAGAAAAGGTGGCCCAGCCTTTCTGGGGTCTGGAAAAAGACAAACTAGTCCAAAGACAGGAGGCCCTCAGAGACAAAATATACTTTTTAGAAATCTAAAAAAAAATACCTATAGTTTGAATAGCACTTGTGACAGTCTTTTACCACAAAGAGACAACGAAGTAGGGAAAGTTAATCGTAATTACATGCTCATCCCCAAGCAGCATTTCCTTTGACTTCTCTGGATGACAACTGAAACTGAAGGCATGCCAGCAAAGAATCCGAGTGAGCTGGGCAAAATGCTCTCTACTTCAACAGTCTTTTGCTAATGTGAAAGAAAAAAAAAAAAACAAGATTACAAAAGCCAAAAGCTTTTTTTTTTCTTACCTCTTTTAACCTGAATTATGACTCTTACCTAGGGGAGTACCCAAGGCCAGGCTGAGATACACCTCAGAAAAACAGTTGATAAAGAGACATCAGGTACACTGGAAATTGAAGAGGCCTGGGCCAAGATCAGATAACCACTGTACATTTTTTAAAATAATATTTAAATATAAAATACACATTAATGAAATTACAACCTAATAAATTTATTCAATCTTTTATAGCCACATATTTTATAACAAAACTGTCTGATGGATGAGCAACTGCACTAATTTAGCTGACTTCTGAAAGACGCTGGCACACTTTAGAAAATGAATAAGGCAATAAGCATGTGAAGATATCAGTAAAGAGGAAGTTGGGTGGATAGGTCGCCCTATTTCTTCAATAGGACCCTCAGGAGTTCACCTCCTTAGGACAAAAACACCTCCCTAGGGTCCTGGAGGCAGACAAATCAATAAAAAGAAGAGATAACTGGAAAAAAGGTGTGTAGGGGGAGGGAGGGACATTTCCCTTACTATACTATTTACTCTACAGCCTTAGAGGTAGGCTATTACTAATGTCCAGGCTACAAAGGAATTGAAAACCTTTTTTAGTGTAATTCCACTTTAATGAGGGATGGGGAAGTAGAGTGCAACTGTCCACTGACTGATCTGATCTAAAAAAATGATAAATTTAAAAAGTGAAAAAAACTTTACCTGAAAGAAACTGGGAATAATTAGGGGCCAGGCACAGTGGCTCACGCCTGTAATCTCAGCACTTTGGGAAGCCAAGGCGGGTGGATTGCTTGAGGTCAGGAGTTCGAGACCAGCCTGGCCAACATGGTGAAACCCATCTCTACTAAAACACAAAAATTAGCTGGGCATGGTGGGGGGTGCCCCATAATTCCAGCTACTACGGAGGCTGAGGCAGAAGAATTGCTTGAACCCAAGAGGCGGAGGTTGCAGTGACCCGAGATCGCGCCACTGCACTCCAGCCTGAGCGACAGAGTGATACTCCATCTCAAAAAAAAAAAAAAGAAAAAAAAAACTGGGAATAACTAGTTTATTACAAAAATATTAGTTTGAACGATGACTTTCCTAAGGCACTGCAAAAAGTGTTTACATTTATTTTTCAAATAACATGATCTGCACAAAATTTCAGCTGCATTAATGTAACATTTTCTAAATTGTGCCCGTACTGAGAAGGAACCAGCTGCCAGCCAATTTCACTGCATGCCCACTGTGTTTCTACACTGGTCATTAACAACCAAGATTCTGGCTACCACTATTTCTTCTTCCTCACGTTTGCTTCAGGGCAGTTTTTTATTATCCTATGAATATTTGAATATTTTCTAACCTGTCCCTGATCCTAAATAAAACAAAGAACCTGTTCTAGAGGAGTGATATTCAAAGTATTAGACATATAAGACATTTAACATCTAGAAAACCAAATTATATTTTGCTCAATTCAATTCTAATCCAATTATGGGTAAAAATAAGTCACAAGACAAGTTTTATGTCTATCTTAGGAGATGAACTAGAATTACTTAATTCCAGCTGCCTTCTCAATAATCACACCAATGATAAAAACAGAAAGTAGAAAGCTAAATAATCAAAAGAATTTCAACTCAGTGCACACTTACAAGGTACCACACACGATGTTCTCTCCTTCAATCTGTTAAACATTCCCAAGTTTCAAAATCACAGAACTAGAATGAACGCATATCATACCACCCAGTTCAGCAACCAACAGTTTATTAAAGAAACACAGCCAAGGCACATTCAGAGTGCCATAGGAGATAAAACAGAAAGACACAGATTCTCACCATCAGGAAACTTACAATCTGGCTGAAAGAATGGTCAAAATAACACAACCTTTCTGAATTACTAACAGGTACAAAAAGCTATACGATAAATATGTCCATTGTATTCATATCCATTTCATGGATAATTTTTCTGTATTAGTACAGGCATATCATCTAAAGAAAACATAATACTTAGAAGAAACTAATTAGCTTACAAATTTACATTCTAAATGTTTCCAACAAACTGGATAGGGCCCAGGAATATGTACTGAGAAACTAGTTCTGTTCTGGTATTAACAAGAAGGGAGGGGTGGACAGGTTACTAAAGCTGCCAGGCCACAATGTCAACTACAACGTGGAAAAGACTAGCCAAAGAATGGCAAGTGTTTTTATTTCGTAAAAGCCAGTTTCAATTAACTGGTTAGTGACTACCTCAAGCACTCCGCTGAGACTGTTAAGATTCCTTTAAGTAAAAAGCTATGTCCTGTGTTCGTTGCCCTCAGAAGTTGGATGTATGTTTGAGATGGTGCTACTGACTTAACATAAGAGTGTTCCCCGGGTTGTTTTTCCAGTCTCACTTGTGATCAATGCCGGCAATTCAGCTCTCAACAGCTATAAAACACTACTGTGTAACTAAGTACTTCCCTGATTCTGAACAACAGATAATAACACCTAACACTTGATGTTTCTTATAAAGCTGGCACTGTTCTAACCACTTACCCCGTATTAACGCATATAATCCTCACAACAACCTCTCTGATACAGATTCTACTATCACCACCCCTGTTTTACAGAGGAAACAATGAGGCACTAGTTACCAGGTAGAAGAGCTTGCCCAAGGCTTTAAAGTGGGTGACACAACCAGAACCTGACCTTAAGCAGTCTGGCTCCAGAACTACTTTTTAACCATTCTGCTTACTGCTTCTTTGTCAACTGTACAGTGATCAAACCCAGACTTCAGTTATGTTAGTGCACTGTGTAAGCCAGGTGCCTGGGCTTCAGGAGAGTGTAAGTCAATGTTTTAGCTGCAGTCCTGAAATGTTTACTCCCTCCAAGGGGCACGGATTCTGGCGAATTGCACTCAAATTACCCATACCTTGGCCATCGGTACATTACCTCATTTGACATATATTTTAAATCAAAACAATCTCAAAAATCATCGTTCCACCACATAAAATAAACCCTCTGTCTAGAATGCTCAGGGAATGCAGGTTTTAGGGTTAAGACAATTCTCTCATTAACAGAACATTAGTCAGAAAATTAGAAGAGAGGTGGTGATTCCTAAAACGTAAGTCATGGAGAGATCAGCACTATGAAGAGAAAATCTGACAAGTGGTAATTTTAACGGGCTTTGCAACTGTTATTCTGAGCATCACCTCTCACAGTACAGGGGTGTAGAAGGCACATGGCACATGAGATTTAACTGAATGGTAAATACTAACCACCCTCACCGCCGCCACCCGCCCCCAGCACTAGTAGGAGGTTGATATTCTGAATAAATGCCACTTCCCAAGGGATTTACTGAATATGTCGTCTTATTAATCTTAAGAGAACATAAGCTTGGCAAAAAACAAACAAAAAAAAACAGACTTCAAGGAGTAACAGTACAAACTAATTTTTACATATGCTATACATATTACACTCCAATGTGTAGATTATCTTCAAGTATTTCCACTGCACCCTTTTACACATCACTGCACTTCAGATCACATACATTAAACCAACCGCTGGGCTTGTCTCCAAATTCAAAATACAGGTTATCAAATGAAATTCTGTATTTTTTGTATTTCCATCCCCAGTATCAACAATGTAACAAGAAATTTACACTCAAGCTTCTAAAGTAAAACATACAGACAATAGAACTACCTATAAAATAAAACTTAAATGGAATATTAACAGTCTGAAAGAACTCTTAGGAGGAAACCGTAAGTTAAAAGAAAAAGCATTCCGGTTGTTGAAAGAATGTTACTGACAGTGGTTAACAGGCTATGTTCCCCCAGCAACAAAGGGGTGGAGGACATGCACGCGCATTATATAATATGAATACACGATTGTTAGTCTGCATCTTTAAGCTTAATGTCTTTCTTATATTAAAGTTTTTAAAAGTTTTAATATATTCCTTCCAAATGAACCTCCTTGCACCCCACCTTGGAGGCCCTAATACTTACAAAATTCATGATTTCTAATCTCCTCTAGTCCCAGACTTAAAGGAACAAAATAAATCGTTTTTCCTAATACAGAATATTTTAAATGAACTACCATTAATAGGAATCATCATTTTTTTCACCAAAGGGCCAAATTCCCAGCTCTACATTTCCCATTCCTAAACTTTGTTTGCAATGAGGACTCATATAAATATTTGGGTTGTGTGCTCCTTTTTAAAGCAAGAAGCAATGACACCAGGTGTAAAGGCAGTGGTGTCATATAATCAAGACAATGAGACAGGTATTTACGGTTGGCTATTTATTAAACAGCTCTTTCGAGACTTAACCCAATGAGACCTATTAATTCCACCCATATGGTGCTTACCCTCCTCTGACTCCTGAAACTTCTTGTGTATGCATGAAAAGCCAAGGGCCATGAGAAACAGAGCAAGTCCCTTCTGTGTACTCATAACCAAATTTTTATGACGCACAAATTAAGCTCACTGCTTGAAACTTATAGACCACGTAACAGAAACCACAAAAAGGAAACTAAGTCCAGTAAGAGTAGTAAATATTTTTGTTACAATATTTTTTATTGGGTTACCCCTAGCTGCAAATTTCTTCCCCAGTTTTAGCTCTCTCCAGCGCAAATTTATTCTCAGACAGCAGGTCACGAGGCTCCGTCTTTAAACCCGCCTCAGTGCTATTGGCCACTGCCTAAGAGTGCTCTTCCACTTCACCCACTGATAACCTGTATCAAAACAACCCCAGCTGGGTCCCCTTCAGCCTTCTGAAGCAACCTCTCTAGAGCGCTCTTTGGCCTTTTATAGTGGAGGCATGTGATGAGAGTATTTGCACCAGCTGTTTCTAATTACCTCTCAAGCTGGGGCGAATGACTCAGCAACCCAACTTTTTAGAGAGTCATCCTACCTTGTTAACCAACCAACATACCGAACAACAGTAAACCACTTGACAGAAACATAGGTTAAACAACAATACAAGAATCACTACGCCAAAGTCACCCTACTCCAAGCTGACTCACCGGGAGCCTTTCTTCCCTAAGCTTCTTCAAGATGTCCAAAGGCAGAAGTGGCAAGTGCCTTCAAGCCCAGCCCAGCCCTTGCACCACTACCCAAAGACCAGGAAGAAGCAAGCCGACCTCTTCCCATTTCTCTGCTTGACTATGTGAAGCGCTCAAGTGCTCTGCCACTAACACATCTGGGATTTCCACCCTTTATCCTTCTGAACTGCATTCAATGCAGACCCTCTGATGTAAAGGGTGTTCAAATACATGATCAAATTCCCATAGCATCATCCATGGGTAACAGTCCCTACCCCTACACAATTCTCCAAAAAGCAAAGCATCCTACAAAACATTCTTTGTTCCTCCAAGCATGACATTGTAGCTCGTTTTCCTCATACACGTTCTTTCACAATTACTACTACACTTTACCTGGAATCAGCACAAGTTTAACGCAGAAGCCTCACTCCATAAAAGCATTCCGCACAATTCTACTCAATGACATGAAACTGCCGTGTAAGAATGAGAAAGCAACGGCACTCGTGTTACATTACACGAGCACAAAGCTGGTGTCTCCAGAATCAACGCCCACTCTCACCATATTGTGCGAGGCTTAATTACAACGCGTGGGCAAAACTCCAACAAAGGGAGTCCTGGGCTCTCCGGTCCCCAAAACCAGTCTTCGCTAAATCCAGCTCAGCACGGTGGCCTTCTCTCCCCAGCCACAAACTCGGCTTTTCTTACGCGATTCCACGCGCGACAGCCACCGGGCTGAGTAGACGCGAGGCTGGGCATGCGGTGGGAGGCGGCGGAGGACAATACGGGGCCCCAGCCGCGAGGGCGGTGCTGATGTGTCACAGCCCGGGCGGGCCGCGGGCGAGGGGCCGGGCTGGCGCCCGAGGGCAGGGAGGGGGGTGGGGCAGGGACCCCGCGGCCCCCAGCCCCCGCCCGCCCCGGGTAAAGTACGGCGCGCGCGGGTAAACAACAGCTCCGGCAGTGCAGGGGGTTCGGCCGCCGACGGGACGCCCCTTCCGGCGTCGCGGCCACTTCCAGGATCCCGGCCGCCGGCGCCCCCCGCGGGCCCCGATACGTGCCCCCCGCGCCCCGCCCAGCCCAGAAAGAGCCGCCCCCGGCCCGCCCGCGCCTTCACTGGACCTGTCCGCCGGCCTCCCCTCACAGGCCCGCGGCCCTGACCGCGCCAACCCTCCCGGAGAAGGGCCGGCGGGACGGCCGAGCCACTCACCAGAGCTGAGGCGCGGCGCGGCCCGACTGACTGAAGCGAGAGCGCCCGGCGGGCGGCGAGGGCAGCGGTCAGGTGACTCACTCCTTCCGCGCGGCCAGCCGCCCCCTCCCTTCTGCGCCGCTCTGCTGCCGCCACCTCGCGGCGCCAAAACCCCGCCCGCCCGCTGAAGGCCCCGCCCCCGGCGCCGAAGCCCCGCCCTGCCGCCCTCGAAGCCTCTGTCAGCGAACGAGCGCGCGCAATAGCGCGGGGCAGGGGTCGCCGCGGCCGGAAGCCCACGCGGGGGGTTGCAGGGACGGGTCGTAAGGGGCGGGGCGGGCCTCGAGGAGGCGGCGGTGGGGTCCCCGGACCTCCGCGCGTGGCACAGCCCGCATCCTGAACTGACTCCCACTCGAGGACCACCTCTCCTCTCCCTTCTGAGGGCGGAACGGAAAGGCCAAGCGCCTCCTCGCCTCGGGAGCTGCAGGACGCCCTAATTCAGCCGAGTCGCCGCGTGCCCGGGTGCCCGCGAACAGCAGGAGAGAGGACGGGCGCTGGCCCCACAGGGGTCGCTTTACCCCTTGAAGAGCTCCTCGCTGCCTGCCCTGGGGGTGGTGGGCGTCCAGGTTCACAGGGTACTTGAGCTTGCTGGGGTGGGGGTGTGTATGAAGTGCGTCCAGGGTTTTGTGGAGCGCGTCTAGCAGTTGCTCTACTTCTTACTGACAGTGAAACAAGGGCGCCCACGACAGGTGTTCCCTTTTCGCTGTCGCTGCCAGGAAGCTTCCAGCCAGGTTCAGCGCCCAGTGGTGTCAGCCGGCCCATCTCGAGCCTTGGTTCCGCTGTCATCTTCTGGTGCTTATTCTGGTGTTTATCCAACTGTCCGTTTTGAAATTATGTTCCCAAGCCATTTAACACCTCTGGAGAACCAAAGCACTGGCTGTCAGCGGAGCGGGATGCACGCGCAGCGGAGGGGACTGGGCACGCCAACCCCACGAGGGTTCCTGCGGAGATGACACGGACCTTGAGGTCTGAAGCCAAAGGACGATTTGTGTGAAGGGATTTTATTGTTAGCTTTGGAGCCAGCAACAAGAACACAGCCCTGGAGTTCCCGGGGCAAAAAGGATACCAAGATAATAATTCAGGTATTACGACTAACATGACTGCATTTGCACCCACAGGCTGTGGGACTTGGGGACGTTTGAGCTACATCCAAAATACATGAGAAAATCACACAAGTGAAATTGGATGAGAGTGCGAGGGGTGAAGTGATACATTATGACCTAGAATTAGGGGAGGCTTCCTGGAGCAGGTGACATTTGCATTGGGTCTTGATTGGGAAGAGTGGAACCCAGCAGTCTAGATAGGGTCCAGAGGTAGGAGGTACCTCGCATCCCAGGCTGCCTCAGTTCATGGTGAGAGTGCAGATATTTAGTGAAACAGGAGGAAAGGACACTTGGAAATACACCATGAAAGAAGGATTGAAGTTCTTGCAGACACATGGGAGTGTCCGAGGCTTTATTCTCCTTCCACCTTGAGCCAGTGGAATTGCAGTGTCTTTTTTCTACACCTATGCAGTTTTTTCTACACCTGTGCAGTTTTTTCTAGGGGAAGATCAGACCCTCCTCTTTGGGAGGAACTCTTGCTTCTTTAGATAATAGCAGTGACATTTTCTAGCCTGAAAATTATGATGTATGCCCTGATAGGTTTAATTATTTGAGAAGTTCTCACAAAGGTATACAGATGTGCTAAGAGTATCAAGTCAAGTGAGTGACTCTCAAGCTTCATTATGGGGAAGAATATTTGGTTTGCTTGTTAAAATGCAGATTCCGGCCGGGAGCAGTGGCTCATGCCTGTAATCCCAGCACTTTCAAAGGCCAAGGCGGGCGGATCACGAGGTCAGGAGATCGACATGGTGAAACCCCGTTTCTACTAAACCCCAACATGGTGAAACCCCGTTTCTACTAAAATACAAAAAATTAGCCAGGCATGATGGTGTGCGCCTGTAGTCCCAGCCGCTCAGGAGGCTGACACAGGGGAATCGCTTGAACCTGGGCGGTGGAGGTTGCAGTGAGCTGAGATCGCGCCACTGCACTCCAGCCTGGCGACAGAGCAAAACTCTATCTCAAAAAAAAAAAAAAAAAAAAAAATGCAGATTCCTGGGTCCCACCCCCAAAAGATGCTAATTTTGTAGATCTGAGTAGGACCTAAGGGTCTGCATTTTTAATACTGAAGCATGTGGTCTTCAAGCTTATGGCATGTAGTAGGGACAGGACGAAAAATGAAACTGGAGAATGAAATGAAACCGAGTCAGTATGAGAAGGGCCTCATGCACAGCACCTGGAGTTTGGACTTCATCCCGTGGTCTGCAATAAGTGAGTAGAGGTTTCTAAGTCATGTGGTTATTTTTAAAAGCTAATTCTAGTATTGAGAAGGAATGGGAGTGGAAACAGATAGTAGGTTGAATGAAGGAATGAATGCAGTAAAATGCTCAGTGAAAGATGTGGCACTTTTTGTTTTCAGTATTCTCTTGCTTTGAACCAAAACCACTTAGAATGTATTTCTTTTAAAACCTGTATGTCAGTGTAAATATTCACAAACAACTGTATGTTCTGACCTATGTCTTCTGGACTTCCAGAGTTAGCATTAACATTATTAGCTGCCAGGCCAACAAAACCTTGAGTAATCCTGCAATACTCGGAATCAAGAAAAGTGGCTACATCATGGTCAACTTTGAAGAACATCAGCCTCAAGATCTTTTATACTAACTCATATGTTTATTAAAATCTATTACTAAAACAGATTTTTAAAAATTATCTTGAGGTTATAATGAGACATAGTGCTTCTACCTAATTCCTATTGGGAAAAAAAAATGTTGAGATTTGGGGACCAAGAAAAAAAATTCTGATCGCTTTTTTTTTTTTTTTTTTTGAGATGGTGTCTCTCTCTGTCACGCAGGCTTGGAGTGCAGTGGCATGATTTTGTCTCACTGCAACCTCTGCCTCCCGGGTTCAAGTGATTCTCCTGCCCCAGCCTCCTGAGTAGCTGGAATTTCAGGCACCCACCACCAAGCCCAGCTAATTTTTGTATTTTTAGTAGAGACAAGGTTTCACCATGTTGGCCAGGCTGATCTCAAACTCCTGACCTCAAATGATCCACCTGCCTTGGCCTCCCAGAGTGCTGGGACTACAGGCATGAGCCACCGCTCCCAGCTGATTGCTTTCAATTAGTATTGATAATAGTTTGAAACTGGGACAAGTAGCCTAGTCTTGGCAGTCTTTCTGCTCCTTAGCTCAGCTAGGTCCAAGTTCTTGTCTCACAACCAGGAAAAACTAGGCACACAGACACCGGAAAGTGAGTGGAGTGGAATTGATTAAGCAAAAGGAAAGCTCTCAGCAAAGAGCGAATGCTGGGAGCAGTTCCCCTACCCGAAAGTGGGAAAATCCCCTCTCATGTGGCTGAGCCTGGGGCTTTTATGCACTCAGAATGGGGAGTGCATGCTGATTGGTTTGTGAGTTTGCAAAAAAAGGTTAAAGCAAAGACACCACTCAAAGGCAGGCACGACAGTGTAGAAAACCAATTAGAAAGGGTAAGTATACGTAAAATAGGTGAAGGGTGGAGATCAGAGGAAAGCGTGCCAAACAGGAAGACAAGTTCTCAATCTAGTCTGAAAATTTAACTTGTAGTTTGGCTTTCAGGCTTTAAACTGTCTTCAGCTTGGAGGTGGGGTTTCACCGGGGACCTGCCTCTATCTGCCTAGGCGTTTGACTGTCTTCTGTTGCTGTCACTAGTAGCACAATATAAAGATTTTGTGCTACTGTTTCACAGTGATTTGCAATTAGTGCTTTTTTTTGTCATGTAGTTTTGTTTTTAGTGCATTATTCTTTAGGAGAATTTATCCGTGAAGCTTGGGTATCACAGCTTACTGCTATGTCCTTGATTTATACTTCTCATTGACTGTGAGAAGTGATGGCTAGTTTTCCTGCTGTGAGCAGGTTTGGTGATATACAATACCATTCGCAAGATGTTATATATGTGCATTGTCACATTTCTTTCAAAAATGATATTTCCAATTTTTCCAAACATTCATATCTTCTTTCTGGCCATCATACTGATTTTATTACCAAAATAAAATCTTATCATTAACTCTGAAAACAATTTAAATAACTATAAGCCATAGTTAGGGAATGATTTTTAATAAAACCTAGATACAAACACCATCATTTTCTCCTCTAATAGCAGGTTGTCTTGCCTGACTCTCAAAAATGAGGGAGCTAAATCATACAGATAGGTGACATGTTCATGGCTATAAGGAACACCATAGCATAATATTTGGACAGTAAGACATAATACATATCCTGAAAAAACTTTGATGTGTAGTCAGTGTAACCCTTGTCCCCTGTCCTCCTCCCTAACCTCAGGAAAGATCCACACTTCCACATTTATTCCCTACCCACCTTTGGTTTTGAATCCTCATTTCCACAGATGCAGCATGACATCTGTAACCCCTACAAATCTGCATACCCCTCCAGCCTTCCCAGAACTTCATTCCCTCCATCTTCATTGCCTTAGCTCCTTTTGTCTTTAAGTATTCACTCACTAAGTCAAGAAAATATTGGAGGGGGGGTGGGGCAAAACAACTAGGCTTTAAAGGTGGGGGATTACCCAGATCAACACAAGTCTCCCACTTGAACAACTGCTCTTTGACACCTGTACCCTGAGATGTGACTATGGATTAAAGTCATAGCACCCCTGCCTCCAGGTTGGAAAGTTTTATGGAAAATGAACATATTTTATTAGAAGACAATGAGAACTTCCTGGAGCAGATGAGTAAACACACCCTCATGTTTACCTGATAACTGAAATCAAAGATGAGGTGTAGCCTCTGGTTTGAAATGTTACAAAGTGTAAAATTAAGATAAAGGCAGAAAAATGAAAAGGAAATAGCCAGTTTTGAAGCAGAAGAACTCAGTGGGACAGGGGCCAAATCAGTGAAAGAGGTGCTGCTCAGATACCAGATTTAATGACAACCAAAGTGGCCCAAATATCCAAAAAAAATTGCGCTTCTGAAAACCAGTAGGAGGTTGCAGTGGACTAAAGATGGCCACAAAATTTTTATCGTTTTCCCCGTCAAGAATGGGAGTTTATTTTTCATCATCTTGAATCTGGCCCTGTGACTGCATCACCAAGAAGACACTGCAGAAGTGATGCTCTGCCAGTTCTGGTTCTAGTCTTTTAGAAGACTGTTAGCCTCTACTTCCTCTTTCTTCAAATGAGCTCTCTTGGGACACCCTCTCTCAGAACCAAACCACCATGCATGGGGCATGTGTGGCCTCTTCACTCAGGAGCCCCAGCAGAGCAACCAGCCAGTACTGAGCATCAAGTGCCAGTCATGTGAATGAGCCATCTAGGATGTTCTTTGGTCAAGTCTATACAAAAGAACTTACCAGCTGAGCCCAGCCAACACATAGAATTATGAAATAGTAAAATGATTATTGTTTAAAGTCATGAAATTTTGCAGTTTTTTTAATATAGCAATAGATAACCAAAATCAAGATTAAATAAAATATCAGATGATTAAAATGGAGCATGAAAATGGAGTTAACTTTGTAAGAAGAACCACAACCCCAATGATCATGACTTAGAGGAAAGTTCAGTAAATAAAACAGAAAATATTGAAAAAGGCTGTTTCATTTTAAACCTGTGTCAAGCTCCTAGACCTAAAATGACACTTGAAATTGTCCTCCATTAGAATTCATTGTGCTACAGATTTTCTCTCATTCTGTTACATATATTTATTTAATGAAGTAGAGAAATTCTTCTCTCATAAGCTAATGCTGCAAGGTGTTTTTATATGTATTATATGTATATGTACATACATATATTTTTTATATTAACATAACAGTTTATAATAAATGTTTAAGTGTTTTATAATAATATTTATACATTTATCACCATATATACACACACACAAATATATGTATACACACACATATACATACATATAAATGTCTGGGGATAGAAAGTGAGACCCTCAGAATCTTGGATGTAGCCTGACTGCTCTGCACCCAACTGGGGAGGAGTGAGGGGAGAAGAAAGTAGAGTTCCAGCCAGAAAGGTGACAGAAGACTGCCCAAAGCTTCATGTAACCAATCCCTCAAGCCTGCGGAAAAGTTACTAAATGTTTGGTGCCAGTGCCTTCCTGCAGAGTCAGTGATGCTTATGCTTGGTACTGAATCAGAGACAGCACCTTCAACCATAGTCACACGTCTGCAAAAGACAGAAAAATCCAGTCTGATAGCTTTGTTCTATGTATTTGTTCGTGTTTACACCAAGGATTGTAGCCTGCAGCTCCTGATCTTTTATTCTGAAACGTTCTGGAAGTAGTAAAGGCTACTCTATAACATACTTGTTTTAATAAATGTATTCTCCATTTTTTAATGCAAAACTGGCACAACCAAGAGAGGTGCCATATTTTGACTCATATTTTTACTTCACCTCTTCATATAACACTTCATTCAGTGTCCTCAATCAGGTTCTCATTCAGGTTCTCAATAGAGGCCAATTTTGCACCCCCCACCCCCTGCAGCAGGAGATATTGTTATGGGGTGGGTGGTTCTAGCCTCTAGGAGGTAGAGGCCAGAGATGCTGCCAAACATTCTACAATGCACAGGACAGTACCCATGGATAAAATACTTTGTGAATAAGGATACGTTATTCGCCATTCAGAACAAATAATTATCTCGCCCAAGTTTCCACAGAGCCAAGGCTGAGAAACCCTGACCTAAAGATATTCATGCCCCAATATGAGAAATGTGCGTATACATTAAAAGAAAGTGTAAAGGAATAAAGGAACAAAGTGGAAATCAAAAAATGGAATCAGGAAAGAAGCTAAAACATACATATTGCAAAACATGTATCTTTGATAAAGATGAGCTACAGATTTGTCTATAGCTTCCTGGCATCTGGGTAAAAAGATAAGCCAGATAATTCAATCATGAGCTAACTGAGGTCTGAGTGGCCACCATGAGAAGAAGTACTGAACTCCTAGAGGAGAGACCGTAGACACAGGTTGTCATCATAACAGCCTATTCCCTGGACTGAGGTGCCATACATAGGGATCACTTTGGAAAGGGAGGAAAATGATTCACCTGGACTGAGGTGCCATACATAGGGAGCACTTTGGAAAGGGAGGAAAATGATTCATCTTTGAATAAGAACTACTGGATCAGAGGAGAGAGATGGTTATTAGCATGAAGAGATAGAACAGTCAATTGATTAGGGGTGCTGGGTTTTCAGCCTTGATCGCTCCAGATTCCCTCTCCAGCCTCCTCCACACTTCTCTGTACCCTAGGAGGCAGGCCTTTTAGGATGGTATTCATGGATTCCCCATGCTCCCTCACTTCTGGTTGATACGGATAACGGCAGATGTCTACAGGAACTCAGCTGTCTACCTGCCAGGCCAAGGGTTGGCTATGGCTGTATTCCTCTACCAAAGTCCCCAGCTCCTGCCAGGCCACCTTCACCTACAGCTAAAGCCAAAGCAACATCACTCTAAGGGTAGTGGTATCTCCCTACTTTGGTTAGCCCTAGGGTGCATCACCCCTTTGGTGGGTTCCCTGCCCTCATCCTTGTAAATGGTTCCATCTGTTTTCTATCAGTTCCCTGACTGATTCACCAGATCAAGACTTGGGGGTAAGGAGAGTGACTATATTAACACATCAAAGGAAAGAATGTGGATGTAGTAAAGAGAAGCTAAATCAACTCCTAAAGCCAGTGAAGGGAAAGCTAGAGGTACAAATAGGAGCATCATATCCCTTGCCCTGCCTGGGACTCAGTATTTTACTCCTGGGCCCTGTTAACCTGCAGGACAGGAGAAGGATGGAAGCACAGGCTACCATGGTTTGGTTCTACTACATTAGCTATAGAGGTCTTCCAACCTGGATTTCTCTTTGATTTCTTTCCAATAATTATTTGCCTTTACATGTACATTTACCTACTGGAAGAGATGGGTTGGTTAATAAGCATCAATATTTGAAACACTTGTTAGCTATATCCTCATTGTAAATCAATAAATTATCTTTCCAGTGTTCCCCCTGCCTCTGCAGCTTCAGGTGAATGTGCATCCTAAAGCTGTTATCACCACCAATGTGTCTATAGTTCAGTTTTCTGCATCAGCAAGTTCAAAATCATGGTGAGATGACAATCCTGCAGTGACCTGGTTCAGGTGGTTCCTACTTCATGGAAACACCCTCTTTATTAATCATAGTAGCTTCAGGACTGACCTTTAGATCAGGGATGCTTTATTTTCCATACACTTACCTTGCCCTTAATCCCTTTGTGACAGACACTGCTTTGTCTACCCAATATCCCTTTCTTTCTAACATAATCCTGATTAAATGTGCAATGTACCAACTTAAAACATGCCTTTCCAGATTGCATTAGCTATGTGACCTAGTCCTTCTCAATCACATATAAGCAAATATGGACTCAATACAATTTCCAGGAAAGTTTTTACTTTCCTGATAACAAAAGGCTGAATCAGCTGCGCTTATGCCCTCTGTCCACCTTCCTTGAATGACTGGAGGAGGAGCTCTTTTCTTTCAATCATGAGGATGAAAACTACAGGCTAAGCATAGCAGAGCAGGAAGCTAGGAAGAAGCTCAGGTGCTTGATGACTTTTCTTGAGCAGCTGATTAGCCCTGGTTACTGAGTTTACTCTTCTTTTAAAAGCAGAGAAAGAAAACCCTATTCAGTTAAGCTTCTAGAGTTGAGTTTCTGTGACATAAAGCCAAATGCAGTCTTAACTGATACCCCTTCTTAATCTCAAGTTCCTCTTGTCATTCTGTATAAACATACATGCTAAGAACCCTGAAGTCATGCATCCTCTGTTGTATGGGAGTAAGTGGATTGTTATGAAAATATTCAGTGCAATAAACTGAATGTTTATGTCTCACCAAAGTTCTTATGTTGAAATCCTAACCCCCATTGTAATGTTATTAGGGGGTCAGGCCTTTGGAAGGTGATTAGTTCTTGAGGATGGAAACCTCATAAATGTAATTAGTGCCCTTATAAAAGAACCCCAAAAAGCTCCCTCCCTCATCCCACCATGTGAAAACACAGCAAGAAGGTGACATCTGCAACCCAAAAGAGGGCCTTCAGCAGAACCTGACCAAGCTGAACCGTGATCTTGGACTTCCAGCCTCCGGAACTGTAAGAAATAAGTGCTTGTTGTACAAGCCACTGTGGTATTCTGTTAAAGCAGCACAAATTGACCAAGACGCTCAACCTACACCAATGATCCTGGAGGCTGGCAAATGAATAGCACTGAATGACAGTATAATAGTGCCGACAGTAATAAAAGAACAAAAGATGTATGTTATTATGAAATTATGAAGAATATTATTGACTTCAGTATTGCTACCTCCCCTTGGATATAATGAGGTCACACATAACAGAACACAGATATAGATAAGCCAGTAAAAATACTCTGACAAAGTTCCAGGAAATGGCTTTTTCGAAACATGGGACAGCTGCCAAACAAAAAAGAAATTAAAATCCTTCAAAACAATTTTATGGATTTAAGCTATGCAAAAACATTGGGGGAACATGTGAAATTATATGGAATTATTCTGATACTCGGCCTCTTATTGTGCATTTTATGAAAGAATAATCAATAAAACATCTGTCATAATTGCATAAATTTAAAAAAGCAGATCCACTTAACATGGTCAAAATAAACTAAATGTATTTTAAATCCATGTCTCTGAACTGAAGCTACAGGAATGAGATGTTGAATCCCATTTAATAAAAGGAAATATCTTTTTATACTAGCAATTTGAGAATTTTACCTAAGTAAAAAGAGGCTCTAGAATGAATATTAAGCTTACAGTTCTAAAAGCATCCATTTAAATTGGTTAGAACACTGGAAAATTACCCACTGGCTAAATAAGATTTCCAGAAGGAATACTATTGAAAATGTTTTTTACATCCCTTAGGAAAAACAGGGAAAATAAACAGAGGGCATATCTCTAATTAACTACATGTACCCCTTGGGTTTCCAAAAACAAGCTCTAATATAATTTGATTCTTTATCCTTAGCAATGGGAAGTCAAGCATAAAACCATGTGCAAGCACCGCATGATGTGGCATAGGAAAGAAAACATTAATCATAGACATTTCTATCACTTTTTAATAGACAAAAATCCGTGTTTCTATTAGCAGATACAAACAGATCAGTCTGTGCCCTTATTACTTTTCTAGTTGGCGCCCGAAATCCCTTAAAGATTGATTATTTGGGGTGAAGGTTTTGCGTATTCAGAAGTTCTCTGTTAAAATTCAAATTCTTTCAGAGGGCAAACATTAAGCCACATTTAAGGACAGTCGTAATCACTCTAGTGAGAAGCAGCTCATAAAAATACTCATGGCGAATGGGATTTAAATGCATTTTGACAGGAAAGTGGAAGAAAGCATCGAGAGCAGAATCCATGCCACTGTTGGGGCCTGAGAGAATTTTGGTGGAGTCGGGGAGGGCAGTAGAGGGCACTGAATGCTAAGTAGCAGAGGGATGACAGAGACGAATTCTGAATCATTGACAGGTGAGCATAGTTTTTGGAAACAAGTGTTACCTATTCAGTAAGACTTTTATTAAAAATCCAGTTAAGATATTGAAAATAAGGCCCTGAGATACTGTAGATTCATCATTATTAGTAGAAAAATAAAGAATGATATATATTATGAAAGTGCAAAAAATAGGAAAGATTTAAATACATCTATCCACGTTCAATATTCAAAATGTATTTTTGTGAATCTGATATTTCATAGATTTTGTTTCAGTTGATACACCAGGAATATCTCAAATGAAAGTATATAAAACAGGAATTATCTCAAATGAAGAAGTTGAGTTTTCAGGCCAAAAGCTGGCAAAGGTTGCCATGCAGTCTTCAGGCTCATTGACCAAGAGCCCCTTCCTCCACCTGAAACATTCCCTGAAGATCCTGTAAATAAATACAGGTAAATAAATTTGACTGTATGGACTTCATAAGTGCCTTCTTATATCAATTTATGTGCATGTTTTAAAGCTTTATATCATACAGTGTGCAGTTATATCCTTTTTAAGTATGATTTGTAATCATTTAATAAAAGGTCTATTAATTCCCTATTATGTCATATGATTTGTAGGAGGTATTTTGATCAGTTTTATTTATAATAGTCAAAAGTGTCAAAATCCTGGCCTCTGTGGAGTCCTGCTGGGAGAGAATATGAAGCAAGCCACAGATGGCCTAGAATAGAAACTGGAAGGAAGCTACATTGGGCTTCCTGCTATCTGAATCACCAAGTTCAGGAACTAAGTATTTACTAGTCTTGAGTACTTATTAGTTCAATTCAGGCTAACAGGAAGTCATTGATGAGAAAGTAGATGGAACAGAAATCAATGTAGGCTGCTTTTGGAGGGACTTTCATCCCTCGTGGAGAGGCATTTCAGCATAATGATTACAAACATGGACTTTAGTTAGAGCCAGAGTGTTTGAAACCCACTTCTACTACTTACCCATTTGTGCCTGTTTCTTCACCCATAAACAGGGATTATGCTGGTACTTATTACAACAGAGTTGTTGCAAATATTAAATGAGTTAACATACAAAGAGCATTTAGACCAGCACATAGGCATAATTGTATAAGTATTAGCTTCATTATTATAGAAGCCAAGAATATTTTAGATAAAAGCAAGGGTGAAGCAGAGATCAGGTCCTGCCCAAGCCTAATTTGCTGATTCTGAGAAGGGACTAGATAGCATCAAGAAATATGAAAATGGTGGCACTGAGGATTTTTTAGCTTTGAAGTTATGCAAGAGGAATACTAATCATTCCTTAATGTGAAACTATCCAAGAGATATTACCCTAATTTAAATTTCAGTTATAAACCGGTTTGATGATGGCCTTTGGAATAGAGGGGTGTGTGTGTGTGTGTGTGAGTGTGTGTGTGTGTATTTAAAAATCCAGTCAATGGAAAAAGGTTGAAGATGCAGCTGCGTGCACGCTCTTTGAAATAAGCATCTTCTAAGTGAAAACAAAACTGTGAAAACAGCCTCCCAGGGAGCAGGCTGGAGTTGAAGTACACAGTGTTGGTGATCCACCGAGACCCTTCAGACCCCTTTTACCATTTTTGTGCACCTCTCTGCTCTTGCTCCCGATGGCCAGCCCTTCTTTAGAAGACTTCCCTCAGTCAGTGAAGCTGCTTCCCACCCCCATCCCCTGCACATGTTGATTCAGAAATGCCTGCAACTTTACCTCTCTCTGGATGGTGCTTAGCTGCTGGGCAGAGGAGTATGAAAGCCAAGCTCCTCTGCCTCACGTTATTCTCTAAGTTCCCCTATGGGATCAGGCCACACCTATCTTCCGCAGGACTTTTGTCCAATATTGCACCTTGTTTGGCTTCCTCTCCTTCCCTATTCTTCCTTCATTTCCTTACTGATTTCCCTTGGGAGGAAAATAATAAATAACAAATCACTTGCACATGAATCCTTGTCTCAGGGTCTGCTTCTGGGGAACCCACCTGCTATGATCTGAATGTTTGTGTTCCCTCAAGATCCATATGTGAAAATCCTAACCCCAAGGTGATGGTTTTAGAAAATGGCACTTTTAGGAAGTGATTAATGCACTTAGTATACTTATAAAAGAGACCCCAGAGAGCTGACTAGCTTCTTCTACTATGTGAGAACACGGCAAGAAGGCACCATCCATGAACCAGGAAGTGGGTCCTCTCTAGACACAGAATCTGCCCGTTTCTGGATCTCAGACTTCCCAGCCTCCAGAACTGTGAAAAATAAAATTCTGTTTTGTAAGCCTCCCAGTTTATAGTATTTTGTTATAGCAGCCCAAACAGACTAACACACTGACAAGATAGAAGTGAAGTACTTTTTGTCTTCTTTTATAATAAATGATTAGTAATTAAGGCACACTCTGGGATCAGGAAATCTGAATTCAAATCTTGCCCTTAGCTGTGCTAACTTCTATGAGCCTGCTTTCTATCTTTGAATGTTTTCAGTTTAAGCAGTATTTTATTTCTTCTTAATACAACCAAGAACTGTCTTAGATTTTGAGTTACCTAGGTAGGAGAATGAACTAACTTTTGCCAAACATTGGGCACAGAGCTAGGTTCCATTGATGTGTGTTCATTTAATCTTCACAACAACCAGAAGGGGCATGTATGCTCATCCCTGTTTCACAGCGAGGAGTTTGAGAATCAGAGAAGTAATTTGTCCAATACTAAACTGAATGAGTATTTAAATGCAGGGTTATGTAGAACATAGAGTTATAAGAAAGAATCACAAAAACGGTAAAAATTCCATTATATGTAACTTAATTATATAAAGAAAATCTCTATGCAAATTTGCAAAGTTGACTGCAATTAAAAGTTGAGGAAGTGCAAAGATATATGAAGGATATAGGATGTCTCACTAAACATCCTACAATTCAAAGTTGCAAGGAAGAGAGAGAAAAAAAGGAGCAGATGAAGAATGAATTACTAAATATAGGTGGCTGGAAGGAAAATCAAAGAAGGGTGATGGGAGGTGACTCTCACTGTTAAAATATGGTGGGAAATCAAATGAATGAGGTCAAGGAACCATTGGAGGAATGAAGAGAGACTTCTAAGGAAAATAGTGGTGAACATCATTTTCCTGAGATAGGGGCCAGGAAAAACCCTTTGCAAGTTCCAATCAGCATGATTGCCAGGGTACACTGAACAAGAACGCAAGTGTGTTAGTTCAGATCCTCTAACAAGCCAACACCTGGAACAGGATTAAACATGCAAGGAATTGATTAGAAGGAATGCCTGTGTGAAAGGAAACAGCAGGTAGAGCAATAAGACTCCATTGCAAGCCTAATCTCAAGCAAAGAAGAGAGGAGAGAAGATTGCATGGAAGCATCGTAGAAATACAGTGCAGTCTAACGAAGGTTCAACAAAGTTAGCAGAAAGTCCTTGAGCCTAAGTGGACACTGGTAGGAGTCCCATGGCTCTATGAATGAGTCTGCCTTTGTATCCCCACTACACTGCATCACTGGCAAGGAGCAGCCCATGGGAAGTATAGCCTCAAGCCTCAAGCAAAGGTACCCATGCATTTCAAAACTTAGTAGCTGGTGCCATAGGCCAATTACAAATGGCCTTCTACTATGCCCTGTGGTAGAAGGTCTGGGAGGTGCATTCTCATGGCCTCTTTATCAAGTTTCCAAAAAGTCTTTGTTTGAAAGCTACAAGGCAACATCCCTTTTATTCTCAATGTTTCACAGAAAAATAATGCATCTAGTCACCTTTTATTGAGCACTCATGTGCACCAATCACTGTGCTAAGCACTTTATATATTTTTTCTTTTAGAGTCTTCACAGCACATTGAGGAAGATGTTATTACCACTTTACAAATGAAGAATCCAAAGCTTGAAGAGGTTAAAGGACTTCCTCAATAATGCAAAGATAGTAAGGGGTAATGCCAGGATTCAACTCAGACACACTGACTGCTGTTGCAGACCTCCATGTGATAACTCATAATAATAACGCCAACTATGCTATTAGGTAGGATTGTTGTGAATACTCATTGAAATCGTTCATATAAAAGCCCATCACACCTTGCCTGGCCAGGTAGCAAGAGCTCAAGGAATGCTGTGATTATGCAGTAGTTGTGCCAAGATGCAGATCCAGCTCTGATTGATGCCAATATCTGTGCTCTTGGCCACTGATGCTGAACAGCCATCAGTGTAACTTCAGTGTTTCCATCAGATAGTATTGGGAACAGCTGAAAGGCATTAAAAAAGAAAGAGGAGGACTGGAACGAAACATTTTTTCAAGAATTAGTTTCAGTCACACAGATAGAATTCAATGATAGGAATTGAATTGAATTGAAACGTAAGGAATGACTTCCTTTGATTCCCTGAGGAAGAAAGTCACACAGGTGTGGCCCATTTACTACTTCTTCATAAATAGAAATCTGTCAGATTTATGAGACTAAGTGCCAATGGGAGAAAACAAAGAAAAAATATGTTTGCAGAATGCATCTGGATTTCTGCTTATGACCAAGATAGGGTAACAGAAACAAGGTTTACCCTCCGATATGGTTTGGATCTGCATCTCTGCCCAAATCTCATGTCAAATTATAATCCCCAGTGTTGGGAGAGGGGCCTGATGGGAGGTGATTGGATCATGGAGGTGGCTTTCTCCCTTGCTATTCTTGTAATCGTGAGTTCTCATGAGATCTGGTTGTTAAGAAGTGTGTAGCACCTCCCCCTTCTTTCCCTTCCTCCTGCTCTGAACATATGAAGACATGCCTGCTTCCCCTTCAACTTCCACCATGACTGTAAGTTTCCTGAGGCCTCCCCAGCTATGCTTCCTGTACAGCCTGTGGAACTGTGAGCTAATTAAACTTTTCTTTATAAATTACCCAGTTTTATATATTTCTTTATAGCAATGCAAGAACTAATACACCCTCCCACCAGAAACTAAAAAATCAGAAAAAAAAAAATGAAACAATGGTTTTTCTATTGGATTCTAGCAACACAGGACAGTGTTCCCTGAGAGTGGGAAACAAATAAAATGAGTCCTATGGGTGCCCCAGATTACTGCCTGAAGAGAGGAAACCCAAGTGGGGAGCCTGGTGGTCAATCAGAGTTAAGAAGCTGGAGCTGGTCATCTGGAAAAACCAAGGCAGCTGGAATTTGCAGAGAAGAATGCTGAAGAAAGGGAGCTTCATAGAGAACTCCAGTGATCTGCAGAGAGTCCCCCTCATGTCTCCAGCTTAATAATGTTCACTGCATGCCTGTGAGGCAAAGGTTGACGGATAGGCAAAGAACCATATGAAAGGAACAAAGAAAGCAAATACTGGAGCTCACACAAGACAGGGAATAGTTCAGGTGTCTCCCAGCAGGAGTGGAAAACTTCATTCATGAAGCATTGGATAGAGAGTACTCAGAAGAGTATTGTTTGAGTAATGGGGCAAAATTAGCCGTAAACTAAAGGCTGCTCTCCTCCCAAATCACAAAGCTTAAAAGTTTGAAAGGCTCAGACTATTTTCGTAACTGCATCCCAATAAAACTCAGATATTTACAGGAATACAAAAATATCAATAACCCCAACAAGATAAAATTTACAATGAACAACATCCAATCAAATATTACCAGGTACACAAAGAAGCAGAAAAATATGACAAAACATAATGAAAGAAAAAGTTAATCAATAGAAATTGATCCAGAAATGATGGATCTACAACTGATAGAATTTGATCCAGAAATGATGGATCTACAACTGATAGAATTAGTAGACAAGGACATTAAAACTATATTGTAACTCTATTTCCATTGTAACTATATTCCATATGTACAAGAAGGCAGGAGAAAGATGAAACATTTTTAATAGAGATTTGGATATATTAAAATGACCCAAATCCAACTCCTAGAAATAAAAAGTACAATGTCTTAAATAAAAATTCCATCTGTTGTATGAGATTAACAGCACATTAGACACTGTATGGATACAAAAGTATGGATTTGCCCACATTATTGTGTGTATCAATAGTTCATTCATTTTATTGCTGAGAAGTTGTGACTGTACCACAAAAGAAAGGACTAATGTGAAGACACAGCAATAGAAACTCTCCAAAATGAAACGGAATAAACTGAAAAAAAAAAATGAACAGAGCATCACTTAACTGTGAGACAATCTTGGGCAGCCTAACATACATGTAATTGGAGTTCCCAAGGATGGGAGAGAACATAAAAAAACATTTAAAGACATAATGGCTGAAGAATTTTTCCAAATGTGATGAAAACCATAAACATATATAGCCAAGAAACTCAACAAACCTTGATGTGATTTGGCTATGTCCCCACCCAAATCTCACCTTGAATTGTAATAATCCCCACGTGTAGTGGGAGGGACCCGGTAGGAGGTAACTGAATCATGGGTGTGGGATTGTCCCTTACTGTTCTTGTGATAGTGAATAAGTCTCATGAGATCTGATGGTTTTATAAAGGGGAGTTCCCCTGCACATGCCCTTCTGCCTGTGCCATGTAAGATGTGTCTTTGCTCCTCCTTTGCTTTCCACCATGATTGTGAGGCCTCACCAGCCATGTGGAACTGTGAGTTAATTAAACCTCTTTTCTTTATAAATTACCCATTCTCGGGTATGTCTTTTTTTTTTATTTTCATTTTTTTTAAGACAGAGTCTCGCACTGTCGCCCAGGCTGGAGTGCAGTGGTGTGATCTCGGCTCACTGCAAGCTCCGCCTCCTGGGTTCACGCCATTCTCTTGCCTCAGCCTCCCCAGTAGCTGGGACTACAGGTGCCTGCCACCATGCCTGGCTAAATTTTTTTTTTTTTTTTAGTAGAGACCGGGTTTCACCACGTTAGCCAGGATGGTCTCGATCTCCTGACCTCGTGATCCACCCGTCTTGGCCTCCCAAAGTGCTGGGATTACAGGCGTGAGCCACTGCGCCCAGCCACTCGGGTGTGTCTTTATTAGCAGTGTGAGAATGGACTAATACAAACTCCAAGCATAGAAAAAGGCATCTTATAGTACAATGCAAACAAACTTAGAATAGAATGATTACACAACCATAAACGTTGCTTAGATAAGGAGATAACACCCCCAAATTGTATTCCAAACAAACAAGAGCTTTAGTGCAGGAAGTCAGGTGAGGTTTGAACTCTCCATCCAATCCATTTAAAAAACAGATGAGGTTATACATAAGGAGGAAGCAATCAGAAGAATCAAAGAGATTTAAGAAAGAAAAAAAAAGCTTACATACTAGATCAAAGTGTAGAATAAAGCCAAGGTGAAATCAGCAAAAAAGGATGACCTAAATACCTCATATGATAGTTATGGCAAACTACCTTATATAATAATGATGGGAAGACAATATCCCCCTCCCTAACCTATTTCTAAGCTTTCAGATCTTTACTTTTTTTCTTCTTTTGAGACAGAGTCTCTCTCTGTCACCCAGGCTGGAGTGCAATGGCGCAATCTCGGCTCACTGCAACTTTGACCTCCTGGACTCAAGTGGTTCTCCTGCCTCAGCCTCCCAAATAGGTGACTACAGGCATGCACCACCATGCCCAGCTAATTTTTTTGTATTTTGTAGAGACGGGGTTTTACCATATTTCCCAGGCTGGTCTCAAACTCCTGGGCTGAAGCGATCCACACTCCCTCAACCTCCCAAAGTGCTGGAATTACAGGCATGAGCCACCATGCCCAGCAGATCTTTACTTTCAGTTGCCCCAGGCATAACCATAGTCCCAAAGTTTCTTAATTCTGTACATCCATTTTATGATCCTACTTCCTCCATCACCCCATCTCGTTCCTCACCTCAAACTCCTTCGTTGCTTATATTTTCAGTCTCCATTGATGATATCACCCTCTTCCACCAGGCTAGCTTGTTCTCATCTCTATTTCATCTGGATTCCTCAAAACCAATCAATCACCAAATCCTATGGAATTTACCTCTGAAATATCCTTAAAATCAGGCACTTTTCTCCCCTTCTCTCTATTAACATTACTTCAGGCCTTCATTATTTCTTCCATTTTAATTTAATATAAATCTTTTATTAAAATGAAGCATGCATATAGAAAGATACATTAATCGTAAGTATAAAACTTAATTTTTTTTTACAAGGTGAATACACCTATGTAAACACCACCTAATCAGTATGTAGAATTTTTCTATTATCCCAGATGACTCCCTGGTGTACCTTACCAATAATTACCTGTGTCCCCAAAAGATAACCATTATTCAGCAACCAAATACCACAGATTCGTTTTACCAGTTTTTTGAACTTCATGTAAGTTTAAATTAATTTTGAAGTAGAATTATACAGTATATAATCTTGTGTCTGGCTTCTTTAGCTCTATTTTTTTTTTTTTTTTGCAAAATTTATCCCTGTTATTAGGAGTAGCAATAATATCCGTATTTCATTGCATGTATGAATGTACCACAGTGCATGTATCCATTGTATGGTTGGTAGGCATGTTTGAGGCCATTATGAATAAAGTTGCCATGAACATACTTGCAAATGCTTCCTGGTACATTTATATGCACATTTGTTTTGGGTATAAAACTAGGAATGGGATTACTAGATCAAAGGATATGCAGAGGATCAGCATTCACAGATGCTGCCCAACAACTTTCCTAAATAGTTCTTCAATTAACATTCCAATGAGTGGTGTATGAGAGTTCCAAGTATTTCACATCCACTAAGACACCTGGCACTGTCAGTTTTTGAAGTTTCTCCCATTCTGGTTGTTGGGTAATGACATTCATTGTGGTTTTAATTTGCATTTCCATGATGTTAAGCCACATTTCATAAATTTATTGACCATTTTGAAAACCCTGATATGTGAGGTCTTGCTCAAGTCATTTGGCTTTTTTCATTGGACTGTCTGTATTTTTCTTAATGAGTTCTAGGAAGATTTTGAAAATATATAACTTAGGGGTATATGTCTTTTAGATTTTTCCTTATTCTGTGGCTTTTTCAATCTCTTAATTGGATTAGTCAGTGTAAAATTTATTACACTAACTGCACAGATTTTAAGTGTACAGTTCTGTGAGTTTTGACAAATGTATATATATGTGCAACCCCAATCATGATCTAGAACATTCCCATCATGTCAGAAGATTCTCTCATGCCCCTTTACCATGACTTATCCTCCCTCTCCTCCAAGCAACACCTGATCCAATTTCTTTGACCATGGCTTAATTTTTGCTGTTCTCAAGCCTCAATTAAAAGAATTGGAAAGTATGGATTCACCCACATTATTGTGTGTATCAATAGTTCATTCATTTTATTGCTGAGAAATAGTCATTTGTTTGACTGTATCATAAATTTGCTTATCCATTCACCTATTGAAGGGCATGTGGGTTGTTTCAGGTTTAGACTATTATGGATAAAAGTGTTATATTCATATACAATATTTTTTATGAATATTTGTTTTTATTTCCCTCATTTCCCTAGCAGTGGGATTGCTGGACCTAAGATAGGTGGTTCCCCCTGCCCCTTTCTTTTTGTCTGATGGAGTCTTGCTCTGTCATCCAGGCTAGAGTACAGTGGCATGATCTCGGCTCACTGCAACCTCCACCTCCCAGGTTCAAGCAATTCGCATGCCTCAGCCTCTCAGGTAGCTTGGATTACAGGCATGCGCCACCACGCTGGGCTAATTTTTGTATTTTTAGTAGAGACGGGGTTTCACCAGGCTGGTCCAGGCTGGTCTTGAACTCCTGACCTCAGGTGATCCACCCACCTCCACCTCCCAAAGTACTGAGATTACAGGCGTCAGCCACCACACCGGGCCAATAGGTGTATTTATAACTTTATGAGAAATCCCAAACTGTTTTCTAAAGTTTTGTAACATTTTACACTCCCATCAGCAATGTGTGAGCTCCACATTCCCTGCAACTCTTATATTGTCCATTTTTTAAGCACTAGTCATTCTAGTGGGTATGACATGTTCTCAGTCAGGTGTGGTGGCTCACGCCTGTAGTTCCAGCACTTTGGGAGGCCAAGGCAGGAGGATTGCTTACGCCCAGGAGTTCGAGACCATCCTGGGCAAAATGGCAAAACCCTGTCTCTACAAAAAATACAAAAATTAGCCGGGCTGTAGTTTCAGCTTCTTAGGAGGCTGATGCAAAAGGATTGATTGAGCTCTGGAGGTCTAGGTTGCATTGAGCTGTGATCATGCCGCTGCACTCCAGCCTGTGTGATGGAACGAGACCCTGTCTCAAAAAAGAAAGAAATGTAGTCTTATGGAGATGTATTTCCATTTCACTGACAACCAATGACGCTGAACACCTTGTTACTTTTCCATGTATTTATTGGCCATTCCTATATTTTCTTTTGTGCAGTATCTATTCAAGTCTTTGCCTATGTATTACTGCCTGTTTATACTTTTATTCTTGATTTTTAAGAGTTCTTTATGTATTCCGGATTTAAGATGCACATGCTCGCACATACACATGTGCACACACACACAGAGCAAGAGAGATAATATTTTATTCTTGTTTATTCTGCCTTTTAATTATCCTAATGATGTATTGTTCTGAAGTCTTATCAGTTTTTCTTTTTATAGATAGTGTTTGTGTCCTAGCCTAAAAATCGATGGCAGTGGCAAGAGCACAAAGACATTCTCCTATGCTTCTGGAAGTTTTACCATTTTATCTTTTACATTGAGGTCTACTTCCCATCTTAAAAAATGTTGTGGATGGTGTGAGGCAGAGGTCAGGGTTAATTTATTTTCCCATGCAGACATACAGATGTACCACATCATTTGTTGAAATTGTTCTTTTCCCATTGATTTACTTTGGCACTTTGCCAAAAATTGATTACCATGTAACTATGGAACAACTTCTAGACACTTTTTTTTTTCTTGGATCTACTTGTCTCTCCTTATACTAATGCCATATTGTCTCAATTATAGAAGCTTTAAAGTATACCTTGAAATCAGGTGTGTGAATTCTCCAATAAAATTTTTTTTCAGAATGTGCATATTCTAGGTCTTCAGCAATCCATAAATATATTAGAATTGGCCTCTAGATTTTTTTTAAAGCATGCTGAGATTTTATTTGGAATAGTGTTAAGTTTATATTTGGGAGAGAATAGATGTCCTAACAGTCTTGAATCTGCCAACGTATAAACATGGTATATTTCATTATTTATTTAGATATATTTTATATTAGATATATTTAGATATATTTTACTTATTCTCTGCAATGTTTTGTAGTTTGTGCTATACTAGAGGTAATAGCCAGTTCAATAAGGCAAAAATACATAAATAAATAACGTAAAAAGTGAACAGAAGACTTCATATTAGTAGTTGATATGTTCTTTTATGTAGAAAAATCATAAGAAAAAAATTTTAACTTACTAGAATTAATAAGTGAATTTAATGAGGTCAGAGAATACAAAGCTGATATACAAAAATTGCCTACCACACATTTGGTTGAATTTATTCTTAATATGTTATGATGGTTGATAGTATTGTAACTGGTATTGTTTTGAAATTTAATTTTTTCAGCTTTCTGTTGCTTTATAGAAAAAATTAGCTCTGTACTTTTTCACCTGCTATCATCTCATCCTGAATGGAATTGTACCCAAAGTCACCCACCTCACCTCTTTTTCACTCATTACTTGCTTTCAAGACCAGCTCAAAATTCATCTCCTGATTGGAACCTTCTCCAACCTTCCTAATAGCTCTATGCTACATGCTTACGAAAATATCCAACAGGAGAAATAAATGAATAGGAGTCAGTCAATAGGGAACACTTAGTATATACTTAAGTCACATTTAAGATTTGCTATTTGTTATTACTTTAAACTCAATAAGGAAAAATTAAAGAGAATAAGATACATTTAACACTGCCCATAAGGAAAGTGATAAAGATGTTGGAGAAAGCTGGAATCTGTTTTTAGTTTAAATTTTCACTCTCCTGATTTTTATTAAAATCATGTTAACAGGCTCAGTCTTTAAAAAGTATATCATGACTGCCAGTGAATTATAACATTCAACACAGTTATATCTTTCTTCAAAAAGTAGAAGTATTCAATTGGGAAAAATACAAGTAATTATGAGGAATAAAACTTAGTACTTCAAATTTTAAGAGATAAATTAATATTTTATACTTATTTATTTCCATAATAAAGTAGTTCACTCACTAGCTTAGCATTAATCACCAAGCTCTAGTTATACTATCTACTATGCTAAAAACTTAAGCTTTCACTGTATATTAAAGATCATCATTTTAAAAGGTAATATTTTAAATTTAAACTATAAATTACTTCTTATGAAGATGAAATGCATTTTAAATTGAATGAAATTGCAGCTAAATGACAAAATGTTTATGTGTTTCAATTAAGAAAAATACAATATAAAAAGAAATATATTTTAATGAAGCACTATGAATGCTCTTCAAAGAACCATTGAAAATAAGGAAAACATGTCATTATACATTTGTCCAAACTCATAGAATGCCGAACACCAAGAGTGAACCTGAATGTAAACTATGGACTCTGGGTGATAATGATGTGTCAGTTAGGTTTATTGACTGCAACAAATGTACCACTCTGGTAGGGGATGTCAATAATGGTGGAGGCTATGCATGTGTGGGGTGGGGAGACATGGGGAACCTCTGTACCTTCCTCTCAATTTTGCAGTGAACCTAAAACTGCTCTAAAAAAACAAAGTCAAAAAACATAAGGAAAACAAATAACATCATTTTATCTTTCCCTTTCTCATTCCTACTTTCTGGATAATACCTCTTCCTGGTGATTGCCTTCCTTTCTGTGGTGATTGCCTTCCTTTCTCATCTAATTCTTCTAATTGCATGAGGAAATGAATATAAAAGCCTTAGCACAACCTCTACCCCGATAAGTGCTCAAAAATGGCAGCTATTATTCATTATATAAATAATTTCCAGGCACCAGGACTTCTGTTAAGGAACTCATGGATAATATAGAGGTTTTAATTTAATCAATGGGGGAAAGGAAAACTAGAAAAATCCATAGGAAAATTCACTAAAAACATAAAATCCATAATTTGCTATATCCATCCTAACACAATGTTTAAATCTTTTTTCTTTTTAGTAAGTTTTAAAATGCCTAAAAAAAGCTATTTGTGTTACAGGTTAGATATTTAAACTAACCCTTTCATTTCTATTGTGTGACCTACTAAAACTGCAAAACTCAGTGACACATTGAGATGTGTCCAGCATTTATATTATGTATATATATTATGACCAGCATTTATATTATGTGAAGTGACACATAACAGAGCACGAGTTATTTTGAAATAATTTATTGTTAATATGTTGAATGTTAAGGCGCTTGGTATGAAAAAAATAGCCACTGGAAGCATTAAGTATAAAAGAACCATAACTAGCTAATTTTGTATTAGTCTATGGCTGTGTAATAAATTACTGTAAATCATAACAGCTCAAAATAGCAATAAATATGTATTAACTCCCAGTTTCTGCAGGTCAGGAATTTGGGAACAGTTAGCTGAGTGGTTCTGGCTCAGAGTCTCTCATGAGGTTGTAGTCAAGATGCTGTCCAGGACCACAGTCACCTGAAGGGTTGGACGAAGCTTAGGATTGTTCCCAAGAAAGCTCACTCACCTGCTGCTGTTTCCCAGCAGGAGGCTTCAGATCCTCCTCTTCTGGGCTTCCCCATGGGCTGCTTGAGAATCCTCATGATATAGTGACTGGCTCCCCATAAAAGTGAGAGACCCAAGACAGAGCAAGACAGAAGCTGCATTGTCTTTTCACAGTCTAGCTTCAGAAGTCACACATGGTTATTTCCACAATATCCTATAGCTACAAAACTCCATCCTAATCCAAGTAGGAGGGTACTGCAAAAGGGCATGAACATGAGGAGTTCAGGATCACTCAGGGCCATCTTGGAGGCTGGCTACCATGAACCTTAATTGGAATCTAATGCTTAAGTACTACATCAGGAGAGTATCAGTTTTTAAAATTATATTACGTTCAATTCAACAAAAATATTGTTTTGCTCTTTTAATTTTTACCTATATATAAACATAAATCTATATACTTGTATTTATTTATTATTAAATTCACTAAAAACATAAAATCCATAATTTGCTATATCCATTCTAACACGTTTAAATCTTTTTTCTTTTTAGTAAAAGTTTTAATATGCCTAAAAAAAGCTATTTGTGTTACAAGTTAGATATTTAAACTAACCCTTTCATTTCTATTGTGTGACCTACCAAAACTGCAAAACTCAGTGACACATTGATATACAGGGACCAGCATTTATATTATGTAAAGGTAGTATGCTATAGATAGTGTCCTGATAACTTTTTTCCATTGGATAGTATATTAAGTTGATGCAAAAGTAATTACGGTTTTCGTCATTGCTTTTAATAGAAAACAACACAGTTACTTTTGCTCCAACCTAATATTTGTAAGATTTATCCAATTGTGGGTATTGTAGTGTCTTATTAGGTAAGAATGCTATGTAATATTTCATTGTGTGATTACACAACAATTCTTGAATCCACACTCCTGTTGATGTGCATTTGAGTTCTTTCCAGGTTTTTGCTTTTAGGAACAGTGTTGCTGTGACCAGTCTTAAACATGTGCAAGAGCTTCTCATATATTCCTAAGAATAAAACTGCTAACTCACCTGGTATATGAATATCCATCTGTTTTCCAAAGTTACTGCACCTGTTTACCTCCCCACTAAAACTTCAAAAGATTTTCAAGACTTTTAATTTTTATTAATTAAAAACTATAATGACCTTATATTATCCTAAAAAGTAATTAAGAAATATAACCCTGTCCTGGAGAACATAATCTAAACTAAAAGAAAAATTGTATCTAAAACATATAGGCAAACAGACAATTCCAAGATATTACATATGTAAGGATAGTTCCCTATAGGGTGATAGTACATCTCAAACAAGCTTTTCTGGGAAGGAACCCCTAGTGATAGAGAAACATAAAAATGCAGTTTGTCTCACCTTATACCTATTCCCACATCTCCTCACCAAGTCTGAAGATATGGCAAAAACTTCAGAATTCATTTGAAGTTTCATGTTTCATTGTAAATGTTGCTTTTTTATTTTTGCCTGTTACTCCAATATATAACTATTTTGTGTCAATATATTTTATTATGAATCTTTGAGTATAATTGATAACCTAAAAATATGTGGCATGTTTAATCTCATGTTAATCTACTGTTCCTTGGCCAGGCACTGTGGCTCATGCCTATAATCCCAGCACTTTGAGAGGCCAAGGTGGGCAGATCACTTGAGGCCAAGAGTTAGAGACCAGCCTGGCCAACATGGCAAAACCCCATCTCTACTAAGAAGTACAAAAATTAGTTGGGTGTGGTGGCACATGCATGTAGTCCCAGTTACTCAGGAGGCTGAGGCACAACAATCGCTTGAATTCAGTAGGTGGAAGTTGCAGTGAGCTGAGATTGTGCCACTGCACTGCAGCCTGGGCAACAGAGCGAAGCTCTGTCTCAAAAAAAAAAAAAAAATACATCCATTTAAAAAGTACAACTATAAGTGGTGGGAATGTCTTGGATTTTCTTGCATAATCCAATATCCTTTTTTAAAAAAAAAGATTCTAGAGACAGGGTCTCACTTTGTTGCCCAGGCTGGAGTACAGTGGCTCAATCATGCCTCACTGCAGCCTCAGACTCCTGGGATCAAGCTATCCTTCCACCTCAGCCTCCTGAATAGCTGGGACTACAAGCACGCACCACATGCCTGGTGAATTTTTTAAAATTTTTAGTAGAGATTGGGGGCCTCTCTATGCTGCCCAGGCTGATCTGACACTCCTGGCCTTAAGCAATCCTCCTGCCTAAGCCCTCCTAAGTGCTGGCATTACAGGATTAATTAACATCCATTTTTAAAACAGAATAAGTTCACATTGGAAATATTTTCAAACTATTTTGAAAGGCTTTTTTTTTCCATAATTTTCTTTTGAAAAATTAGTGCTTTCTTACACATTGTTGAAATGTCATATTTACTTTGAAAGGACAGACTGTGTTTATTTGCTCAAAATATTTGCTCCATAACATGATTCTAACAGCCATTTATCTTTACAGAAAAAGTCAGCAAATTTGGATTGTTTGTATCATGCATGCCATCTTTTAATACATCTTTTAAATGCTTTGCCAGAAATTGAGCCAGGAACTTCTGGGTTGCAAAACATTTTAATGGTTTACTAGTTCCACTTCTGTGATTGCTTGCAACATAGCCATAAATTCTACCCATTCCTGCAATGTGATTTTGCAGACCCTACAAGAAAAAGGCGGAGTATTTTTCTCTAACCTTTGAACCTGGGCTTGGCCATGTGACTTGCCTTAGCCAATGAGACATTAGCAAACGTGATGCAAGCAAAGGCTCGAAAAGGGCGTGTGGCTTTCTCTCTTTCTGCTGTTTGCTCTTCATTAATCGGCAAGTGAAGAAATCCAGACTAGGCCAGGTGTGGTGGCTCATGCCTGTAACCCCAACACTCTGGGAGGCCAAGGCGGACAGATCACCTGGGGTCAGGAAATCGAGACCAGCCTGGCTGACATGGTAAAACCCTGTCTCTATTAAAAAAAAAAACAAAAATTAGCTGGACGTGGTGGTGTGCCCCTGTAATCCCACCTACTCAGGAGGCTAAGGCAGAAGAATTGCTTGAGCCTGGGAAGCAGAGGTTGCAGTGAGTGGAGATTGCACCACTGCACTCCAGCCTGGGTGAGAGTAAGACTCCATCTCAAAAAGAAAAAAGAGAAATCTAGACTAGTCTGGTAGAGGATGAGAGATCATGTGGCATAGGGGATTGTCCCAGCACTCCCAGCCCGCCATACTTACTAATAAAGTAATAAAGTCGTCCTAGTTTAACCCACCTCAAACAAGGACATCAGAAGAACCACTCAGCTTTCGTTCAGGCTTCACACAGAATCATGAGAAAGAATAAAAGTTGGCAGGGCGTGGTGGCTCACGCCTGTAATCCCAGCACTTTGGGAGGCCAAGGCGGGTGGATCACCTGAGGTCGGGAGTTCAAGACCAGCCTGACCAACATGGAGAAACCCTGTCTCTACTAAAAACAAAAAAAATTAGCCGGGCATTGTGGCGCATGCCTGTAATCCCAGCTGCTTGGGAGGCTGAAGCAGGAGAATCACTTGAACCCAGGAGGCGGAGGTTGCGGTGAGCCAAGATGGTGCCATTGCACTCCAGCCCTGGCAACAAGAGTGAAACTCCATCTCAAAAAAAAAAAAAAAGAATAAAAGTTGTTGTTTCAAGCCACTAAGTTTTCAAATGCTTTGTTACACAGTAAAAGCTGATTAATACATTCCATCTCAAAAAGTATCACATATTCAAAGGTCTCATTTTTATAAATTAACACAAAGGTGACCTCGTATAGTACGTCACTGATAATACACCCTAAGATTCTCAGAAATAAACCAATGGCAGAAGGAACCGATGTCACCCCATCCTCCCTCCAGAAGTATGCATTCTGACTTACTGGTCCACTGAAGACACTAGTATCAATCTGTATATTACACATGAGTAAAGCATAATTTCTATTATTCAGTTTTAGCAAAATTAAATCAATAAAAATAGAACTGTTAATATTGGCTTCATTTACCTCCATTTTGGAGCTCAGTGGTTTAGTGAATCATAAAGGCAATGTCTATTTTTCTGCTTTCTCCCAAACAGGCTATAACACAATATTAAGAAAGGGAAGAAAAAGGCGATGGCAATTTCTGTTTTTCTTTTTACCAGATACATGTTCTATTCATTTGATACTATTAAATTAACATTTGATACTCTTTGGTGTTGAGTTTTAATATTTTGGGAGGATTTTCTTTGCAAGTAGCAAAATAAAACCCAATATTGTGTCACAATTCTGTGAAACCCATTTTTAAAAATTAATCTTTAGTGACTGTATTAGTCCGTTTTCATACTGCTATAAAGAACTACCTAACATTGGGTAATTTAGAAAGGAAAGAGGTTTAATTGACTCACAGTTCAGGATGGCTGGAGAGGCCTCAGGAAACTTACAATCATGGCAGAAGGTGAAAGGGAAGCAAGGCACTTCTTCACAAGATGGCAGGAAGGAGACGTGCTGAGCAAAGGAGAAAGAGCCCCTTATAAAACCATCAGATCTTGTGAGAACTCACTATCACGAGAACAGAATGGGGGAGACCGCCCCCATGATCCCTCCGCCTAGTCTCTCCTTTGCCACATGGGGATGATGGGAATTACAATTCAAGATGAGATGTGGGTGGGGATAGAAAGCCTAACCGTACCAGTGACCTAGAGAGACCAACCATTCCAGTTTTCCAGGAACTGAGAGGGTTCCTGGGAATTGGGACTTTCAGTGCTAAACCCAGGAAAGTCCTAGGCAAACTGGGATTATTGTTTGGGATGATGATTGTTCAGCTGGCTTTGAAAGGACTTGAGTCCCTTGGTAGTTTTTTTTTTTCTTCCCCCAGTGGCTTCTGATTGACCTTTGCTATACAAAATCTCTGAGGAAACTGAAAAGGCTGGGCAGTGCCAAGTAGGGGTATTTGGGGTGGTTTCTATTTTCTAAGTGTCTTTAGTAAGAAAAGTGCCACCAACCTTTGCTGAAATAACACCTCAGTACTCTGAGTACTAGTTTCTGAAAACTCTAAGATAATCAGGATGATTCTGAGTGTTACTTGTCCTCAGAGAAAAAGGTTGTATGTGTTGAAATAAAACTAGATGGTCTTTAAATGTGGCCTGGACAACAGACAGACAAATGTCACATGTTCTCACTTATTTGTGGGATCTGAAAATAAAAACAATTGAACTCACGGACATAGAGAGCAGAAAAATGGTTACCAGAGGCTAGAAAGGGTACTGGTGGGTGAGGGAGGTGGAGATGTTTAATGGATACAAATAAAGTAGTGGGGATAACACCTATTTGATAGCACAACAGGGTGACTATAGTCAATAATAACTTAGTTGTACAGTTTAAAATAACTTAAAAGAGTTTAAGTGGATTGTTTGTAACTGAAAGGATAAATGTTTGAGGGGATAGATCCCCCGTTCTCCATGATGTGATTATTTCACATTGGATGCCTGTATGAAAACACCTCATGTACCCCATAAACACCTACTATGTATCAAAATATTAAAAATTTAAACAATTTTATAAAAATAATAAACGAATAAATAAAAGTGGCCTGGAAAATTATGAATTTTCTTATCAAAATGCAAATACAGTCATTTTAATTAAATGTTTAAATAATGCTTATAATTGGCATCCTAATTTAAAGCAAATTTACACTGGAATCATATTTATATACTATATATCTTTTTTACAGCAAATTGAAGTTCTTTATATACTTAACTTTACAGTGTATTTTTTACTCATTTTATTGGAGTTGAAGCATTAAATTTCATATTTTAAAAGAATATATAGAAATTTTACTTAGCTTTTCTTTTATGTTCCTTTTAGTCAGTGCTATGAATTATTTCATGTTGAATCAGCAAATAACCCCCAATTATATCATTAGTCTAATAACATACTGTTTTTAAATGATGAAGTTTCTGAGAATACACTGCAAATAAAATTAGGAATTTTGGTTTTTTTTTCTTTATTTTTGAGACAGAGTCTCACTCTGTCACCTAGGCTGGAGTGCAGTGGTGCAATCTCGGCTCACTGCAACCTCCACCTTCTGGGTTCAAGCGATTCTCCTGCCTGGGCCTCCCAAGCTGGGACCACAGGTGCCTGCGACCACGCCTAACTAATTTTCGTATTTTTAGTAGAGACGAGGTTTCACCATATTGGCCAGGTTGGTCTCAAACTCCTGACCTTGTGATCCACCCACCTTGGCCTCCCAAAGTGCTGGGATTACAGGCGTGAGCCACCACGCCCGGCCAGGACTGTTCTTATATTACAATGTAACATTTCAAAATGCAAAGTCCATATTTTTTATTTATGTACATATATTTTGTGTTTGTGTGTGTGTGTGAATGGTCAGGGGAGAGAAAGAATGAATCTTGGCTGTTAGCAACAGAAACATGCCCTCTGCTGTTCAGTGCCCCTCACATTTTAATGTGCACATGAATCACTTGGGAAGCTTCTTAAAATGCAGATTCTGAATCTGGGGTAAGTCTCAGGTGATTCTCCAGATTCTTTGTTTCTAACAACCTTTCATATGACACAATCCTCCCCGGCTGCTGGACACCCTTTGAGCGGCAAGGTTCTAGCAAGCCTGTAGGAAGTAAGATGCACCGTCACCCTGGTAACTCCTGTGGCTTCACCGTCATATATTCTTCTTTGCTCTTCCCTACTGCATCATCTTATTTCCTTATTTGTTTACAGGTGTGTTGTCTGTCTTCCTAGCATGGCATTAACTCCTGTATCTACAGTATCTGCCACTAATGAATAATGAGCCACCAGTACTAAAGATCTGTTGGTTAAATAATGTATATGCACAAAGACATGGTGTCTGTGTGGTGCAGGCTACCAGACAGAATCCTTGTATATATTAATACAAGGCAAAGTGTTACCAGTTAAGAGCATGGGCTCATAAGTACATTCCCCAGCTGTGACTGGCAAGCAGATTAAAGCCTCCTGCTTCTGTGTACTCATCAATAAAATGGGAGTGATAATAACTGCAGTCACAGTACTGTTGTGAGACCAAACAAGTCACTACATGTGACATAGAAAGGTGACTGCCAAATAATAAACACATTGTAAATGGGAGCTCATAAGTTATAATGTTTTTAACACTGACAGGTGTTTTACTTATAAAACCTGGAAGTGGCCAGGCATGGTGGCTCACGCCTGTAATCCCAGCACTTTGGGAGGCCGAGGTGGGGGGATCACAAGGTCAGGATTTCGAGACCAGCCAGGCCAATACGATGAAACCCCATCTCTACTAAATATACAAAAATCAGCTGGGCATGGCGGCAGGCACCTGTAGTCTCAGCAAAATTAGCTGGGCATGGTGGCGGCGCCTGTAGTCTCAGCTACTTGGGAGACTGCCTGGGCAACAGAGTGAGACTCCATCTCAAAAAAGAAAAAAAGAAACAGAAAGAAAACCTAGAAGCTTCTTAAGGTGGCAGACATATCCTGTGTTGTATCTGAAAGGGATCAAGACTAGATGGGTAGTTTCCAAACTGTCCTTTGCAGAGATGCAGAGGGTCTGTGGAGATCTCTAAGGGCTATCTCTGAGGGAACAGTGGACAGAAAGGTGGACAGAACCCAGCAATCAGGGCTCTGTCCCCACCATCAATACCACACAAAGTAGCCCCACCCTCTCTTTTATTACCTGCTGACATTTCAAATAAGCTTCCCAAATAAAGGGATGTGTCACTCTAAATGAAATTATCTTGAGAAGCACAGGACAAGGTAATTTTAAAATCTTTGTTCAACTCTATAATCTTATCAATTCCTAGAGACTCAGGCATTCAATAGCCCTCTTATGACCCACTGCAGTCTTCAGGTAGGTCTTCAATATACATTGATGTTATATATTAGTTATAAATTACATATTAAGATACAGTAAATGAATTACTGATTGAGGCTTGATAAGATCAGTTGCAGGAGGATGGAGATCATGACTGTTGTTTGAGATGGATTAAGAAGTGGAGGAAATAGAAACTTTGAGCAGCCTCTACTCTTTAGAGACAAATAGGTCTGGAGAAGGAGATAGCATCTGAGGAAGGTTAAAGACCAAAGGAAAATTCTTTCATGGATGCTGTGCAGATGAGAGCATTGATTTTTTTTTTTTTGAGACAGAGTCTCACTCTGTCACCCCAGCTGGAGCACAGTGGTGTGATCTTGGCTCACTGCAACCTCTGCCTCCCAGGTTCAAGTGACTCTCCTGCCTCAGCCTCCTGAGAAGTTGGGACTACAGGTGTCCGCCACCAGGCCCAGCTAATTTTTGTATTTTTAGTAGAGACAGGGTTCCACCATGTTGGCCAGGCTGGTCTCGAACTCCTGATCTCAAGTGATCAACCTGCCTCAGCTTCCTGAAGTGCTGGGATTACAGAAACAAGCCACCACACCCGACCAAGGGCATTGGTTTTAAAGTACTGAGTACTTAATCTGTTTCAGCAAGTATTTATTGTCCCATTCAAGTAGGTGCTTCTACTTTTTTAGGCCAGTGATTCCCAGCCCTGATGACTCATTAGAATCCCCTGGGGAGGTTTCAAACAGTATCAACTCCCCCATCAGTTAAAACACCATCTTTGCGGCTGAGTCCCAGGCATGGGGTGGTGGTGATGGTTGTTGTCCCCATAGTCCCAGAGCTGCCAGGCAAACCTAACATGCAGTCAGGTTTGAAGTTGGAAGTTTCATTTCAAATCAAAATGTCTAGGATTTACATCAGTGAGGTTTTAATATGTTGTATTAGTCTGTTCTCATGCTGCTAATAAAGACATACCTAAGACTGGGTAATTTATAAAGGAAAGAGGTTTAATTGACTCACAATTCCATATTGCTGGGGAAGCCTCACAATCATGGCAGAAGGGTGGAGGAAGAACAAAGACACATCTTACGTGGCAGTAGACAAGAGGGCATGTGCAGGGGAACTCCCCTTTGTAAAACCATCAGATCTCGTGAGATTTATTCCCTACAACAAGAACAGCATGGGGGAAACCCCCGCCCCCATCATTCAATTATCTTCACCTGGCCTGGCCTTGACACATGGGGATTATTACAATTCAAGGAGAGATTTGGATGAGGACAAAGTCAAACCGTATCACATGTTAATCAAAAAGTATTACATTTACCTCTTTTTTTTTCTCTTGAGGCAGAGTCTCCCTCTGTCACCCAGGCTGGCGTGATCTCAGCTCACCGCAACCTCCACCTCCTGGGTTCAAGTGATTCCCCTGCCTCACCCTCCTGAGTAGCTGGGATTACAGCACCTGCCATCACACCCAGCTAATTTTTGAATTTTTAGTACAGATGGGGTTTCACCATGTTGGCCAGGCTGGTCTCGAACTCCTGACCTCAAGTGATCCACCTACCTTGGCCTCCCAAAGTGTTGCGATTACAGGCGTGAGCCACCACACCGACCTAAATTTACCTCTTAAATAGTTCTTGTTTACAGGTTTGTTGCTGTTTACATGTGATGTGTTAAATCTTGTGATCAAAGAATATTTAATGAACACATTTATAATGAAATAATAGGAAAAATAGATGTGGAAATTTAAGTAAAATGTATGTTTTTCTTTCATTGGGAAAAGATGTATACATATAAATATATAATATATATTATATATGTAACTATATACAAAATGAATTCCAGTATATTAATCACATTATTCAATCCACAACCTGGTAACTGGAGAAAGAACTGGAGAACATCTTTCTATGCACACACCCTACCCCTCCCCACCATACTAACCTCTGCTTGGTCTTCTTTGGCAGTACAGAAATCATCACTGAGGAGTGGAAGTACTTCAAAA